>NC_000006.12:89523261-90148261 GCF_000001405.40 Homo sapiens
CATTGGTAAGTGGCTACCTTCATGGGAAAGGCCAGGGATGGAGGGCCAGCTCTTAGTGAATGAAAGGAGAGAATTTGCCTTCAAAGACTGTCATGCAAAAGAACTAAAGATAAGATATTGAAGAAGGCTTTTTCTGTTATTGGTCTAGTTTATAGTTGGAGGACCTTCTGGTTCTTTTATTGGGAGCAGTGAACTTTTTCTAAGAATAGCTCAGAGGTACTGACCTGTGGCTAGAAGAGGGCAGTTCTTTATGTGTTTATCCTATTGATAACTCGTTCTTCTCCTGCCTAGAGAAGAGCTTTATTTAGTGCCCTTCTGGATCCAGAATTCAGTTTTTACCATAAGTCCAGTATTTCCTTGGTTCTATGCCCCAAGTACCCATAGTGATGCTGAGAAACGTTTGCTATGGTAGAATCTGTGGCATACCCAGGCTGCCAGCCTCATACTTCTCTGTGCTCATTTCTTTAGTAGGTGGAACATTCATTTATTCACAGTCCCTTAGGACACTACTGTGTTAGGTGCTAAGCCTGCAGAAATGTATATGTTGAAGTCACTACCCTCAAGGAGTTTATAGCATGAATAAATCTTTTTTGTCAGCATTTGTAATCTAGTATCAAAGAATAATCCTAACAGCAAATTCTCTGCCTCCATCTGATAATGATGCAGTCCGTTTGGCTACCAAACATGTTCCTATAATAAATTGAACTCATATGCAATTGGCTAAAAGGTGAATGATGTCAGTTCTTATATGGTTTTCACCCTAGGCCAGGAGAGCCAGACTAGCAGGAGTAGGATGATAACCTTTGGCAGGAAAGGAAAGGGCCATCAGCTCAGCTTTTGCACCCACAGGAGCTCTTTCTGCTGTTTTGTTTGTTTTTCCTCTTGATAATTTTCTTTTTATTTTTTTTCAGTAGCTTTTTGGGAACAGGTGGTGTTTGGTTACATGGATAAGTTCTTTGGTGATCCCTGAAATTTTGATGCACCCGTCACCCAAGCAGTATACACTGTACCCAGTGTGTAGTCCTTTATCCCTCACCCCCCTCCCACCTTCCCCTGAGTCCCCAAAGTCCACTATATTATTCTTATGTCTTCGTGTCCTTAGCTCCCACTTACAAGTGAGAACATACGATATTTGCTTTTCCAATCCTGAGTTACTTTGCTTAGAATAATGGTCTCCTACACCATCCAGACTGCTGAGAATGCCATTATTTCGTTTCTTACTCAGCCATAAAAGGGAACAAAATAACGACATTCGCAGCAACTGGGCTGGAGTTGTATTCAGTATTTTATGTCCAAGTAGTATTCAGCCATAAAAAGGAATGAAATAATGTGGTGTATATACCACATTTTTTTTAGCCACATGTTGATTGATGGGCATTTAGGCTGGTTTCATATTTTTGCAGTTGCGAGTTGTGGGGCTATAAACATGCATATGCAAGTGTCTTTTTCATATAATGACTTCTTTTTCTTTGGGTAGATACCCAGTAATGGGATTGCTGGATCAAATAGTAGTTCAACTTTTATTTCTTGAAGGAATCTCCACACTGTTTTCCATAGTGGTTGTACTAGTTTACTTTCCACCAGTAGTGTAAAAGTGTTCCCTATTCACATCCATGCCAACATCTATTTTTTTTTTTTAATTTTTAAATTATGGCCATTCTTGCAGGAGTAAGGTGGTATCTGATTATGGTTTTAATTTGCATTTCCTTGATAATTAGTGATGTTGAATCTGCTCTGCTTTAAGAAAATTAGGCTGGGTGTGGTGGTTCATGCCTGTAATACCAGCATTTTGGGAGCTGAGGCTGATGGATCACTTGAGGTCAGTAGTTCAAGACCAACCTGCCCAATATGATGAAACCCTGTCTCTACTAAAAACACAAAAATTAGCTGGGCCTGGTGGCACACACCTCTAGTCCGAGCTACTAGGGAGGCTGAGGCAGGAGAATCACTTGAACCTGGGAGGAGGAGGTTGCAGTGAGTTGAGATTGTGCTGTTGCACTCCAGCCTGGGCGACATAGCAAGATCCTATCTCAAAAAAAAAAAAAAAAAGAGTGCCTGTGCCCAGGCTCCCTCCCTAAAGACCTGCACCCCTGGCCTTGAGAGCTCTCAGATGGCAGCAAGTTGCACTTTCTCCTGCCTGTTTCTCACTGGGAATCCAGCATTTCCACGCTGTTGTTTTTGTGCATTTTAAATATATCCTGTGGCATCCTCTTGCTGCTGTTGTCCAAAGGACCACCAGGATGGCTAATGAGTAGAAAGGATTATTGGCAATACATCAGTAGGCAAACCAGGAAGAGATAGCCTCTGGCATGGACCAAAGGTGTTCTCTTTTTGCATAGGGAAGGGGCAGGTTGGGTTTTATGCCTCACTGGGCCTGTATCATAGAATAGAGTCATACATATTCAGCAGGTTTAGGGGAAAAGCTATACATAGTTATGAGGGGAGTCCTGCACATGAACAATGAGTAAACATGTAACATATATCTCATGTTCACTTTGGGGTGGGATTTTAACATTAAAGCAAAGTGGAATTTGGCTCTCTGTCTAAAGGTGAACTATAGGCCACAAAACACAGTCTTTGTAAGCTGGTCAAAACTGGCTTGAGGTCTGCAGTTGCTTATCAGGAAAGAATGTATGTAAGTCCCATTCTCTGTCCAATTGGAGTTGTAGTGGTCTGGGTTGTAAATCAGATTTAGGAAGACAATTTGTCTGACAGCTCCTATTTTTAGGGAGTTTGGCAAGAGTGTGGTTTTTCTTGTAGCTGTAGGAATTTAGGAATTCGGGGCTGTGCCCGCCAAGCCCTGAACCCTCTACCCTCTGCCCATGGGTAACTTTTGTTTCCTTAACCTTAGTGTTCGTCTTAGTCGATAAAGGGACATCTATTTTAGTCTCTCAGATCACACTGCCATGAGCTGCTGGCTTGTTTGTGAGGTACCAATTATGTGTGTACACACACTCTGGTTGCCAGGGGCTTTTAATGCTCCAGAGTGGTCTAATGGTCTACCCCATCCAGTTTCCCCATAATCTCTGGTGCTGACATCCAGGGAGCCACAAAAGTTGAACATTCATGAACCAAAGAGGTGGCAGTTTGAGCCTTCCATTCCCTCCTTCAGCCTTGCTCCTATACCTTTTCATCTATGAACTCTCAAGAAAGAGTAACAGCAGCTGTCAGCCCACAGTAGTCCTGTTGGCAGGCTCTAAAATGTGTCTTCTCAAATTGCAGCCCTGGCCTGAGCTGGAGAGAGTACCTAGTGGAATTCTGCCCATTTCACAGTGGTTCAGATCTGCAAGAAACATATGCCCTGTTTACCATTTCCTGATGGGTATGGGGTGAGGGCTCCTAAACTATGGTATTAGTCAGGGTTCTCCGAGAAACAGAATCAAGAGGACATACAGACAGAAATTTATTTTAAGGTAGTGGCTCACACAGTTATGGAAACTGAGAAGTCCCATGATCTGCCATCTGTATGCTGGAGACCCAGGAAAACCAGTGGTATAGATCTGAAGGCCTGAGGGGCAGGGAGCCTATGGCGTAGGCTCCAATCCAAGTCTGAAGGCCTGAAAACCAGAAGAGCCAAGGGCAGGAGAAAATTCCCAGCTCAACTGTCAGGCAGAGACTTCAGCCTTCAAGTGACTCTCCCACCTTGGCCTTTTTGTTTTATTCAGGCCCTCAGCAGGTTGGATGATGCTCACCTACATTGGGGAGGGCAATCTGCTTTATTAAGTCCAGCAATTCAAATGCTAGTATCTTCCAGAAACATCCTTGCACACATACCCATACATAATGTTTAACCAGATATCTGGGCATCCCTTACCCCAGTTGAGTTCACACATGAAATTAACAATCACAGGCATAGGTATATGTTGGAAATAGAGCAGGTTCAGTTTCAGACCACGGCATTAAGCAAATATTGCAATAGAAGTAGTCACAGGCATTTTTGGTTTCCCAGTGTATATGAAAGTTATGTTTATATTATACTGTAGTCCAGTAAGTATGCAAAAGGATTATGTCTAAAAGGACAGTGTATATACCATAATTTAAAAATACTTTTAGTCAGGTGCAGTGACTCACGCCTGTAATCCCAGCACTTTGGGAGGTGAGGAGGGTGGATCACCTGATGACAGGAATTCGAGACCAGCCTGGCCAACATGGTGAAACTCTGTCTCTACTAAAAATACAAAAAATAGCTGGGCATGTTGCTGGGTACCTGTAATCCCAGCTACTTGGGAGGCTGAGGCAGGAGAATCACTTGAACCCGGGAGGCATAGGTTGCAATAAGCTGAGATGGCTCCACTGTCCTCCAGCCTAGGTAACTGAGCAAGACAGGGAGACTCCGTCTCAAAAAAAAAAAAAAAAAAAAAAAAAGAAAAAGAAAAGAAAAACAAACTTTTGCTAAAAATTCTAATGATCATTTAAGCCTTCAGTGAATTGCAATCTTTTTGCTGGTGGAGGTTTCTGCTGGTGGAGGATCTTACCTCAGTGTTGATGACTGCTGACTAATCAGGGTGGTGGCTGCTAAAGGTTGGGTTGCTATGGCAATTTTGTTTTTTTGTTTTGTTTTGTTTTTTGACAGAGTCTTGCTCTGTCACTCAGGCGGGAGTATAATAGCGCAATCACAGCTCACTGTAACCTCAAACTCCCAGGCTCCAGTGTTCCTCCCACCTCAGCCTCCAAAGTATCTGGGACTGTAGGCACACACCACAATGCCTGGCTAATTTTTTAAATGTTTGGTAGTAACAAGGTCTCACTATGTTGCCCAAGCTGATCTTAAACTTCTGGGCTCAAGCAATCCTCCTGCCTTGGCCCCCCAAAGTGCTGGGATTACAGGCATGAGCCCCATCGCACCCAGCCACAGTTTCTTAAAGTCAGACGATAGTGAGTTTGCCAGATTGATTGACTCTTCTTTCACAAAAGATTTCTCTGTAGCATGTGATGCTGTTTGATAGCACTTTACTCACAGTAGAACTTCTTTCAAAATTGGAGTCAATCTTCTCAAATCCTATTGCTGCCTTGTCAAATACATTTATGTACTATTCTAAATTTTTTGTTGTCATTTCAACAGTGTTCACAGCATCTTCACCAGGAGTAGATTTCATCTCAAGAAACCACTTTCTTTGCTCATCCGTAAGAAGGAACTCCTCATTCATTCAAGTTTTATCATGAGATTATAGCAATTCAGTCACATCTTCAGGCTCCACTTCTAATTCTAGTTCTCTTGCTGTTTCCACCAAAAAGTAAGTTATATCTTCCACTGAAGTCTTGAACTTCTCAAAGTAATCCATGAGGGTTAGAATCAACTTCTTCCAAACTCTTGTTAATGTTATTTTGACCTCTTCCTGTGAATCACGAATGTTCCTAATGGCATCTAGAATGTGAAGCCTTTCCGGAAGGTTTTCCATTTACTTTCCCCAGATCCATCAGAGCAGTCACTTACTGTGGTAGCTTTGGCCTTACAAAATGTATTAAGACTTGAAAATAGAAATTAAATCCTTGATCCATGGGCTGAAGGATGGATGTTTTGTTTAGTAGGCATGAAAACAACAGTAATCTTTTTGTACATCTCCATCAGAGCTCTTGGGTGACCAGGTGTATCATCCGTGAGCAGTAATATTTGGAAGGGAATCTTGTTATCTGAGCAGTAGGTCTCAATAAGCATGGACTTATTCAGTAAGCCATGATGTAAACAGATGTGCTGTCATCTGGCCTTTGTTGTTCCATTTATAGAGTACAGGCAGAGTAGAATTAGCATAATTTGAAAGGGCCCTGGGATTGGCACATCAGCATTCACTTCATTTAAAGTCACCAGCTGCATTAGCCCCTAACAAGAGAGTCACCCTGTCCTTTGAAGCTTTGAAGCCAGGTGTTGACTTCCCTCTAGCTATGAAAGTCTTAGATGGAATCTTCTTCCAGTAGAAGGCTGATTCATGTACATTGAAAAATCTGTTGTTTAGTGTAGCCACTGTCACCAATTATCTTAGCTAGATTTTCTCTTCTTAGATAACTTACTGTAACTTCTACATCAGCACTTGCTGCTTCACCTCACACTTTTAGTTATGAAAGATGATTCCTTTCCTTAAACCTCATGAACCAACCTCTGCTAGCTTTAGACTTTTCTTCTGCAGCTTCCTCACCTCTCAGCCTTTGTAAAACTGAAGAGAGTTAGGGCTGTGCTCTGGATTAGGTTTGGTTCAAGGGAATGTTGTGTCTGGTTGATCTTCTATCCAGACCAAACTTTCTCCATATCAGCAATAAGGCTGTTTCACTTTATTATGCCTGTGTTCACTGGAGCAGCACTTTTCGTTTCCTTTAAGAACTTTTCCTTTGCATTCACAACTTCGCTAACTGGTGTTAGTGGCCTAGCTTTTGGCCTTTCTTAGCTTTGACATGCCTTCATTAAGTATAATCATTTCTAGCTTTTGATTTAAAGTGAGAGACATGAAACTTGTCCTTTCACTTAGAGGCCATTGTATGGTTATCACTTGGCCTAGTTTTGATTTTGTTGTGTCTCAGCAAATAGGGAGGCCCAAGGAGAGGGAGAGAGAAGGGGAACCAGGGGTTGGTGGAGGAGTCAGAGTACACATAACATTTACCAATTAAGTTTGCCATTTTATGTGGTGTGGTTCAGGGTACCCCAAAACAATTACAGTAGTAACATAAAAGATCACTGATCACAGAGCGCCATAACAAATATAATAACAAAACAGTTTGAGGGCTGGGCATGGTGGTTCACGTCTGTAATCCTAGCACTTGGGGAGGCCGAGGTGGGTGGATCACTTGAGCCCAGGAGGTCGAGACCAGCCTGGGCAATGTGGTGAAACCCTGCCTATACAAAAAGATACAAAAATTAGTTGGGCACGGTTGTGTACATTTGTTGTCCCAGCAACTTGAGAGGCTTACTTGGGAGGATTGCTTGAGCCCAGGAGGTTGAGGCTGCAGTGAGCTGTGACTGTGCCACTACACTCCAGCCTGGGCAACAGAGTGAGACCCTGTCTCAGAAGAAAAAAGTTTGAAATATTGCAAGAATTAGCAAAATGTATGACATATGGACATGAAGTGAGCACATGTCGTTGGAAAAAATGGTGCTGATACGACTTGCTCAAGGTAAGGTTGCCACAAACCTTCAATTTGTTTAAAAAAAAAAAAAAGTGAAGCACAACAGAGTGAAGCGCCGTAAAATGAGACATGCCCAAATCTTATTGATTAGGGAAGGGGGAGTAGTTCACTGTTTTTTGTTTGGCCTCATTCTGTGGTGACCTTAAGTGAGTAAAAACACTGTTTCAGTGGCAACTGGGAGTTGAGTAGCACAGTTTGCTTTCAGGGAGAGGGAGACAGACCATCAATGGTGTTCATTTTGTGCAGTGCCCAGACAGCACCAGGCTGGCCACTCACAGTGCTTTATCTTGGGGCCAGTCAGGGCCAGCAGGAAGGGCTCTGGTTGGAGGAATAAAGAATGTGGTAAAAGCCAGGAGGGCTTGCTTTGAAAATGTTCCGGGAGAAATGGAGAACTGGATTCTGAAAGTTGTACTTGCTGGGTGGAGAGGTTCCAGTAACAGCTACATTGGTATCTCCCGGCTCTGCCATTGTCTCAGTCCTCTAGTCTTCATGCTGCTCAATGGCCGACCACTTGAAAGTCATGGATACTACCTCAAGGAACAGATCTATTTATTAAATTCAACATTGGAATGTCAGGAGTTACAAAGTCTGTTGGGTTTGTTTTCATGACACATACGCATAAAGTGTAATCATGAGATACCGAGGCAGGCATTATTATCCCCAGTGTGCCTTAGGAGTTGTAAGTAAAGGATACATGATAAATCATTGTGGCTGCACACCTCAGAGAGCTGTGTGTCTATGGGAAGGAGAGGTGGCTCGGGGCCTGTGAGCATGCATCCGCCTGCCAGTGCGCGGAAGGTGCGCTCCTGTCTGGGAATCGAGCCAAAGTGCGGATCTGTTCTTTCTCTTAGCTCCTGTTTTCACAGTTATGTCGCTGTTAGGATGAGGAAAGGAGGTAGCGGAAACAATAGAATGGAAGATATGGGCAAATAAATATGCTCAAATGGAGAGAACCAATGAATCCCTGTTACTAGCAAGTACTTTCCTTGAAGGAAGTTTATAGAATGTTTTATCTCCCATTTCTAAGAGAAAAGGCATTAATATCCAACCATGTGGATCGAAGCATCTTGATATTTTATGGATTCTTCCATTTCTGCTTCTCTGCATTCTCCCCCTAGTGCAAGCCTTTGACATCTGCACATGCTGCTTGCAGCAACATCTCACAGCAATATCTCCTGGCTCCGTCATTGCCCCATCCCTCCAGTCTTCATGCCACACTGTGGCAGACCATTTAAAAAATTGGAGATCCGGTCTCTTGGACCTTCCTCCAAAATGCCCTCCTGGGGTTCACTATTGCCCTGTATCCCTTCTTTGATCTTATATCCCATGACTTACCTGCCAGTATCATCGGACCTTTGGGTGGCCCACACTACCACCTTGTCTCTCCTCACTCCCTGTATTAGGATTCTCCTACAAAAAAGGCCAATAGGTTGTGTGTATATAGAGAAAAAGATTTAGTAGAAAGAATTGGCTCATGCCATATGGAGACTGGTGAATCCAAAATCTGTAGGGTGGGTTGGCATGCTGGAAACCCAGAAGAGTCAATGGTGCGGTTTGAGTTCTAAGGCCAGCAGGCTGGAGACCTAAGAGAGCTGATGCTGCGGTTCAAGACAGTCTGTTGTAGAACCAACGAGGAAGAGCCAATGTTGCGGATGAAGTCTGAAGTCAGTCTGCTGGTAAATTATCTCTTGCTTGGGAGAGGCTGGTCTTTTTGTTCTGTTTAGGCCCTTAACTGAATGGATGAGGCCCACACACATATGGAACCAATCTGCTTTATTCGGTCTATCAATTTAAATATTAATGTCATCCAAAAACACTCTCACAGAAATACCCAGAATCATGTTTAACCAAATATCAGGGCACCCTGTGGCCCAACCAAATTGACATTATTAACCATCACCTCCCTCTTTTGCTTTCTGTCGTCTGTTTATACTGGACCTCTCCTAACTTTTCTAATATGTTACATTAATTCTGAACTCTGGGCTTTGTACGTGCTGTTTATTCCATCTGGAGTGCTTTTTCATCTGGCTCATTCTAATTCATCTATCAGCTGAAATTCCCCTTTCTTAAAGGGCACTTCCCAAATTTCCCTGGCTAGGTTTATTCCCTCTGATATATGTCACCAGAGCACACTACACTTTCCTTGATAACGCATATCACAATTAGAGTTCCTTGTTCATTGTCTGCCTTCCCCACTAGAATTTAAGCTCCATGAGGGCAGGGAGCTTATCTGTTTTGCCATTACATGCCTGACACTTCCCTGCTGCTCAAAGATCATTCAATGAATGAAAGAACGTATTGAAAGCTTACAAGATAGTAAATTGATTTTTTTTTCTTTTTTTTTTGAGATGAGATCTCACTCTGTCACCGAAGTTGGAGTGCAATGGCACGATCTTGGCTCACTTCAACCTTTGCCTCCCGGGCTCAAGCCATCTTCCCACCTCAGCCTCCTGAGTAGCTGGGATCACAGCCATGTGCCACCATGTCCAGCTGATTTTTTGTATTTTTTTTTTTTTTTGAGATGGAGTCTCGCTCTGTTGCCCAGGCTGGAGCCAGTGGCGTGATCTTGGCTCACTGCAACCTCCGCCTCCCAGGTTCAAGCGATTCTCCTGCCTCAGCCTCCTGAGTAGCTGGGCTTACAGGCACGTGCTGCCATATTTGGCTAATTTTTTTTTAATTTTTAGTAGAGACGGGGTTTCACCATGTTGGTCAGGCTGTTCTTGAACTCCTGACCTCGTGATCCACCTCCCTCGGCCTCCCAAAGTGGTGGGATGACAGGCGTGAGCCACTGCTCCTGGCCGATTTTTTGTATTTTTTATGGAGACGGTATTTTGCCATGTTGCCCAGGCTAGTGAAGATACTAGGCTCTTGACATACGTAAATACTAACTGTGATCTTCACTTTAATAGACTGAGGCCCGGAGAGGTTAGGGACTTGTCCAAGGTCATGTAGTCGTATAGAAGCTGGGCTTTAAAATAATAATGAGTGTAACCATGGAGTTGGGTATTATCCTATTTGACAACTTGCAGCAACCTAATGAGATAAGTAGCCCTTGGATGCCCCACAGTGTCCTCTGCCTCCTGATAGTCACACCATAGGAGCCATTTCCATCTCTCAGGAGTCTGGTATTTGACCTGGTACCCTCTTCACTCTGTAGTCTTCTCTGGACCATCTTCAGTACTTTTTTCCTCTGCCCCAGTAAATGGGAGCAAGAGAGCAAGGTTGCTGGCTAGCAGATACCCAGTTGAGAAGCAGAATGCTGCTCTCTGCTTACTGAAGGTACTCCTGATCTTTACAGGTGCTCCTTTGCCTCCAGCCATCACGAATGAGAGAGAGAGAGAGAGAGAAAATGAGTGTGTGTGTGTGTGTGTGTGTGTGTGTGTGTGTGTGTGTGAATGAATGCTTCTCCATGACCAGTGTACTCCCCTGAGAGCAACCCTCTCTGCCTGTCTTCCACTTACAGTGACTGAGTGGGAGCCAATTGGGGAAGCTGCTTTCTTTGAGTTGGCATCTTTCAGTGACCTGGCGGTACCTGGTCCAATAAAAAGATGTGATTTTCTGAAATCCAGTATATACCTGTATGTTTTGAGGCTGTCTTCCCAAGGTGACTTGAGAATACGTCTACACACACAGAATATTGGGATATTGTTTTCTAACTGCCTATTGCATTGTGTTAAATTACAAACTAATTCCCCAGATGATGGGATAAGTTATTTTTTTCTCTGCCAAGTCACAATATTAATAATGCAGCTAAATTTAGCTCTGCTGTAAAAGAGT
Source organism: Homo sapiens (assembly GCF_000001405.40). Classification (NCBI taxonomy): domain Eukaryota; kingdom Metazoa; phylum Chordata; class Mammalia; order Primates; family Hominidae; genus Homo; species Homo sapiens. The sequence continues at coordinate 89,534,152 of NC_000006.12, forward strand.
TTAATTTTCAAAGCCAATTAGACAATTTGATGGCTGACTTGCTGCATTTGTCTCTAACTACTCAGTTGATACCATGTTGCCACCCTAACAGATTCTTGCTGATAGTCAAAGGAGAGATGAGTTGTGGGAAGTATAAAGCTTTTCAATTAATTTATGATCCTATTAGGTGTAAAGCCTATAATTACCCTGCGGTTGTTGCCTCTGCCAAAAAAGAAGAAAAGAATAAAGAAAACCCATCTTATGAAAAAGTTATTTTCTGAACATAAAAGTGGCATGGGAAAAGAAAAAAAAGCTTGTGCCTCCCCTCCTAAGTGTGGGAAGGAATTAAGATTTTTGGCTTTCTCCTGGCCAGTGAGTTCATAAAGTGATTTTTTTTTGTGGATAGGGTGATCATTTAGAACTGTCTTCAGATTCTGTTTTTACTTTCTTGATTAGACCTCTCCTATCTACTCATCCATTCATCCATCTGTTCATGCAACAAATATTTATAAGTGCTGCTGTGCCCAGGGACTTTCCAGGTGCAGGGGTTCAGTGGTGAGCATTAACAGGGTTCCTGCCCTCTTGGAGCTCTCATGGGGATGAGGGTGAGGGGAGACAAGATGCACAGAAGTAAATTAGTCAACCAGGTAAGTTCAAGTGGTGTTGATTGTTGTGCAGAAAATATAGAACTCAGTAATATGATGGCCTGTGGAGTTCAGGGAGAGAGGCAGCTATTCCATCTTAACCTGCCAGAAATGTTTTGGACCTAGGGAGCTAATGTCTGAGAAAGGCTCCTCATCCCCACCCTCCCACCTGAATTTGCAAGGCAGTGCTGCACACTTGGCAGATGGAAATGGAAACCTCTGCAGAAACCTGGCAAACCATTAGCAGGACTCTCTTTGGACTCTCAGCTCAGCTTAAGTAGAGCACATAGCTTCTTTGGGGGGAAAAAAAGGCATTCAAAGTCTTAAACAAGAGTAAAGTTCTCATTTGCCACTTTAATCAAGTTCATTAAAAATGGAATGTATATTTAAAACTTCCTTTTGATTAACTTAATGTAAGTGCATCCTGACTTAGGAGAGGGGGAGAAGTGTGCCCCTAGATGATATCAAACTTTGACCTTCATTAAATGTTTGCAAGTGGTAAACCTCAAAGGCCTGCAGTATAAAATGGGATAAAATTTCCAAGAATTAGCCATCCTGGGGGGAAAAATATATATTTGGTTTGAAACTCTACTACCATAGTCTGCATGTTTCCTCAGCCATTGCATTTTGACAGCTGAAACAACAGACTAAAACTGTAGTTTAAAATACAAGCACACACACTCACAGATCAATGCAAAAATACTGTGCTTTGGATTCGCCAATAAATATGGAACGTGATGCACATATGGTTGTTTGGCTGAATTCTTGCCCTGTACCTGGCCATACACAAGACAACTTCTCCATTGAGTGGGCAGCTCTACAGAGAACTCCTGGCAGTAGTGACCAGGACTTCAGGGCTTTGCTCCATTGACCTTATGCAGGACAAACTTAAGTCAAAATGTGTTTCTCCTGAAAGAATACAACAGCACTTGACCTGTCCTTGACCTAATGTGGAAAGTTGATTCCTTCTTGAAGCTAGGGAGGCAGTGTCACATGACAGTTCCAAGCAGTTGCTGTAGAATTAGACCACCTCAGCTCACATCCAGACCCCAACACTTACCAGTTGTGCAATCCCAAGTACATGGTCTCTTGTTCACTTTCCTCATCTGAAATGTGGGTATAATAGGGCCAATCCCTTGGGTTGTCAGAGGATTAAATGAAGAGAGTATCACAGGCCAGGTGTGGTGGCTCATGTCTGTAATCACAGCACTTTGGGAGGCCAAGGCAGGTGGATTGCTTGAGGCCAGGAGTTTGAGACCAGCCTCACCAACATGGTGGAAACACCATCTCTACTAAAATACCAAAATTAGCCGGGAATGGTGGCACATGCCTGTAATCCCAGTTACTTGGGAGGCTGAGGCATGATAATCCCTTGAACCTGGAAAACGGAGGTTGCACTAAGCCGAGATCGCACCAATGCACTCCAGCCTGAGCGAAGTAGCGAGACTGTTTCAGAAAGAGAGAGAGAAAAAAAACCTTACCACAATGTGTGGCCCACAGCAAAAAGCTCAATAAACATTAGCACTCTTGCTGGGTCCACACATGTCTTTTCTGGGTTTCATCTGGTTTCCAGGCGGGCTGCCTCTGCGCCTTTGTTTTCCCAGCTGCCCTTTCTCAGTAAAGCGGCATGAAAGCTACATCCTCACCACCTGAGGCACTATTGAGAAGAAAGTGTGTGCTGCCATGAACTCAACTCTGCATTGCTTTCAGGCTCAGAGTGGTGGAACATGCTCTCAGTGAAATGCAGCGTGACTGTCCTCTGTGGCCCTGTGTATGTCGAAGACATGTTTGGGAGTTTGTTAAGGAATGTAGCTGATTCAGTAGGCATTGTCTCCAAAGGCTTCCCTGTCAGGGTAACTTGAATGTGTGTGTGTGTCTGCGCGTGCGCTGTCATAAGCACATTGAGATGTTGGAAGAGCAAACTGAATGCTCTTCATATTATCTAGGGAGAACTTTGCAAAGCAAGCCAGCAGGCTGGTGGGTCCTTTCTGTTCTGCTCTAGGACATATTGCAAGCCTGGGCAAGACAGTTGCCTTCTTTTACCTTCATGTACTCATCTGGAAGTGATTATGAGGGGTACAAAGAGACATCTGTTCATTACAACATTATTTGTAACAGAAATAAGCAATAGGAAAAAACCTTTGGTTTTTTGTAAACCTCCCGAGGGGTCCTGGGATTGCAGGTGTAAGCCACCATGCCCAGTCATAGCAGTTTTTTTTTAAAGCAATTGCAAGTAGTAGTTACGATACTTGTACGAAAATATACATGCACAGATGAGAGAGTTTGTGATTTGTGCTACTGTGTGTGTGTACAGAAATAGTGTAGAAAGGATGACACCGAACTGGGAACATGGTTTCCTATAAGGAGAGAATCAAGATAAGATGAGGCCTAGGGGAATTTTGCTTTATCTATTGTATTTGAATTTGATTTTACAATACAATTTATGGTATATTACTTTTGCAATTATAATTAAAATAATAATTAAAATGAGCATGAGGCTGACCTAGCAAGGAAAGCCCCATTGCAGAGTGTACAGTGACATACTTGTGAAGGTATTACTTTACATTATTTCTGCAGGAACCCCACCCACACACCCCACAAGGTTTTTAGAGCATTGATACTGGTATGTTTCAGATACTAATTGCCAGTGATTCTTCTTCAACCCAAATCCATGTTCAATTCAGATGCTAAATGAGTCCAGTAATGCCACAACAAAATGGACAAGTGCTTGTGGTTAGATGTTGGTTTGCAAAGGAACTTAATATGCTCTGAGCGGCTGCCTAGACCACAAAAATCTGAATTATTATATAATTATAATATGTTTTATATTTTATAATAAAAATTTTAAACACATATAGAAGTAGCAAGATGGCTCATGCCTGTAATCCCAGCACTTGGGGATGCCGAGGTAGGAGGATTGCTTGACCAGCCTGGGTAACAAAGCAAGACTGTCTCTACAAAAAGAAGAAAAATTAGTTGGGCATAATGGCATGCTCCTGCAGTCCCAGCTACTCATGAGGCTGAGGCAGGAGGATGGCTTGAGCCCAGAAGGTAGAGGTTACAAACGTGAGCTGTGGTTGTGCTGACAGAGTGAGACAATGTCTCAAAAAAAAAAAAAAAAAAAAAGAAAAGAAAAAAGGCAAGAATAGTATTATATAATGGACTTTACATGCCAATCCCTCCCAAGTTACTTTGTGGCAAATCCCAGACAGCATGTCATTTCATCCTCAACTACAGCATTTTAGTTTGTATCTCTAAATGCACTCTTCTAAAAAAACATAACCACAATATCTTTACCACACATTCAAAAAGTATCCTAAAATATTTAGTACTTACTTACATTTTTTTAATTGTCACATAACATTTTAAGTTTTTTTAATTGGGATCCAAAGGTCATAGTCATTGGGTGATAAATCTCTTAAATCTTAATCTCTACGTTTCTTCTCCATCTCATTTTTCCCCTTGCAATTTTCTGTTTTTGTTGAAGCAATCAGGTCTTTTGTCTTTTACAGCAGAGCTTCTCAAAGTGTGATCTAATGCTGGTTTGTGAAAAGTATAGAAATTGACAGTAAATGTTTAGAAACTTACAGCAATTTGACATTGCTGCAACATCCAAGCACATGAGCATCATCATCGGCAAACATGGTTTGGGTTTAAATTGTATGTATGGGGATATTCTAAGGTGCTGCTACAATACAGGAAAGCATTCTAGAGTACAGAGCGGAAGAAGCATGCACCATAATGTAAGTCAACATACTGTTTCCTTCAAGAATATCTTACTATGAAAAAATTTCAGCAGAATTAAACAGGCTTAGTAATGCAGTGAAATTTATTTATTTAGATAAAAGCTAATCTGTTAAGGTCAAGACTCTATCATGTGTTAAGTGGAAGGTGATCATAAACAATAGTTACTACATGTTGAAGTATGGTGGGAAGTATGGTTATCTAGGGGGAAATTCCATCAAATGTAGGAAATCCTAGAGTTCCTCAGGATAAGAAACCAGTTTGGTTCCAACTTTTTCTTTAAAAAAAAAATGTGAATTTGATCTCTTTGATATTTTAATGATCTTAATACTTTCATGCAAAGAAGAAGAGCAACATGTTTTTCAATGACAAGATCAAAAGGCCAAAAAAAAACTTGAAAGAACAGAGTTTCAACAGATTCTTATGACATATTCCATAATTTGATAACTAGCGAACAATGTCTACATGTGATTATACCTAGGTACAACCTTTTGAATTTTATCAATGTTTGATTTTAATTGTTCATTAAAAGAAGATCCACATATGGGAAATACATGGATTTAGGAATCTATTTCTTTCATTGAAAGATAATTTAAATTTAATGTTACAGGATGAATTACTAGAATTGGCTATTATAAATTTAAGGTGAATTATGAAAATGGAATGTCAGTTGTCTCATTTTGAATAAAAATTAAAAAGTAAATATCTTGGAATTATTATATCTTGGAGTTAATTATGGATTTAAAAATTACTTTAAAATCTGTTGTTTCATTTACATAAGCATACCTCTGTGAGACTGTTTTTTTCTACGGTGATTGTTATTAAACATTGAAACAGTTAATATAAATATCCCCAAGTAGTGTTGTCCTTAACCCAGTTTAGGATTAATAGGCTAGAAGAAAACATTAAAAATTTTTAATATGAAAAATAATGATATACATGGTGTTTATGCAGTATGTATATAAGCATTTATTATGAAGAATTGCTACCTCCTTTATAACTTTAAATTTTCTTTTCATTTTTGTGGGTATATAGTCTGTATATATATTTATGAGGTACATGAGATGTTTTGATATAGGCATGCAATGTGAAATACACACATCATGAAGAATGAGGTGTCCATCCCCTCAAACATTTATCCATCGAGTTGCATTCTTTGTTATTTTAAATGTAGTTATTGACTATAGTCACTCTGCTGTGCTATCAAATAGTAGGTCTTATTCTTTTTTTTTTTTTACACCCATTAGCCATCCTCACCTCCCTCCACCCAGCCCCCAATAACTCCCCAACCTCTGGTAACCATCCTTCTACTCTCTATGTCCATAAGTTCAATTGATTTGATTTTTGGATTCTACAAAAAAAAAAAACCAGATGTTTTTGCGATGTTTGTCTTTCTATGCCTGGCTTATTTTACTTAACATGATGATCTCCAGTTCCATTCATGTTGTTGCTAATGACTGGATCTCATTATTTTTTATGGCTGAATAACCACATTTTTGTTATCCATTCATCTGTTGATGGACACTTAGGTTGCTTCCAAATCTTAGCTATTATAAACAGTGCTGCAACAAGCATAGGAGTTCAGATTTTTTTTTGATACACTGGTTTCCTTTCTTTTGGGAATGTACCCAGCAGTGGGATTGCTGGATCATATCGTAGCTCAATTTTTAGTTTTTTGAGGGCCCTTCAAACTGTTCTCCATAGTGGTTGTACTAACTTACATTCCCACCAATAGTGTACAAGGGTTCACTTCTCTCCACATCCTCGCCAACATTTGTTATTGCTTGTCTTTTGGATATTAAGCCATTTTAACTGGGGTGAGATGATATCTCGTAGTTTTGGTTTGCATTTCTCTGATCAGTGATGTTGAGCATCTTTTCATATATCTGTCATTTGTATGTCTTCTTTTGAGAAATATCTACTCAAATATTTTGCCCATCTTTTGTTTGGATTGTTAGATTATTTTCCTATAGAGTTGTTTGAGCTCCTTATATATTCTTGTTATTAATCCCTTGTCAGGTGGATAGTTTGCAAATATTTTCTTACATTCTGCAGGTTGTCTCTTTACTTTGTTGATTGTTTCCTTTGCTGTGCAGAAGCTTTTTAACTTGATATGACCCATTTGTCCATTTCTTTGTGTTAGTTGCTTGTGCTTGCGGGGTATTGCTCAAGAAATTTTTGCCCAGACCAATGTCCCAGAGATTTTCCCCAGTGTTTCCTTGTAGTTGTTTCATGGTTGCGGTATTAGATTTAAGTCTTTAATCCATTTTGATATGATTTTTGAATATGGCAAGAGATGGGGTCTAGTTTCATTCTTCTGCATATGGATATCCAGTTTTCCCAGCAACATTTATTGAAAAGACGATCTTTCCCCCAGTATATGTTTTTGGCACCTTTGTCAAAAATGAGTTCACTGTAGGTGTATGGATTTGTTTCTGGGTTCCCTATTCTGTTTCATTGGCCTGTGTGTCTGTTTGTATGTCAGTACCTTGCTGTTTTGGTTACTATAGCTGTGTAGTATAATTTGAAGTCAGGTAATGTGATTCCTCCAGTTTTCTTCTTTTTGCTTAAGGTAGCATTGGCTACTCTGGGTCTTTTGTGGTTCCGTATAAATTTTAGGATTTTTTTTTCTATTTCTGTGAAGAACGTCATTGGTATTTTGATAAGGATTACACTGAGTCTATAGATTGCTTTGGGTAGTATGGACATTTTAACAACATTGATTTCTTCCAATCTGTGAACACGGAATATTTTTCCATTTTTTGGTGTCCTCTTCAATTTCTTTTATCAGTGTTTTATAGTTTTCATTATAGAGATCTTTCACTTCTTTGGTTAAGTTTATTTCTAGGTATTTAATTTTACGTGTGGCTTTTTTTTTTTTTTTTTTTTTTTGAGATGGAGTCTCGCACTGTCACCCAGGCTGGAGTGCAGTGGCGCTATCTCCGCTCACTGCAGCCTCCACATTCCGAGTTCAAGCGATTCTCCTGCCTCAGCCTCCTGAGTAGCTGGGATTACAGGCACCCACCACCAAGCCTGGCTAATTTTTTGTATTTTTAGTAGAGACGGGATTTCACTGTGTTGGCCAGGCTGGTCCTGAACTCCTGACCTTGTGATCCGCCTGCCTCGGCCCCCCAGTATGTGTGGCTATTATAAATAGAATTACTTTTTAGATTTCTTTTTTACATTGTTCACTGTTGGCATATAGAAATACTGTTGATTTTTGTATCCTGCAACATTACTGTACTTGTTTGTCAGTTCCTATATATAGTTTTCATAGAGATATATATATATAGTTTTATATATATCTTATATGTAGTTTTCTTATGGAGTCTCATAACTTTACCTAGTTATGACTGCAGAATAACAGAAAGTTGTGAGTATAATAGGAATTTTCTAATAATTGTCTGTATTTGCACCTTCGATAAATAATGTGTATAGCTTTCCTAATTTTTTTTCTTGTTCTTTTTTTTCTAATTAGAATGTACTTTTATGTCTTTTGAATCTATGAATAAAAAATTGGGGCTTATATTTTATAAGTATTTTTCTCTTTTCTAATGTATTTTTATTGTATTTATCAATACAATTTTTAAAATAGTGACAGGTTAGAACTAAAAAACCAAGTTAGAAACAAACATGCCTGTGGTGTCATTTAACGTGCTCTTCTGTTTCTGTATTTCGTGTACCTTGGTAGTTAGATTTCCTGAAAGCTTCGTCAGAGTTGGGCGCTTTTTCTGGGTGAGAGGGACAGGACTACTTCACAACTGACGTTACGTACTTTTAGCAGGAGGACACACTGTCTAGTTGCTGCTTGTCTCTTTCTGTGATGTTACCTGTTGATGATTATTGTCAAGAGCCATTAGTGTATTAGACAATGCACAGTGGTGATATTCTAATCCTGTTATTCCTCTTTCATTTATCTCTATGCTTATTTACATCTATGGGATACTTTTAGAAAGGGAAACTTCATCTTGTCAACTCTTTGACCACCCCCCCGCTTCCCGAGACACAGGAGGCATAGATAGTATACAAAACCAAGTCCTTTGACATTACTAAAAGTCCTCGTACCTGATTCCACTTTTCTAGAGGTCTCTTGTCATATAGAAACAGCTCTCACCAACTGGTTAATGAGTATCTACTCTTTGCAAAACACGGTGAAGACAAGTCGGGGTTAAAGTAGAGTAGGACGTTGTCTTTTAACCTCAAGACTTTTGTCTCACTGTTTGGATCAGCTCTGACACCTGAAATTATTTAAGATCACCAGTATAAGTAATTCAGTGCTAAATCACTTCACTCCACAATCTACTCATATGAGGGCAAAAATTTACTGAAAGGTATTCTTAATTACAGCCTTCTAATTTCAATTTCAGAAACTGGTAGCATTTTTGTTCTTCCTGTTTATCTAACAAACTTCTGTTTCTGGTCATTAAACAGAATGTAACTTTGTGGGAAGGGTGGGGATTTTATTTATCCAAATGAATAACCTTTATTCAGTTAAAAATTGCCAAATGTCTGTTTGTTCTTGGGGTTTTTTACGGTACTTAACATTCAGCCTGCCTGATAGCAGATAGGATTTAGGTTGCCAAATGTGGAAATGCAAGGAATGTCAGACGTGGCGAAAGCAAATCTGCAGAGATTCCTTGATGCCATCTTGTAAAGGAAAATATACTACTTTTTATGAGTGATGGCTGCCAGCTATTATTCCAGGGACAACATACCATATTTTGCTTTATAGACTTAAGAAAAGGAAGACCTATAGATATTATTTTTCTGTGGAGGGTGTTCTGACTCTTCCTCATCCAGGGAACCATTTTGAGGGTCTGCTAGTTTCTAAGTATATTTACCTCATTTATATACTTGGGGACAAGGTGCTTCTGTGGACCTACTAGACTCACTGTGAAACCGACATGGCCACAGCTCCACTTGTCCCCTGGACTCCATAAGCCCCCACTCTAACGAGAGAACCACCATTTTAGATCCTGTGGTGTCAGGGTCAGCTCAGACCCGTATCTAACAGTCTGAAAGATCTGGCATTCCCCTTTCCCCAGCACCCGCCTGTGGCCTGTGATCCTAGTAGGTGGTAGAAGGTTCTTTTGTAGAGGGATCAGTGAAATCTTTATCATATGAACTGTGCGTGTGGGTATTGCAGGCTCCTTCCTCAACAAGACCTGTCCTCTCCTCAGACAGTAGACTCTGAGACTGAATTGCAGCATCTGATGTCAGCCTCTGCTTTTCAGCTCCCTCTCTTTTATACAAGTCAGGTAACACACGTGTCAGTTTCTGTCTATCTCGCCCATGCCAATCAGCCACAGATCCTTTGTGGTCAAAGAACTCCGGTTGCCACTCTGGCCTTGCTGTCCGTTATGACATTTACATCCATCCTTGCCTCTGGTTAATTGTTACCACCTGGCCTCTGCTATTTTGGAATCCTACCATCCCCCATTAATTAAAAAGCTCAATACCGTGGCAGTGTCTCTTACTGTCAACTCCAGCCAACAGAGGACAAAACCACTGAGCTTCTCAATGACACTGTGCCCCTCACAGATGCACTTATCCCTTTAGTGAAGGAAGCGACCTCTCGGCCCTCCTGGGATCATGGTCTGATGGTTGGCTCTTCTGATCTTTCATAAGAGATCCACACTACATGCCCACTCTTGAGCCTTTTGACCTCCTCAATATTCTGCCAAGGCAGTACCAGCATCTCCATTTAACTTACACGAGGCCATTGTTGTGCTCAGGCCGCAAGGAGCCATCCCAATGTCCGCAGACCAGCTTTAGGTGTCTGCCGGAATACTAAACTACAAGTCACAGCAGAGTGCTCCCATGCAGATAAAGCCTCACCAATCTAGCCTGACATTCACCTCATCACCCTCCCCTTTCCGCCTGTTCCCCAGGCTCCCATCAGTGCAGTGAGTCCTGTCCGGGCACAGTGGCTCACGCCTGTAATCCCAGCACTTTGGAGGCCAAGGCGGGCAGATCACAAGGTCAGGAGATCGAGACCATCCTGGCTAGCACGGTGAAACCCCATCGCTACTAATAATACAAAAAATTAGCTGGGCGTAGTGGCAGGCGCCTGTAGTTCCAGCTACTCAGGAGGCTGATGCAGGAGAATTGCTTGAACCCAGGAGGCGGAGGTTGCAGTGAGCCAAGATTGTGCCACTGCACTCCAGCCTGGGTGACAGAGTGAGATTCTATGTCCAAAAAAACCCCAAAAAACAAAAAACAAACAAAAAAACCAGTGGGTCCTGAAAGTCCTTCAGCATGAAGCTATTCTCTGCATGATCCTTATCAACTGGAGTGAAAAGGATTTGAGGACGGGAAGCATCATCTTAAGAAGTAGCTGCCTCAGATGAGGTCTTTACAGGATTTCTAGGCAAGAAGAGGTTGCTCTCCTCTAGTAAGAAAGGGATGTTTCGGGCCAGGCACGGTGGCTCACGCCTGTAATCCCAGCACTTCGGGAGGCGGAGGCGGGCAGATCACGAGATCAGGAGATCCAGACCATCCTGGCTAACACGGTGAAACCCCGTCTCTACTAAAAATATAAAAAATTAGCAGGGCGTGGTGGCGGGCGCCTGTAGTTCCAGCTACTTGGGAGGCTGAGGCAGGAGAATGGCGTGAACCTGGGAGGCGGAGCTTGCAGTGAGCCGAGATCACGCCACTGCATTCCAGCCTGGGCGACAGAGCCAGACTCCATCTCAAAAAAAAAAAAAAAAAAGAAAAGAAAAAGGGCTGTTTCTACTGGCCCAGAAAGTTCGGGGGAATTTGGGAGTTCAAGATTCTGGGACTTGTCCACCAAATGTCCTTATCGCAAGTATCAGGGTGGTTCCATCTGGGTAAACTCTCCACATCTCTGGGTTGTGACAGTGGTTTCCTGTAGCGGTAGTCCCACTCTTTGGTGTCAGAGAAACTCTATCCCAGGTGAGGTGCTATGTAGCTCTACTGGTCATAGCAGCAGTAGCTGAGATAGTGCAGCTGAGAGGATTATGAAGTAGCGCACAGGAGGTGTTTGTACAAGCCTTCTCTATGAGACTTTATTTCTGAGGTCAGATAAGTACTTCATTTAAACCCAGAATTCCTGTGTGACGGGTACAGTCACAGGAATCTCAGGAGGCCAAGTGTTGCCCCTGAAGTTTTTCAAACCCCAAAAGATGAACTAAATCTTGAAGAAAACAACATTGAACTTGAATCAAACGTGGTTGTTGTTATAACAATGATAATAGCAATAATAATCATGGCTACCATTTACTGACCATTATTAAAAGATGGCATCTGGATTAAATGTTCTGTGTATATTATTTTAATTTATTGAGACAGAGTCTCACACTGTTGCCCAGACTGGAGTGCAGTGGTGCAATCTTGGCTCACTGCAAGCTCTTCCTCTCGGGTTCACATCATTCTCCTGCCTCAGCCTCCTGAGCAGCTGGGACCACAGGTGCCCACCACCACGCCTGGTAATTTTTTTGTATTTTTTTTAGTAGAGACGGGGTTTCACCGTGTTATCCAGGATGGTCTTGATCTCCTGACCTCATGATCTGCCCGCCTCAGCCTCCCAAAGTGCTGGGATTACGGCGTGAGCCACTGCGCCCGGCCTTACTTTAATTTTTATAACCATCTATCAGAGAGATAGTATGCTCAGTTTACAAAAGAAACAGCTGACACTTTGAGAAGTTAAGCAGCTTCTTCACAGTAAAAACACCAGGAGGGGAGTGGGGCTTGAATTTGAACCTAAATTTATATGACTCTAAAATGTTAACCATCTGGTTTATAACAGCTATTTTGCTTCTCCAGCCAAGCCATAAAAACTTAAGAAATATATATACCAGTCAGAATCTTTCATATATATGTAATTTTTGAAAAAGGGACAGTGTAACAAGCTAATGATGTTCCAAAAGTTGTGTGGTGGGCGGGGGGACAGAAGGGCTGAAAGCAGTGTGATGATTGATTGATCGATTGATCGATTGATTTTGAGATGGAGTCTCACTCTGTCACCCAGGCTGGAATGCAGTGGCGTGATCTCGGCTCACTGCAGTCTCCACCTCCAAGGTTCAAGCGATTCTTGTGCCTCAGCCTCTCGAGTAGCTGGGGCCATAGCCGTGCGCCACCATGCCTGGTTAATTTTGTATTTTTAGTAGAGACAGGGTTTCATCATGTCGGCCAGGCTGGTCTCAAACTCCTGACCTCAAGTGATCTGCCCACCTTGACCTCCCAAAGTGCTGGGATTATAGGTATGAGCCTTGCCTATTATATATTTTTAACTGCAGTAAACCACATTTAAGAGAAAAAGAAAAGAAGGAAAAAATGGGGAGATGTCCCTGTTTCATAGGACCTTCTCACTGTGATTGGCGTTTTCCAAGATGAGCGCCTGCAGTCAGCCCCTCTCTAGTCCTTGGCACTTACAGGATACCTGTTGAGCTGCTGTGAAATATCACTTTTAAGAAACCTCATTTTTTATTTTGATTTTTTTGAGACAAGGTCTCACTCTGTTGTCCAGGCTGGAATGCAGTGACGTGATCACGGCTCATTGCAGCCACACCTCCTGGGTTCAAATGATCCTCCCACCTCGGCCTCCCAAAGTGCTGGGATTACAGGTGCATACCATTGTGCCTGGCCTTAAGAAACTTCTTTATGGGGCACTGTTGTGGGCCATTGCTAAGAACGGTAACTAGTTACAACTTGTTATTTGGGGGGGGGGTTACATATGTGTTCTAGCAATGAGTTGAGGCAGATGTAGGGGGCAGTGGTTAATCTGGCAAGGGTTGGTCTTAGAGGTGGGAAACCACTGTTGGCAGCCCTTTCTGCTGCTACCTCCAATAAGAGCCAGCCCAGCTGAGTGGTTTCACTGGTGTGTGGGATGTGCCTTTGTCATGGCCTGCAGACCTGATGTTGATGCTCTTGCCCATGACTGAGGACAAAGGGGCGGGGTGGAAAGCCATCAGGTGTGGTGTCTTGTTCCCAGGCCTCCGGGGGTGTCACCTGCCTCTGGGGGGCAGCCTGCCCTGCTCAGCTAACTCATGTAGGGGCTCCCTGACAGCAGCTGCTTGGCAGCGCACCAGCGGGGCTCGGGAAACAACTCTTGCCATCCCCTCAGTATTAGTTGCTGTTTCTCTGCTTGTGGATATTCCTTGATGGCAGGATTTTCCTCTTTTTGACTGAACAGCAAACCAGTTTAACTCCTTACATAATATTTTATAGAAAATTGTATCCTTTATTGGATCTGATAGAAATCATTGAGTATATCCCAGGAATGTCAAAAGGTAAGTTGGCTGAGAGCCAGCTGCTACCATTTCTGTCACTTCAATTGTTAATGGGCATTTCCTATGTTCATCACTGTGGCAAACACTTTATTACCTTCTTTGGTTCTCACAGTAACCATATCAATATTTTTTTATCACCCTCGTTTTACAAAGAAGGAAAATGAGGCTTACAGGGCTTCAATGACTTGCCTGTGGCATATAGCATGCAGTCAGTTGGAATGAAATCCGTGTCTGATTTCAATGCCCCAACACCTAAATAGAATTTTAAAAATTGAGATATATTTTACATACCATAAATTTACCCTTTTAAAAGTGTACAATTCAGTGGTTTTCATGTATATTCACAAAGATGTCAGTCATCGCCACTAAATCCAGAACATTTACATCACCCTAAAAAGACATCCCATACCCATTAATAGTCATTCCCTATTCTTTCTCCTGGCAACCACTAATCTACTTTCCATCTCTATGGATTTGCCTATTTTGGACATTTCATATAAATAGAAGCATGCACTATGTGGTGTTTTGTATCTGGCTTCTTTTACATAGTTTAATTTTTCAAGATGCATCTATGTTATAGCATGTATCAGTAGTTCATTCCTTTTTATGGCTGAATAATATTCATGGTGTGGCTATACTACATTTTGTTTATCAGTTCACCATTGATGGACATTTGAGTTGTTTCTACTTTTTGGCTGTTTGAATAATGCTGAAGAGAACATTTGTATACAAGTTTTGTGTGGTCATATGTGTTCTGTTCACTTAGACACAGAGCTAGGAGTGGAATTACTGAGTCATATGGTAACTTTATGAATTAACTGGACTTTTACTTGAACTCCTGAGTCTTCTCAAGGTATGAAAATAAAGTAGATAAGGCAATTTTTAAGGCAGTGCTGTAGAAGCCCAGCATATTATAGAGAGGAGAGTTCCCACTGCTGTGAAAAAAGAGGCTTCTCCTTTGGAGCTTTGTTATTATTTTGATAAAATTATACAGTGGCGACCAGTGTTAGCAAATGAGGGTTACGCAGCGTCTTAGTGTGTAGGCTGGAAAACACATGACTTGCATAGTAATAGTTAGGTTTCCATTTCTGTTATCTCTGCTATGGTTTGAATGTTTGTCCCTTCCAAAACTCGTGTTGAAATTTAATTGAGGCTGGCTGGGCACGGTGGCTCACACCTGTAATCCCAGCACTTCAAGAGGCAGAGGCAGGTGAACTGCTTGATCCTAGGAGTTTGAGACCAACCTGGGCAACATGGTGAAACCCTGTCTCAACAAAAAATACAAAAATTAACTGGGCATGGTGGTGGTGTTCACCTGTAGTCCCAGCTATTTGGGAAGCTGAGGTAGGAGTATTGCTTGAGCCTGGGAGGTTGAGGCTGCAGTGAGCCATGAGCGCGCCACTGCATGCCTGCCTGGGTAACAGAGTGAGACTCTGTCTCCAAAAAAAGAAAAAAGGAAAAAGTTTAATTGCCATTGTAATAATATTAAGAGGTGAGATGTGGGACCAGTAAGAGGTGATTAGGCCATGAGAGCTCTGCACTTGTAAATTGATTAATGCTGTTATTGCATGAGTGAGTTCATTATAAAAGAGCAAGTTTGCCTCCCCACCCCCAATCCCCCACCACCCCACACCCTCCCTTGCCCTTCTGTCCGTAGCTATGTGATGATACAACAAGAAGGCCCTTGCAAGATGATAGCTTCTCAATCTTTGATGTCCCAGCCTCCAGAACTGTGAGAAATAGATCTCTGTTCATTATGAGTTACCCAGTCTCAGGTATTCTGTTATAGCAGCACAAAATGGACTGAGACAACCTCCCATGCATTCAGGTATTTTTTAAGCCTGCTTTGATAAGAAATCAAAACAAAAACAACTTGGAGTTTATTCTTACATGACTTTCTTTTTTTTATGTGACTTTTTGAAGTCATAGACTGCTTTTTAGAGTGGTGAGGAACAGACAGAAGCCCAGTGCCCTGCACTCCTGCCTCTGGGACACCCAATGCCTTATATGCTTCAAACAGACTGATGGGTACATTTGAATGTGAGAAATATGCATAGAAACATCAGCTACATCAAGGTGGGAGGATTATTGAGGCCAGGAGTTCAAGACCAGCCTGAGTAACATAGTGAGACCTGTGTCTCTTTAAAAAAAAGAAAAGAAAAAAAAAGAAAAAAAAATTAGCCAGACTTGGTGGCAGGCCACTGTAGACCTAGCTACTCAGGAGGCTGAGGCAGGAGGATCACCTGGGCCCAGGAGTTTGAGGCTGTAATAAGTTCTGATTGTGTCACTGCACTCCAGCCTGAGCAATGAGATTCAGTCTTTAAAAAGAAAGAAAGAAAGAAAGAAACCAGCTACAGTTAAACATATGTATGCATACCTATGACCTAGTAATTCTGCTGTTAGGTATATATGGTATATATATATGTGTCTGTATATTCACCAAGAGACATGCATATAAGAATATTGATAGCAGCACCACTATTTTTTTTTAATACACAGAATGTAAGATTACCTAAAATCTCTTCAACAGAAGAATGGATAAATGAGCTATAATATAGTCACATAATAGAACTCTATACAGCAGTGAGAATGAAAGAATCATAACAATATTGGATAAATTTCACAAATAAAATCTTGAGTGAAAGAAGCCAGATGGGAAAGAATATATCCTGTGTAGTTCCGTCCATATAAAGTTCAAATATGGGCAAAACTGACCTGCAATATTAAAACCAGGACAGTGACTACTCTTGAGGGTAGTGATTGGAAGGGGTGTGAGGGGCTGCTGGATACTGGTTAGTCTTTTCTTGACTGAAGTGCTGGTTACACAGGTACATCCTGTTAGAAAGTTCTACATGCTGTAAGTGTACACTTTTCTATATATTAGAATTTTTTAAAGAATGAGTAGGCCAGGTGCGGTGTCTCACACCTGTAATCCCAGCACTTTGGGAGGCCGAGGAGGGGTGATCACTTAAGGTCAGGAGTTCGAGACCAGCCCAGCCAACATGGTGAAACCCTGTCTCTACTAAAAATTCAAAAATTAGCAGGGCATGGTGGCGGGCGCCTGTAGTCCCAGCTACTTGGGAGGCTGAGGCAGGAGAATCGCTTGAACTCAGGAGGCAGAGGCTGCAGTGAGCAGAGACTGCACCACTGCACTCCAGCCTGGGCGACAGAGACAAAAAATAAAAAACAGCAAAAATAAAAAGAATGAAAGTATATGTATACACACATACATATAAATAATTGGTTTCATGTTTTCCCTATCTCTAGTTCTAAAATAAATCTTAAACATGATACAGACTATGGAAATGTAATAAATTCAATCAGAGAGAATCCCTTTGTTAATTCAGCAAATATCTGAAGAGCAGAGCCTGGGCTGGGAGGCAGTCTTCTTGTTAGGAAGGGGGTGGGATTTGAGAATGCCTCAGGAATGGGAGGGACTGAGCTTGAGCCCCCACCTATCGTCAGTAGCTGCATCTTTTCCTCACGCTGGTATGCTCACTGTCTTTTCATGTCATTCTTCTTCCTTTGCGTCTCCTCTCCTACCCCCAGCTCTTCCTGCCTTTTTTTCTGTCACCCTCTTCCCACCATGCTGTTTGTTTTGACATTGAACTAGATATAAATTATCCAAGAGGCGATCTGGCTGAGGCTGGGGAATGTGCAGGACTGTCCTCGCCCAGGGCTTTGGGAGATCCCCCAGGAAAAGGGTTGTCAGGACTGGAATGTCCACCCAGGAGAAGGTCTGTGGATTTTCCCTACAAAGGACTCCCCAAAGACTGGGTTCCAGGCCCCTGAGATTAGGGAAGAGGCAAGCCCAAGAGAGAAAGCTCCATCATCTACCACAGCAAATGCAGATTTTCTCTATGAAGAGAAGACCAAGCCTTTTGCTATGAGATCAGTAGGGAAAGGGCACAGGGTTAACCTGGGACTATTCACAGAAGAGTCTTAAGCTTTGTAATTTCTCAGGTTATTTTGGATCCTGCCTCCTGAAGACTGCTGAATCTCAGCTAATTTTTGTTGTAGAAATAATTTGCCTATGATAATAATGAGACTATCCTGAGAGAGATGTTTATTTTAAGACTGTTTAAAACTCTCAGGAATAAATATCCCTGGGGCTGATTCTGGGCATTAAAAACACAATTCAAGGTGAGTTTCATTTCTCTTCCTGCGGCCTTCACATTAGGAACCTCTTTTTACAAAGATGTGGCAGAATTTTGATTTTAAATAATTCATAATGATACTGTTGACAATTTTGTATGTTTGTCATGTGACATAATTATTGGTTAAGGAATGTAGTGGACCAAACTTGCTCATGGCTAATCTGTGGCTGAAACTTAAAATATGGACAATATCCAATTTGGAAGAAAGCCTTAGCTCGGAAATAATCAGATATAACCAGGATTAGGGAGATGCTGACTGAAGATAAGCTGACTTCAGACAGGGTATTCTTGCGAAGCATGTCCTCCACCTAACTGGAGCATTACCTTCCTTAGGGGTCAGAGTCCACCAGGTTAGAGTGCTTCTTCCTGCCATGGACTGCACATGCACATGGCTAATCATCATGTATGATGACATGAGTATAGGAGAGGACCCTCAGGGCCTCCCTGATGGCCAGCTGTACCTGAAGTCCTCCTAGTCCCCCTTATCTGCAGAGACACTTGATCCCAGCAAAGCTCAGTGCTGAAGCCAAATACTGTGTCATGCTGCGTGCTGAGTAAGGCCAAGAGACCAAATGAGGATTTGGGCAGCGCTTGGGAACTATAAAGAAGAGGTGAAGGTTTAAGAGACAGAGGAAGGAGTAGATGTTGGGAAGGGCTTGGAAATCTAATTGGAGAATTTAGCCTCTTGTTGACTTTACATAGGCATACATACACCCTAATATTTAGTGAGTGCTTTTTCTGTGCCAAGTGCCGTGCTTATCATCTACTCCCTTGGGAGTAGCTCCCTAGCGTATTCTCCTAGCTACCCTATGAAGTCAGCAGCTATCATTATTATCCCCATTTTTATAGATGAGAATATTAAGGCCCAAGGAAGTTAGTCATATAACCTGCCTAGGGCCATGAAGCGCATTCTATGGGTGGACTGCTTAAATAGATTCTCTCCTTCCCTTGCTTCTCCCCACTCCTGCCTCAGCCAACCTTGGAAGAGAATTGAGAAGGGGACCTAGCGGAGTCTTTTGTGGATAGTGGTGTGGACAGTCCATGTAGTACCGGTGTTTCCAGACCATGATGTCACCTCTCACAGGTGGTAGACATTATCAGCGGAAAATCACACCTAACCTGGACATGCATGTTGATAGCTGCAGAGAGCTGTGAGAGAAGGTCATGTGGGTTAGGGAGAGTGAGGGATGAGAGGGAAGAGCAGTGTGTGTCATAGTATCTGGAATAATCTAGCATCAGATGGATATCATTTCAAGAAATGCCTCAGTGGCAGAATGATTGAATAAAATGGGACTCCTGGAATGAAAACCAGGCCCAGAAGAGTCAGAAACACCATTTCTGGAGGAGGGTCACACAGCCGACTGATAGCAGAAGCAAGTATGTGTCACTGGGAGAGATTGAGCGTGTGCCTGAGGATGGCGGGCTCACTGACTTGCAGGTGTCCTCCAGCCCTGGGAGAAGGCCTCTGTCCTCTGTGGGATAGCGTAGAAGAAATACTGTTGGAAACCAAATTAGAGTAGCAAATCACAGTTGGTGTTTACTTCTGAGTAGATATTCATGTTTATGGGAAGCAAAGGCTTCCCTTTGCCATATTCAGGACTATGTTTGCAGGATTATAGTCAGACATTTAATTCCCCGCTAGCAGAGCAGCTTCCTGGTTTTTTCAAGCTTATGGTGCAGAATTGGAAAGTGACAGGCTGTCACGCTCATTTCAGTTCAGTGGTGTTTCCTGTGGGAGATTACTGAGGACTCAGTCTGACTCAGCTGGCAGCTGGAGAGACCCCAGCCAGCGTGCCTCTCGTCTCGCCCTCACCAGCAGGACCCACTTCTCCTGCTGACATCATGCCCATATCAAGTGCTTCCCCACCTTACTTTCTCCCTCACAAAGGAATGAGTGATGGATAATTAATATGTAGAAGTACATATAAAGTGTATGAAATTGTATGAAGGATATGTAGCCAGTAGGACTACTCTTGCCCCTGGAACCTGACCATCCTTCAAACAGCAGCAAGGGACCCTTAGGTTACAAAGTATTTACAGGTGTTGAAGTGACATATTGGAGCTCTGGTTCTTGGCCCTAAAGATGGGGGGGTGTGAGTGACTTCAAAAAGGGAGCACAGCCTGTGATTTTCAGTGGCTGAGACAAGTAATTGGTGAAGAGTTATTGAGCATCCATTACGTAGAAGGCATTCCTATTTCCTTTGACTGCCGTAACAAACCACTGCAAACGACATGGCTGGAAACAACAGACATTTATGCTGTCACAGTTCTGGAGGGCAGAGTCTGAAATCAAGCCACTGGTGAGGTCGCATTGCCTCTGGAGGAGACTGTTCCCTTGTATCCTCCATTCTCTGGTAGCTCCAGGGTTCCTTGGCTTGTGGCCATATCACTCCATTCTCTGCCTCTGTGGTCACATGGCCTCTTTTTCTTCTGTCTCAAAACTCTGCCTCTCTTATAAAGGACACATGTGACTACCCACCCAGATAATCCAGGACATCAACGGATTAACTTAATCACGTCTTTTTTTTTTGTCATATAAATTAATATAGATTCTGGGGACTAAGACATGGACATATCTTTTGGGGACCCACCATTCAGTTCACTATAGAATTCTATTAGTTTATCTGGAAACATGAAAAAGTAAGAGAAGGT
The DNA here is from genome assembly GCF_000001405.40 of Homo sapiens. NCBI lineage: Eukaryota > Metazoa > Chordata > Mammalia > Primates > Hominidae > Homo > Homo sapiens. The sequence continues at coordinate 89,554,579 of NC_000006.12, forward strand.
ATCAGCTCTCTAAGAGTCTGTAATGCAGTTAGGTGAATATAGATGTGTTTATTTATCCAATAAGCCTGTATTGTTTCCATGCCACGTATTGTTCGTGTGACAGGCTGTGTGGTTGCATTGAACTTACATAGTGGAATGAGACACAGCCCCTGTGCTGGAGAAGCTCAGAGTCTGAGAGGAAAGACATTGTACACAAGACTAACCTGAGAGAATTTCAGTCTCTCATGGTCCAGTGTTTGTAAGAAGATATTCAAAGAAGCACAATCCGAAGACCAAAATTAACTTGTAAATGCATTTTAATAACTTCTTGTTCTCAAAAGTAAAGGAAATCCAAAATATAACCCCATAGTACAATGTTCATATCCTGGTTTTCTTTCCTAATTCTCTCACATTCCCCCATTCTGCATGGCACATTCATTTCTCCCTCTCCGCCTCTCTCTATCCTCTCCTCCCTCCCCGCTTTCTCTCCATCCTCTCCTCCCCCCCTTCTCTTCTCATCCTCTCCTCCCTCCCCCCTCTCTCCCCCCTCCCCCGCCTCAGCGTTTTTTTATATAGATGGGCTTAGCCTCCCTTGACAAGTCAGCTTTATTCTATCTCAACTCTCCCGCTTGTCCTCTAAGTCTACATCCTAAAGCCCAGGAATTTCTCTGGTTAGGACAGTCTCCTTAGAAGGAGAGGCACATGGAGAAGCCTTTTTACTTAGAATATAAGAAGAGAGGCCAACAGTACTGACATCACACAATTGCAGTCCAGTTTGATAAGTATTACAGTGAGATTTTAAAAATACATTATTTTGTGCTGGCCTCATTCAATTTTTGCAGCAACCCAGTGGGTAAAAACTGTAGTTATTCCTATTTTATACATAAGGGAGTGGGCTTATAGTCATTAAGAAACTTGCTCAAAATCAGTAGCAGACCTGGGATTTGAGCTCAGGGCAGGGTGATTTCACCCTTGGGACCCTGGAGGTTGGAAGAGTATTAGGAGAACCTTTAAGAGGAGGACGCCTTTGAATCAGGTATCTTTGAAGTCTAAGAAGGAGTTTGGACAAGATTTAAAGAGAATTCTAAGCAAAAATGACATGGTGGGGCTTTCAAGGTGCTCTAAGTACCTTTTGGCCAAGCTAGGGTGCAGGATGCAGCGGGGGAGAGGTATCAGAAGAAAAGGTGGTTGGAAACAGACTGGGATGAGACTATGCATGGATTTGTATATCTCTGGACTTTGTTCTGGGGGAAATATGTGTCACTGAGGTTCCAAGGAGAGGAGAAACACAATCACATTTGTGTTGTGAAAAGAGCACTGTAACATCAGGGATCACATAAATCAAGGCGGGGGAGGGAGAGGGCAGGACTTGAGGCAGGGAGAGTAACGTGGCAGAATGGCTTTTACATGCAAATTCAGCCCATAATTAGCAGTCCCACTAGCCCCCTGTATGGTCTGTTTACATAAAACACTCTGACAAGAGGCACAGAGGAAGAGCAGTCCATAGATAAAGGCACCATAGACCTAGCAAACACCGCCAGCAGTCTGCCCCCTGGCAAGTGGGCACAGTGGCAGTGGCTCCTACTGCATTGCAGCTCAGCTGTCTGTTCTCAACCTTTGCCATCTTGAAACAAACTGAAGGGGAAGGGCTAGGTTCTCATTATCCCTTTCTTCTAACACTGACACAACATAAAGCAGGAACTTGCCTCTCATTGGCTCATTGCCCTCTAAGATCCAGACAGAGCACAGAGAATTTAACCACCATGGGCTCAATGGTTCTGTCTTTCCTGGGAGTCAAGTTAAAGAAATCCCAAGAACTAGCTGACCAGCTTGTGCTGACTTGTATAAAGTTATCTTTTATTGAGGACCTGTTTTGAGACAAAGCACACTCACTATCTGAATCCTGAATATTAGTCTGGCTTTGGCTTCTGTTTTTCCCTAAGTGAAAACCCATCTGCAGAAGCAGATTTCCATATATAAGCTGAAACCTGCTTTACCTCTTGTCCCAATTTCTAAGTTTAGATAATCACAGAATTTCAAGAAACATTAGCAACATTCAGTTAGAGACCGTTGCAATAACCCAGGTAAGAAATGATGACAACTTAAGGCAGTGGCAGTACAGCTAAAGAAGATGGAACAGATCAAGGAACATCTAAACAGTAACCATAGAACCATGCTTATGTTAACTGAGCACTTTCTATGTGGCGGGCATTGAATAAAATGTGCATTATCTCATTCAATCTTTGCAACAACCTAATGAGGTAGGAACTGTTATCCCTTCTATTTTACATGTGCAGAAACAGACTCAGAGTCATTAAGAAATTTGCCCAAAGTAAGTGGCAGAGCTGGGATTTGAGCCCAGGCAGTCTGACTTCAAAGCTTATATTTTTAGTCTCTAGGCCTTACTGTCTCAAATCAGGATGATTTGGTGGTTTAGTGAATGTGGGATAGGGGGAAGGGGAAGAAGAGAAATGGGGGAGGAATGTTCCAGATTAGGGAAATAGATAGCTAGATGAAAGATGGAGCCCCTCATCAAGGTGAGGACACAGGAAAAGGAACAGGTTTGGGAGGAAGGATGGTGATTTGGTTGTGAATACATTGATGGGGGACATCCAAGGAAGATGTCTGGTAGGTGGTTGGGTGTTTAAATATAGAGCTTCAGAGAACGTGATTGAGGGTAAAGAAGTAGACTCAGAGGAATCTGTATCTAGGCAGCAGAGGAGCATGTGAGCAGAAGGGAGGGGGAGCACTGAGATCTAGAGAAGAAAATGAGCAGAGAAGATGCCCAAAAACCTCAAGGACCTGCAACATTTAAGGTGTCAGTGAAAAAAGCATTCAGTGGAAGAAAGGAATCGTCCAAGGGATGGTTAGGAGAATGAGGAGAGAATGGCTCACAGGAACCAAGGAGGAGGAATTTTGAGGGAGGGATGGTAGCAGGGCCCAGTGCAACAGAGAAATCATGTAAAGGAAGAGTCAAAAAGTTACTATTGCATTTGGCAATTACGTCAATGTAAAACCAGCCGGTGGGAGTGCAACATGGTACAGACATGTTAGAACAGGGGTCCCTAACCCCCAGACCGTGGACCAGTACTTGTCCGTGGCCTGTTAGGAACCTTGCCACACAGCAGGAGGTGAGCAGCAGGCAAGCAGGTGAAACTTCATCTGTATTTACAGCTGCTCCCCATCACTTGCATTACTGCCTGAGCTCCCCCTCCTGTCAGATCAGCGGCAGCGTTAGATTCTTATAGGAGTGTGAACCCTACTGTGAACTGCACATGTAAGGGATCTGGGTCATGTTCTCCTTATGAAAATCTAATGCCTGATGATCTGTCACTGTCTCCTGTCACCCCCATATGGAACTATCTAGTTGCAGGAAAACAAGCTCAGGGTTCCCACCAATTCTACATTATGGTGAGTTGTATAATTATTTCATCATATATTATAATGTAATAATAGAAATAAAGTGTACCATAAATGTAATGTGCTTGGATCATCCTGAAACCATTGTTCCCCACTGCTGAGTTTGTGGAAAAACTGTCTTCCATTAAACTGGTCTTTGGTGCCAAAAAGTTTGAGGACTGCTGTGTTAGAAGACAGTATAGACATTTCTTACAAAGCTAAACGCTGTGCTGCCATATTACCCAGCAATTGTACTCCTTGTTATTTATGCAAATGAGATGGAACTTATGTCCACACAAACCTGCACATGAATGTTTATAGCATTTTTATTTGTAATTGCTGAAACTTGGAAGCAACCAAAATGTCCTTCAGTAGATGAATAGAAAAGCAAATTGTGGTACAATGGAATATTATGGTATACAATGGAATATTATTCAGCACCAGAAAGAAATGAGCCATGAAAAGGCAAGGAGGAACCTTAAATGCATATTACTAGGGGAAATAAGCCGGTCTGAAAAGGCTACACACTGTATGATTCCAGCCACACAGAATTATAGAAAAAGCAAAACTCTGGAGAGAGTAAAAAGATCAGTGGTTGCCGGGAGCTTTGGGGCAAGAGAGGGATGAATAGGCAGAGCACAGGGGAGTTTTAGGGCAGTGAAACTACTCTTTGTGGTACTTTAATGGCAGATGCATGGTATTATTCATTTGTCAAAACCCATGGAACTGTACAACACAGAGTGAACCCTAATGCAAACCACAGACTCTAGTTAATAATACTGTATCAATATTGACTCATCAATTGTAACAAATGTATCACACTAATACAAGATGTTATTAAAAGGGAAATCTGTAGGGGTGGGGGTGGGCAAAGGGCTATATGAGAACTCTGAACTTTCTGCCCAATTTTTCTGTAAACTTAAAATCGCTCTAAAAGTCTATCAGTGAAGATAAAAAGGAGAGGAAAGGATGGAATAGAAGAAATAAATGAAGGAGGAAACAGGGCAGGAAGAAAGAGAAAGCCGTGCATATACAATCTTGAGAGTGTAGCATAAAACCATAATTATAATTAATTCTGTATGCTTGTGTTACAAGTAGAACAAAAATATGACTAGCCACTCTTCTTGCCAACTCCTAGGGCTCTCCATCACAAGTGTAAGATGCAGTTCAAGTAATTTGGCATGATGTGAAAATTTTTCACTGCCTGACTGCCACCTCATTTTCTAACACCATCACTGGTCTTTGCCGTGTTACAAGCTCCAGCTGCAGTTGTCTCTTTGCCTTTCTTTGCTACTCATGACACATACTTTCAGACCACTCTGCCTTTTTGCTCTTGCTGTTTCCTCTGCCTGTGTCTTCTCCCCTTCTAACCTAACCAGATCCTACCTCCTCTAACACACTACCTTCTCTGTGAAAACTTTCCTGACCTCCTTTCACCCCAGCACAGCAAGCAAGAATGATCCCTCTCCCAGTTTCCACAGTTCCTTATGCCCATCTCTTCAATATATGCTTGGTACTCCACAAAATAAATAACAAAAATGGTTTCAGTGGAAAAACTGGGGACAGAAAAGCCAGATCAGAGCAGATTTAAGCAATGGGTAGAAATTGAGATTTGAGTACATAGAATTGGTTTTATTGTGATGCTGTGTTAATTATTTTGATTTGTCTTTAGCATTTGGATCTTTACCTAACAGGGGTTGAGGGTGGTGAGAAGAAATTCCCAGAGTGGCCGTGGTGCTGTCCAATGCTCTGGTGCTGACAGGCCTGTCTCACTGAATAAAGGATGCCTCTAGAGTGATAATTTTTTTGGCCCCAGAAACTGTAGTCCTCTATTTTGAGGGGGAAGGGAGAGAGGAGAAAGACCATGTCCCTTCTCTGCTATCTTTTGGAGGGTCTGGAGCCAGAGCCTGCCTCATCTATTTGGAAAGGAAAAAGATTAGTTGACTAGGTGAGTACCTCATATATTTCTTACGGGATCACAGGCTCCTGAAGACCAATTGATGACTAAAAATAAATTGATTATTGGTTTTTCTGTCATTCATTAAATGGACATTAAAGGCCATCTGTGTTCCCGGCACCATGATAGGCTCTGGGGATACAAGATGACCAAAACGGGGTTCCTGCCACAAGGAGTTCATATAACCAGGGAGACCAACCTTGAGCCTATAACAGCAATTATGCTTGAGCTACCATGTCTGCTTGAGCTACCATAACAAAATACCACACACTGGGTGGCTTAAACAACAGAAATTTATTTTCTTCCAGTTCTACTTTCCAGTTCTTCTGGCTAGAAGTCCCAGATCAAAGTCCAGCAGGGTTCAGTTTCGGGTGATGGCTGTCTTCTTGGCTTGCAGATGGGCTGTTTTGTCCTCACATGGCTGTTCTTCTGTGTGTGCACACTCAGAGTACGTGTGCAAGCATGAGTGCGCTAATTCTATCAGATCAGGGCTCCACCTTTATGACCAAATTCACCTTAATTATCTCCTATTTCCAAATACAGTCACACTGGGGGTGTGGGCTTCAACATATGAATTGGGGGACGCAATTCAGTTCATAGCAGAAGCTTATAGAAAACTGTAGGTGCTGGCTGGGCACGGTGGCTCACGCCTATAATCCCAGCACTTTGGGAGGCTGAGGCGTTTGGATCACCTCAGGTCAGGAGTTTGAGACCAGCCTGGCCAACATGGTGAAACCCCGTCTCTGCTAAAATACAAAAATTGGCCGGGCATCATGGTAGTCGTCTGTAATCCCAGCTACTCGGGAAGCTGAGGCAGGAGAATCACTTGAACCTGGGAGGCCGAGGTTGCAGTGAGCCGAGATTGCGCTATTGCACTGTAGCCTGGGGGGACAAGAGCGAGACTTTGTCTCCAAAAAAAAAGAAAAAAGAAAAACGGTAGGTGCACAGATGAGGGAATGGTCATCTTGTCTAGGGCAAGGCAGGGACAGCAGAAGGCTTAGCAGAGATAACACTTGGTCTGAACTTTGAGTATGCGCATGGTCATTTGCCAAGTGATGGGAGTGCCCAGCCCTGACTTGGAGGCTCTGGTGGTCTAGCAGTGCTGGTCAGTCAATAAGTTATTGTCCTACATAAAAAGGGACGGTCTCTACCTCCCAAGCCTTCTGTCAGTCACATCTTTATTCGGTGATATGTGCTTATTCCTCCTATGTGATTTTTACATCTGTAAGCAGCTTTTCTTGGAAGGGTATGTCACAGGTTTCCTGAATAATATTCAGATGTCACTCAGCTTTCACTGTAACAGCCTCTATGCCTCCTGCAGAGGTGGTTATTTCAAAAGATTCAGTGACAGAGTTAGAAGAAGAGAGTTTTTGTGCTTTAAATGGCTCAAGAAATAAACATACTTGTTTCTTTGTGACAGTGGGGTGTATTTATAATGAGTCATGGGCTTGCTAAAGCAGAGCGTGTCCACCCTGTCATTTCCCTTCTTTCGCAAATAGTCCTGGTGGGCACCAGGTTCCGTGAGCAGTCAGTGCTGAGTGTCCTCATAGGTAGTACTGTGTTAAGGGCCCTACCTGTGGGAGTAGATCTTCTCAGAAGGAGGAAGTGTTCTGGAAGCTGTAAGAAAATGAACCACTCCTTGCTTTATTCTTCCTTCCCACTCAGTTTACACTTATCTTCTGGCAACTGGACTTTTGGTCCCTGATCGTGGCTTTTCAGTGGCCAGATGATGAGTTTCTTTAAAGTACGGATTGAGTCACATTCCTCTCTGTTGCAGCCTTACTTGTCCCCCAGTGGTGATCACAGTAACCCAGTAGTGATTGCTTTTGGATAACTAGTATGATGGTTGTATATTTTTTTTTAAGCTTGTGTTATTCTGCTGGCAATTTGTTTCCCCAGTGGGATTCAGCCTCTTTGCAATGCACCCACCAGAGTCTCCAGCTATTCTCCTGCCCTTGGTGTAAGGCAAATGATGACCAAAGCAGGATTGCAGTCCATTCCATTGCCCCATTACCCTTGGGGAAATAGGGCAATGCTTTAGGACGGCAGGTGGTAAGAGGGTTTGTACTGACAGAGTAATTTCCCCATCTCTGGGACCAAAAATTCTGTCTTTAGAGACAGAGAGGAAAATGTGGGGATATTGGCTCAAGTCAAAATGAAAGCCCTCTCCTTTCTATGATCTCTCCAGGTGGGAATTAGATTTCTGTTGCTTCAACAAGTGGGCTGGAGCACACGCTTACAAGTTTAGGGCAGTCGACAGCACTCAGAACAGCTTCTGAAGGGGCTCAGTTCCCTGTTTACTCCCTTCCCCCTCCCCGGCAGAGACTGTTCAGAGGAGTATTTGTGAGACAAACGTCGGGAACAGCTGCTCAGCCAGACCCTTGTCTCCTGTGCTGCCGCAGTCACTGTGCTGGAACTCTCTGCCGAGGAGGGTGGAGTGTCTGGGCTCCGCTGCTCCCACAAAGCAAGCATTTTCCTGTTTTCTTGGAGGCAGTTTATTACAGATTTCAACCCTTTCTGCATCCCTCCCTCCCTTACAACACGCACACTCATCTTTTCTTGCATTACTGCTGAAATTATGCAAACTTCGTTTCTCTGTCATCTGAGCGTCATTCAGAAATGTTCCTCCGATCTGTGAATTGTTCCCTGACTTCAATCGGGGCAGTGTTACAGGTCCTCTGCTGGCAGGAGGGAGCAGTCCGTGAAAATCTGCAGACACAAGACTTTCAGAAGCTGTGACGAGCAGACTAGCAAGCCACAAAACATTGCAAGCTGAATGGATGTCTTAATAAGCTTTTAGATGTGATTTGGCCAGCATCAGCAGAGGAGGCTAACGGGAAAAGGCAGCGAACATTGTAACGTAAATCACTGCAGATTTGCTGGGAGTGACAGCCCTAGGAAGCTAATGATCTCTCCAGGAAAGAATTGACCACAGTTATCCAGAAACTGAACACGATGTAGAACAGAGAGGACAGCCCCTCGGATGTGAGTACCATCTCTTCAACACAAGGTTTGGAGCAGTAGGAGCAAAGCTAGTTTATAGCTGATGGCGCTCCATAGCCACCAGTTCCTGGGTGCCTGTGGGCCATCTCTGGGTGGGTTGTACATAATGCCTGGCCGGGACTTTTATTTGCAGGTCTCTTCTGGAATATTTTGCTTGTCGGGAGACAGAACGTAGTGGCTTTAGGATATTGGCAAATTCTCCAAAGTATAGGAGAATTTGTTGTAAAGCCCCAAGAGAACAGCAAAAGCAAACCTTATAGACCTTTTTCTGTAAAAAGAAAACTGATTGCATCACAGACAAGCAGCTGTGTGACCCTCTGGTATTTGTGATGAGAGACAAAAGAATTAGCAAATTACAGAGCAACAAAAATGGGGCAGTGGGCTGGGAGGATGGAGGGAAATCTTAGCAAGCTAAATCCCTATCTAGATTCAGAATGTGCATTGCATACTTATGCTCATGTGTTTATTTCCTTTTTGCTTAAAGAATGGGCAGCGTGTTTGCGTTTAAGGTTTTCCTCCAGAATGCTGTGAAAAATGAACATTGTGACAAAGAGGGGTGTAATTGATAGGCTTGGGGCAGAATACATTTCTCACTGCCAGCAATGGGAAGTATCTTGAATGATAGCTGATCTACTTGGAAGAGGAGGCTCAGATATAAGGAGGGGATGAACTGCTACAGCCAAGGTAGCCAACAGGTTGGCAGTGAAGTTTAACTCTTTGATTCAAGACTGGTTTCACCCCTCTATTCCCTTTCCCTCCCAATTTACTGTCAGGGGTTCCCCCATCCCTTCTTAAACTGCCCCCCACCCCTGCAACACACACATCTCTATCTGGTCCAATTTGTCAGGTCAGGGCATCAGATGAGAAGAAGCAGAGTGTCTTCTCACTCTAAGGAATGGGTATCATTGTTCTAGATGGGAGGTAAGGATTTGGGACTTAGGAACAGTGACCATGAGGGAGGGAGAGAGGTGGTGTCTCTGCTTGGCCTGCACCTGGTATCTCTGCTGGGCCTGCACCCACACCCAAGGCTGAAGGTGCAGGAAGAAGCAGAAAGGAAGCAGAAAAGAAGACCCTCATTTGATACCTTCCCACCCACAAACTGTGTGTAAATGCACCTGCAGGTGAAGGCTGGAGATCCTAGTAAGGAGGCGATTACTGGGCTTAAATTGAAAATGAGTTTGAGATGTCCAAGCACATAGGGATGGTGTTGGCAACAGACTAGGAATTGGAAAGCTGGGGTTCTGTTCCTGATCTTGCAGGCAGTTTTCTGTATGACTCTGGTAGGGAGAGTATCCAAAGTCCTGTGTGAGGGACCTGTTCTGGAGGCTGCTCTGTGGGTGCTTTGGTCATGGTGGAGGGGATGGAATGAGAGAGGAACATTCTTAAGTAGCTGTAACTGAAAAGCAAAAAAATAGAAGGGTGTTTCTGCTTGGCCAATGTTTTCTCACCACTGTAGTATTTTTCTATCTTTAACCAAACAAAAAGGAAAATTAATGTGGGCTGTGCTTGCAAAGGGCTGTTTACCAGTGGTAATTATCTAAACAAGGCTATCTCAGTAGCCTGCAGCTATGGCATAAGTGTACTTCAGTCTCAGTATCCAGGAGGCTGAATTCATTGCATGGGACTGGAGGGTGGGAGGGGAGTGGCTATCAATTTACTATGGGCCAGCTGGACCCCTGCATCCATTGCTGAGGAGGCTGCACAGCACTGCTGGTGTGGAGCTTGTGACCTCAACTGATGGGCTGTACTGAGGTTGCAGCAAAAAAAACCTCTACCCTCAGGGGCTAAGCCATGGAGCAGAATGAGTAGAATTTTAGCCATGAAAATGTTTGTATGAACTGGGCTGTTGTACTTGAGACATTTAAATACCCATTGCAAGAAAGGTTCTAGAATGGAAGGGGGCCGTTGGGTCTAGTGTCTAGAGTTAACAAATGGGTAGATGACGGGGGGGAGGGTGTGGCTGTGGAAGGGAGATCATTTCATAAGTCATGGCTAATACTCTATTTTCCTGCCATTTAGGCCTGGAGTGATTTTGCAATATTTGGGCAAACAGAGCAGAAGCTCAGTATAATTGGTTTGAACAAAGCACAGATTACCTGAATGAAAAGAGGCAGCGCACCTATGTTTTTAAAAACAAACCACTTCAAATAGTGTAACGGTCTGGGAAAGATAAAGCCCAGACTGTGGCCGTTCAGCGTGACCATGAGAATTTTCAAAGGCATTTCCAGTTCCATTACTTTCAGTGTTTTGAGTCTCAACTTTATTCCTTCTTTTTTTTTTTGGCTTGTTCTATTTCTGGCATATCCCAGGGATCTCAGACCGTGACTCACCAAGCTGCTTTACAGCAGACCCTTCACCAGATCTGTTTTGTTTCTAATGACCCAGTGAGCAGGAGCAGGATGGGTTTGCGAGAGTTCCTCTCTCTTTTTCTGCTATTCTTTACCTGCATTTTGAGCAACAGATGGAGAATGATGAGAAAGTTTGATAATTCACAAGAGTGGGGGGTAAGAATTCTTTCCGAAGTTACAGTATTCACATCTGGGCCATACTTTCACATAATAAAATACCCTCTTTAATACCCACCACAGTCCTGGGAGATAAATGTTCTCATGTCTGTTTTATACGTGGGCATTTAACCCTAGCCTCACAGAGTGGTTGGCCAAACAACCTGCCTGAATGCCACGGTGAACGAGTTCAAACAGGATATGGTCCAGGGCTTTCCAGCCGTATCATGGCCAATTCCTTAATCTTTAGAGACTGAAAGGACATTTGGGTGTGCCTGGGAACAAATGTAAAGGATGGCTGCATCTTCCAGACCTTCAGAGTTAGGATGTGTGGTAGGGTTTGGGTTGAAGGATGGTATCTCTGTTGTAGCATTTTCTTTCCATTTGTATGTACTAGTATTTTTAATAAGTATCTTTTAAAATGCAAAGAAGCCCTCACTTCCTTGCTGTTCTAGCAGGACTGGATTAGACATTTAAGTATTTCTTCTTCTACCATTCACCCTTGAAATAATTACCAGTGGCTTTGGTTGGGTCTAATGGCAGCCCAGGTATACTGGGGGGAGTCCCAGTCTTTAAAATTCTCTTCATTTTGCTATGTGGTAGGAAGAATTCAGTTTGCTACTAGTTACTACCCTCCAGATCACTGCTCTGCGACAGGGCTTTAGTGTTCCATAGGTGGTTTTGGTGCCACTTCTTTTCCTCCTGTTAGCAAGGAAGCAACATGACCAGCCCCCTGCATTGGCAGAGCCACTGTTAGTGTTTAGCATCTGTGTTGTCCCCAAGGTGGATTGTTTCAGCCACTTGGAACAAGGAATTGGCCCAGGCCTGTGCCCAGCTCTCCATCTGTTCCAGAACTCGTGAACTACACTATTTACGGTGAAAAAAGGTTGAAGGGAGAGAACTGCAGTAAATGCTAGGAGAAAACCCCAAAGAGAGAACCCACTCAGCAGGGTCTCTGTGGGGTGTGTTCCACAGGCCACTGACCCACTGGGGAAGCGGCACGTTAGCCATGGTGGACGCACAAAATCCAACCAGGGGGCCTTTGATGATCACACACGGTACAGTTCCCTGCCAAAGGCGGTGTGTAAACCAGGTGGTGCTTAGGGGATTATACCAGGCCTCCGCTCCCTGGGAGAAAAACAGAGCAAACCTTGCAGTTCTGGCCATACTCCTCCGGAGGATGTCCCTGATAGGGGAAGAAGGGAGGGAAGTTGGCACATTCTGCTGCCTTCCACTTGGAAGTTCTGTTCAGGGGCTTTGCTGTGGAGTGTGCTTCCTGTGTGTCCTGCCTCCCACAGCTACCCTCCCCTGCAACATGCAAGCAGCAGAATGCCTTAAAATCACAGAGAAGAGGTGTGACCTGTCCTTGTGTGTCAAGTGGCCCTGATGGCACCTTTGTTTTGTAACCCCTAGGTCCCGAAGATGGCATATTCATAAAGACATCTTCTGATGATTGTGAACATCTTTACCTCTGGGTGCCAGGCCGGGCCAGTGACTTCGTGTTGAGCTGAAGGAACTTGTCTACCGCTTCCCTGAAAACCTTTCTTTCCTAATTCATGAGCCAGCAAGATGCGGTCGCTGCACTTTCAGAGCGCCTTCTCGTAGCTGCGTACAAAGGCCAAACAGAGAATGTGGTTCAGCTCATCAACAAGGGCGCCAGGGTAGCGGTTACCAAGGTAACAAGAGAAAAATACGCTGTAGCCATTCCCTGGGAACTGGCCTACCTCTTAACCATTGTCTGAAAAACTGCTGTGTTTGGTTCACAGCTTTCAAAGAACTGGCTTTTCTTCCAATGATGGAGGTTTGGGGAGAAGGAGGATTATTAAGAATGCTTTTGTTGCCATCTTTCAAGTGGAGCAACTTGTAATTAGCATTTGACAGTCTTTAAAATCACGGTGGCTTTTCTCACCTATTTCTTTAGCTAAATGGAGAGGAGATCTCTTGGGAGAAGTTGGGACACAAAAGCTTACTGGACAGAGTGTGCGATAATCACGTTAGATGGGCCTCCCGGGGAGGTGGACCAGCTTGTACACAGCCCCTCCACTGTGCAGAGTCTCATTGTCCCCGTCTGTATGATGACGGCCTGGACCAGATGACTGCTACAACCTCTATAGGCTTTGATTTCATGTGGGTCAGTGAAGATGGGTGGTAAGCTTTGGAGGGCATTGCTTACCCTGCGCCAACAGAGAAGACTATGAAAGATAAGAGACCATACTGGCCAAAGGCAGTTTTGTAGCAAAGCCAAGAAAAGGCAGGCTCCGCGCAGCTAGAGGGAGAGTTTAAATACACTGGCAAAGTAATGCTGATAGCAAGCACTTATTGAGCCCTAGTATTGCTGTAAGCACTTTACAGCCTTCTAGAAGAGATTCTCTTCTCATTCCTGTTTTGGAGAGGAGGAAACTTGTCCAGGGTCCCTCAGCCGCTGAGTGGTGGAAATGCAACTTGTACCCACAGAGTCTGGCTCCGAAGCCCAACCTCCAGTCCTCCCCAGAAAGAGCTGTGAAGAGGGGCAAAGTTTAATTTTCATAGAAGGTCACCTGTTAACTTCTGACCTCCTGTGGCAGATCGGTCAGCTCCTATTTTCATGTTTACTTATGTGCAGTTTTCACATTCCATGCCGGCCTCCAGAGAGGTCTTGAGCTACTTGTAGGTCCCCATGGAGGTGAACAGGGGTTTGCCCATAGATGGTGATTGGATTGTTTGGAACTGAAGGTGAAGGGGGCCTTAACTCAGAGCTTGTGTGATCTACCCATAGCACTTTCCAGGGCCCAGGCAATCACAAATGGGAGAGAGTGCAGACTCTGTAGTTAGGGCACCTGCTCACAGATTTTAACTCTGCTTTGTTTGCTAATTGTGCAAGTTGCTTAACTTCTTTGAGCCTCAGTTTCTTATCTGTAAAAGAGGGATAGTAATGTCAGCTTTTCAGAATTGTTATAAGAACAATAACTTATTTAATGCACTTAGGGCATAGTCTGCAAGTTTTTTCTATACATAGACTTAATTATTTGCTATTTTATAAACAGCTTTATTAAGATATAATTTACGTTCATTAAATTCACCTATTTTAATTGTACAATTCAATAATTTCTAGCGTATTTATACCACCACTGCTATGCACTGAATTGTTTCTCCCCCAAATTCGTTTTTTTCAACCCTAATCCCTAATGGTATTTAGAGATATAGGGCCTTTAGGAAGTAATTAGGTTTTTAAATGGGGTCATGAGAGTGGAGCCCTTGTGATGAAATTAGTTTCTATGTAAGAAGAGGCACCAGGGTCTGCTGTCTCTCCTTCTCCCTGCTATGTGAGGACACAGTGAGAAGGTGGTCATCAGCAAGCTAGGAAAAGGGCCCCCACTGGAACCTGACCACGCGGGTACCCTGAACTCACGCATCCCGGCCTCCAGAACTGAGGAACAAATCTCTTGTTCTGGCAACCTGAGAAGACTAATATAAGCACATTCAAATATTAGAACATTTCTATTGTCACAATAGAAAATTTTATATATATATAATTTTTTTTTTTTTTTTTAGACAGTGTGTCCGTCTGTTGCCCAGGCAGGAGAGCTCACTGCAACCTCCACCTCCCAGGTTCAAGTGATCCTTGTGCCTCAGCCTCCCATGTAGCTGGGACTACAGGCACATACCAACATGCCTGCCTAATTTTTGTATTTTGAGTAGAGATAGGGTTTCACCGTGTTGGGCCAGGCTGGTCTCAAACTCCTGACCTCAGGTGACCCACCCACCTTGGCCTCCCAAAGTGCTGGGATTACAGGCATGAGCCACCGCGCCTGGCTCCTAGTAAAAATCTTCGTACCCAGTAGCTGTCACTTCCCATTCCCACCCCCAGCTCCTGGCAACCATGAATCTACTTTTTGTCTCTATAAACTTACCTTTTCTAGGCATTTTATGTAAATAGAATCATATGGTATGTGGTCTTTTGTGTCTGACTTCTCTCACTTAGCATAAAGTTTTCAAGGTTCATCTCTGTTGTAGCATGTATCAGTACTTCATTCCTTTTCATGACTGAGTAATAATCCATTGTATACATATATTCTGTTTATTTCTTTATCAGTTGATGGACATTTGTGGTTGATTCCAGTTTGGGGCTATTATGAATAATGCTTTTGTGAAAATTTATATACAAGTTTTTGTGTTGGAAATATGTTTTCAGTTCTCTAGAGTATATTCCTAGGAGTGGAATTGCTGGGTCGTATGGCAAATCTGTTTAACACGTTAAGAAACTGCCAAGCTATTTTCCAGAATACCTGTACCATTTTACATTCTACCAGCAATGTATGAAGGTTTCAGCTTCTCTACAATCTCACCAGTGCTTGCCTGTCTTTTTTTATACATCATTTGCTTTTTCATAGTTATCTTTAGCAAAGATTCCCATTGGAATTTTAAAACTATTAGTTCAAATACTGCTAAAGGTTTTTAATAAAAACAGTGATCCCTTAGCCCAGTCCCATTTACACTCCAAAGAAACAACTTTCAGCCTTCTAGATGTTTCTTTTCTGGTATTTGTCTCCATATTTCCAATGAATATGTATGTTCTACCACCTGATTCAACAGTTTAGTTTTTTTAGTGAAGTCAAGTTTAATATTTTATTTATGTTATACTCGTGTGTGTGTATGTGTGTATATGTGTGTGTGTGTGTGTGTGTGTGTATAATTTATTTAAGATATGCTCCCCTCTGTCACCCAGGCTGGAATGCAGTGGCATGAACATAGCTCACTGTAGCCTCCACCTCCTAGGTTCAAGCAATCCTCCCACCTCAGCTCCCTGTGTAGCTGGGACTACAGGCATGCACACTGTTAATTGTTAAGACAGGGTCTCCCTACGTTGCCCAGGCTGGTCTCGAACTCCTGGTCTCAAGTGATCTTCCCTCCTCAGCCTCCCAAAGTATTGGAATTACAGGCATGAGCCACCATGCCTGGCCTTTCTTTTATATTTTTAAAATTTATTTATTGTGGTAAAATATACATAGTAAATGTACTACTTCAACCATTTTTAAATGTATAGTTTAGTGGCATTAAATACATTCACATTATTGTGCAACCATCACCACCATCCATCTTCAGAAATTTTTCGTCTTCCCCAGCTGAAGCTCTATACCCATTAAACACTAATTTCTCATTTCCTCCTCCCAGACCCTGGCACCCACCATTCTACTTCCTGTCTCTGAATTTGACTGTTAGCCGCACCTCAAATAAGTGGAATCATACCATATTGTCCTTTTGTGACTAGCTTATTGCACTTAGCGTGTTTTCAAGATTCACTCATGTAGCATGTACCAGAATTTCATTCTTTGTTAAGGTTGAATAATAATCCATTTTATGTATATGCCACATCTGGTTTATCCCTTCATCCACTGATGGACACTTGGGTTGCTACCGCCTTTTGCCTGTTGTGAATATTGCTGTATGAACATGGGTATACATGGGTGTTTGAGCCCTTGCTTTCATATCTTTTGGTTATATACTCAGAAGTGAAATATGGTAGTTCTATTTTTAAAGTTTTGGGTAACTTCCATACTGTTTTCCATGGCTGTTGCACCATTTTACAGTGCTACCAACAGTGCACAAGGGTTCCCACTTTTCCACATCCTTGACAATACTTGCCTTCTGTTTTTGTTTGTTTGTTTTTTTGAGTCGGAGTCTCGCTCTGTCGCCCAGGCTGGGGTGCAGTGGTGCTATCTTGGCTCACTGCAAGCTCCACCTCCCGGGTTCACGCCATTCTCCTGCCTCAGCCTCCTGAGTAGCTGGGACTACAGGTGCCCGCCATGATGCCTGGCTAATTTTTTTTTTATTTTTAGTAGAGATAAGGTTTCACCGTGTTAGCCAGGGGTGGTCTCGATCTCCTGACCTCGTGATCCGCTGGCCTTGGCCTCCCAAAGTGCTACTATTTTTACTGACCTTCCTAATGGGTGTGAGGTGATATCTTGCTGTGGTTTTGATTTGCATGTCTCTGATTATTAGTGATATTAAATGTCTTTTTATATGCTTGTTTGCCATTTGTGTATCATCTTTGGAGAAATGGCTATTCAAGTCCTTTGCCTATTGTTTAATCTGGTTATTTGATTTTTTTTGGTGTTGAGTTGTAAGAGTTCTTTATATATTCTAGATATTAATCCTTTATCATATATTTGATTTGCAACATTTTTTCTCATTCTGTGGTTGCCTTTAGGAGTACTTTTTTAGAGCCGTTTTAGATTCACAGCAAAATTGAGAGGAAGGTCCAGAGATTTCCCGTATTGCTCCCGCCCCTAAACATGTTTAACCTATCCCATTATCAACATCCGCCACCAGAGTGATACATTTGTTACAACTGGTGAGCCTATACTGACGCATCATTATCACCCAAAGTCCATAGTTTACATTACGGCTTATTCTTGTACATTCTATGGATTTGGAAAAATGTATAATGACATACATCCACCAGTATAGTATCATATAGATTATTTTTACTGCTCTAAAGATCCTCTGTGCTTCACCTATTTATCCCCTTCCCTCCTCCCACCCCAATCCCTGGCAACCACTGGATCTTCTTACTGTCTCCATAGTTTTACCTTTTTCAGAATGTCATGTTGTTGGAATCATACAATATGTAGCCTTTTTATATTGGCTTCTTTCACTTAGTTATATGCGTTTAAGGTTCTTCCATGTCTTTTCATGGCTTGATAGTTCATTTCCTTTTAGGACTGAAAAATCTTCCGTTGTATGGATATACTACAGTTTTGGAAGCATTCACCTACTGAAGGACATCTTGGTTGCTTCCCAATTTTGGTAATTATGAGTAAAGCTGCTATAAACATTTATGTGCAGTTTTTTGTGTGGACATACACTTTCAGCTTTTTTCACTAGATACCAAGGAGTGCAGTTGCTGGATCACATGGTAAGAATGTTTTGTTTTGTAAGAAACTGCCAAACTGCTGGATTCCCATCAGCAATGAATGAGATTTGCTGTTGCTCCACATTCTCACCAGCATTTGGTGTTTCAATCTTACGGATTTTGACCATTCTAGTAGCTTTACAGTGGTATCTCGTTGTTTGTAGCTTGTCTTTTTACTCTGCTGATTGTGTTCTTTGATGCACAAACATTTTCAAGCTTGATGTCCCATTTGTCTATTTTTGCTTTTATTACCTGTGCTAGCATTGTCATATCCAAGAAATCATTGCCAGATCCAATGTCATGAAGCTTTTCCCCTTGTAGAAGCTTTATAGATTTGGATCTTATATTTAGGTTTTTATTCCATTTCGAGTTAATTTTTTATATAGTGTAAGGTAAGGGTCCATCTTTACTTTTTTGCATGTGGGTATCTGGCTTTCCCAGGACCATTTGTTGAGGAGACTATCCTTTTCCCATTGAGCGGTCTTGGTATCTTTGCTGAAGATCATTTGACCATATACATGAAGGTTTATTTCTATGCTTTCTATTATATTTCACAGGTTTTATATATTTTTATTCTAATACCAACTGTTTTGATTACTGTAGCTTTTAATGTGTTTTGAAGTCAGAAAGTGTGAGCTCTTCACAGTTTGTTTGTTTGTTTGTTTTGACACAGAGTCTTGCTTTGTCTCCCAGGCTGGAGTGCAGTGGTGTGAACACGGCTCACTGCAGCCTTAACCTCCTGGGCTCAAGCAATCCTCCTGCCTCAGCCTCCTGAGTAGCTGGGACTACAGGCATGTGTGCCACCATGCCTAGCTGATAATAATGAGCAACTTCCTGGGCGATCCTACTGCCTCAGCCTCCCAAATACCACAATTTTAAAATCAGACTTATAATTATTGTGACTATGTAAATGCTGCTCACTGGTTAGCTGAGAATGATTACTTTTTTAAAAAATATATATCTTATTATTTTTCCTGGAGCTGATAGTTACCCTAATTTTTTCACTTGTTTAATTTGATTTAAATTTATTGGTAAATGTTTCATCTACTATCTGATAACTCTGTAAAACCGTTCTTAGTGCAATTCTCCATGAGTAAACCTATTACATATTTATCAGCCCGAGTCTTTTCCTGGGGATATCCCCTCTGGAGTCATTTATCCTTCTTTCTGATTGATCTGGGTTGCTCTCTAGTTCTGCACAGTCATCTTGAGAAGTCCTTTCACCTCTCCCCTGTATTAGATCCCTGTTTGCTGGAACCCATGTCACTCTAACTTTGATACTGCACATTCTTTGATTTCTTCCTAAGAAAGGGAATATGTACATAAATTTTTTGAGAGTCTGCATGTCTGAAACTCCTTATTCTACCCTCTTGCTTACGGGACAATTTGGTATAGAAACCTAGGCAGAGAATTATTTTGCCTAAGAACTTCAAACGCAGTGCCTCATCTTTGAACTTATAGTGTTGCTGTTGGGAAAGTCAGCTTATAGTGTTCCTTGCAACTGTCTTCTGAAAGGCCTTTTGCATCCACTCTGCCCCTTGAAGGACCTGCCCATTCAGGACTCAGCTCAGGAGCCACCACCAACATGAAGTCCACCCAGTGAATGGTACCCTGGATGGAATTTGCTCTCCTCCCAATTGATGTAACCTTGTTCTCTATGCATTCTGTGTCCTTCATACTGCTCTGTGGGTGCTCAGAACTCCCCACCACATCATCACTGTGACCTGGGTCATAGTGTCTCTCTTACATTTATCTGTGTTTGACAGAGGAGAAAGGCACTGAATTTGGAATCCAAAGACCTTGGTGTAGGCACCTGTTCTGCTGCTTATTAAAGGCTTATTAATGTAGGCCAGGGTTGTTCAGCCTTAGCAACATCACTGACATTTTGGGCCAGATCATCCTGTGCTATTGGGACTTTCCTGTGCATTGTAGGGTATTTAGCAGCATCTGTGGCTTCTTGCCATAGATGTGCTGGTAGTACTTCCTTTCCTTGGATTTTGACAACCAAAAATGTCTCTGGACACTGACAGACATCCCCTGAGGAACAAAATCATCCCCGCCTCAGAACCATGGATTAGGCCAATCATGACAGGAGTCTCTATTTCCTCACAAACCTTAGAGTTTCCATAAGCACTAAATGTGATAGCACATGTTGCCATAGTTATAAAATCTAAGTGGACATAAAATATTGATTATTTTTTAACTCATCCAGTGCCTAGCAAGGTACTCACATCCCATCTGTGCCGAATGAGGGGAATAATGTTATTGACTGTGAATTTCTTACACTTTGATAGCAATTGCAAGGTATTAGGTACTCTTGTAAGAGCTCTACAACAATTAAGTATTTTAAACCTCACCATGGCTATTATCCCCATTTTACAGATGAGGAAACTGAGGCAAGGAATGATCAGGTAACCTGCCCTAAGTTTCCCTTAGAAAGTGTCAAAACTGGGACTCAAACCCTGGCCATGTGGTTCGAGAGTCCTTGCTCCCACAGGAGGCAAGGAGGAAAGTTCCCCTTGGCCCTTGAAGGCTCACTGAAAAATCAGCTGACAAATGGCAGATAAATTGTAGAAGAGGCATAAAAATTTATTTAACATGTACATACAGGAGCCTTCAGAATGAGGACCCAAAAATGCAGGGGAAATTGTCCATTTTTATGCTTAGGTTCAAAAGAGTGTGGATAGCCATGTAGAAATATGATTGGACAGAAAGGGCACGATCTAATGCTGATTGCATGGGAAACCCAGCAAAGCCTGTCTGTCTACATTCTTCTTGGCCTTTCTGAGCTGAGCATTTCTGCCTTCTAGGTATGAGGCAGGACCCTCTCTGGAATGGAGTGTTAAGACCTACATTCAACTAGGTCAGATAATTTCTTTATGGCTTGCTTTTACGCAGAAAGGGGAGGAGGGGAAGGTTAGAGTAATATTTTTAAGTTTTATGGCTGGCTTTGAGGGTAGCAGATTCTGGTTTCTATGACCTGCCTTGGGGGAAGAGGGATTCTAGTTTCTATGGTTAGCCTCTGGGGAGGAATTGAGGGGCCAGAGATAGGAGGGCAGGAAGAGGTCAGAGAAAAACTTTTGCTTGTGAGGCCTTCCTTTTGGGTTGTTTTTTGAGCCCCAACACTGGTAACCATCATGTTTCCACTATGTGGTTTATAAGTTTAGATTGTGAACTTTCTATGGGCTGCTGCTTGTTAGAGCATATTCCTTGGCACCTGACACATTGTGGATATAATCTGCAAATGTTTTATTGACTGGGAGCTCAATATGCCCAGGTACTTTACTTAAAAAAAAATAAGCGATTTCCCAATAATGGGATTGTACTTGTATAAAACATTTCCGAATTATTTTCATGTATATGTTGCTTGTCCCCAGAGGCTTGTAAGATATATATGGTTTCCCTTGAGAGGAAATGAGGTCACAGAAGGAAAGTGACTTGTTCAAATAGGGCATGCCAGAGCCCAGATGAGAACTGGAATGTCCTGGCTCCTGTGGACATTTTCTCTGCCACAGATAAGGGCATCTCTTCTGTCCTGGGAATTTTACTTCAACTCCTAGTGGGTGGTTCCAGTATGTTGTCCACTAAGTAAGGATGGGGTTGTCATGCACAGAACATGTCTTCAGAGCAAGTGGGGTTGGGAGCTGGAAATTGATGTGGGAACTACATGTAAGAATTTAAAACTCATGTTTTAAGAGAAAGGCTCACTAAGAACTATGATTTTCCATTTGCACAACTTTCTTTCTTTTTTTTTTTTGAGACGGAGTCTCGCTCTGTCACCCAGGCTGGAGTGCAGTGGTGCGATCTCAGCTCACTGCAAGCTCTGCCTTCTGGGTTCACTCCATTCTCCTGCCTCAGCCTCCTGAGTAGCTGGGACTACAGGCGCCTGCCACCACGCCTGGCTAATTTTTGTATTTTTAGTAGAGATGGGGTTTCACCATATTAGCCAGGATGGTCTCAATCTCCTGACCTCATGATCCACCCTCCTCGGCCTCCCAAAGTGCTGGGATTACAGGCGTGAGCCACCACACCTGGCCATTTGCACAACTTTCATATTTCGACCAGTTGTACTTCATCATGTTGACAAACACATTTTCAGCTGGAACAGGTAATCTGATAAAAGCACTGGGTATGCTGAGAAGTCTGAGATATCTCTGGAGCAGATTATTAAAGACAATAACTCAGGCTCATGACCCTTCACTTTTCTGCTACTCCTTTCACCAAAGTCACCTTTTCCTTCCCTCATCTAGACAATATATTTTGAGCTTCAGCTGTGCACTGGTGAACAAGACAGGAAAAAACATCTTGGTCCTTGCTGGAGCTTGCATTCTTGGTGAGACAGGCTAGAATTTGACACTGTTGCCTGCACTCCTATCCCTGAAGCTCCCGTTGGGTCTGTCAGCTCTGCCTCCTGGTTTTCCTCCCCAAGGTGCCTTCTCCATCTCCTTTTGCTTTTCCTGCCTCTAAAATTGGCTTTCCTCAGGCCCTCTGCGCTCATCTGCTCTCCCTCTGGACACCCACTTGGCTTTTCCAGCTCAAGGCTGGTTACCATGTCTCCATCTCCAGCTTCGCCCTGTCTCCTGATCCCCAAGGCCAGCTGCCTTCATGGGCATTTTTTATTTTTTATTTTTTTTTGAGACAAGAGTCTCACTATATTGCCTAGGCTGGTCCTAAACTTCTGGACTCAAGTGATTCTCCTCCCAGGTAACAGGGACTACAGTCATGAGCCACCATGCCCAGCCTTCCTGGGCATCTTTATGTGCAGAATCCACAGGTTCAAATCGAAGTGCCCACACTGGAAGCTGCAGCCCCTCCTGAGGCCTGGTCCTCTTCCCAAGGTCCCTTTTTATCAGTACGAGGGAGCCCCATTTGTGCACACCTCAAGCAGAAGCCCAAAGCCATCGTTTCTTCTTTTGGGTCTTTGACATCCCTCCACTGACGCTTCCTGTCAGTGACCAAGTGAGGCTCATTATGCCTCCTAACTTCTCTCAACTCTGTGTCTTTCTAGTTGCCCCTGCAGGCACTGCTTGAGATGTTTGATACTAAAACAAAAAAATGGGATATATTTTTTCTTTGCAAGAAAGCTCTGGTTTTATAAATGAACATATTCTCTCCAGTTCCCTTGTGCTTTAGTCAAATACCTTCTGATACAGCTAATTTTGTTACCTCAGTACCAACAGGTGTTTTGTCATCTGGATAAATCCTCTACATGCTCCTTAGTGCCAAGCATTGGCCATAACATTAGAGTTGAGAGCCTCTAGGAGTCCCCAGGCAGAGTATCATTTCCTAGAACTGTTAAGAAGCTGGTTAGCCTGGGAAACATAGTGAGACCCTGTCTTTACAGAAAATAAAAAATTAGCTGGGCATGGTGATGCACACCTATAGTCCTAGCTACATAGGAGGCTGAGGTGGGAGGATTGCTTGAGCTCAGGAGGTTGAGGCTGCAGTGAGCCATGATTGTGCCACTGCACTCCAGCCTGGGCATCAGAGGGAGATCCTGTCTCAAAAAACAAAACAACAAAAATGCTGGTCCTTGGAATGTTTTACTGAAGTTTTTATCTTCTCCAAAAGGAAGTAGACAAAGGTTGTTTTATGCAAGTTTGGTTAAGAAGAAAATTCAGTATCATTCATAAAATTCATCTCCATTTGATACCTACCACTCTCCCTGAGTAACGAAATTGGAATTTAGATAATTAAGCACAAACCCCAGGGCCTCAAAGAGCTTGTTCATAGAGGGTGAGCCCCCCAGAGTTCTCTGCAGAGTGGGCAGGCAGAAAACTCAGGAGGTGCCACAGGGCAGGTAGCATGGAGACCATACGGTGTGATCTACTTCAGTTTAAATAGGCAAGTCTACTTCTCTCCACAAATGTATGCTTTCATTTGGTGAGCCAGGAGAACGACATGGGACACATGAGACTGTTAACATTGGCTGCCTAGCAAGGAAGACGATTAGCTTTTTCCCCCTCCCGCCTCCTTTTTTTTTTTTTTTTTTTTTTTTTTGGAAACAGAGTCTCACTCTTTTGCTTAGGCTGTAGTGCAGTGGCCCAGTCTCGGCTCACTGTAACCTCCACCTCCCGGGTTGAAGCGATTCTCCTGCCTCAGCCTCTTGAGTAGCTGGGACTACAGACACGTGCCACCACACCTGGCTAATTTTTGTATTTTTAGTAGAGATGGGGTCTTGTCATGTTACCTAGGCTGATTTCAAACTCCTAGCCTGAAGTGATCTGCCCGCCTTGGCCTCCCAAAGTGCTGGGATCACAGGCATGAGCCACCGCATCCAGCCTGATTTTTTTCATTGTATTGTTTCAGTTATTAAAATAAGCATATATTAATTTTGTACTTTGTCAAAGATAAAGTCAAGTTTAAAAATATGTGTTGAGTGCCTGCACCAGCAGTGGGCCAGGTGCTTGCCATATACTATCTGGTTGAAATCCTTACCACAGCTCTGCCAAGCTAGTGCTCTTATCGCTGAGATACCAATAAGGAAAGGGAGGTGCTAGACAGAAAGTAACTTGCCCATGACCAAAGAAGTAGTAGGTGCTAGCCCTGAGAAGGAGCCAGCTTTATGTGGCCCTGAGGCCCACATGTAGGCACTCCTGACCCTTGTTTCCAGCACCTCCATAGTCCTTGCCCTTCCACCACTATGCTGGCCACCCCTCAGTGCAGACAGAGAAAGAAGCTGTCTGCAGGGTGGCCCAAAGGGAATTTTCTCCTCCCCTGTCCTTGCCTCCTGCACACCATTTCCAGAGTTTTATAGCAAGTTCAGAAATTCCTGATGAAGGCGGTGTAGTGTAGAAGGTACAAGCGTGGATGCAGGAGCCAGGTGCTCTGTTTCAAATGCCAATGATATTTACTAGCTCTATGGTCTTGAGGAAATAACTTTGTGCATCATATCATCACCTCTAAAATGAGGATTAAATAATAGTAGCTACCTCATTAGGTTCTTTAAGCACTACCTGAATCAGTATATGCAAACTACTTAGAACAGTGCTTAGCACATAGTCAGTGTCAAATATAGTAGGCACTGAGGGGATTCTGACAATGCAACAATGCTAAGAGCTGTGGTCCAAGTATCAGGCAGGGAGTCCTGAGTGGAAGACACAAGGCCATTCAGTATCCTACCTGAAAAGTGAGGATAATCTCAGCCTCATGAGATCGCCATCAAGACTAAATGAAGGCCGGGTGCAGTGGCTCATGCCTGTAATCCCAGCACTTTGGGAGGTCAAGGCTGGTGGATCTCTTGAGGCCAGGAGTTCAAGACTAGTGAAATTCCATCTCTACTGAAAATACAAAAATTAGTCGGGTGTGGTGGTGCACGCCTGTAATCCCAGCTACTTGGGAGCCTGAGGCAGGAGAATTGCTTGAACCCAGGAGGCGGAAGCTGCAGTAATCCAAGATAGTGCCACTGCACTCCAGCCTGGGCCACAGAGCAAGACCCTGTCTCAAAAAAAAAAAAAAAAAAAAAAGGCTAAATGAGATGACAAAGTGTCTCAGTGTCCAACATTTAATAAAACTATCAGCTTTTTGGAGTAGAAGTTGAGAAGCTGATTCTAAAATTTATATGGAATGCAGAAGACCTAGAATAGCCAAAGTGACGTTGAAGAACAAAGTTGAAGGACTTCTGCTACCTGATTTCCGGACATACTGGTATCTTCCAGACTTACTAGAAGAGTCAAAATTATAGGGACAGAAAATAGATCAGTGATTGCTAGGGGCTGGAGATGGTGGGAAATTATTGACTGCAAAGGAGCAGGAGGGAATTTTGGGTGGGGGTGATGAAAATCTTCCATATTTTGTTTGTGGGGTTGGCTGTGTACATTTCTCCAACCACATGAAAGTGAATACTTTAAAAAAGTTGATTTTGTTGAATGGAAATTATACCTCGAGAAACTTGATTTTTTTTTTTTTTTTAAAGATAACTCTCTTAATTGTTACAGATGAGGAAACAGAAGCTTCAAGAGGCTGAATAAGTCCTTTGTAGGTTGCTTGTGGTTCCCGTGGGGCTTTTGCATCATGTTGTCTCCCCATGCTGGTAACTACTGTACTCCAATATGAACTTTAAACTTTTAAAAAGAGAAATGCAAAGAGTTCAATTGTAGTAAAGTAGTAACTTTCCCCAGCATGAGCACCTGATGATGTTTTCAGAAATGAAGAGGATGCCTGGCTGGTAAATATTTTCCGGCAGCCACTTTCAAGAGAACGCTGGAAGTCAGTAAGTGGTATACATTCATGGCCTCAAGAAACACAGTGAGAACAGGCTCTGCACCGAGAGGCTCTCCTGCTGCCACTCGCTGGGCTTCCTGCTCTGAAACCTGTTTCCAGTTTCGACAAAACCTCACTTCCACGAGGGATTTGCGATGCTGGTGTTCTAAGGCAGGGGAGCAGTGGAAACGAAGGATCTTTTGTGGTGGTCATTTGCTTTGTTTTTGATTTCCTGGGTTTGTGTTTAATGTTAGGACTTACCAGAATGGCGTGGCCTGAACTCGTGTTTGCCGACCTGCTGGTTCCTAGTCATTTGCTTTAAGCTGTCACTCCCCAGGACGTGGGGGAAATTGACACTTACAAGGTGGTTGGTCAGGTGAAAGTTTTCACTTGGGAGAATGTGTTGTATATAGCATGCTCCTTCCAAAGGACCCCATACACTTATTTTAATTGGAGTAGGTAATGGTTCTACTACAGAAGGCACAAAGTTTGCCTAGTCCTCCTCCCATGCTGCCCCCACCACTCAGTGTTTCCCTCCCTGAAGGCACCTGTCTTACCTGCTTCTTACATTGTTCCTGAGATATTTACGTACATACACTCAAGTAGATGTATCTCTGTGTGTTTCCCCATTTTATACAAATTGTGGGATACTATACTCTCCTTCATTTTAATTGGCTTAACCAATCCCCTATTGATGGATATTTAGATTATGTTAATCTCCTGCCCTTACAAAGCATGCTGCAGTGACTCTGTTTGGAGGTCTTATTGCACAGTACGATTATGTTTGTGGGATAAATTTCTCTAAGTGGTACTTCTGAGTCAGAGCATGCATGCCCTTGCAATTTTGACAGCTAGAGCTAAATTGCTCTGCAGAGAGGTTGTGCCAGTCTATACTCCACCAGCAGTGTGTGAGGAGCCCAATGGGACTGACCTTTAAACACACAGTGCCAGTGGTACACTGGGCTCCCTCTGCTGCCTCTCCTGGCCCTTCACCATCTGAGCTCATCTTACCTTTCTAGCCTTCTCTCCAGGAGCTCTCTGCTAAGGTGCATTTGGCCTCTGGCCTCGGTTCCTCTTCACTTCAGCATGGGTTTTGCAGAATTTTCTCTGGGAATCCCAGCTGCCTGGGAATCAAAGGGAAAAGTGGGGGAGTGACTGATGGGAGGGGAATAGAAGAGGGGGATCTCCACACCTCTCCTCCCCTTCCCCATCCTCCATTCCGAAATGGAAAATGGAATTCCTTCCCAAGATGCCTGGGTCTTTTGTTCTGACCCCAAGTATTCCAGTGTGTTGTCACATCCAGAGCAAGGGCAGGAGCCCATGCAGGGCTGCTGCAGTGCTTCGTTCTGCTCCGGGTTAGCACATCCACACACTGTGTGGAGCAGGTGTCTTTTCACTGAAACAAACAGGGCATTGAGGGTATACGGTTACATGGCAAGTCAAACAAAATCTGCTTGTGTTCTACAATAGCTAGAAGCATCACTCTGTGGGAAGAAAATCTCAACTGGGAAAGCTTAGGCTTTTGTAGTTTATCATCAAAAATCTCTGGGGAAGATTAACATATGGTGCTAATTCTGAGAAAGTTATAAAATGAGCACGTGTTAACATTTTATTTAACTCATTAATTAAAGAGGAAACCAGTAAGATGATACAACTGTTTTGAAGGAGAATTGTCAGGCCAGGCCCAGACAATTAAAAAAATTTTTTTGTAGAGATGGTGGGGGTGGAGTCTTGCTATATTAATTGCCCAAGCTGGTCTTGAACTCCTGGCCTCAAGAGATCCTCCCACCTTAGCCTGCCAAAGAGCTGGGTCCACAGGTATGCACCACCATGCCAGGCTAACTTTTTTTACTTTTTGTGGAGACGGGGTCTTGCCATGCTGCCCATGCTGGTCTTGAACTCCTGGGCTCAAGCAGTCTTCCCACTTCAGCCTCCCAAAGTGCTGAGATTACAGGCATGAGCCACCATGCCCAGCCCCGTCTTAATTATTTTCAACTGTTCAATCCAGTGGCATTAACTGCAGTCAACACAGTTGTGTCATCATCACCACCATCCATTTCCAGATCTTTTTTCATCTTCCCAAACTGTAACTTTGTACCCATTAAACACTAACTCCCCTTTTCTCCCTCCCACCCAGCCCCTGCCAGCCACCATTCCACTTTCTGTCTCTATGAATTTGTGATCCATTTTAAAGTCTCTCACAATCTTTCCTTACCTAGAGGCAATGAATCACATTTACCATCTTTTCGACCCTGCCCAAGTTATTAGCCTCCTTGAGCCTTCATTTCCTGTCTGTAAAATCAGCATAACAGCACTTACCTCAAGGATATGTGGTGAGGATTATATGAGGTAATCCATGCAAAGTGCTTAGAACAGTGTAATTAAGGATGTAGAAAGAGCTCAACGGATGGGAGTTGCTATTATCATGAAGACCATCTCTCCACCTGAGTCAGCTGTCCTTGGAGACACAAAAGTCAGTGGTTCTCAGTATTGACTGCACGTGTAACCACCTTTAGAGCCTTAAATACTGATGCCCAGGCCCATACCTAGATGCTGTGGTTTAGTTGGTCTGGGATATGGCCTGGGCTTGGGGATTTTTCAGAGCAGCAAGGCAGAGAACTACTCACTGCTGTTGGTATTTCCCCCTGAGGTTTCAGAGCCTTCCATGCAGGGCAGGACAACACTGTCCATTGAGCATCGGGCCAAGCCAGTGGTTAGACATCTGGAAGTTGTACTGCTCTTTGTAGAACACCATGAAATATTGATATTCTAAATGCCATGACTCAAGCTAGAAACAAGTTTATTAGCAGGAAATAAATGTCTCAAATATGGGAAAGCAAACATATGCTGTGAATTGTTGTGTGGCTTGTCTATGAGATAATGCATGGAAAATTATGGGATCAATAATATGAAAGTCTTAAGTGTTAACTTACTATGATAAGGATGGTAATTAGGCATGTACCACAGTGACTCATGTTTCTAGCAAAGGTAGGTAGGTGTCCCTAGGAGATGCTCTTTGGAGGAAAAAGAGGCAGCCCCTCAGATTGAGTGGGATAATGGAAGAATTGGTATGGCAGGTCAGACACGCTGTAATTGAGGAGAACAAGCTTCAGAACTTTGGGGATGGGCCCCCAAAGCTAACTCAAGCATCTTAGGAGAGGCTATTAGGCTGCTGTTAAAGAGTCTAGGTAAGAGTTCATCCTGAATCTCTTGGCTGCTCTCTCCTGCCCCTCACTGCCTATGCAGAATTGCAATGTCTTTTCCTCCTGCCCTCTGTAAAAGCCCACCTTATTTACAGTGGTTCTCAGTGGCAGTGAAGGCAGGCCCTGTTTGCCCCCTGCTTCTCTCCTCAACTCTAGGTAGGCTTGGTGGGAGTTTGGGCCCAGAGGCCCCACCAACCCCTGAGTGTTCAATCAGCAAGCCATCCACCATCTGCCACCACCGTGATTTGTCCATATTGCATCCTGTTGCCTTAGCAGATTGCACTTAAAAGTAAGTCTAACTACACTGCTGAGTGCTTTATAACCCAGATTATGTGCTAGTAAAACTCCCTGAAAACATATATTTAGTAGGTCCTAACCACTCTAGACGAGACATTATAATATTGTGGCACAGCTGGGTGTCAGCGTTTAAAAATCCTCCCTAAATACCTGTACCTTTCCTGAACAAAATGCGTTGGAGGATTGCTGGTTTCCAGGCCAGTAATCAGCATGTTGTGAGGCTTGCATGGGTGATTCTCCACATCCCCACCCTGGTAGTGCTGTAAAATGAAGAAGCCAAAGAGAAAAGGAGCTCTCGAAGCCACTGAGCTGCCCACTTGGGCCTCTGCTCAGATGCCAGTGCAGGTGGTCTTATTGGCGAATTCCCTGAGGCCCTCTTAGTAGTTGTCTTCTTTTTCTTTTCTTTCTTTTAAGTTATAATGACTTAGGTTTCAGAAAATAAATTAAGCCAGGAACTTGTCGGGACACTGAAAATTCTTTCTCAGCAGGCCAGTCAGTTTGTTTCTAGTGAGAGTGGGCTGTTACATGTTTCCTTGTTCTAAGCCAATAATTTAGGGTATGTGGGTGAATAGGTAGCAGCTCTGCCTAGTCTGCTTTTAGCTCATCTTTTCAGTGAATTTATTGAGCAATGTGTAAGAATTATAAACTATGATGAAGTGAAATTTATTCCAAGTATGCAAGACTGGGTCAACATCAGTGTAATCTACCATATCAACAAGTGCCTTAGCTCAGGCTGCTATAACAAAATACCACGTATTCGGTGGCTTAAACAACAGACATTTATTTTTCACAGTTTTGTAGGATGGGAAGTCTTAAGATCACGGTGCCTACAGATTCAGTTCCTGGTGAGTGCTCTCTTCCTAGTTTGTAGATGGCTGGCTTCTCTCTGTGTGGCAGAGAGAGGGGTCTCTAGTCTCTCTTCCTCTTATAGGGGCACTAATCTTATCAGGGCCCTACCCTCATTTCCTCATCCAATCCTAATTACCTTCCAAAGGGCCCCATCTCCAAATACCATCACGTTGAAAGTTAGTGCTTCAACATATCAATTTCAGGGAGACACAAACATTTAGTCCATAACAAGCTAAACAAGAAAAATCATCTGATCATATTAATAGGTACAGAAAAAGAATTTGACAAAACCAAACATGCATTTGGGGAAAGAACTCTCAGAAAACCAGAAATTGAGGAAAACTTTCTCAACATGATAAAAAGCATCTAAAAAAAACCAAGAGCTAACATCATATTTGATGGTGAGAGACTGAATGTTTTTCTGCTGTGATAAGGAACAAGACAGGGTGTCTGCTCGTTCACTATAGTGCTGGAAGTTCTAGCCACCACAGTAAGGCAAGAAGAATGCAAGCAATTTAATCCCCAAAGAAGTCCTAGACATGGATGGTGGTGGTGCTTGTGCAACATTATGAATATACTTAATGCCACTGAATTATACACTTAAAAATTGTTAAAATGGTAGATTTTATGTATATGCATATTTGACCACAAATTTATAAATCACAAAAAATGGGCCCAAGAATAAGCAGAAAACTTAGTCTAATTAGCATAGGAAATATTGGAAACACGATTAGAGATGCAAGTTTTAGAAAGTACTAGGGCCGGCCAGATGTGATGGCTCACGCCTGTAATCCCAGCACTTTGGGAGGCCAAGGCGGGTGGATCACTTGAGGCCAGGGGTTTGAGACCAGCCTGGCCAATATGGTGAAACCCTGTCTCTAAAAAAATACAAAAATTAACCGAGCTTGATGATGTGTGCCTGTAGTCCCAGCTACTCAGGAGGCTGAGGCAGAATTGTTTGAACCCTGGAGGCGGAGGTTGCAGTGAGCCGAGATTGTGCCACTGCACTCCAGCCTGGGTGACAGAGCGAGACTCTGTCTCACAAAAAAAGAAAGCACTAGGGCCAGATGGTTTCATGGTCCTGTTTTATATTTTATCAACAAGAAAAAATCCAATGTTTAAATTATTGTAAAGCACAGAACAAAATAGAAAGCTGTACTTTTTCATGTAGTCAGCACAACCTTAATGTCAAAAACAGATCAATAAGAACAAGAAACACCAATCTCAATTATGAATGTTGATTTTTAAAATTCTTTATAACATTACCTAATAGAATGCAGCATTTATGAGAATAATAATACAGTGTGATCAGGTGGGTTCCAGGAATGCAAGGATTGTTCCATAATTTGTTATACCAACAAATTAAAAGAGAAAAACACATGATTATATTAACAGTTCCTGAAAAGGCAGTGATTCTTGTTTTCTGGTTTTTGTTAGAAACCAGAAGAGAAGCAAGAACAGTCCTTATATCCAACCATAGTTCATCATGTATTGGCCTACCGTGCTGTGCTCTGTCAGCGTCAACCCATTGAAAATGTAGTCTGGCCAGGCGTAGTGGCTCACACCTGTAATCCCAGCACTTTGGGAGGCCGAGGCGGGCGGATCACAAGGTCAAGAGTTCGAGACCAGCCTGGCCAACATGGTGAAACCCTGTCTCTACTAAGAATACAAAAGTTAGCAGGGCGTGGTGTCACATGCCTGTAATCCCAGCTACTCGGGAGGCTGAGGCAGGAGAATCATTTGAACCCGGGAGGTAGAGGTTGCAGTGAGCTGAGATCATGCTACTGCACTCTAGCCTGGTCCACAAAGCAAGACTGTCTTGGGGGAGAAAAAAAGAAAATGTAGTCTGGGCTGCCACCTGTGAGGAGTGTGTGGGCCATTAACTGATGTCTTACCACTCAGGGACAAGTGTACTGTAGAAGCTGATGGAATTCTTAATACCCAGTTAAGTTGCCTGAAATATTTTGGTCCTTCTTTTTGGTGGATCTTTATAGAAGGAAGCCCAACCCTAGCAATTACTGAGTTACCTCAAAAGGAATTCTTGGCCGGGCACAGTGGCTCATGGTTAAAATCCTAGCACTTTGGGAGGCTGAGGTGGGTGGATCACTTAAGGTCAGGAGTTCAAAACCAGCCTGGCCAACATGGTGAAACCCCACCTCTACTAAAAATACAAAAAAACTAGCGGGGCATGGTGGTGGGCACCTGTAATCTCAGCTACTTGGGAGGCTAAGGCAGGAGAATTTCTTGAACCTGGGAGGCATAGGTTGCAGTGAGTTGAGATCATGCCACTGCACTCTAGCCTGGGCGACAGAGTGAAACTCCGTCTCAAAAAAAAAAAAAAAAAAGGCTGGGTGCAGTGCCTCACGCCTGTAATCCCAACACTTCGGGAGGCCGAGGCAGGCAGATCATGAGGTCAAGAGATCAAGACCCTCCTGGCCAAAATGGTGAAACCCTGTCTCTACTAAAAATACAAAAATTAGCCGGGAGTGGTGGCGCATGCCTGTAGTCCTAGCTACATGGGAGGCTGAGGCAGGAGAATCGCTTGAACCCGGGAGGTGGAGGTTGCAGTGAGCCAGGATGGTGCCACTGCCCTCCAGTCTGGCGACAGAGCGAGACTTCATCTCAAAAAACAAACAAAAAAGGAATTCTCTTATCAATTAAACCCAATTGTTAGGAATAACTGATTCCTAACAATATACATTTCAAATCACCTCTCCATATCATTTATGATTATTATTATTTTACAGGGCCATCCTAATACTTCCATCCTTGTGTGATGGGACTGTTGGCCCCCAGTGCAGGAATTACCCTCTGCCCCCATTACATTTTATCTTTTTAAAATTAGCCTATTCCAATCTGAGATTGTTTTGGATCCTGATTTGTGTCAGCCAAGGAATTTATTCCCTTGCCGTTTCTTGTCAACTATTGTCTGATTAAGATATGATGTGTCACTCATGTAAGTAGACTAGTAGATAAAATATATTTGCAACAAGGAAAGAAAACTCTGAAAGCTTCTTAAATTATAAATTGTTTTTAAATGTAAAGTTTTATTTTCTTTGATCGATGGTACTTTTTCAATTTTTTTCTCGAATGTGTTCCATTTTTTTCTTGAATGTCTTCATAACTTTGTCTTCATTGAATCATAAGCCTGAGAAGGACTTTGAACTTTTCTGACCCAAATTTACACCATTCCAGGCTGTTGAAGCTCTCAGGGAACACCATCTATGATAAGAGGACCCTTGGGGCACTTAGAAAAGTTGGTGGAGTCTTCCACTTTTTAAAATCTAAACGAGGAGCCAGGTGGCCAGAATTCCACCTTGCAGTTCTTGCAGTTCTGCCAGAAATAAGATTGGAGGTATTGAGAATTCATTTCATCTCTTCAGCCAAATGAAACTCTCAAAGACTCTTCCCATTCTGAATATCATGTTTGTAAAATATGCGCCACTCTTATTTTAGTAATGTTACAACTTTCTTGCCTCCTACTACCTCTCTCTTAATGCGACAGATAATATAGGCAGACTGACTCAAAAAAGGCTTGACTCAAAAAAGACTGCATGACCCTGATCCAATGTATTTCTCATGGTCTCTTGAAGAAAAGAAGCTTTATGAAATGATTACACTAATTTAACCTAAATTCTTCCCATTACACCATTTCTCCTTGTCTGGGTCACAGCATGCAGCTGCCCTCCTTGTTACAGTCCCCAGTAGAGATGGTTAAATTGTTTTATTGTTTGAGCCAATGAGTCTCAATTCCTTTATACAACCTTTCCCTACTCCCTTCCTTCAGATTTTCTGCCCTTTTATTCCTTTGGCTTCTGCCCCAGGTCTCCTTTTGACTCTGGTCATAAGAATATCATTGAGACCAGGCACGGTGGCTCACGCCTCTAATTCCAGCATTTTGGGAGGCCAAGGCAGGTGGATCACCTGAGGTCAGGAGTTCGAGACCAGCATGGCCAACATGGTGAAACCCTGTCTCTACTAAAAATATAAAATTAGCTGGGTGTGGTGGTGCACGCCTGTAGTCCCAGCTGAGGCAGGAGAATCGCTTGAACCCAGGAGGCAGAGGCTGCAGTGAGCTGAGATTGCGCCACTGCACTCCAGCCTGGGTGAGACAGAGCGAGACTCTGTCTCAAAAAAAAAAAAAAAAAAAAAAAAGGTGTTCCAGGAATGGCTAAGCACCACACCTTTCCTTCTCACTTTTCAGGTGCATTCTGTTGGGACGGGTCTTGTCCAGGTCTGCTCTGTTAGACCTGTCATTCCTGGGACAGGTACTGTTGGTCTGAAAGGCCTGCCCTTTAGTAAGTAGGGTCCAAGATACTGAAGCAGGAGCGAGGAGCTGGGACCCAACCTGCGTCCTGGCTGGAGTGATGAGGGACCAGGGTCATGGCCCTGGGCTCCCAGGCCCCGTGCAGTCAGTGACAGGGGCAGTTGACTGGCTTGTTTCTGTAGGTTGTAGTTCTCAAATGGCTCTGGTTCGCCTCCTTCCGAGGGTCCTGGCCCCTCCTAGGAAGGGTTTTCTGACATAACGCCTTGGTCTACCTGGAGAATCCAGGAAGGAGGCTGAGCACCAGTCTGACACCTGCTGGGAACAAAAACACCTCCACTTCCTTTCAGGGTTTCTTTTAAGTGGATTACCTTTGGCTGGGCTCCCTTGTCATCCTCACTGGCGGGAGATCATTATCTTAACGGGAATTCTTCTCCTGGAAGATTCCCACTCCCAACTGGGAATTGGCCTCTTCAGAGTGAATAGCAGAGACTGTTTCATTCTAGGCATCATTGTGATCACTTGTTCATGTAATTTATTGCCTGCTGGAATGGGAGTCACTCTGATGTTCCCATGCAGCAGTTATGCTGGAGTTAGATCCACAGGGCTCAGCCTGAACAAATCATCATCCCAGTCAGTGCCCCAGTGGTGTGGACAGTGGGGACACATTTTTGTGGTTGTTGCTTCGCAACATCTCAAGACCCTTTGATTTGGTTCCCTGGAAGCAAGGCCCTGAGTCTGTGCCTCTTCCTGATTGGATCAGAGGGAGATGCAGGAAGTCAGGGTGAATACTGCCTCTTCTCCTCACCCCTGCCGGCCTCAGATGGCCCAGCCTGATACCAGGGCCCCTTGAGGAAGCAGCACCTTTAAAGGGTCAAAGGCAGTGGTGATAACCTCCAGCCACACGTGGAGATGCACTGAAAATGATTGGATAAAAATGATAATAGTTGTATTGGGTTGTGGAATTATAGAGGATATTCTTTTCCATATTTTTAGTAATGTCATTACATTGCTTATATACTCTGAAGATCTGGGAAGCTGTAGGTTGTGGCAAGGCAGTATTTTAGGTGTTTTATATTGATAGGCTGATGAGAGCATCAACAAGAATGTAAAAGAGATATGGCCCTTGCTGGAGCAGGCCTGAAGTGCGGGTTTAGCCTAAGTGCCTGTAGCTGTCCAGGGAGGGTTTATCCTGGCCCCTCCTCATCCCATCCTGTGGTTCTCAACAAGGTCACACATTAGAGTCACCTGGGGAGGTTGTATAAAAACTGCCTGGGCCTCACCACAGCGAGTTGATGAGAGACTCTGGAGGGAGAGGCTTACACACCAATACAGAGAAATGACAACAGACCAACCTCCCCAGGAGAGCCAGATGCAGAGAAAATAGAAAACATCTCTCCTTGTCCTTGAGATTCTAAAAAAATCAGGTTATTTTTAAACAAACCCCAGAGGTTAGTGGCTGGGCTAAGGTAAAACACCCAAGAACTTGGGAGCTGAGCTTCCTAAGGGTGAGACATGAAGCCCCTGCTCTGCCAGAGAAGAACTTTGCTCCTACCCTTACCCCCAACACAACCAGGGCAGCACACAGAGTGGTAGGGAAAGCATGCGGCTGAGCTCAGATGGCTGACGGGGTGAATCCAGACTCCAGTTAGCTGCTGTATAACTTAGAACAAGTGACAGTCTCCCAAGCCTCAGTTTCCTTATCTATAAAATGGGTTCGATAATAGTGTCCACCTCATAGGATAATTGGGAGGATAGAATTAGCTAACGTGTAAAATTCTTAAGATAGTGCCTTCTACGCAATAAATGGACCCAAGCGTTCAATAAATTCTGGCCGCTGCTGTCTCTTGCTCTGCCCAATTATTGGTCTCGCTGGGCTCACCAGGGCCTAGGTTGAGTTAAGCTGAACTGATCTTTGACGATAACTGGGGTAGGACTCAGGGCAAATTGATGCTTTAAAACTTCGTCCTTTTTTTCTTTTCTTTCTTTTTTTAAGGAGAAGGTCTTATTCTGTTGCCCAGACTGAAGTGCAATGGTGCGATCACAGCTCACTGCAGCCTTGATTTCCTGGGCTCCATCCATCCAGCCTCCTCAGCCTCCTGAGTAGCTGGGACTACAGGCGCACAAAACAACACTCAGCTAATTTTTGTATTTTTTGGTAGAGATGACATTTTGCCATGTTGCCCAGGCTATAGAACTCCTGGGCTCAAGTGATCCACCCGCCTTGGCCTCTCAAAGTGCTGGGATTACAGGCGTGAACCACCTTGCCTGGCCCAAACTTCTTATTCGTTAATACATGGTCTTTTCTCCTGTTCCCATTTCTTCCTGTGGCCAGTCCTAGGGGCATGGAAATGGAAATGAGAGCAGTTGCATCCTTAAGTCTAAGTCATTCAAAGGTGCCTCTAAGGATCAATTTTTATTTGCTCCTTCACCCTTAAGAGGGGTTCCAGCTTTTCCCATTAGTCGGACATGCCTGGGGGCATTCCTATGTGCTGGATAGGGGCAGCCTCTTCTCCAAAGGGCTCTATTTTTGTTGCTATTTACTACAGAATGTTCTGGAAAACCAAGTACATGTCTGCTGCTTTCTTGCTTTTCTCCTTTGGTAGGTGGTGTGTGTTTAAGAGGGTGGGCCTTGTGCTAGGAAAGCCCCAGGACGGAGGAGACAGCTTCAGCTTCTATAGGAAACCGATTACTGCCTTTGCTATTGCTGTACTTTAATCAGAGGCCAGAAAAGGAGCCAAGAATGTGCAGGGAACACAGCCCCTCCTCAGAAAAGCTCCTGTACCATTGTAGCTCAGCTCCTGAAGCTCTCAGGATGTCACACCTCCTTGCTGACAGGGAGCCTGAGTGCTGTGCGAGGCCAGGAGCATTGCTGGAGAATCAGGGAAGTCATAGTTTGGAGAATGGTGTTCTTGGTGAAGAATGCCCTTCCAAGAAGAGACACAGAGACTGGGAACCACAGTTTACGTTTCAAAAATGGAAGTGGACAAGAGGGCCAGGACTGGCTGGTGGGTACCTGGACCCTCCAGCCATAGCCCTTCTGGTTGGAAGAGATCCAACTCTTCACCCAAATCTGTTTGACATTGGAAATATCTCACTGGTCTTTGCGAAGGCAAAGGTGTAGGGTGTCGAAGAGCAGAGGGAGTGGTTGGGGTGTCCTCTGGGGTGGGGGCTAAGGACAGCTGGAGGGAAGGGAGACCCATGCTAGATGATGGACGTTACCTCGTGTCCTTATTTCAAGCCTGTGGAGTGGGCAGTGGAGGTTATTCCTATTTTACAGATGAGAAAATGCTTAGTTTGGGGGATTAAGCACCAAATGACACAGGTGTTATTAGTCAGAGCTGGGATTCAAACTAAGCTCTGATACCTCTGGCCTTTCATTTCTCCACTGGCGGTTCTTCACTGACTTTGGATTAGAAAGGTGCCTCCAATCCAGGCCCATCCTGTTGGTAATTTAGTTTCTAAAGTGCCCTCCCAGAAGTGATCTTCTTTGAACCTGTCCTAGTCCATTTGGCCTCTCTAACAAGGTAACATAGAGTAAGTAGTTTAAACAACAGACATTTGCTCCTCATGGTTCTGGGAGCTGGGAATTCCATGGTCAGAGTATCAGGAGGTACTCATGCATCTGGGACCCCAAGCACAGCAGGAGGATCTCTTGAGACACACACACAAAAAAACGTTGCCAGGCACATGGCTCACACCTGTAATCCCAGCACTTTGGGAGGCTGAGGTGGGAGGATCACTTGAGACCAGCCTGGCCAACATGGTGAAACCCGTCTCTACTAAAAATACAAAAATTAGCTGGGCATGGTGGCACGCACCTGTAGTCCCAGCCACTTGGGAGGCTGAGGCCAGAGGATTGCTTGAACCTAGAAGGCAGAGGTTGCAGTGAGCCAAGATCGCGCCACTGCACTCCAGCCTGGGTGACAAAGTGAGACTCCATCTCAATTTTTTAAAAAGTACTCCTGGGTCTGTTGGCCTCTTTCCAGCCTCCCCAGGCAGCTTCTCTCCTTGCTGGTCTGTATTTTCCAGCTGCCCAGAAGCACTTGTGTCCCACCATGCTGTCACCTCCCTCATAGCACACACTTCTCTGTCCTCATGTGATGAACTCCCCTGTGTTTCAGAATGTCTTAGGAAACTTTGTGAAGGGCACATACTCAATGTCAAGAAGTCCTTGACAAGGATATGTGGTGACAGATGAAGCTGGGGACCAGGCCCAGCCAGTGGAACCTGGTCATGCCACTCTATCTGATCAGCTATGATTTCATTGGAAGAATCGAGGTTAGGGAGCACATGGCTGAGCACAGTCACTGTCAGAGAAAGGTCACTCTTCATCTCAGATGCTGCCTTTTTCTGAAGGCTTTTTATAGCCCACTTTTTTGGGGAGTGATTAAAGTAAGCTCTGACCTCTTTCCAGAATCATTCTAGTGCTTTGGTCACATTTCATGGGGAGAAATTAAGATCCTTTATTGTCTGTTATCTCTGTTTTCCTCCATGGCTCATTACCCATGGCAAACTGGTGCTTTCTTGAAATCATTAATGTGTATCCTGCTAGAGTATCAATAAAGGCCTTTGGGAAGACCTTAGGGGTATGCTTCAGCATGGGTGGGGCCATGGTTCATTGATGTTTGAATGTTTCTTCACAGTGAAACTTGTAGGGGAAAGCAAAGGAAACATGTTTGCTTGAGAATTTGGAGTTTGGCAGGGCAGTTCTCTAGATAGAAGTTGATTCACATCAAAAAGTGTTATTTCTTCTGGATGTCACCCTTGATGTGGCACCTTGGGAGCCGACATGCTTAGAGCATTTGAAGCGAATGGTCTTCTCTATGACCCAGCAACAGGGCTAAGAAGGCTACTCAGGTGCACAAGGAGAGGAACACGCTGTGTTCTGCAACCTCCTGGCATTAGCCTGGGTGCCCATCAGGAGGAGGATGAGTAAATAATAAGTGAACCAGAACTACATGAATAACATGAAAAACAAATCTCAAAAATACAAGGTTAGACAAAAAATGCCAAATTATATTGTATAGTTGAAAACTATTAGGCCAGGCACAGTGGCTAACGCCTGCAATCTCAGCACTTTGGGAGGCCGAGGCAGGCGGATCACTTGAGCCCAGGAGTTCAAGACCAGCCTAAGCAACATGGTGAAACCCCATCTCTACAAAAAAATAGAAAAAATTGGCTGGGCATGGTGACACATGCCTGTGGTCCCAGCTACTCAGGACACTGAGGTGGGAGGATCGCTTGAGCCAAAAGGTTGAAGCTGCAGTGAGCCATGATCATGCCATTGCACTCCAGCCTGGGCAGCAGAGTGAGACCCTGTCTCAAAGAAAAAAAAAAACAAAGGTTTGAAACAAGCAACACAATGTTTATATATATTGTCTTTGACTATAAACATGTAGTAAAAAATATAATGAAAAGCAAAGGAGTGATGAATACCAAATTTGAGAGAGTGGTTACCTCTGGGGATGGAAGAGAAATGAGACCTGGGAGTTGTTCACGAGGAATGTCAATGATTTATTTTTTTTCTTGAAATGGTTGGTGGTTATGTGAAGTTTAGAATATTACTTATGTTTTTTAGTGGTTGAAATACTTCATAATTTCAGTTTAGTGTTTTTGTTTGTTTGTTTTTTAAGGCAGGGTCTTGCTCTGTTGCCCAGGCTGAAGTGCAGTGGTACAATCACAGTTCACTGCAGCCTTGACCTCCTGGGCTCAAGTGATCCTCACACCTTAGCCTCCTAGGTAGCTGGGACTACAGGCACATGCCACTGTGCCCAGCTAATTTTTAAAAAAGAAAATGTTTTTATAGAGATAGGGTCTCGCTGTGTTGCCCAGGCTGATCGCAAACCCCTGGCATCAAGTGATCCTCCCACTTCAGCCTCCCAAAATGCTGAGATTACAAGTGTGAGCTACTACACCCAGCGTAGAATTTTTTTTTAAAAAGAGGAAGAACCGGCCAGTCATGGTGGCTCATGCCTGTAATCCTAGCACTTCGGGAGGCCAAGGCGGGTGGATCATTTGAGGTCAGGAGTTCAAGACCAGCCTGGCCAACATGGTGAAACCCTGTCTACTTGAAATACAGAAATTAGCTAGGTGGTAGTGGTGTGCACCTGTAATTCCAGCTACTCGGGAGGCTGAGGCAGGAGAATCGCTTGAGCCTGGGTTAGCCTGGCATTAGCCTGGGTGCCCATCAAGAGGATGATGAGTAAATAATAAGTGAACCAGGATGCAGAGGTTGTGGGGAGCCGAGATGGCGTCGCTGCACTGCAGTCTGGGTGAGAGAGTCAGACCCTGTCTCAAAGAAAAAAAAAAAAGGAAGAACCTTTCCTAATCAGTTCAATCAACAGTTTTAATTTTCACCTGTTACTAACTGGACTCCTCTGGGGCTGATGACCATGACATCTTGCTGTTCTCCCACCTCTTGCCCAGGTTCATCATGGCCACTTCATTATTCCTCAGTATTAGCACCAGTGAGAAATTAAGAGAAGGCACAAAACCCCTCGTTTTGCTACTTGATAGTCTGATGAGTGGAGAGTAGAAATAATGCACTAAAGGAAATCTTCACATTTTGAACATATCGTGTTCATTGATTGCAATGACAATAGCCAAGGTTAACTGAGACAAACTTGAATTTTGGTTAACCCATAAGAATCTCCTGCCAATCCAAAGGGGCAGGAGGGAGTGATCATCCGAAAGCCCCTGTGCAAACCTTGCTCTAGGCCCTCTGTCTCCCAAGGGAGTAGCATTGAGGACTTGTTCCGAAATCATTGTTCATTTTGCATTCACAGCATGGCCGGACTCCCCTGCATCTTGCTGCCAATAAGGGCCATCTTCCTGTGGTCCAGATCTTGCTGAAGGCTGGCTGCGACCTTGATGTCCAGGATGATGTGAGTAGAAGCCATCATTCTATCAGGCTGAGTTGGCAGGGGAGGTTTTCTGGCTAGAAATCCACAAAGTGTAAGCTGTGAGATGGGAGGGTAGTAGATGCTCTCGCAGCACATTTTAGCTGCATCTTGGTCTCTGTGGCAGCAAGAACTTCCTCTGGAAGACCTGCTCTGAGGCCCATTCTCAGTAGCAAGTTAGAGTTTGGGAGTGTGGGGTGGTTCTCCATCATGGTTCACTTCCTGTCTATTATTCAAGTGATCACTTCCTCTCTATTGTACAAAATGCCTCAAAGGGGATTTTTGCCTGTGTCCTGTCTCAGCATAAAGAGACACACACATGCACATTAGTGAGTATGGGCAAGACTTGCCGGAAATGTGTGTCAATGACCAAATTTACCATTGGAGAAAAAATGGGGATTAAAAACTTAATTTTTTTCTCATCTTAATTTCTCTTGGTCAGTGAATATGACATGGAAAATGATCTATTCAAGTTGGGGAGTTGGGGGAAGACACAGATCTCATGGAATCTAAGAAAAAGGAGGCCTCCAGAAAGAGTTTACTCTGCCACCATGCTATTATTGAGACATGGCCATCAACCAACTCAGCTCTGAGTCTATTCATTCAGGTTATCTAGAGATGGACTCTGATTGGCTCCTCTGGCATCAAGTGGCCAATCCTGAGTGAGTCAGCAGTGGCTGGGGTGGAGTCACGTAGTACAGTGGGCTGCCCTACTGGGTCTTTGGAGAAGGTGGTTCTCTAAGAAAGGACCATATAAATTGTCCTCCAACAGCTATTAGGAAAAGGTCTTTTGATAATACAGTTGAAAACTATTTTTAGAAATGGTTGCAACACTAATTCATGTAGTAGAACTCTAAGAAATAAGAACTTTTATGGGGAACACAGAATGTTGGAGTGTTTGCACTTATAACCTCTTCCAAATTCACCTTTAATAACTGTAGTTATAGAGTGTGATTCAAATTTCACATCTTCAGATATGCTACAGTGTGGTTTACTAAAGTGCTTCTAGTTTTCTTTGGGTCTGTGTATAATGTCATAAAACTTGGCAAACACACAGTAAGAAGGACAGTACTTGCAAAGAAATAACTATGACTGTTTTATGCATGGGCAGAAGGCCATCCAGTGTCTTTCATAAATCTCTGGTTATATCTGGAACTTGCTGGGTCATCAAAGATGTTATTTTCAAAAAATGTTGATTTAGCTTTAAGCCATTGATTTCTACCTTAGGTCATAATACTTTTTTATTTTCCTGCACTATGGTCATCATAACATTCTCAACTATATCATATCCTTAGATGACAGGAACAAAAATACAAGGAGAGAGAAAAGATTTTGGCCACAGAAAAGGTGGGGAATTGAGTTATTACTGGTGCAAACATGTTGGGATGCATTTGGTCTTCTCTTCGCATAATTAAAGGCTTTGCTTGCCACAGTGGCAAGGCCAAAATGCCAGGCATGCTAACCCATTCCAACTTGACACCCCTGCCTCACATCCTGGGCTCTAAGTATCACTGTGTTCTCATGCAGCAAAAGCCTTGCTAATTTCCTAGAACTGCTGCTGTTTATACCAGGCAAGGTAGGAAGTGAAACAGGCAAGAATTTTCTTAGGTAGCCAAAGTGAGACGTGTCAGCAGAAGAAAAGCCAGCTCTACTTTTAGACAGAGAGAGTCCCTTTTATTTATTGAAGGTATTTTCTTGCATCTTTTCCTTGTCCTAGAGAGACAATGCATATATTGCTTCTCCCAGATAAATTAAAATAAAAATACAACAACAAGAAATAATTGGGAGTGGAGAAGGTAGAATTGACCTTCACTAGTTCTGAAGAAATGCATTTGCCAGCAATATGATCCATGCCTGTTCTCTGTG
Organism: Homo sapiens; assembly: GCF_000001405.40. Classification (NCBI taxonomy): domain Eukaryota; kingdom Metazoa; phylum Chordata; class Mammalia; order Primates; family Hominidae; genus Homo; species Homo sapiens. Next base: position 89,597,896 of record NC_000006.12, read on the forward strand.
TATTTACCATGCTGTTGATGACCAGCCTTGAAATACATGCAAGAAATCAAGGAAGAAAACTCTTGATGTGTGTCCTTTAAAGAATCTAGGAGATCAGTTATTTGAAAAAATCTCAGAAGTTACCTGTCTTGGATGGTGGGTAGAAACAGAGAATGTTAATGATATGAAGAATTTACTCCTAACTTCATATTCTACAGATACTGATCTTTATGGCATGGTAAGAACTGAGAATTAGTTGAAGAATGACCTCCAGTGGCCTGGAGTGGGATTATTATGAATTTCAACCTGTGGAAACCAGTTCTTTAGATTATGCAACTCCAGGAGCAAATTCTTTCTTGCTTCCTGCCAATCGTGTCAACTCTCATTGGAGCGCTAATGCCATCTCTGATTGGTCAATGAGCAATCACATAGCTCCCGCCTCAGAAATAGTCCAGGATGCTGTGGCCACAGTGAAAGCCATGAAAGAAGACAAAAATAAGAAAAACCACAGAGGGAAGGTTAGGAAGGACCCTAGAAGATCAGAGAGAGAAAAAGAGGTCAGCAACTTGCTTTACACACCTAACCTGTCTTGAGCTTCCTTGCAGTATGTCTGCCTGTGCCACATGGGGGTGTTTCCTCTTGAAGAGGCGCACACTGCACCCTTGCATGACTGAAATCTGCCAACACTACACTCACTCTTTTTCACCATGTAGGAAAGAAAAATAACAGTATTTCAAAACAAAGATTTAGACCTTATAGGCACCAAAGCTCTTAAAATCCCAAAGTGAGAAACACTGTCTCAGAAAAACTGAGAGCTGGCAGTTCACGTACTTCGCAAATGGGTCAACATGTTCCAAATCAAAGTGCCAAACTGCAAGGTTGCAGGCCCTTCAGGTTTCCAGCTACAGCATCTTTCCTTCTGCTTCTTGTAGTTAATCATTCAACAAATGCTTTTGGGGCAGCTCTAGTGGCTATGCTTTACTTTATGAAAGAGGCAGTCCCAACCCCACAGATGCATCTGACCTTTTCTGAGGCTCGTCCTAAGGTTAATGACTTCACAGGTTGGAAGCAGCTTGGGGTGAGTGCAAAGAGCCTTGACAATTTGATTTCTGGTCCAAGCATGCTGTCCTAGGCTTATCAATAAAATGAGAGAATTAGACATCAATAAAATGAGAGAATTAGACTTGGCACACAGTAGGGAGTCAATAAATATTCAGTCCGGGCCTGGTGGCTCACACCTGTAATCCCAGTGCTTTGCGTGGCTATGGAGGAAGGATTGCTTGAACCCAGGAGTTGGAGACCAGCCTGGGCAACATGGCAAAACTCCATCTCTACAAAAAATAAAAAAATTAGCTGGACATGGTGGCAAATGCCTGTGGTCCCAGCTACTCAGGAGGCTGAAGTGGGAAGATTGATTGAGCCTGGGAGGTGGAGGTTGCAGTGAGCTGAGATCATGCCACTGCACTCTAGCATAGGTGACAGAGTGAGACCCTGTCTCAAAATGAGTGGATGTTCACCAAATAGATAATTCAGTAAACACTGTTGAGAGTGCTCTACCTTTTCCCAGCATTTAAGAATTTCATGATTGACTTAGGTAGGTATCATATGCAAGTAAGAATTATGTCAAAGTAGCCACTTGTATGTATTGAGGCCACATCTTGTTTCTTCGTGTCATTTCAAGGAGGAAATGTTTCAATGGTAAATTTTAATCTTATAGGAGGAAAGAGTCCATTTGTAGATAACTGACCCTGTTTCAACTGAGGGCCTCAAGGTACTAAATTGTTTGTGTTGTATTCTAGGGAAGAATAGATCCAAGATGATAACCTGAGGCAGCTATTGTTTACATGTTTCATGTCTCTCACCTCAGAGCCTTTAATTCTCATCTTGGTTACTTGAGAAGGGTGGGTTTTTCAAAGCCTGAGAAAGCGTATTGCCCAGTCCTCCAGAACCATTCCAGCTAGTGTCAGCACAGCTAGCAGTACAGCCAAGGACAGCCACTTTTGGTAGGGAGAGTCCGAGCCTGGCCTGACAGCAGTGTTTATCTGACCCGGGCTCTCGGTGAGGTCTCTGTCTGAGAGGACGGCTGGAGGGGGAGCTGTGGCCTGGAAACAGGCAGGACAGCCAAAAGGTCCCCCAGAGGAAGGGGTGTGCAGGACCTTTGCCAGCAGCTTAGGACACTATGTGTTCTCGCCGCAACCTCACACAAGTCATTAGATTTCCTTGAGTCTTGCTAGTCTGGAAATGTCCTCCCAAGGTCTGAACTGAAAGTTAGATTGAGCTGCTTGCATTGAGCTAGAGTTTCACAAAGGAAAATTTTCTCAAAGGAAGCAAATACAGTAGATTGATGATGAAAGCAAGTAATAAATAACTTGGTGCCATTCCGGCTCCAAAGATACCTCAACTCATAATTTAGAGGGCAGCTTGTGAAACATGACAAAAAATATTTGACCTAAACCAAGGCTTAGGTTAGTCTGTGCCGTACCATCCAGTGAAGGCCCTTCGTGAAATAATTTGTACAGCAAGAGTGGCTAACACGACCCATATGCTCAGGGCTTGTTGCTCATACTTCATGAACAATACAGAGTGATAAGCTTTGTCCTGGAAAAAGTTGTTTTTATTGGTCCAAAGAGCACTAGAGTGTAAGTAGTTTGTGGTTATATTAAAAAGCCTGTAAGAAGTGGAAATCTAACCAAGTCAGCACTACCCTGAAAGCGTGAGCTGCAGTCGCGTGGTTCTTGCTAAGAAGGGCACTGTCTTTCTTAGCAGGTCAGTAATCATCATTGCACTGGAGGCCTATTTTGGGAAATTCCGTCACCATTCTGATAGAGAAATGGGAAGTCTTGGAAATCTTACGGAAATTTTAAAAAGTTGAGACGTGGGGCCAGGCACGGTGGCTCGCGCCTGTAATCCCAACACTTTGGGAGGTGGAGGTGGGCAGATCACTTGAGGCCAGGAGTTCAAGTCCAGCCTGGCCAACATGGTGACACCTTATGTCTACTAAAAATATAAAAAAAAAATTAGGCATGGTGGCAAGTGTCTGTAATCCCAGCTACTCTGGAGGCTGAGGCAGAAGAATCGCTTGAACCTGGGAGGCAGAGGTTGCAGTGAACCAAGATGGCACCACTGCACTCCAGCCTGGGCGACAGGGCGAGACTCTGTCTCTAAACAAAAACAAAAAGTTGAGACTTGGGCAGTATCTCATATGATTACTAGTTTCCTTGTCTAGAACTGCTTTCTAAGAGGTCTGAGGTAGACAGCGCAAATGGCACAGCCTACCTCCTGCAGCCACTGACCCAGCGGCCACATTCTTTTTTTAACCACTGCAAGGGTTCTCTTTGAATAAGGGGTCTGGGAAGGTGGATGAGAAGAAAATCAGCCTGAACCTAACTGATAACAGGAATAATAGTTTAGGATGCTGAAGGGGGGAGGTCGGTGGTGGCAGTGCTGAGGACAGTGATCTGTCCTCAGTGTCCTGACCCCCCCTCACTGCAGAAATTCCTTACCTTCCACAAATGAACAGTGGGAAGAGAGTCTGTGACAGGGACAGTCCTGTTACTGGGGTATTGTTTCTGCTCAGACTTCTAATAAGTAGCGGTTTTTCCTGATGCTAAAAGTTATCCGTGTTAAATATAAAAAGCTGGAAAATATTAAAAAGTATAAAAAGTTAAAAGAGAAAAATCCTTTCATGGATTTTTAAAGGGAGACTTTTTAATTTTAAGAAAGCAATTTTGAGTTTTAACTAGGATTTTTTATTGTAATAAAATATACATAGCATTAAATTTACTGTCTGAACATATTTACGTATACGGTTCAGTGGCATTAAGTACACTCACATTGTTGTGCAACCATCACCACCATCTATCTTTAGAACTTTGTTTCAGATTACATGTTTTTAATGTGCATTGTTTGTTACAGATCTGGGGAGTTTAGTAAGTAGAATCAGTATTTCGTTAAGGTTGTTTATAGGTAGCAGTGCATCCTTCTTTTAAAAAATCTGTTTTATCTTATGATGGCCTCTGTCCTCTTTTGGGCCAAGCACCAGGGACGCCCCAGAATGTTTTCTTTGCCCCTCTGGTGCTCTGCCAGGAAACTTCACAAAACTCTGACCAGCCACATCATAGAATCCAAGAAGGCAATGGAGGGACCCTGGGATCATCCAGGGTGACACACCTGAGGTCCAGCAGGGTGACAGGCTTCTAGCAAGCCATGCACAGCCCAGGCCTCCTGACCCCTTGTCTCGTGCTCATTGCTTTCCACCAGAACATTTCCACACTGCCCACCCATCCTCCCTTTCAAGGCTGGACCACAGGCTCAGCTTGATTTACCTCAACTTAGCTTCCTGAGGACCTGTCAGAGATAAAGGGTGCTCTTAGAGACTTCAGAACTCTCCTGTTACAGTCTTGACCTGCTTACCTCTGGGAGTGTTTCATCCTTCACTCAACTGCAATTAGGAAGAGTCAAGTTCCCTTTGGCGCCTAAAGGAGAACAACGGCCGGCAATCCCAGGAATCCGATCATAGAGAAGAGGGCTCAGAGTGCAGCATAAATCAGTGAGGATGTTGTCATGAACTCTCTGAAGAGGCTTCTTAGAAATATGCAGTGATAGCTGCAGTCCCTGGAGTCCTCAGATGAAATAGGGCAAACCCCTGCATTGCCGTTGACTAGTACAGGTCAATGAACAAATGACCCGCCTGTCATCAAATCATGAGTGCTGCTAACTGGCAGAGCTGGACAGTGGTCCCCCTGCAAGCTGGAAACTCGGCAGGCAGTAGAGATTCCAGGCATTGCTGCTTTAATTGCATAGCACACACCTGCCCTCACACCCACTCTTCACACCTGTGATAGTCATAGCCCCTGGATGGCAGGAGAGAGCCTGACCCTCATTTTGAGGTTGGCTCTGTGGCCGAGGGCTATTCTTGCTGTCGGCTTAAGGTCCCCCTCTTAGTTTATGAACAAAATTTCTCTGCCAGCGTGCGTTGTCTACTAACAAGACCACAAAGCCCGCCTTGCCTGTGGTAACCAAGCCCTTCTGCGAATAACCGCTCTGCTCTGTGTGGGGACGGGAGGGGTCCTTGTGTCCAAGTGTCAAGTGAGTAGTGCAAGCAGGGGGTGCAGGGGAGCTGACTGCTGTTCCTGCCTTTGTGTCACTTTGCAGGGGGACCAGACCGCCTTGCACCGGGCCACAGTGGTGGGGAACACGGAGATCATCGCGGCGCTCATCCACGAAGGGTGTGCCCTGGACAGACAAGACAAGGTGAGTGGACACTGAGCTTCCTTACTCCCCAAGGCAAGGGAAGCCAGTGGCTCAGGGGAGCTGGAGGAGCCCGCTCTGGAAACTTTTGAGTCCTCGAGGTATTATAATTCCTGTCTTACCACTTATGATTTAACATGATTAAATCAGCCTAAAATTCCTTTGAAACACTATCTGGTATCCCAGCCAATTGTAATTTTTTTTTTTTTTTTTTTTTTTGGAGAGAGGGTCTCACTCTGTTGCCCAGGCTGGAGTGCAATGGCATGATCATAGCTCACTGCACCTGGAACTCCTGGGCTCAAGTGCTCCTCCCACCTCATCCTCCCAAAATGCTGGCATGAGCCATTGTGCCCAGCTGCCAATTGTATTTTTTAAAAATCTTTTTCCTTGTTCTATGGCACCAGTGACAACCACATAAATCTTAAATGGTAAAGAAAAAAATCTAGAAATAAGGACCTATGTAGGCCTGGGTCGGGGGGGTAAGGGATGTGCCCCAGACTTTCTCTTTACTTTCTTAGATAAGTGAGCAAGTTAATTTCTTTAAACTATATTGCAGGGAAAAAAAAGTAAGCTCAACTGGGCCAAACACAGTGGCTCACGCCTGTAATCCTAGCACTTTGGGAGGCTAAGGTGGGAGGATTGCTCGAGGCCAGGACTTCAAGACCAGCCTAGTCAACATAACAAACCACTGTCTCCACAAAAAATTTGAAAATTAAGAAAATATATATTAGCAAGGCGTGGTAGTGTACACACCTGTAGTCCCAGCTACTCAGGAAGCTGAGATGGGAGGATTGCTAAGCCCAGGAGGTTGAAGCTGCAGTGAGCCATGACTGCATCACTGCATTCCAGCCTGGACGACAGAGTGAGACCTTGTCTCTTAACAAATAAATAAATAAGATTGATAGATAGATAGCAAAATTGGCCAGGCGCAGTGGTTCATGCCTATAATCCCAACACTTTGGGAGGCCAAGGCGGGCAGATCACCTGAGGTCAGGAGTTCGAGACCAGCCTGGCTAACATGGTGAAACCCCGTTTCTACTAAAAATACAAAAAATTAGCAGGGCATGGTGGCGCATGCCTGTAAACTCAGCTACTTGGGAGGCTGAGGCAGGAGAATCGCTTGAACCCGGGAGGTGGAGGTTGCAGTGAGCTGAGATCGTGCCATTGCATTCCAGCTTGGGCAACAAGAGCGAAACTCTTGTCTCAAAAAAAAAAGAAAAAGAAAAATTGATTATTTAAGGAATCCTAATGACTTCTTACATATTAACCTAATGTTTTTAAATTTTCAAACAATCTTAAAACACAAAACTTCACAATTAAGTGCAATTCAGCCTCTGCTTACTTTTTTTTTTTTTCTTTAAAGAGGCTATGCTGGGAAGAACTCTGCTTTACTTTTTAAAAATAACTTTTCATTAAAGTATAATATACATACAGAAAAGTGGACAAATAAGTGTGCAGCTTGTTGAATTTCACTAGCAGAACACACCTGTGTGAGCACCCAGCTCAAGAAGCAGCTCATTGCCAGCACCCAGAAGCCCCATACCCTGTGCCCCCTGCCCCTTGCATCCCCGCTTTCCTTTGGCTTCCTCCTTCTGCAGTCAGTCCCACTGCCCGGGCCACACACCGCCAATACAGTTCCCAGCAACCACCCCATCCCCTGGCCTTTGAGACCCTAGACTTCCCCTTGTGGAGGTCAGCTGTGTTAGGCCTTTATTTTTAGCTGTTTCTAGGGGCATGGATGTGGTTGAGTTAAAGCTGAAGCCAGAGCCTGGATGTAATTGGAGAATGCACCTGCACTGACCTCTGCTGATTGCCCTGCACCCTTCCTTCTCCGGGCTCTTCCCTCCCTGGAACTCCTGCCTTCCCGCCCCCACCCCACTCAATTCATTGCACTTAATGATATTTATTTGTTTAAAATAGTAAGCTAAGCAAATACGAGCTATGTTCATTAAATGACTTCTATTTAAAAGCAACACATTAGGCCGGGCACGGTGGCTCACGCCTGTAATCCCAGCACTGTGGGAAGCCAAGTGGATCACTTGAGGTCAGGAGTTCAAGACCAGCCTAGCCAACATAGTGAAACCCTGTCTCTACTAAAAATACAAAAATTAGCAAGGCATAGTGGTGCATGTCTGTAATTCCAGCTACTTGGGAGGCTAAGGCAGGAGAATCGCTTGAACTCTGGAGGCAGAGGTGGCAGTGAGCTGAGATCACACCACTGCACTCCACTCTAGGTGACAGAACAAGACTGTCTCAAAAAATAAAGGCCACACATTGAGGATACTTGTTTGTTTTATTTCCAAATCACTGTTTCCTCAGTCCCTGTTCATTATTTGTTTGGGGCCCTGAGGCTTTTGAATTAAGGTGGGTGAGATTAAGTTTCAGTGAAAAAAAGTTGGGGAATCGATCAGGCCCCTGAATCTTATGAAGATGGCCTCTTCCTTTGCCTGATCTTTGCAGGGTTCTCTCTGATGCCAGGAGCAGAGCAGACTCTAAGGGTGGTGGAGGTGGGAAGAAATAGATGGCATGCTATCCTGATGATGCTTTCTGTTAAACGAGAGCTGTGGATGGGGCCTAGAGCCTCTCTCAACTGGGGTTCCTAGAGAGACTTAACCTCTAATGCCTTATGAACAATCATCCATGGTTCGTCATGGATTCATTTCTCTTCTGTGCATCTAGAATGGTTCTTATGATGTATCATTTCTGGGATAATGGAGAAACTTACCACTCAAATCATCTTCTGTAGTCTGTGGCTCAGATGAGAAAGTCCAATTGAGAAAGGCCGTCTGGTGTTCCGTAAAAATCCACTGTGATGTATTGATCATAATGAGAAGAATTAGGTCTTGGGTAATGTGCCTTTCCCACCTGTGTGTCTTCCTTAGGATGGGAATACAGCCTTGCATGAAGCATCCTGGCATGGTTTCAGCCAGTCAGCCAAGCTGCTCATTAAAGCAGGAGCCAACGTGCTTGCCAAGAACAAGGTGAGGCCTGGCAGATGCTAGAATGCCTCATTCACAGGTGAGGATGGCTGTGGGTTTCTCCCCCTGTGGGAGCCTTCTTCCAGTGAGAAGAGTGAGAGCCCAGAGTGGCACGAGGAACCTGAAGGTCCATTCGGCCCAGAAGTTTCATTTGCAGAAAAGGCTAGAAGCTGATTGATATTCCAGGTCAGGAGCAAGTGCACCAACAGCGCCAAAACCCTGCTTATGTGAGAGGCCCCTGACTGCTGCTGGGAATCTACATGCGATTACTGTCCCATAGTTTTTTTGTATTCAAAAAATATGGCAATGGAGTTGGCATTAAAAAAATCAGCAAAAGAACTTTAAAATGCTAATACCGAAAATTAGTAAAGTGGGCTCCCCTAGATGCTGCTGGGAAAGTGTGATACGAATAGCCACCTTTGGGAGACAATTTGGCAAAACAAATCAGGAGCCTTAAAATGGTCCTTTTTTGGCCTGGCATGGTGGCTCACACCTGTAATCACAGCACTTTGGGTGGCTGAGGTGGGTGGATCACCTGAGGTCAAGGGTTTGAGACCAGCCTGGCCAACATGGTGAAACCCCATCTCTAATAAAAATACAAAAATTATCCGGGAATGGTGGCTCATGCCTGTAGTCCCAGCTACTTGGGAGGCTGAGGCAGGAGAATCGCTTGAACCTAGGAAGCAGAGGTTACAGTGAGCCAAGATTGCACCACTGCACTCCAGCCTGGGCACAGAGTGAGAGACTGTCGTGGGGGCAGGTGGGGGCGGGGGTGGGCCTTTTTTGGCCAGGTGCAGTGGCTTATGCCTGTAATCCCAAACTTTTAGGAGGCTGAGGCAGGCGGATCACTTGAGACCAGGCATTCAAGACCAGCCTGGCCAACATGGTGAAACCCTGTTTCTACTAAAAATACAAAAAATTAGCTGGATGTGGTGGTGCATGCCGTCATCCCAGCTACTCGGAAGGCTGAGACACAAGAATCGCTTGAACCTGGTAGGCGGAAGTTGCAGTGAGCTTAGTTCGTGCCACTGTACTCCAGCTTGGGTGACAGAGTGAGACCCGGTCTCAAAAAAAAAAAAAAGGTCCTTTTTACTTGGTACCTACCTTTCTTGGACTCTATCCTAAAAAGGTAATAAAACCTGCTATTGAAATGAAATATGGAAAAGAAAAAAATAAGCAATAAAACCAGTAAAATTTTACCGACAAAGATGTTCATGACAGCAGTAGTTATATTTTTTTAACTGTGGGGAGGGAGACTTAGAATTATGGTTCATTCATACAGTGGAATATAATTAATATTAAAATCGTAGTTTTGAAAATAATGCTTTCCACTGTTAAAGAACATCACAAAGAGATATAAGATCATATATAGTACATGTCCCAGTGCTTAATATAAATTTGTGTATTTAAAAATTTAAGCACAGAAGAATATCATCAGAATATTAACAGTGGTTATCTCTGGGAATTGAGGCTAAGATTGATTTTTATTTTTGTACCTTTCCCAAATTTTCCAGAATGAACCCATTATTTCTTTTACAATTGGGAGAAGAGACTTTTTTTTTTTTTTTTTGGATACAGAATCTCGTTCTGTCACCCAGGCTGGAGTGCAATGGCACACTGTCGGCTTATTGCAACCTCTGCCTCCTGAGTTCAAGCGATTCTCCTGCCTCAGCCTCCTAAGTAGCTGGGCATGTGCCCCCACGCCCGGCTAATTTTTCCATTTTTAGTAGAGATGGGGTTTCACCATGTTGGCCAGGCTGGTCTTGAACTCCTGACCCCGTGATCTGCCCGCCTCAGCCTCCTAAGTATCTGGGCATGTGCCCCCACGCCTGGCTAATTTTTCTATTTTTAGTAGAGATGGGGTTTCACCATGTTGGCCAGGCTGGTCTTGAACTCCTGACCCCGTGATCTGCCCACCTCGGCCTCCCAAAGTGTTGGGATTACAGGCGTGAGCCACTGTGCCCATGCCAAGAGATATACTTTATCTCAAAAATAAAAAAGCGTTATCAGTACTCTGGAGATATTTGCAGTTGAGGTAAGAAGGGTCATAAAAGGGCTTACCCTCTTTTCTTTCCCTGGATGGCCAGATTGGGTCTGTAGCAGGGGCCTGAGAATTTCCCACAGTGCACTGCCACATCACAGAGTGGTAGCTTCAGCTAATAGTGGTAGGATAATGAATCAGGTGGGCTAGAATGGGGTTCTAGGTGGCAGTAGCCTGGGGACAATGGGCAGCAGTAAGTACCCTCCCTAATACACACACACACACTATATATATATATATATGTACAATTTCATGGCCAAGTCAAATCTGAAACCATAGTATCTCTAGCTTATGACACACAGACATCTGCATACAAGATCTTCAACAGCAATGCCAGGCAAATCAAGCTATAGAAATATACCCCATCAATGAAGTGACTTCTCCAGACCTTGCATGCTGCAGGAAATAGAAATGACAGCCTGAAACTCCTTTGTGAACGTAATCTCTGTGGGAGCAAGAGAACCCACCTCAGTGGCTTTGCCCTCCGGTGAAATCTCCTGGCTCTCACTACTTTTCCATTGGTTCATTAGAGAGCATAGTTAAGCAAGCCATGCCTTCGTCATTTTCATCCGTCTCCCCTCTCCAGTCCCTCATTACATCTTAGGACATCTTCAAGTCTCACACCTGTTCCTCTTTCCATGCTCATTCTTAAGCATGCCCTGGATTATTTCAGATGCCTCAAGCAGATTGGCAGGCTCAAATCTAGTCCCTCCTTTCATCCTGCTCTTCCTCTGCTCAGCGACCTTCTCATAAAGCTCCTGTCTGACACTGTCTATAAGCCTCTGCTGGCCCACCTCTGGAGTTCCTCCTGGCTCCTTTCCCCTAGAGCACCTCCTGTGCCCTCAGAGTGGGGCTCACTGGCCTGCTTCTCATTCCTGCCTATAGACCTCCAACCTGGCCCCAGGCCCTCTCCCTCCCCGAAGACCCACTGGGCTGCTTCTGCAACTCTCCCTTGGCACCGCATGCAGCTTTGTGCTGTCGTTTCCTAGTTCATATTTTTCATGGTTCCCTCATGGATCAAAAGCTTGAGGTCTGAGAGCAGCAAGCTACGTATGGTAATATCGCCGGTAGTGCCTGGCTCACAGCTCAGGAGGTGGGTGGCTGCCCATTTCTTCAAAATGCATATGGTCTGGAACAGGAGTTGATGGTGTGTAATCACTTTTTTTTTTCTTTTTGAGACAGAGTTTCACTCTTGTTGCCCAGGCTGGAGTGCAATGGCTCAATCTCGGCTCACTGCAACCTCCGCCTCCCGGGTTCAAGCGATTCTCCTGCCTCACCCTCCCGAGTAGCTGGGATTACAGGCACCTGCCATCACGCTCAGCTAATTTTTGTATTTTTAGTAGAGACAGCGTTTCACCATGTTGGCCAGACTGGTTTTGAAATCCTGACCTCAGGTGATCCACTCACCTTGGCCTCCCAAAGTGCTGGGATTACAGGAGTGAGCCACCGAACCCGGCCTGTAATCACCACGTTTTTTTGTTTGTTTGTTTGTTTTGAGACAGAGTCTCACTCTGTTGCCAGGCTGGAGCGCGATCTCGGCTTGCTGAAACCTCTGCCTCCCGGGTTCAAGCTATTACGCTGCCTCAGCCTCCTGAGTAGCTGAGACTACAGGCACACACCACCATGCCCAGCTAATTTTTGTATTTTTAGTAGAGACGAGGTTTCACCATGTTGGCTGGGATGGTCTTGATCTCTTGATCTTGTGATCCACCCACCTCGGCCTCCCAAGGTGATGGATTACAGGCGTGAACCACTGCACCCAGCCCAGAAATTGTTTCTGTGTAAATAAAATGGCTTCAGAAGGACAGGTCAGGAAACTCATGCGTCTCAAAGGGAGGGACATTTTGTACCAGCCATAGCCCGTAGAAAGATCCTTCTTATTCAGCAGATGTAGCAGCTCCTGTCTGGGAAATCAGTACCCACTACTCAGGGTGGGGAAAAACGCCTGCTACATATATATCTACCCTAGGTCACATTTTCTAATGTCAGGTTTTGAGATATAGGTATGAAGTCACGCTGTTCTGTGAGTTTTGACAAATGTATACGGTTGTGTAACCCCCACCATAAGATATAGAATGTTTCCATTGCCCCTTAATGTTCCTTTGCGCCCTCTGGTGGCAGGCCCCCAGTCACCCTCTCCCAGCCCCGGGCAACCACGGATCTGTTTTGCTTGTTCATAAAGGTCATGTAAATGGAATCATACAGTATGCGGCCTTCTGTGTGTGGCTTCTTAAACTTAGCATAATGTTTTTGAGATTCCTCCGTGTCGTTACATGGAGGAATGGTTCACGCCTCTTTATTGCTGAGGAGTATTCCATTGTGTGGATCTACCACAATTTGTTTATCCAAACCTATGGTTTTTAATTTTCTTGGTGCAAATGCTTTTCCACATCATCGATATTTCCTTATTGGCAATATAAGCTTTGGTATGATCTATTTCTAGAGGCATCAGATTTCTTTCATTTCACTCATGTATTCAACACGTATTTAGTGGTTGCCATGAAGCCCATAACTTGCAGACAACTTGAGAGTAGTGTTTTTAAAACCTGGGCAGACCCCTTGTTGCTGAGAACTAAACTAGCAGTGGTTCTCCACCTGGCTGCACATTAGACCCTCCTGGGGAACTATAAACAAACGAAAAAGGAAAAAAAACAAAACTTAAAAAAAAAAAAAACCTGAAGACCAGGCCTGGGGTGATGGACTGTCCCAGTTTGCCCTGGGCTAAAGGGTTTCCCGGAATGTGGGACTTTCAGTACTAAAATAGGGATGCTGGATACCCATCCCCAAGGCCACATAAATCAGAGTCCCTAGAACGGTTGTGGCTGTGCACAGGGCTGGTTTGAAAGCTTCCCCAGGTGATTCTAATGTGCACCCAAGGGTTGAGAACCAGCGAGCCTGCTAGAACCTCAGGCCTGTAATCCTCCCTGTGCCTGGAGGTAAAAGTGAGACAAAAGGTCCACCAGGGCTGGTTGGAGCTAAGGTGAAGAGAAGGGGGATAAGCAAACTGGCCGCATCCAGTATTCCTCTATTTTTTTTTTTTTTAACTCATTTCTCTTTTTAAAAGATCAGGAATCTGATATACTGGAGTATCGGCAGCCAGGACTGTGAGATCCAGAAGGGTGTGAACTAGGTGAGGGAGAAGCAATGAACAGGCAGTGTAATGCTCTGAGCCCACGCACCTGCAAGCCTGACCCAGCACTTGAGCTCAGCAGAACCAACGCGGAGCTTCTGTGTTTAACCTCCTGAGTGCTTGCAGGCTCTTGGATGACACAATGTCACCTATCACACGGCCTTGCTTTCTTGTTACTTTTCTAGGGGTTATCAGCGGCCTCACATGCCCTACTCCCATAGACTCAAAAGTTCTGTTCATGTCCTGCAATTTTTTCCTGCAGTATTGCTATGGACCTTATTCTGACCCTTGGTTGTCATTGTGATGTGGTTTGTTGAGGTTCTCAAAAACAAGAAGGACCCAAAAAGCAAGAGGGTCTCAATCTGTGTCCTAAGTGATAGATGCAACTGTACTGCCTGAAAGGCAGGGCCTGGTGTCCATAGTTAAAATTTTGATGTTTCAAGAAAAATACAAGAATGGGTGACTTGAAAAAGGCTAACAAGTTAAATCTCAGTTGCATTAGCCTGCCCTTCCAGGAAGTGGCTAGTTTTACTTTTTTTAGCCCACCATTGGCAGGGATTGTAACCACAGCTATTGCCCATGTGGGGCAGGAAGTCATCTGATAGGAATTGAGTACTGTGCATGTGTCCAGCATTGTGTGTTAAGAAAACACCTTCCTAGACACTCTGAGTCAATCCCCATAGTTTTAGGATGTGGGGGTCATGCTCCATTTCCCAGGTAAGGAATTTGAGCATTTGAAAAGGCTGGCTTTTAGTTAGTAAGTTGCAGAGCCAGGACTTGGAACCAAGGTTTTATGACAAATAGGACTCTTCTGCCTGTTCAGACTCCAAATTAAATGTTCTTACCTCTGAAGCATCCCCACTGAAACCATCGGGCAAGAGGCAGAGAATGTGAGCGTTGCCTTTTCCCCCGAGTAAGTACTGCCCCTCTGCAAGGCATGCAAGTCTGTGCGGAAGCATGTTGCTAATATGTCCTCCCTCTCTCTGCCTCTCTCCAAGGCGGGGAACACAGCTCTGCACCTGGCCTGCCAGAACAGCCACTCCCAGAGCACGCGCGTCCTCCTGCTGGCCGGGTCCCGCGCTGACCTCAAAAATAATGTGGGTGAACAAAACCAGATTCTCACGTTCTCTCTTTCTTGTGTCACTTCAGAAAATAACTTCATGAGCATACTTGAACCTTAACATCTAGAAATTAAAATGTAAAAAGTATTTGGGGACTATCTCTAAAGTGTTCTTTTTTTGGCAATTTTCTAAGGGATCATTCAGGCATGTGAGAAGAAGAATCAAAAGACTTGGAAATACTGCTTTTCTCCCATCATTTTCCCTTCATGCCTCATCTTTGGTTTATCATTTCTTACAGTACGTGTCTGGCCAATTACAGACTAGGAAACCAGTTAATGTTTTAAGAAAGTCTCTACCCACATAGAGTGTTGAGTGTTGTACTATTATCAGCAAATATGAGCTGGTGCCATTTACAGGGGAGGTCCTCTAATGCCCCATGCCCAGCATCTATAGCGAGCAGGTCCTACTGATGACTGAGGCGTCCTTGGGATGAGCTGACCGGAAAGGTCACATGGGTATCGCTTCTTCACAAAGAAGCTGTATTTCCTTTATAAATCCCCTGCCTTAGCCACGTTGGCTAAATAAATAAATAAATCTGAGGCTTCTTTCTAAAGTGTCCTCAGGTGAGGGTCTCCCTGTTTGGGGTAGACTCATCTAATGCTCTGAACCTCAGCTTTGAGCTTGGTTCCGTCTTAATGCAGGGGAGAAAAGTATGCCAAGTGGCCAGTGTTCTCCAGACAGAGCTAGGATGGAAATGGCAAGAAAACACTGCAGGCAGCTTTTTGTCTCCAGTTCTTTATTGTCTTTGTGGGAACAGGGTTCTGCCTGTTGTGCTTACTGAGCATCCTGCCCCTGAGTTTTTCTTCATACCCTTTTTTTGCTCCCAGTGATTGCTTCCTTATGAGCTCCCCTACTACATAGCTCCATATAGGATATTGGGGTCCAACTGAAGTGGGATACTCCTTGAACTTCAGGGGGTACGTGTAATCTTAAGATTTGACAACCCCCCTGCTGCCCTGTCCTTTCATCCATGAGGGATCTATGCTGGGAAGGGCTCATTTCCAAAGCAATGCTGTTGGTCTTAAGTCAGTATACTACTGACCTTTTGGGTTGTAGGGAGGCTAGGGTCCCTGGATCCTCCTCAAGCACAGGTAAGCAGAGCCTGCCTTAGCTCTTGGAAAGGTCTCATGGGGAGCAGACGTCTAGTTTCATAAACGTGGAAGCAGTGATTCTGTGACCACGTGGTTGTTCTGCACAGGCAGAAAGGGAGCAGGGCTGCCCACAGCAGCAAAGAATGGCGAGCCTTGGGGTGGAGCATCTATGTTAAAAGAGCTGCTTATGATTCCCTAAAGAGTACATGATAGTCTGCTAGCTTTTAAATAACATTTTCTTTCTACTTTTCTCTATTTGTTTTGTAACTGCTCAGATTGTGCTTAGAGTTTGATTTTTGTCCGCAGGCAGGAGACACCTGTTTGCACGTTGCTGCGCGCTATAATCACTTGTCCATCATTAGGCTCCTCCTCACTGCTTTCTGTTCTGTCCATGAAAAGAACCAGGTCAGTGCATGTATTCTCTTCATGGCTGCCAGCACCCTTCCCACAAGGCTACCGGACAGGTCTGTTAGTGCAAACGGGAGCAGAGGCTGCTGGGAAGCTGCCATGTCACCTACCTGGGACTCAGCCAGCAGTGGGCTTTGCATGGGTGTCACACTGAGTTCTAGTGGCCCTGGCTTATCTGGCCTGCTAGAGAAAGTGTGCCCTTATAATTCCTGTGCATATCACCACATTTGCATATTGAACATTTTCTGGAGATCCTGGGGCAGGCTTTGTTTTTTAAATGTGATTTTAAAAAGAAAACCCACGAGGAAGAATGTGATTTAGTAAAGAAGCAAGGGAGGCCGGGTGCAGTGGCTCACATCCCAGTACTTTGGGAAGCCAAGGCAGGAGGATCACTTGAGGCTAGGAGTTCAAGACCAGCCCGGGCAACATAGCGAGACCCTGTCTCTACAAAAAATTTTTTTAAAAATTTGGCCGGCCGTGGTGGCTCATGCCTGTAATTCCAGCACTTTGGGAGACTAAGGTGGGTGGATCACTTCGAGTTCAGGAGTTCAAGACCGGCCTGGCCAACATGGTGAAACCCTGTCTCTACCAAAAATACAAAAATTAGCCAGGCGTGGTGGCGTGCACCTGCAATCTCAGCTACTCAGGAAGCTGAGGCAGGAGAATTGCCTGAACCCAGGAGGCAGAGGTTGCAGTGAACCGAGATCATGCTACTGTACTACAACCTGGGCAACAGAGCAAGACTACATCTCAAAATAAATAAATAATAAGTTAATTAAATTTAAAAATTGGGCAGAGTGGCATGTGCCTGTAGTTCCAGCTACTCAGGAGGCTGAGGCAGGTGGATTGTTTGAGCCTAGGAGTTTGAAGCTGTGGTGAGTGAGCCATGATCTTGCCACTGCACACCAGTCTGGGCAACAGAATGAGACCCCGTCTCTTTAAAGGAAAAAAAAAAAAACAAAAAAAAAAACCCACCAAGCAAGCATAGGAATTAGAAGTCTTATAACTCCCTAAGTTCTGTTCCTTGCACTGCCACTTACTTACACTTGAGCTGATAGTCTTTCATTCCCATAAAATTGGGCATATAATCTGTAGAGAGTGCCATGCAATGGGGTTTTGAAATAAAGCTGTGAATATTACCGTCTTCCTTAGAAATGTGCACAATTTCCAGCAGTCATTGGATTTGAAAATTAGATTGTCTTGGTATTTATTGACACCTATGTGGTACATTGTTTCACTTTTCTTTGTTGGAGTGCATAAATCTTAACTAAAAAAAAAAAATTAGATTGTGGTGTAGATTAAAAATACCATGGAATGGTGGTTTCTGACCCTGGCTGCATATGAGAATCAACAGGGGAATTAAGAATACTGTTCCTGGATCCCACCCCAGTTGAAAGAGTCAGAACCTCTGGGGGTGAGGTCCAGGCAATGGTGTTTTTAAAAAGCTCTCTGTCTGAGTATACAGCCACTGACCTAATCAAGTAGCACGGCCTCCCCAGTGGGGTGCTAGATCATCAGGTGACCCCTGCATAGCCCCCACCAACCAGTGCCTTTCAACCTTGGCAGCGTGTCACGGCACTTGAGAGCTTTAAAAAGTCCCCCTGCCCAGCCCACATGGTAGACCAATGAATTCAGCATCTCTGAGAGTGGGACCCAGGCATCATCATTTTTTAAAGCTCTGAAGCTTATTCCAATATTCAGCCAAGGGGAAAGCACTGTGCAGAGCTTCCCTTCAATACACATAGCTAAGTGACTCAGAAATGAAATAAAAATTTTCCCACCCCTCACAAAGATGGCTGAATGTTCATGCTACCCAGGAAAAAAGTATCAGGCGCTTTGCCTGATCACCTGATAGGAGAAAGAATGAATTGTTTCACTTCTCCTATATTTGTCTGGTTTATTTATATCATTGTGTTTGGAAAATGACAGCATTTGCATTTGGAATTGGCCCACTAAGCTGCAGTTGTCTTTATCCTCCTTTCATAGTTGATTTTGTGAAAGCATATTTCTTGTATAAAGATAATATGAACATTTATTTATAGGCTATCTGTAAGATGTAGAAAACAGTTGGTCTTGAGTGAACACTGGTTCTTGGTGTTTCCACCCGCACAAAGCATATCCTGAGCCTGCAGATGGATTGAGTCCCAGTGGCCCCTTCAGATCTACCCGCTGTAGCTGCAGGCTGGCCTGTCACCTCTCCGGTGCTTGCAGAAGTAGCCATCTTCACGGCTTCTCCTGCTCAATCCAGCACTCAGACACCAAGCAGTTTTCTGACCTCTGACCTCCCTGGGTAAAAGAACAGAGCCAAAAGTGGAATGACTAGCCTGCCTGCCCCAGGCCTCCTGCCTGTCCTCCTGTCCTCGTGAGGCTTCAGGTCCCACCATTCTCAACAACCCAGGCCAGCATTACTTTGCCCCTGCGTTTAATCCTGCTGCGTGATTTCAGGTATCCTCACTCAGAAAGAAAGGTGATATTGGTGCCGAGGTCACTTAGTTCCAAGACCTCTTTAAGTAGAGCCTCATAACGCTTTAACAAAGGGCCCCATTTCAGTCTCAGGCAAATCTCAGTTTGACTTTGAAGAGCCACACCTAGGCCAGGTAATGAAAAGCTGGGGGCTGTAGGCCATGAGCAGATGAGGTTTAGCAGACCTTCTAATCAATTCCAGGCTGGAGACACAGCACTTCACGTTGCTGCTGCCCTAAATCACAAGAAGGTGGCCAAAATCTTACTGGAAGCCGGAGCAGATACGACCATTGTTAACAATGTAAGTTGAGTTGCAACATTGCTTTCTAAAGTGGTTCCCACCCCTTTCCAGAATGGGATGTGTACTAAACCCCTGCAGACCCCCAGGCCCAGCGCACTCTGGAAGACGGGGGATCTCTGCTGGAACCACAGCCCCCAGGGCCATTGGGGTGGACTTGAAGGGTACCCCTGCTCTGAGCAGCCCCAGGAGTTGACAAGCCTTGGGGCCTGCTTTTAGCTGCCTGACTGCAGTGAACACAACCTGGCATGAAAAAGAACTCAGGGATGTCCAGTTAAACTGACGAGTGGATGTTACCCAAAGTGAGTTCCAAGCTGTAAATGCATGTGATGCTCAGAAAAATGGCCACATGGCCCTCAGTTTAGTCAGCTTCAAAATTCTAAAGCAACTCCTTTCTCTTCCACTTTGCCTGACCTCACTGTTTCCCTTTCCCTCTCCCCCTCTCACTGTGTGTCCTGCAGATCCTAGAGCAGGCACCAGCTCAGGTGCGCTTTCTTCTTCGAGGCTGTCCTGCGGTCTCTGCCCCTCTGAATGGTTCAGCAGGGCCTGGAGGGTGCAACAGCTGCTGTGTGGAGGTTTTTTTGAGGGGTGTGTGGTCTGGGACTGCTGAAGCTGGCACAAGGCTCTTCAGCTTCCTTGGCTCCTGTATCTAGCTCCCCTCTTTCTCCTCCTGCCTTCTTTTAGCTCTACAACCAGTACTGGGGGTGCAGTTCCATGATGCCTTGAATATCTTCCTTTTGCTATCAACTCCTGGGTTTTGGCTTCATCTCCTGAGAACCTACATTATGGCCATAACTCGTAGTTGCTTTTCATATTCAACTTCCTGAATCTCTCTGGCCAGCCCTGATCTGCTCCTCCGGCGTCTTCCCACTGTTTTCCAGGGGAGATTAATCACTGGGCTGGGCCTCAGATCCTCTGTGGTGTTTCCCCAACTGAAACATTCCCCCTGGATGCTGTCTGAGTGCTACGTTCCCTCCCCTCTTTGCAGGGAAGCACTCCTTGGTGGGTGGTACCCAGGCCTTGGCCTCCTAAAGCACTTCTTGCCCCCTTGGTCTGCCCTTGCCCTCTGGTGTCATATATTTTACTTAGCGTGTCTTCCAGTGTGACCCACCTCCCTCACTGGAGGGTCTGAGGCTGATGACCAGGGCCATATCACATAGGTGGCCATGTTTTGCCACGTAGGTGCTGGGTGTGACTGGGTGTGGAACTGCCTGCTCCTGGCCAGAGCTGTGCCAGCTGGGCTATGTGCGTGTGGGACCCGTGGCCCTTTCTCACCTGTCCTACTCTGCCTCTCCTCAGGCAGGCCAGACTCCGCTGGAGACTGCCCGCTACCACAATAACCCGGAAGTTGCTCTTCTCCTTACTAAAGCTCCCCAGGTAGGATTTACTGCCCTTTCCATGGTACTGATTATGCGGGACTACAAAGTTGTTGGGACTCCTGGTTGCAATCTACTGAAGCCTCTTCAAACTAACTTAAATATGGAATGTAACCAGGCAGTGGAGGTATAGGCATGCATGGGGGCCCAGGATGACGGGAGTCAAAGGCATCAAGTCCAGCTCTTCGTGTTCATGCCTGGGCCGCCTCATCTTCTCCCTGTGGCTGGATCTTTGTCACGGCCAGCTGCCTAGGTCATAGTTTCCCAGCTACTCAGCCAAGGAAGAAGTTCCAGTTTAAGACATCGCAGGACAGGGCCATGATTGCAGAGTTTAGGCCAAATGCCCATCCCTGAAGAAGTGGGACAGGGACTTTAAGAAGAGAAGTGGCATTCCCCAGAGAAAGGCAGGAGGGAGGGGACGATTCTGGGCAGATAGTCGCCTGCCGGAGATAGTTAAGTACAGTCTAGTTTTCTTTCCTCTTTTACTGACTAATGGTATTTTGACCATCATTTAATTTTTTTTAAAATGGTGGCTGATACTTTAGTTGAGGTTGACATTATCTAAGTAACAATAAAGAAATGTCATAATAATTTATAAGCTATTTATAATTCTAGCCCCCTGAAACAACTGTTTTTGTTTCATCCACAAAATAGATGAAACAGACACATAATTTTTACATAATTGTGCTTACAATGTATATACCCTTTTGTATTTCTTCCTTTTATCCTATTATAAAACAATGTTCTGCAGTCTTCATAATTATTCATTATAATGGAGGCATAATATTATTTTTGTTGCTATTAATAGTTTATTAAGCCATTTCCTTAATGTTGGACATTTAGGTTATTTCCAGATTGGCACTATTCTGTATTACATTACAGCAAACACTGATTGGCTTTCCATCTTATTCTGCAAGAAGAAGATAAAGTCTCAGGGAGTCAAAGGAAGATTTTGAACACAACCCTGCTGCAAAATAACCCGACAACAGCCCAGGGTTTGGGATGGCCTTTATTTTGTTTAAGTTTTTAAAACGTGCCTAATATAACTAGTAGTTTCTGGAAATGGTTAAGATTTTTGTCTTTTGCAAAATTGATCACCTTCTTGTGCATGGAGCTGGTCCTTCTCAGTGGTCTCTGGAAGGCCACAGAGCTCCCGACAAAAGAAAGTCAGTAGGAAAAGCTGCGGGGTTTCCACCTCTAGCAGCTTTTATCGTAAGTGGAATCACATCCATGAATCCTGATAGAAAAATGCTAGTCTCTCATGGATCTAAAAGTATGAAGTGCTGTATAAACGTCAGAACCCATCACATTTCTCTGGCAATTTCAGTATGTGGTAATTTAATGGACAGCCAGCCCCACCCTCAGCCATACAAAGATCAAGTCTTACAGGGTTGGAGGGTTCCCCAGGCATAGAAAGATTGACGGATCTTTAATCCACCTGTCATTTGTCTTCCAGAGCCCAAGGATCTTCACTTAAAGGGCAAAGAGCCTTACTGTGGACCATTTCCCTGTGCAGTTCTTTTTTGTTTCCACTTAAAACAAAAAAAGACTTAAGCAGGTTTCTCCATGCTTACATCGAATAACAAATAAGTTGGATGGCATGCTATGAAAGTTTATTTTATGCATAATTGTATATGCTGAGGCTTTTTCTCAACACAAACAAGGAACTTTAGGCATAAGATGTTACGCATACTGTTCTCTTGATCTGTGGTTACAGAAATAGCATTAGTATTTGCTTTGCCTGAAAAGAGAAAATCCCCTTGCCTTAGGCCCGTAGTTGGACGTGGATTTTAAATGGGCCACAGCAGTACTAAGAGGATACTGTTTATTTATTTATTTGAGACAGAGTCTCGCTATGTCACTCAGGTTGGAGTACAGTGGTGCAATCTCAGCTCACTGCAACCTCCATCTCTGGGGTTCAAGCGATTCTCCTGCCTCAGCCTCCTGAGTAGCTGGGATTACAGGTGCCTGCCACCACACCCAGCTGATTTTTGTATTTTTAGTAGAGACGAGGTTTCACCATGTTGGCCAGGCTGGTCTCGAACTCCTGACCTCAGATGATCCACCCACCTTGGCCTCCCAAAGTGCTGGGATTACAGACGTGAGCCACCATGCCCAGCCATAGGATACTACTTTTGGAGGCCTCAAGGTCAATATTCCCTCACTTCTGTGGACTGGAAAAGATTAATGACATCCCATTTCGTAGATGGTCTGGTTTGCTGAGAAAGGCTGGAAGCCATGCAAAGTTATTTTCACTGACTAATGATATGGTGAATGGAGGGAATTTTGCTGATTCTTATTTTGGGTTTGGGTGACCTCTGAGTGTCACTTGTCATTTTGATTGGTGTGGTTCACGAACGCTCTGAAAGTACATTTTAGGCTGATCCTGGTGCTGTATTAAGAGTCCATACATCAGGTGAGCAATGGGTATAGTCACTGTCTTTCACCATACTTGATTTCCTGGTGAATCTGAATTTAGCTTTAGAAATGACTCGGGGAAGTGGTTCTCAGACTTCTTGGTCTAAGGACTCTTTTACATTTTTAACTATTACGGACCAGAGATTGAAGGTTTCCATCAACTCAAAGATCTGTATTCTGTTAAACACCCCCTGCCAATTAAGCCACCTGAAGGCAGGTAGGGAAGCACCTGACAGTGACTGACAGTCCACTGCATGCCAGCCACCTATTTTTTCTTGGTGAATCCCAACGACTCCCCGTTTTTCTTTCTTTTTCTTTTTTAAAAATAAAGACGAGGCCGGGTGCGGTGGCTCATGCCTGTAATCCCAGCACTTTGGGAGCCCAAGATGGGCAGATCATGAGGTCAGGAGATCAAAACCATCCTGGCTAGCACGGTGAAACCCCGTCTCTACTAAAAATACAAAAACAAAATTAGCCAGGCATGGTGGCGGGCGCCTGTAGTCCCAGTTACTCGGGAAGCTGAGGCAGGAGAATGGCGTGAACCCGGGAGGCGGAGCTTGCAGTGAGCCGAGATCACGCCACTGCACTTCAGCCTGGGGCACAGAGTGAGACTCTGTCTCAAAAAAAAATAATAATAAAAAAATAAAGACAAGGTCTTGCTTTGTCTGCCAGGCTGCTCTTAAACTCCTGCCCTCAAGCAGTCCTCCCACTTTGGCTTCCCGGAGTGTTGGGATTATAGGCATGAGCCACTGCGCCTGACCCGTTTTTACATTTGAGAAGACAGAGCGCAGAGAGGTCAAATCACTTGCCCAGAGACCCTATAGCCAGTAGCTACTGGGTTCAAACTGAGATCTGTTCTGACCCACCTATGTTTTTCTGTGTCCATTCTGTCACTCTGCACTGTAAGAGGCAGAGTAAATGCTTCCTTTTGGGGAAGAGATAACTGTCCCGTGGTTGGTACTATGGCTCATAGATACACTTTAATAATATTTTGAATCAAATTGATGTGACTTGGACACAGTTTGGCCAAGGGAACATCTGCTGGGCTAGCTCAAGTCCAGTGTACCAAGATGGAGAGTGAGACTGTGCCTCACACGGGGCTGCTGCGTTGCACAACTCCAGGAGACGCCATTCATATCCTAGTTTATGTGAATGGCACTCCCTGGAGCACAGTCTCTGTGCATGTAGTTGGCAGTCCCGGCCCAGCATCAGTGTCTGTAGTTATTATCATCATAGACTTTAAGCTTCTTGAGGTCAGGGATAATATCCTACCTGTCTCCGAGTCCCCGTGGTGCCCAGGACAAGACCTAGGAGGATGGTAGGTGGTCCAGAGGTGCTTGCTTGATGTGAACACCTGCTCTCACCCTCTAAGCTGTAAATTCCATTAGGTCAGAGCCCCAGGTCCAAGGAGAATTCTCTCACACAGATGCTGCGCACACCAGTGGTTGTAACAATGCCGTTTGCCTCCTTCAGGTCTTGCGCTTCAGTCGTGGGCGAAGCCTGAGGAAAAAGAGAGAGAGGCTCAAGGAAGAGAGGAGAGCCCAGTCTGTGCCAAGAGATGAGGTGGCCCAAAGCAAGGTGGGGGGCAGTCCTCCCGCCGTCCCCACATCCACCCATGCTCAGAGGGTGGGAAACTATCTCCCTGCTTCGGCCAGGTTCACCTGGTGGCTGCCCGGCCCTCTCTGCCTCTCCTCCTTGCTGGAGCTCTTCAAACTGTTGCCAGTCTTTTTCTCTTTGGTTTCACATCCTCCATTCCCCAAGGTTTCAGGCCATGTGCCTCCGTGTGCGCTGCCCATTACCCGTCCAGTACACGTGGGGGGCACACTTACCAGCCCAGGTATCTGTGGCCTTTGCCCATGTCCTGCGGGTAGCACTGCCTCTCTAACACCATGCCCAGATTGTGTAGGGCAGTGGCTCTCAAAATGTGGTGTCCAGTGTGTCACCTGGGACCTTATTAGAAATGATAATTCTTGGGCCTCACCTCAAACCCACAGGATCAGAAACTCGGGTGGGGCCCAGCAATCTGTGTTGGAACAAGCCCTCCAGGGGATTCTCATGGGGACTAAAATTTGAGAGCCACTGGCACAGGCCACTTCCATTGAGGGAGGGGAGCAAGGCTATGCTAGCCTGTATGGCTCCCTTATATGAATTAGAAAAAGATGTCCCCTGGGCAGACCCACTGTGCACAGGGCACGCATGGTGAGCAGAGCCCGAGCTGATTTCAGCTCCTCTTGCCCCACACCTCCACCTCAGCTAGGTGCTCTTGTGCCGTGTAGCCCTGGAATAAACCATGCCTTTGAGTTCACTCAGGAGGGAGAAGTCTGGGATATAGAGACAGCTTTTGGCACAGAAAATGTTATCACCAAGTACTTGCTCTTCTATCTGCTATTTCACAATCCTCTCATCAATTTCCAGGGTTAAGGCATTACAACTCTGATTAACTTCCTAGATGTGAATTGTACATATTCAGTTGTGAACGTTCTCACAAGGACCAGAAATATGATATTTTTTCATTTCAAAGGATTCTTACTCTTTGCCATGAGTGTTGTGGGTTGGGGTGGGGGAGTGGGGGGTGGGGGGGGCGGGAGGGGGGCTGCATCCGAGGTCAAAGAATGAGTGAGTTATGTTTTGTTGAAATCTAAACGATCAAAAATCTCTAATGCTGAGGTGTTTTGTGTCGGGTAGGTTCCTGGTGTTCTACAACATCGAATTGGACCCAGGAATATATTTAGCTTAGGACCTAATAAATACAATAAAAGCCAAATGTTCAACCAACCAGGAAAACGTTCTATGTTAGTTAAGACCACCAAGCAGTGTTTCCTATGTCTGAAATTTATGTTATTTGCAAAGGTTCTCGTGGGTCCCTTACCATATGGAATCTTGCAAAGAATATTTGACCATATTAGTGAAAAAGGCCAAGGAAGCAAACACAATGGGTCTCTGGGCTTTTTCCTTCTGTAGGGCAGTGTCTCAGCAGGAGACACCCCCAGCAGTGAACAGGCTGTGGCCAGAAAAGAAGAAGCCAGAGAAGAGTTCCTGTCAGCCTCCCCAGAACCCAGAGCAAAGGATGACAGGAGGAGAAAGTCAAGGCCCAAGGTCAGGAGACACAGAAAGCAGCCCAGAGGGGTGGCTGGGAGGCAGGGTGGCGAGGGTCCTGGCAGAGCGTCATGCCCATCAGCTAAAAAGCCACTCACTTGGCTGGCTGGTTTGGAGCCAGAGCACAGAAATTAAATCTGGCTAACATCAGACATAAGGTGAATGTGCTGATATATTTCTTTTGACATGTGTGGCTTGGAGTAGGACACCATGAGGTGAAACAAAGTGGGGCTCTTTGCCCAAATGGGGTGACATGGGCGCCACCGACTGGTGTCAGTCTTGCAGAGGTCAAAGCGTTCAGGGGTGTTGTCTCTTCCTCTCTTACAGGTGTCAGCATTTTCTGACCCCACCCCACCAGCCGACCAACAGCCTGGACACCAGAAGAACCTGCATGCTCATAATCACCCTAAAAAGAGGAACAGGCATCGGTGTTCATCCCCACCCCCACCCCATGAGTTCAGGGCGTATCAGCTCTACACATTGTACCGGGGCAAGGATGGGAAAGTGATGCAGGTACCTGCAAAGCAGTGTCAGGAGAAGGGAACATAGGCCTTCAGCAAGGGTTTTTGTTTAACGGCATTCCTGGGGGCTGATAGGCACTTTAGGCATTGACTTAGTTGAGCACAAGCTTTGAAGGTAAGCCAGATGGCCTCCCCACCTGCACGGTGCAGATCCACTCCTGCTGCTAAGGCCAAGGCAGACAGGGTGTGTAGCTGCAGAGCTTGCTGCACAATCCTCAGGTGACTAGGTATCTTGAGGCCCCAGGGTATATAAAAGCACCTTGAGGAGAGGGACCATATCTTACCCTCTGAATTTTAGTGTCTGCTACACCCAAAATTTGGCCTATAAGATGTTCCAAAGTTATGACAAGGATGAGCCTATCTCTTCCATCATCTCTATCCCCTGGTATACTGCCTGGCACGTGGATGGTGCTCAAAACATACCTGATGAAGGAATGAACAAGGGATTGATTCCTTTTTTGTTTCTCTCTTAGGCACCAATAAATGGTTGTCGATGTGAACCTCTAATCAACAAGCTGGAGAATCAGTTGGAGGCTACTGTGGAGGAGATAAAAGCAGAGCTGGGATCGGTTCAGGACAAAATGAATACAAAGCTGGGGCAGATGGAGAATAAGACCCAGCACCAAGTATGTCATAAGGCCCAGCTTCCTAATTGCAAGGTGTTCTGGCAGAACATGAACTCAGGAACCAACTTCGACTTTAGCACACCCTTCCACCCTGGGAGTGTCCAGTGGGCTGTCAGGGAAGAGGCCTGCTTCTGCTTATGTGATTTTGTTAAAGTACATTTATTTCAGCTTTTTAAAGAACATGTTTAAATTGCTTATTATAGAAATAAGATATCCCCATTACAGAGCATTTTTAGAAATATGAAAATTAGGAAAATAAATCACCTATAAGCCCACTGTGCTGAAAAGCACTGTTAATATTTGGGTTTAGGCTGGGAATGGTGGCTCACACCTGTAATCCCAGCACTTTGGGAAGCCAAGGCAGGCAGATCACTTGAGGTCAGGAGTTCGAGACCAGCCTGGCCAACATGGTGAAACCCCGCCTCTTCTAAAAATACAAAAATTAGCCTGGTGTGGTGGCACACACCTATAATCCCAGCTACTCGGGAGGCTGAGGCATAAGAATTGCTTGAACCTGGGAGGTGGAGGTTGTAGTGAGCAGAGATCATTCCAGTGCACTCCAGCCTGGGTGACAGAGCAAGACTCTGTCTAGAAAAAAAAAAAAATTAGAGTTTATCTTTTTTGAGTTTTTTTATATGTCAATCTTTTTATATGTCAATTTTTGCTACACTCCTTTCCCATTGCATACAAAATTAGAATAATTATGTATTTTTTTCTTTTCCCAACTTTTTATTTTAAAAGTTTTCAAACATACAGAAAAGTTCACAGAATAATGGAGTGAATGCTTGTATATAATCCCTGTAGTCAGCCAGTTAATATGTTGCTGCATTTGCCTTGTCTCTCTGACACACATGTTTTTTTAACTCTTGAACTATTTCAGATTTAGTTGCAGACTGTCCTGACAGGGCATCTCTAAATATTTCAGAATGTTTAGAATAAGAATAACACTTTCAACTTCATAACAATATTGCTTTCACACCTGAGAAAACGTTATCCAGCCCATATTCAGATTTTCTCGGTTTTCGTAAAATAGTATTTGTTACAACTTTTTTTTTTTTTTTTTTTTAGATGGGGTCTGACTCTGTCACCTAGAGTGCAGTGTGGCAATCTCAGCTCACTACAGCCTCTGCCTCCTGGGTTCAAGCGATTCTCCCACCTCAGTCTGCTGAGTAGCTGGGACTAAGGCGGACGCCACCATGCCCACCTAATTTTTGTATTTTTTTGGTAGAGACGGGGTTTCACCACGTTGGCTAGGCTGGTGTCAAACTCCTGGGCTCAAGCGCCTCGCCTGCCTTGGCCTCCCAAGGTGCTGGGATTTTAGGTGTGATCCACCATGCCCTGCCCTTTTTTTAAAAAAGTTTTTGCCAAATTGATTAAGGACATTTTACTGTTTAAGTTTTATTTCCTTGTTTACTGGTAAGATGAAACATTTTTAAGGCTTATTTGCTATCTGTATTTTATAGAAAGGCCATTTTAAAAATATTTTCTTAGGTCAATAATAGATTAGTGAAGACTGTTTTGTATATAAAAACCCCACTTCGCCTAGCCTAAGCTGAAAGAGGAATGAGAGATGAATGTTGGGATACCTCAAGGGCCTCACTTCAGTTCAAGGGAGTGACAGATTGGGGTGTAGAATCTTAGTCCTCCTTCCAAATCACCAAGAAAGGACCGTGGCACCCTTGAGTCAGATGCTCATACCCGAGCCAGTTAGTGTGACCTGTGAACAAAGCAATGTATACCTATGGCTGCTCTTGAAAACAGCCACCTGGAGGAAGAGGTTAAGGGAGTGGGGAGAGTAGGCCAATCCTAGAAAACAGGAGGAGCACAGGTCACAGGAAAACATGGACTGAAGAGAAAAACAGAAGGTGCTCACCACGTCTCCAGAACGGATGTTTCTTTTTTCTTAATGTTTTGAACATCTGGGTGTGGAATGCCACGTGTGTCCCTGACAGGAGGGGAGCTCACCAGTGAGCCTTCGCGGATTGGCTCTTCCTAACAATAGTTCCTTTCATTCTTTGGTCCTTGTCAAAGCAGTGAAAGTTTGGCCCTCCTAGGTGTAGGGGTCCCACAGGAAATGCCAAGATGAAGGGTACTCCAGAAGGGCATGTGATTAAAAAGTGACAACTGCTTGTTCTCTGAAGCAATCCTTTAAGTTCCTTCTACACTCTTCTTACGTACTTTAGCTACTTCCAATGAAGCACCAAAAATATTTGCTCACTGCAAGAGCCGGATAAAAGCTCATTTTACTGCCTTGTAGGCAACCACTAACATTTTTTAAAGTGGGGTTGGGGAAGAGAAAAATCTCCATACTTTGAGATGTAGTTTTTTCTTACAGTAGTCTGGGAAATAATGTTTTAAGGCCTACAAGGCCTGCATGGGCTCAGGTTGTGTATTTACTGGATATTCAGAGTCTCTCTCTCTTTTTTTTTTTTTTGGCTCACTGCAACCTCTGCCTTCCAGGTTCAAATGATTCTCCTGCCTCAGCCTCCCAAGTAGCTGGGACTACAGGCATGTGCCACCACACCCGGCTAATTTTTGTATTTTTAGTAGAGATGGGGTTTCGCCATGTTGGCCAGGCTGGTTTCAAACTCCTGACCTCAGGTGGTGGGAGTATGGCGCACCACGCCTGGCCTGTATATTCATAGTCCTTATACCTCTTAAACTTTAACAAATAAGATTTTTTAAAAAACGAAACGTTGGCCTCATAGAAACATGCTCAAGAATTCTGAAAGAGTTCCATGAGTCCTACATGCAAATGGAATCAGATAAGGGGTTGAAGTTTGCATGCAGGGGCTCCTACTTGGTTCCCCAAGCCCCTCTGCAGGAGCTGAGAAGCCAGGGCTCACCCTGAGATCATCTCAGTCTTACACTCTGCTCCACTTCACTCCTAGATGCGTGTTTTGGACAAGCTGATGGTTGAGCGACTTTCTGCAGAGAGGACGGAGTGCCTGAACCGCCTGCAACAGCACTCAGACACAGAGAAGCATGAGGGGGAGAAACGACAGGTAGGAACCAGCATCTGCTAGTCCTTAACTTATGATTTACCACACAGGCCCACTGAGCTCAGGCAGGCCTGCCACTGAAAACTCAGAGGCTGAGACTCCCTAAGAGCTTTTACATTATATAGTGTATCATTTTTATGATACTGAAATGAGGTTAATAGAAAAGAACCTGTAGTTCTGTTTATGTCCGTGGCTGAATATGCTGGCAACAGATGAAGACCGAACATGCTGGGGAAGATGCCATTTCTGTCCTGAACTCATTCCATGTATTGTGCATTGTTAGGCCATTACAGTTTTAGAACAAGACATAGTTTCTACCCTCAGGGAGTTTACTGTCTCACCAAGATAAGAGACATGGAATGAGTACAGTGAGTGTGTGAGAACTCAGGCTTTCTAAGCAACCAGAAGTACTTGGTTTGGAAGATTTGGGTGGTTTTGGGGGTTGAGTTTAAGGTGGCTCTAGTCACTTAATGAAGATTGTAGATAGCTCTCTGCTTGGGTGCCTGCTGTGGCCTATAGGAAGGTGGCTTAATCTGTCTGTGTTGCTATAAAGGAATACCTGAGGCTGGGTAATTTGTAAAGAAGAGAGTTCTTTGGCTTATGGTTCTGCAGGCTGTACAAGAAGCATGCTGCCAACATCTGCATCTGGTGAGGGCCTCAGGAAATTCCACTCATGGTAGAAGGTAAAGGGGAGCTGGTATGCACAGATCACCTAGCGAGACAAGAGGCAAGAGAGACAGGAGGGAGGTGCCAGGCTGTTTTAAGCAACCAACTCCTTCAAAAACTAATAGAGCGGATGGGCGCAGTGGCTCACGCCTGTAATCCCAGCACTTT
Source organism: Homo sapiens (assembly GCF_000001405.40). Classification (NCBI taxonomy): domain Eukaryota; kingdom Metazoa; phylum Chordata; class Mammalia; order Primates; family Hominidae; genus Homo; species Homo sapiens. Next base: position 89,628,528 of record NC_000006.12, read on the forward strand.
GGGAGGCCTAGGTGGGCGGATCACGAGGTCAGGAGATCGAGACCATCCTTGCTAACATGGTGAAACCCCACCTCTACTAAGGATACAAAAAACTTAGTCAGGCGTGGTGGTGGACACCTGTAGTCCCAGCTACTCGGGAGGCTGAGGCAGGAGAATGGCGTGAACCCAGGAGGCAGAGCTTGCAGTGAGCCGACATCGTGCCACTGCACTCCAGCCTGGGCGACAGAGCGAGACTTCCATCTCAAAAAACAAACAAACAAACAAAAAAAAAAACTAATAGAGCAAGAACTTACTAACCGTGAGGATGGTACCAAGCCAGTCATGAGGCATTCACCCCCTTGACACAAACACCTCCCATGAGGCCCCACCTCCAACACTGGGGATCAAATTTCAACATGAGATTTGGAGGGGTCAAATATCCAAACCATAGCAGTGGGCAAGCCATAACTTTTGGGTTTGTTAGATGGTATCCTCAACTGTTATAATTGAAAAGTCCATCCTTGATGCTTTAATTCATAAACCATGTATCAAATTCACTTGATTCTTCTATGTACTTATTTGTGGGGTTTGTTTTTTTTTTTAAGATATCCTTGGTGGATGAATTAAAAACCTGGTGCATGTTAAAGATTCAGAATCTGGAGCAGAAGCTTTCTGGAGATTCTAGGGCCTGCAGAGCTAAATCCACACCATCTACTTGTGAGTCCTCTACAGGTAACCCACACACAGAGAGCCCTTTTGTCCAAAAGGAACACGACCAGCAGCTCTTGTACTCTCCTGCACTGAAAGGCAGTACGTATGCTAGGGCTGTGGGAAACACTGGATGGTAAAGTGCACTCTGTAGGGGCAAGGACTGTATTTTGCTCGTAACCATATACTCAGTTGCTATGTAATAATAAAGCACTCATTTATGTGCTCAAACTTATTTGAATAAAGGAATTAAAGAATTGTTGACTGGTGATAACATTGCCTTGAGTACAGTGTTGATAGTATCAGAGTGGACCCCAAAGATGAGAGGTGATGAAGATCCATCGGTCTCCTCAGCAGGGCTCTTCCTCCCTTGCCTTTTGTGCCTTTTACCTCTTCCTTCTCTTTGATCTGCCTTTTACTTTTGTCCAACTATGCAAATCCTCATTAAACAGCAGTTCTTACATAGAACTTGCCCCCAGTGCTAGATAGGAAATGCTGCAAGCAAACCATCTTTACATTAGCCACAGTGATTATACTCAATAATGACAATTTTGAGGACATTCAGAGCCTGGGTAACTAGGCCTCAGTGGGGGATTTTGATATAAGTGCTTTGTGTTACCACAGGCCATCTCTGGAACTGTGGTTTCATCTTTGTGTCAACAACATGGGGAAACATCCCAGGAAAATGTTTCATGCTAGGACTACTCTTAGGGCTTGTCGTGGAGCTCTGGGTGTGGAAAATGGGGCCTCCTTTCCAAATTGGAGCTTGGGTCAAGCAGTTAGTACACTGGTAGGGAATAGGCCCAGACATTAGAGAATGGGAATACATATTCTCATAGATAAATGTCCAAATCTGCTTTGAGATACTTGGTGAGCGGCATCATCCTTAGGCATCAGGAAACAGGACCAGAGCCTTCTCAGGTAGATTGAGGCGGGCTGAAGGAAAAGCCAGCAACTTTTTTGGCTTAAATGGGACCAGTGTGGCTAACACAGAATCCATGAAAGCTCTGACAAGCCAAAGTGATCATCAGAGGAGACAAAGTGGAAGGGAGGAACAGAAAGGTGAGAAAAGGCTCAGAGGAGACGTTACACATGGTGGGTGGTGATGGAGAAGGCTGGTGATATACAGGATCCTTAAGACTCTAAAATACTGACCCGCAGCCATATGACTGTGTGAATGTGGATTTGCTCTCACGTTTGTTTTCCTTCTGAAACCAGGTGTGGACCAATTAGTGGTGACTGCAGGTCCAGCAGCAGCTTCCGACAGCTCCCCTCCAGTGGTTAGGCCCAAAGAGAAGGCCCTCAACTCCACTGCTACCCAGAGACTCCAGCAGGAGCTGTCGTCTTCTGACTGTACAGGCTCCCGACTGAGAAACGTCAAGGTCCAGACAGCCTTGCTACCCATGAATGAGGCAGCCAGATCTGATCAGCAGGCTGGGCCCTGCGTCAACAGAGGCACTCAAACTAAGAAGTCTGGGAAGAGTGGGCCAACAAGGCATCGTGCCCAGCAACCCGCAGCCAGCAGCACCTGTGGGCAGCCGCCACCAGCCACAGGCAGCGAGCAGACTGGCCCTCACATTCGGGACACCTCCCAAGCTCTGGAGCTTACCCAGTATTTTTTTGAGGCTGTTTCTACCCAGATGGAAAAGTGGTATGAAAGGAAGATTGAAGAAGCACGAAGCCAAGCCAATCAGAAAGCCCAGCAAGATAAGGCTACATTGAAGGAACACATTAAAAGTTTAGAAGAGGAACTTGCCAAACTAAGGACTAGGGTGCAGAAGGAAAATTAGCACCAATAAAGAGGAAATATGAAAGGATTCTTGAAGATTTCCAGTTTTGCAACTGCATAATAGCTATGCCCAAGGAGTCAACTATTGTATATATTGCAGATTTGCCTTTTTAAAAAAATCACTAATTCTACAATGTGCCAGATACATGTTTCCTATGCCCAGGAAGTTATGAAGACTTCAACAATTAAACTGAAACCAGGGGAAGCTTGCTTAGTTTTGGGTTTCATTATAAACTCTTAGCCTCAGTCCAGGTTAATCTGAAGTTTGAAAGCTCAGATTAAGCAAGCCATGCCAAGAAACTGGACGATGTGTAAGCCTAGACTCTAAAATTCAAGATGTGTGAAATAATATAAGTCAAAAGCAAGAAAAACGTAATCCCGTCTGAACTCAAGTAGTCATTCATATAAATTTGAACACACCTGCTGTGCCTAGACAAGTGTCTTTCTGTAAGAGCTGTAACTCTGAGATGTGCTAAATAAACCCTCTTTCTCAAATTCGTAATTCTCCAACTGTTGACATTTTAATCACATGAAAAGTTATCAGATTTTTGAGGAGAAATATTTTCATGATGTCACAAGATCCAATATATCTTATGATAAAATTTATTGAAAAGTCAGTTTATTTAAATAATGAATAATTGGCTAACAGCTCTGGAAACAATGAGATCAAATGAGAAAGATTCAAATTGTTTGTTATTTTCTGTATTTTCAGTCAAAAAATCAGTTATATAGTGATTTTAAAGCAGATTAATGGAAAAAAATTCATGTAACAATTACCTGAAAATTTATAACCTATTCCTAATCAAACCCAATTATATCAGAATACCTTTCTGAATTTGAGATTTTTGCTCTACATTTTATAATGAATAAGGCTATTTTTTGAAAGTATTTCATTTTGAATTCTGTCATTAACCTCAAAAGCTTTCTACTGCTTTGCGGTGAAGGCAAAATATTCGATAACTCAACTTAGGCCCCACTGTTCCCCAACTTCATGGAGGCCAGAAGACTTTACTTTGTTCCATAATGAAATATAAACACAGAACAAAGTTGTAAAAGTAGCATGGATATGTTGAAACTTTGGACAAGCTTCTTGTCCTTTGGAATATGGGATTTATATTCATCTCCTCAATATCCCATGTATGCACAGAAACTTCAGTTCTATTTCTATAGACACAGGAACCTAGTGACTATTGAACGTAATTGTAATAAAATGCTGCTCATTGAGCCAAAGAGAAGAAATGATTTATTAACATGGGGACACCAAGAAAAACAAAGTATGCTTTTATTCCCTTTGTCAAGCTCAGTTTTAGGGTTTTTTCTTTTTTTTATAGTGACAATCCATAGATATAGACATTCCTAAAAGAAAAATAATTCAGTAGATATATGTCACTGTTACCTGAATATGGAATGAATTTGATGTTTTTTATTTTGTTGAGACAGGGTCTTGCTCTGTCACCCAGACTGGAGTGCAGTGGCATGATCACACCTCACTGCAGCCTTGGCCTCTCAGGCTCGTGATCCTCCTGCCTCAACCTCGCAAGTAGCTTGGGACTACAGGCGTGTGCCACCAGTCCTGGCTAATTTTTTGTAGATATAAGGTCTCATGATATTGCCCAGGCTGAATTTGATGTTATTTCAAGTTGATTTTCATGTGTTTGGGAGCTTGTCTTGTTCTCAACTACTACGCAGGTAGACAGTCTTCCCCCAGAGACTCATTAGATTGCAATATAGAGGCACTTTCTCATTTCCCTATTGTTCCTAATACAGAATTGTAGAGCTGGAGAGTACCTTCAGTTTTCTAAATCTATTCTCAAACAGGATATCACTAACCTCTTTAGAATCATTCCTCAGTATACATCAATTTATTGAGAACTGCCTAATACTCAAGAAATTAAATCCTGAGTTCAGTAGGCTGTGTTCCAAGCAGGAATTATTTTCACTTACCAAAATATCTCCTATTACCTCAAGGTATCCTTGTTGAGGAATGCTGAAAACTAAATTTTAAGTATCAAGTCTAGACCATAGAGTGCTTTGGTGGGAGTATTTTGATTACCTCCTACCCATCAGAAGCAGGCAGCTAATATTGTGAACTGAGTATTTTTGTCAAAAGTCACAGGGAAGAGACTACAGAAGAATGAGAAGGGTCAAAAGGACCTAGTGTGGCTTACTACATGGATCTTGTCTCTTGGAGGTCTGTCGTAGAAGAAGAAACAAATAGAGGTGATGAAGACACAGAACAGGCTCAGTCAGCATCCTCACCCAGAGATGGCAACATCTATTAAGACCAATGCAATACCTTTTCATCTTCAGCAAATGTTGTTTCATCTGTTTTTGATCCTTGGCATTGTCAAAAACTTAACTGCAGGTCCAGTGTATATTTTTCCTTATTTTTCCCTTTTAGCTATCTGCTAAAGTGAGTAAATGCCACAACTGTACTTTTCCAAAGAAAAAGAACTATTGACAACTTATAGCCTGTCATGCAGGTCATGTTTCAAATCAAGGCTGAAATTTTCAACAGCTGTGGGAAAAACTAAAACACAGAAATACTGTACAGTATTAGTGTTTTTTTAAAGAAATTGTTAGTGCATTATTGAGTATACTAAATATCTGTGATTAAATAAATTAGTTCTAACTTTTGATTTTGGGAGCCCAAAATAAAGGGAGTGTTGTTTTCATGGTTATGCCTTGTTTGTGGAGTCAAGTGTTGATATACTTGAGGCATGTTATGTGTCTTCTAATTAATATTTTTATCACCTTGAATTTGTGTCTCTTCCAAGCATTAAAGATACTATGGATCTTAAATTCCTTATTAAAAAAATGCAAGTGTGAATACTTTGTTTAGCTTACATTTTAATTTATTGTGGTTGACCACATTTTATGGCTCCTGAGTGCCTTCACCCAGCTACACTTTACCTTGTATCTATAAAAGTGTAATTTAGAGTAAATACATTGGCTGTAAAGTCGCGATCAGGTGCTCTCCACCAAAAGCAAAACAAAACTGCTGAAATGTGGCAAGGTTTCTCAGTGCAAGCTTAAATGTTTAAACTGTTGACCATTTGGAAAATACTGGACAAAGGGGAAGGACAAAACATCATTTGCAATAGTTAAAGGTTATGCAAGGCAAGGCAACATTATACTTTTTGACTAAGTTATTAAAAGTTAAATGCATTTCTTCTTTGAAGTGTGGATTATAAAAGCCAATCAAAGACAAAACCAGTTTGAAAAACCTTTTGTATTCTACAATACCTTTTATGAGTAAGAGTAAAACATACATTTCTTATTTGTAATTTTATTTAAGGAGAAATACTCTTTCCCTTTGATACGACTATAATATTATAAACAGCAAGGAATATGTTCTGCTTTCTGCAATTTTAGAAAGTCATTCCATTCTGGGTGACAGAATGAGGTAAGACTGTCTCTTTAAAAAAAAAAACAACTCACACCTGTAATCCTAGCACTCTGGCCACCGAGGCAGGTGGATTGCTTGAGCCCAGGAGTTTGAGACTAGCCTGGCAACAAAGTGAGATTCCCCCTCCTCTCTCTGAAAAGTAAAAAAAATTAGCCGGTCATGGTGGCACATGCCTGTGGTCCCAGCTAAATGAAAATCTGAAGCAGGTGGATCTCTTGAGCCCAGGAGCTCAAGGTTGCAGTGAGCCATGTTCGCGCCACCACACTCCAGCTTGTGCAACAGAGACCCTGTCTCAAAAAAAAGTCATCTGTGTGTTTCTTGCAGGCACATCTATGGCAATGCTTGTACCATGAATTTAAAACTTCTAACTTGATGGCACTTTTTTATTTTTTTTGAGACAAGAGTCTCACTCTTTCGCCCAGGCTGTAGTGCAGTAGTGTGTTCTCGGCTCACTGCAGCCTCTGCCTCCCGGGTTCAATATGAGGCAGCCCTCCTGAGTAGCTGGAATTACAGGCACGTGCCACCAGGTTAGGCTAGCTAGTGGCCTAGCTAGTCTCGAAATCCTGACCTAAAGTGATCCACCCACCTCAGCCTCCCAAAGTGTGTGGATTACTTGTGTAAGCCACAGTGCCCGGCCTTACCTGCTTTAAAAAACAAAAAAACTTAGGTTTTCTTGGAGTCTGTGCTAGTTGAATCTTGCAAATGCAAACCACATACGCTCTTTAATGAAAACCTTTCCATGCACACCACTGTTAGGAAGAGCATCATTAAATCACTGACTTCTACACCCATAAAAGGATGATTTTGAGTTTCAAGATTTTAGATTTACTAGAGATAGCATGTATCTATCAATCATGTCACACAAAAAATATTTCCAAAGTGTTCTCTGTTCAGAAACGTCACAAATGCTTCTGTTTGTCAGATCATTTTGCAACAGGTTAACTAATACTTATCTACATAAAAACCTGAAAATTGGCACAGGCAGGCATTTTGAATTAGTAGATTACCCCCATGGAACAGTATTCAGAATTATTTTGTCTTGTGGGCTCTGAGGCTCTGGGAGGTAGAGGTGGACCCTGACAGTCCAGGTCATTAACATCCACATTCAGTTGATGCCTCTCAGACACAGTCCAGTACTGGATACCATTTATCATTCTGCAAAATGTTGTCTACATCTTTCAGGTGCTGGTCATTCTTAGATTAGCTTCTTAGCTGTTCTGTTGATAAACAGAAGACTTCAATTTTCAGGATGGATGATTCCAACATCTTCCACAAGCTTTCACTTTCACTAAATTATTTTGTTATAAATTTGATCTCCTTCAAAAGTGCCTTGAAGTCAATTTTGGTTGTAATGTATTTGTCTCTGACGTATTCTTCAAATTCTCTTTGTTTTTTTTCCTGTCATTGGAGAACTGCACCCAGAATCTTATTTTTACTACTTCCATGTGAATGTTAAGGTACTCACAGAGGTTTCATCCAGAAGTCTTCCCTCTTCTTTCTGGTAAGTGCTTCAATGTGCTCATTAAGCTTCTCTTTCTCTTCCCTTTTCAACAAAGATCTAGATTCCCAGTGGTGATCTTTTTGATGAGTTCTCTATCAAACTATGACACATCTGAAGAACGTACCTGAACAACCCTCAGGGATAATGCAGGATTTTTCGAGAAAGTTCCAGGGTATCTCCTGGTGTCAGTATACTTTCAGTCCTACACCTCAAGAGTTTTTTAATAACAGCTTTATTGAGATACAATTCATACCTTACATTTAAAATGTACAGTTCAGTGGATTTGAATATATTCAAGAGTTGTGCAGCCTACACCACAAGCTAACTGTAGGATATTTTCATCACCCTGAAAAGGAACCCTACACCCATTAGCAGTTACTCCATTCCATCTACAGCCAGCCTAGGCAACCACTAATCTTTCTGCCTATTCTGGACATTTCGTATGAATGGAATCATCATGTGATCTTTTGTGACCGGCTTCTTTCACTTAACGTTTTCAAGGTTTATCCATGTTTAGTATATATAAGTCCTTCGTTTCTTTTTAGTGCCAAATAATGGCTATGGGCATGGGGTAGAAGTGCTAACTCATACAGCAGCTGTTTCATCTTTTGAGGAACTGACCGTCTGTTTTCTGAAGTGGCTACACCATTTTACATTCCCACCAGCAATGTATGAGGGTTCTGTAATTTCTGTACATCTTCACCAAGACTTATTATTATTTCTCTTTTTAATTACAGCCATTCTAGTGAATGTGAATCTCAGGGTTGTTTTTTTTTTTTTTTTTTAGAGACTGTCTCACTCTGTCACCCAGGCTGAAGTGCAGTGGCACGACCTCAGCTCACTGCAACCTCCACTTCCTGGGTTCAAGTGATTCTCCTGCCTCAGCCTCCCAAGTAGCTGGGACTACAGGCAATGCACCACCACACCAAGCTAATTTTTGTATTTTTAGTAGAGATGAGGTTTCACCATGCTGGCCAGGCTGGTCTTGAACTCCTGACCTCAAGTGATCCACCTACCACAGCCTCCTAAAGTACTGGGATTACAAGCATGAGCCACTACACCCGACCTCATAGTAGTTTTGATTTACACTTCCCTAATGATTGTGTCCAGCATCTACTGGCCATTTGTTAGTGGTTTTTTTCTTCTTTTAAGAACTGCTGAGACATCCATAAACATTTTCAAAATGCAGGGTATGTTTTTCAGTGTTAAGGCAACTGTTCTGATGTGTTTTTCCTTTGCTCTCTATCACCAAATACTGTACATATAAATAGTAAGACTGGGCTTTGTGTTGTCCATTGTTAATCCTAAATGCAACAAAACACATGGAGACTTTGAAAATCCTTCAGAATAATGCTATAGTTAAGATTTTGCTAAAGCAAGTGTTTTTTCTAACTCCTTGAGCTGCATATTGCCTTGAGTAATCATCATCCGGATTGTATCCTGTAGAATAAAGTGAAATCTGGTTATAGTTTTACCTGGTTAAACAAGGTATAGCTATACCATTTTATCTGTTAAAATCAAGAACCAATACTACCTATTGGAACTGCTGCCTTTTAGAAAAGCTAAAAGAGTTCCACATACATACATATAAAATGTACAACATAAAAGTCAAGTGATGATGCTGAAGAGTGTAGATACTCTTTTATCTACATATTTTAAAATACTAAATTTTAAAATAATAATTTAAAATCGGTAACATTACAAGCAATGATCAAGATATACCAGCTCAGTGGCACTATATTCCAAGATGTCTGCTAAACTTAAAAAAAAAAATTCACTGATCAATAAAAAGGGTTAGGATCTGTCCTCACCATGATTTTGTTCTCACCTCTTCGGTGGCACTTTTGTTTCTTCTGAATTCTTCTCTTGCCCAATCTTTCAGGTATTTGCGATCAGAATCATTTGGAACTTGCCGAATTGTTTGCAAAATCCTTCTGTAGAGGAGAAGAACTTGTTGCCTTCTTACGAACTGTAAAAGGGAGGAGTAAATAGCAATTACTACTGCACAATCGCCAGCCTGGAAAGTTCTACTTCAGCAAACCAAGCTGTAACCAGAGTACTTCTCGTTGGTCAATTTTGAAAAAGGCAAAGAAAAACTTTTTTTTTTCTTTTTTTGGCCAGATGCAGTGGCTCAGGCCTGTAATCCCAGCACTTTGGGAGGCCAAGATGGGAGGATCACTTGAGCCCAGGAGGTCTAAGCTGAGGTAAGCCTTCATTGCGCTACTGCACTCAGCCTGGGCGAGAGTGAGGCCCTGTCTCAAAAAGATGTTTTAAAGAAAGCATCACGAGGTTCATCTGATCTTTTTGCTTACTGCTCTGTCAAACCTAAGAACCATTAAAAAATCAGGAGCTGCCTACCGGGCTGAAAAGGGCTGCCGGTCTCCTAGAAGTTGTTATTACAACGACAGCACTTTTTCTAAATTAACAGTTGTTCAAATCTTTGGTAATCTCATTTGCTGTTTGCCACAGCTCAGTGCAATAGACTTTTACCGTGGGCACTGGGCAGCTGAGGCACCGGGACTCAGGGAAATCAAGCGCCTGACGCTGTCTCACGCGATCGCACCAAACCAAGGAAGCAGCCAGTGCCTCCCGTCAGGCCCCGCGGAGCGAAGCACCGCCCCGCAGGCATCGGGCCAATCTCAGAGGGCGCGCACGCCGCATCAGGACCCCGGAACCCGCCCCGTTGGGGATAGGGACAGATGGAGAATCCAGCTCAGACCCAGGTAAGCTGCTTTGGAAGGCAGAGAACCGCCGGTACCTGCTTTAACGTTAGCGTCGCTGGGGGTAAGCGGGAAGCAGCCATGTCCACCAGAGGTCCGCCGGAGCCTCAGCGCGCAGGAGCGGAAGTGGGGTTCGACCAAGGGGTGTGGCGAGCCCGGTTTCCTAGGAGACGGCCCGCGGGTTGCTCTCGGACTGAGAGCGCGAGGCTTCGGGACTGAGCCCTAGCTGCTGCGCTGGCCGAAGTTTTCTCGTCGGTAAAATAGGATAACAGTGCACCATAGGGTCGTTTTGATAAAGAAGAAAGGTAGGGCACTTAACACAGTTCCTGGTAAAGAGAGTTCAAATGAAAGTGAAGGAGGCCGGGCGCGGTGGCTCTCACCTGCAGTCCCAAGCACTCTGGGAGGCCTGTAAGGTGCCTGTAATCCCAGCTCCTCGGGATGCTGAGGCAGGAGAATCGCTTGAACCCGAGAAGTGAAGGTTGCAGTGATCCGAGATCGCACCACTGCACTCCATCCTGGGCGACAGAGCGAGACCCTGTCTCGAAAAAAAAGTTAAGGTTTTTTTGGGGGAAAGAGGTGAAAACGTATTTAAATGTTCTTTCGAGCCTTTAAAAATGTGTATAGTTGAAAATACTAAAATTGAAAGTGTTAATTTCTTTTACAGTTTGTGTTGGTTTTTTCTCTTTCTCGTTTTTGTCCTGTTCTTTTGTAGCGCAAAGGTTTTCCGGGAGCGGTGGCCTTCATGATCATTTGAAACAAAGCTTTGAATGGCTCACCCACTTCAGTCTTAAGCACTTTTCATCACTAATAACGAGGAGCCTAACATCCCTAAGCCTCAGGCTTTTGCTTTTATTTCCTTATAGTTGTTTTATCTTTCCCACAATACACATGCCTTTGGGTTAAATCACTAGAAGTGGAGTTAGCGAATCTTTGCCATATTAATTTTCCAAGTGGTGTTGTATCGAATTAAAATAGAACGAAAAATGTTCAATTACTAGTTTACTGGGGACTTGCTTGCCTCGCCTGTTAGCATCCTGGGGCTCCCTATTCCTAGCTGTGTTCTGGCTATTTCCCCTCTCCTGGCCTATTACCTCCCCTGTAAAGTGAAATATAGCATCTACCTCAGTTGTGTATCTCTAATGTACTGAGAACAGGTCCTGGCACATGTAAGAACTCTAATCATTAGCTCTTTTGAACTTTACCAGGCATTGTATGAATGATGCTAACTGCATGATCATATTATCAATAATATATGCCAAATTTTGTCTAATACATTAGCTGTAATAGTTAATTGCTAACTTTTTAAAAGGAGTGAAGTTAAATACCCCTCGCCATTTTTAGTTATACTGTTTTTGTGAATTGTTCATGACTTGGGTCCGTTTATGATGAGGACATTTATATGGGCTCTATATTTTTTGTCATTTCTTTATACATACAGAAACTTTATACAATCATGTATTTTTGTGCCTTTTGAGGCTTTTCATTTCCCATTCAGGCCTTTGTAATTCGTTTTTTAAAAACTTTAATTTTTAAAATATTTACTCCATCTAGAATTTACTTTGGTTTACAGCATCACGTGGATCTAAGTTCTTTTCTAGATGTTAAGCTGTATCAATACCATTGATTACATAACTCATTCCTTTTTCGGGGCTTTATGATGGATGCCTTTTTGACTGTATGATAAATTCTTTTAGGGTCTGAGTAATCTGTCCAGAATTGTTTCATTTAGGGTTAAGTTTTTACTTTTTGTTTTATATGTTTTTATTATCTGGCAGGACTCTAGTTTCTTGTAAAAAATCCATTAGTACTGTTCTCTATAATCTTTAGAAATGTTTTGTATCATTTCCCTCCAAATCATCTTGTGATCTTGGTTGGAATTTTGAAGTAGTGTTGAATCTATACATTAATATGTGAGAAAGACATTTTTACATTATTTCTTCTTCCCATCAAGAAACACTCAGGCCAGGTGCGGTGGCTCATGCCTATAATCCCAACACTTTGGGATACCGAGGTGGATCACCTGAGGTCAGGAGTTCGAGACCAGCCTGGCCAACATGGTGAAACCTCGTCTCTACTAAAATACAAAAAATTAGCCGGGCCTGGTGGCGCACGCCTGTGGTCCCAGCTACTTGGGAGGCTCAGGCAGGAGAATCGCTTGAACCTGGGAGACGGAGGTTGCAGTGAGCCGAGATTGCGCCATTGCACTCCAGCCTGGGCAACAAGAGCAAAGCTCTATTTAAAAAAAAAAAAAAAAAAAAAAAAGGGCTCACTCTTGCTAGACACTGGTAATGCTGTCGTGAGTCACATATGCTCCTTGCTCAAAGACTCATGCTTTGGGCAGGAAAACCTCTAAGTTCAATATAGTGCTAACAAAGAATGCTGCAGTTCATACTGTGGGAAATTATTCTTCCTGGAGGGCTTGTCTGAGCTAGGTATTTGTCAGAAACGCAGAATCACTAAGAGGATTCCAGACAACACATGGAAACACTGGCAGGAATGCTGGGAGAGGAGGGACAGGAGAGTCAAGCAAGAGCCTCACAGGTCACATGAAGAAGCTTGAATATTACCCTCTTCACAAGGGAGAGCTTTGAAGGGATTTTCAGCTACAGAACTTTTAGAAAGATCTTGGATGTTGTGAATAGGATGAAGTGAAGCAAGCAAAGAGAAGTTACTGGCCTGGCCAGGATACCATTGAAGTAGTCCCTGCTAGAGATTAAAAGAGTCCCAGTCACAGTGCAGTAGGGGGAGGGGGAGGGATGGGACAGGATATCCAGAAGCCTGACTGGACAAGATGATTAATTAATTTGATTGGGGTATGGATAGAGATGGAGAAGGAAGTAAAGCAGATGTATAGGTTAAGTCCCAAGTTTGTAAACAGGGTGGCTGTTGGAGTGGTCATCCCAGATGGGGAATGTTGAAGGAATGGGTTTGGAATAGGGGAATTAGAACACAGTGACATCCAGCAGATGTCTGAATATAATTAAGAATACCAAAGAGTAGATTTCCTGGACCCCTGGATGGAGAATTTTACAGTCCTTTTGCTTCAGTGATGGTGGAGGCCACGGGAGTGGTGAAGAAGTTATCCAAAGTGAGATTTTATTGTTGTTGTTGAGATAGAGTCTTGCTCTGTTGCCCAGGCTGGAGTGCAGTGGCACAATCTCAGTTCACTGCAACCTCCACCTCCTGGTTCAAGCAGTTCTCCTGCCTCAGCCTCCCAAGTAGCTTGGGATTACAGGTGCGCGTCACCACACCCAGCTAATTTTCTGTATTTTTAGTAGAGATGGGGTTTCACCATATGGGCCAGCCTGGTCTCAAACTAACTCCTAACCTTAAGTGATCCACCCACCTTGGCCTCCCAAAGTGCTGGGATTATAGGCGTGAGCCACTGCACCCAGCCCCAAAGTGAGATTTTTAAGACAGCATGGAGGACTTTTGTGTTCTGCTGTCCATTCCTTAAATATCAGAACTTACTTACTTACCTATTTGGCCAAGGCCTGGGGGGTTGGGGGAGGGGGGGGTGGGCAGGATAGCACAAATGTCAACTATCAACATGGCAGATTAATTGATCACTACTCCTGCAAGCCCCTGTTGGCAGCACAAGTTGAAAATGGCACTCTTGGGTTCCTGCTTCCTGGAATTCCTACTGTCCATGATCTCATGAGCTAACCCAGGGCCAAGGGAATCACTCTGGGCACACCAGTTTGAGGTCTAAGAAAGATGGAGCTTCCAAAGGCAGATGTAATAGACTGCAGCATTGTCATAATATTGGTGTCTTTCCCTCCCAGACTCAACCCTACTGGAAGATTAAACTCCCTGCCCCATAGAGGGCTTTAGCCAATGAAATGTGAGTGGGATGCAACATCATCATTTATGGAGGATAATTAATTTTTATAAGCCTCCTTATAAGGCTACACCAACTCATCCTTTTCATTCTGCTGCAAAGCCAGCATATTATAGCTCAGCCTACCATGGACATAAATGCAAATGATAACCTTTGTAGTAAGAGCAACATGGAAGTAGGAGGGGATCATGTTAGCACAGCATCAACTAGTAACAGCTGACTGACTGATCCAGCAGAGAAGATCAGTCCCCTAGCATACCTTTTACAATCCTGTCATCTTCCATTAAGAAGAGTCACAAATTACATCAACAACAGTGGTATATGTTTTAATAGTTTTCAGAATATAAGCTGCATAGCTTTTTAGAATAAAAAATGATATAACTTCAGGTACATGCTTTGGGACACTTGGTTAAACAAGGAATCTGTGTCTTTGATGACCACCTCAAAAGGGTCGCAGACTTCACAGTGTAACTTGGAAACAGACAAGGAGATAGATGATTACATCATGACATACTGCCTACAAAAGAACATTCTGACAGAACATTAAGTAGAACAGAGCACACAGTTTCAAGTATTCAGCACTGCTTTCTGGCCAAGTAAAAACTGCCTAAAGATCAGTTTCTTTCGACTGGAAAAAATAGATGGAGCTGCTGAGTTCTGGACACAGCGTTTCTTTCCCAGAATGAGACTGGCTCAGTCCAGCTTGAAAGCAGTGTGAGGAATCACTCTTCCCCTTGACTGTTAAGAAAAAAAAAAATGAACTAAACAAATAAATTACTACAACAACAGGGACCATGGCACTGAATGAAATAAAGGGGCAATCACCTTCCCATCATTGCATAGTCTCCCGAAGCAGCAAGTGTGAAAGAGGATACTGAAAAGCCACTTCATTTTTACACAGCCCAAGGATCGTTTTTATAGATGACCTGGGCACCTATAATGTCCAGTTGCTTTATGAGAACACACACACACCACATTCTTCCTACCCTCTAAGAGAAGGTAGTTCCTTTCACAATAAGAAAACACACCCTCATACTCTCCAGAAACGAGCTGTCTTGGCCACTTGACAGCTTTTGGGCACACACTATGGGCTTGGCAAGGCAGAGCTTAGAACAGGGTCAAAAGGGCAGCTCCCTTTAGTCCTTTATACAAAGGACTGTCAGAGTCCCATGCTCCTGGCAGCATCTCCTCAAGGCACAGGTGCCCAGATCCCCTGCAAAAGAAAACAGGCAGCTGGGCTCCAACGGTGGGGTATGACCTCCTCCCAGGCCAGGGCTTCCAAGGCAGGGAAGAAGGATAACTCTTCTCTAGTTACGAGTTCAGGCACCTGCTGCTGCTTCCAGGTTTGGTATAAAAACCTCAGCCCAGGCAAAGCCGGGAGCCAGAGAGCATTCTGTAGGCTGTAAGATCACGTTGTAAAATAAAAATATTACAATAAAATTTTTTGTAGTTGTCCAAAAGGGAGCACCTGGGTAAGCAATGTGACCTTCTGACCACAGTTAAGTCTCACTTTGGACTCTTCTTTCTGTTCTATGGGTGGTCAGAGGCTGTCACCAACTCAAACCACTGTCTGAGGGCATCGCTGAGTGTCTCAGGAAGTGCGTTTACATCTCGAAGAATGATATAGTATGGGAATGGGAACTCTTCCATGTAGGATCGGATTTCAGGCATCTCTCCAGGTCCTTTAAATATCGGTACTTTAATGTCCAAGATAGAATCCTGTCAACAAAAGACATTTTGAAATGGGGAGGCAGCGATTAAACCAGCATCCTTAGCTAGCTCTTCTGTGATCTCTTTTGCTAACTTTTACATCTCCTGTGTCTTATTCCTGCATATGAACCTACCTTTTATTACTAAGTAAAAGAGAATTTTCAGAACTCTACTAAGAAGGAGGTAGATGTCTTTCTGAGTGCCCCTTCCAGGAGGATGGACACTGAAAAAAAGGAAAAGGGATAGACAGGAAAATCTGCTTTCCCTACAGTGGTGTCTCCCCATCATCCACTTGGAATCATTCACACTAAATCTTTACCTTCCTATCAAGGCCTTAATGTGACCCACAGAGACAATGCTTCCCTGGAACAGAACTGCCCTATAGGCATATTTCACTAAGATGATTGATGCTTCTTGCTGTGAGGAGCTACTGAGACATAAGTTAAGTGTGGCAACACCTAATCTCCATTTCAAAGTGGTCAGTACCCATTATCAAGGCTGCAATACCTGCACTGACTTTGCATAGAGGGAAATGATGACCCACAGAGGATGGTCATTCTGAATCTTGGCTCTCCCACTCATTACCTATAACCTCTATGTGTTTCAGTTCCTTCAGTGTAAAGTGGGAATAATGATCCCTACCTCACTGGCTTATTGCAAAGATTAATAGAGAAAATACTTACAAGTGCCTACAATGGTACTTGACAGAATACTATGAATGCTGGGAGTTCTCAGTATGACTGAGTGATCCAGGCCATATTTCAGATTGAACAGGTTGAAGGGAATCCCCACTTTACCTCCAGAAAAGGTGGCTTTTAGTAGTCACTCACCCGTGAACTGGGATTGTCCAATACAACAAAGATGACAAAGATATTTGCATTCCGGGCAGCCTGAACTGCTGCCAGGACTCTTTCTTTGCCCTCAAGGAAAAGGCCTCGCCCATCAGAGACTACCAGGAGGAGTTGTGCAGTTTCTGTAGACCATATAAGACGAAGCAAGGGAATAAAATGAACAGCCATTTTTAATAACTCACAACTACCCAAAGTAGGACAAATTAGTGTAGGCTTTCTCTGTACTATTAAAGCTAAACAGACCTCTAAAGCTGATGAATTCTGGGCACAAACCTAAGGGACCTCTGATGAGATCTATCCCTTAGAATGCTTGAGTCAGAGACAAGGCATAATAAGGGATACTAAGTAAGCTTCTGTCAGTATAGAAGAATTTCTCAATAGTGCTTCAAGAAATGTTAAGTTCTGCTCAACTTCAAATTGTAGAGCAACATACTGTACATGAGAATTAAAACACTAGTTTATGGCTATAAACTTTAAAAATGATAGTACTGAGAAGGGCATTAGAAGAAAGTGGCCAAATCAGAAATCTGGAACTGTGTCTTCCAAATTTCAGTCGTTACATATAATCATCTTTAGATTTCTGTTAATTCCTTGTACCTAATTTCTATATTTTTTTGCCCTTGAAATTTGACTTGTTTAAACAAAAACAAATAGAAAGGAAACACTCAACACTGAATAAAATGTTTTAAAATTTTTGCTACATAGTGTTTCCAGCTAAAGATTATATAGTACATGAGTTGAGGGTGGGCTGTTTTAGCAAATGTTGACAGGTGTGAATAACTTGCTTCCATCAAAATCTGAAGCTTCTGCATGATACACTGAGAACAGTGAGAGATTTTTGGAAAAGAACTAAATAATTGGCATGTTTCAAGCCCCCAAAGTAAATGTGGTTGGATTAGCTGGTTTTTATATTATGTCCTTCTCTACTTTCCTCTGTTATTAAAATATTAGAGAATACAGTACTTGCAGGGGGCTGGTTTCAGGACACACACCCCCTCACCCCCAGTATACCAGAATACACACATATTCAAGTCCAGAGATGGCCCTGGAGAACCCGCATACATGAAAAGTTGGCCCTCCATATACTCGGGTTTTGCATCCCTCAAATGCTGAATTTTCAATCCACTTTTGGTTGGAAAAACTCCATGTGTAAGTAGACCTGATCTGTACAGACAAACCTGTGGTATTCAAGGGTTAATTGTAGCCTTTATATTTAATTCCACACACACCTTGCTCCTTTCTCTTATAAATCTGAACTCAAGTAAGTATATACTAGTTAGTGTCTAGATCCCCCATTGATTATAAGCCTCATGAGTACAGGTTCAACAAAAATTTCTGAATGAATGAATAAATAAGTAAAAATCAGCTCCATCAATTTATGTCTTTTCCTGTGGAGCATACCTATTAAAACACAGTGACGGGGACACTGAGCTGAAGCAAGCAGCTTGGGAATATAGAGTACAAGAAAGCATTTTGTTAATGAAGAGGAAGGCATGCAGCTCACCTGAACTGATGTTCTGCGAGAGCTGCTGAGCAGCTGCAAACATGTTGGCAACAGACTCTAGAAACTAAACCGGAACCAGGAATAGACAATTAGAAAACTATGTGAATGCTCTTCTCATTGTCAAAGAGACTGATAGTATTTCTGACATTGAAGTGATTATCAGATAACCACCTCAGGTTTACAGACCATCAACTAACTGTCCCTTCTGGCCGTATGTAGTTAAAAAAGGAGGATCCTTGGATACAGACATTCTGTTTTTTAATTATTATTTTTTGAGAGAGGGTCTCACTGTGTCACCCAGGCTGGAGTGTAGTGGCACGATCTCATCTCACTGCAGCCTCGATTCCTGGGCTCTGCCTCAGCCTGCCGCCAAGTAACTAGCACTACAGGTATGTGCCACCACACCTGGATAATTATTTTTGTCTTTTGTAGAAATGAGGTCTCACTATGTTGACAAGGCTGGTTTTGAACACCTGGCCTCAAGCGGTCCTCACACCTCAACCTCCCAAAGTGCTGGGATTACAAGTGTGAGCCACCATGCCTAGATGATACAGGCATTCTCAAGCACAGGTGAGACGTTTCTCTAACATATAACCCACTAGAGTTCTGGAAGATACCCCAAAGGAAAAGAAGTGCTTCCCTGGGGCATAAGAAATCAATACTCCCTCAAATAAACCAAACAGCTGTCTTCTTTCAAGAACAGAAAACAACTGAGCAAAAGAGAAGGCAAGAAAATACAAAATGTCCAGGGCAGCCTAGAAAAAGCAAACTGAATCAGAGCAGGACCCAGGAGAAATATGATCCCATGCTGTTTTGAACTTTTGTTCTCTTAAGTAAGTCACTGGCTTTACTTCATATCATTTCTTCTCTAAGCTTAATGAGGGAGAAAAATAGGTCTTGGCCCAGCTGATAAGGGTATGGGAGATGGGTTTGTTTTTGCAGAATGTTCCAAACTACTCGGAAAAAAAAGTAGGGAGCTAGAAAACCAATGATGCAAAGTCAAGTGATCCTTGAGGAACTGAGAAAAAGAAGTCACACCTTGTTTTATAATGGATGCTAAGGAAGCTTCTATTCCAGTGGTACACAGGCTGAGGTTTGGGACTATCCCTGTCCTAATACTGTATGCGGTGGAGGGTGGTTCTCAGCCCAGCATGGTGGTAATCCCAACACTTCGGGAGGCCAAGAAGGGAGGATCACTTGAACCCAGGAATTTTAGACCAGCCTGGGCAACAAAGTGAGACCCTGTCCCTACAAAAAATAAAAATTAGCCAGACATGGTAGCATGCGCCTGTAGTCCTAGCTACTAGGGAGGCTGAGGCAGGAGGACTGCTTGAGCCCGGGAGTTCGAAGCTATAGTGAGCTATGATGGCGCCATTGTACTCTAGCCTGGGTGACAGAACAAGGTCCTGTCTCAAAAATAAAAATGTTCTCCCTCCAACCTACACCAGTTTAAAAATAACTGTGCAGAAGACATTTTATTTCATCCTCTTACCTGAGCAATCTTGGTTTTCTTTTGTTGGAATTTGCAGAGACGTAGAATCTGGGACCCAGAGTAATCACTGAACTGCTCATGAAATGGGTGTAACAGCTTTACAGATTCTCCAAAACTTGGGGGAGGAAAACCAAATACAACAGGAGTTATTTTTTGGCTGTGTGATCAAAATAACCAAACAGGTTGTGAAAAGTTTTCATAAAGGAATTACAAAGCAACCTTACCTACACACTGCAATCTGACCCACTTCCAGGAGGGTTAGAGCATTTCCAATCACAGCCAAAGATTCAAATGCAAGCTGTGAATTAGAAAGTTAATGATTTTAGGAATCAGAATATCCTCTAAACCAGAGCCTCTCAACTATTTTTTGCATCAAGATTCCCAAAGAAAACATTTTTTTGTTTGGCAAGTAGAGGAATAACATCAGTAAGGCTACTATAGTCACAACAAACCCAAAGGCTTTGGTGGCCTGGTACCACAAATGTTGAAACCTAGAATCCATTACACTGATAGGAATGGTCTGCTGTAGACATCGAATAAAAAGTGACCTTGAGGGCCAGGCGTGGTAGCTCACACCTGTAATCCCAGCACTTTGGGAGGCCAAGGAGGGAGGATCACTTGAGTCCAGGAATTCAAGAGTAGCCCAGGCAACACAGCAAGACCCCACATCTGTGGTCCCAGCTACTTGGGAGGCTGAGGTAGGAGGATCACCTGAGCCCAGGAAAGTTGAGGCTACAGTGAGCCACCTGGGCAACAGAGTGAAACCCTGTAACCCTGTCTTCAAAAAAAAAAAAAAAAACAATTTAGCCGGGCATGGTGACACACACCTATGGTCCCAGCTACTCAGGAGGCTGAAGTGGGAGGACTGTACTGCTTAAGCCCAGAAGGTTGAGGCCACAGTGAGCTATGATCATGCCACTGCACTCCAGCCTAAGCAACAGAGCAAGACCCTGTCTTTAAAAAAAAAAAAAAAAAGAAAGAAAGTGACCTTGAGAAATATGGTCCATGAATTTTTCTTTCTTCTTTTTTGGACCTACATGAAGAGTAACCTCTTGTAGGTAAAAAATTTTAAAAACCAATTTAAAATCCATTCATATATATGTAGTCAGATCAGACTGTAGAACTATATCAGAAAATTTCATTACCATTTGCAATATGACAAAAGCAGCAGCAAACTGAGTGTTCTACATCTATTATTTCATTTAATCTTCATAACAATTCTGCAAGTATGAGGTTATTACTATTCTATGTGTGCTTGTAAATATATATATTCCTCACTTTTCAGAAGGTGAAACTGATAACTAAGAAATAAGTTGCCCAAAGTCATGTGTTAATAAATGGAGCTGGGATATGAACCCAGGTTCAGAGGCTACACTAACTTTTTCCAGCAGAACATACAAATTTTAGGTTGCTTATTAGCCCATGCTGTATAACAGCATCACTGCCCAAAACAAACACTCTTTGGCATCTGTAATGGTGGTATAAGTAATTCTATTAAGGCTCCTAAACTTAATATTAGCACTGATAGAACAATAACTCTGGATAATTTCAGATATAAAAGAAATGTATCCTAGATACCTACCTAAACTATCTAAGACTATGCAGTAATATCTGAAAACTTTGATTTTTTTTTTAAGAGTACACTGTTGCATTTTCTGCAAAACAAGCACTATCAGATTTACTTATTCTGCAACTAGACAGTTAAGAACAAACAGCAAGGTCAAGAAACAAAACAATGTAAAAGACCTACAACAGTAAGAAACTAACACATCTGAGACATCCTAAAATTGCCCTTTTGAACTCTTTAAATCTTAGGTCTTATCAAAGATGGTTATCACATTCTCAAAACAGGCCTAACAGGTATTTCAAAATGTTTTAGCCATATCATATTTAAAGCATTAGCCATATCATATTTAAAGCATTTTGGTGGCCCATGGAACATAGCTTGATGTTAATTTCCTATCAAACTGCCACTGCATTTCTCTTCCTTACCTGCTTGGTATGATTGTCTACCATACTAGAAGAGTCATCGATAGCCAAACAAATCTGATACTGGCGTTTACTGGGCTTGGTCCTTCGAAGCCAAATCTTGTCTTTCCGAAATTGACTAGCAATGTATGGAATGACTTTCCGTATGTTTAGTCGTTTCCCAGTTCGATAGTCTCCTCTATTTATTCAAATGGGGGCAAAAATTAGTTAACAACTTTTAATTCCTGAGAATTTTTATTAAGGACAAAAATCACAATAATACCTTAAAACCAATAGCAAGTAACTAGGAACCTGGCACAATGAAGTGTTTCTGTCAATTGACGACTAAGGATCTTCTTGACCTCTAGCCAGAAAAACTGGACACGTATGTGGCAATAATAATTAGGTCCTTCCAGACACATTTTTAAAAATTAGGAAAAAATGCACTAAATAGGAATGATTTTGGACATCTTTGAAAAGATCTAGGTGAGTAACACCTATAGCAAGTGAATAGCTCAACATGTAACAAGGTGATCAATACAGACACCCAGAAACTTTTGTGCAGAGACAATAATAGGAAAACAGGGTAAGGAACAGCATACTGGTGCCTGTACGGCACAAGCGGCAGCCTAGAAGCTGGCACTATAAATGGTTAGGTGCCGCGTTCAACAGAATCAATGAAGCTGCCGTCTTCTCAGGGCACTGTGAGGCCTTCCAGAGGGGAAGACTTACTTCAGCTTGGCTGCCTGGGTAGGCTCTAATATGAGACGAAGCTCTTCACATAACCGTTGTGAAAGAGGCGCTGTTAAGATCAGGTAACTCTGCCACATCTCAGCTGCAACCTTCTCCTGTGACAACAACAAAATGTAAGTTACCCTCAGAATGTCAGAGCCAACCAAGTCTTCTAGCAAGATGCAGGCTTTAAGCAAAGTGGTAGAAAATGACCTGCATGAACTTTCTCAACAGAAGCACTTTAAATCTTCTCCCAGCAAGCTACCATGTAATTTACTTGATTAAAAATGTCTCTCCTTCCAGCTGAGGGTGGTGGCTAATGCCTGGTAATCCCAGCACTTTGGGAGGCCGAGGCGGGTGGATCACTTGAGACCAGGAGTTCGAGACCAGCCTGGCCGACATGGTGAAACCCTGTCTCTACAAAAAAAAAAAAAATACAGAAAATTAGCTGGGCATGGGGGCAGGCACCTGTAATCCCAGCTACTCAGGAGGCTGAGGCAGGAGAATCGCTTGAACCCAGGAGGCGGAGGTTGCAGTGGGTCAAGATCGCGCCACAGCACTCCAGCCTGGGTGACAGAGCGAGATTCCGTCTCAAAAAAAAAAAAAAAAAAAAGAAAAAGAAAAAAGTTGGCCCGTAATCAGCACTTTGGGAGGCCAAGGCGGGTGGATCACCTGAAGTTTGAGACCAGCCTGGCCAACATGGTGAAACCCCGTCTCTACTAAAATACAAAAAAATTAGTCGGGCGTGGTGGCAAGTGCCTGTAATCCCAGCTACTTGGGAGGCTGAGGCACGAGAATCACTTGAACCCGGGAGGCAGAGCTTGCAGTGAGCCGAGATTGCGCCACTGCACTCCAGCCGGGGCAAGAGAGCAAGACTCCATCTCAAAAAAATGAAAAAAAGTAAAAATGCTAAGGGCAAATCCCTCCAGCAACACACTCAACACAAAGCCCCATGATTTTTCTGCCAACTATGGCAGAGCACTGAATACATATATGTGGTGGGAGTGATTATGACAATAGATATAAAAGTGAAATGTGTATATAATACAGTAAATTTCAGATGCAAAGTCATTAAAAATAAGACTGCTGGTTAATCCACACTACCACGTTAAGTCAGCCAGCAGTGATCTAGCTGGCCTCTTCTTAGGATGGCACAGCATAGACTCTTGCCCGGTTTTTCAACCACTGTCACAACTATTAACATCCATTACAGAGCCAGCAACAGAAATTAAAGGAATTAAGCACACCAATTTCTGTTTTAATTAAGCTATAGATCTAACAGCAAAGCAGCCAGAAACTGATGGACAGATCTGTAGGCTTTAGGATTGTAATTATATTCTCCATATGCCTGGTCCTTTTTGTTAAGGTAATTGCTAAGAACCTATTAAGTTTGCTATATGTTGAACAAACAAAAAAAAAGTCGAGATATTTTATGAAAAAAACAGTGAGCAGTGACTTACCTCCTCTGGGTTTCCAGATTCACGTGGCTGCCACATTTCCAGCTGTCTCTCCAGCTCCTGTCTTAGCTCATTGACATCTTTTAAAAAGGGCTAAAAAGAAAAAGCCATAGATAAGAGGTGGCCCAGGTTGGAATCACCAACTTAGTATCACTGGGTGTCTTCCGCCCTACAGTATGAACTCAAAGTACATAGTCAAATGCTCCTGAGATTCAAAACTTAATTCAGCAAATACAGTGGCACAATGAGAAGATGCCAGACAAGCATTCTGCTTCCCTCTTAGAGAGACAATATGGATAAAGAAAACTTTAAACATTTATAAAGCCACTGTAGCAAAACAAAACCCAAACACCCTTAAGTCATCAATAATGAAAATGTTATCTGATTAATCAAATAAGTCAAACTCTTAGCTCAAGAACTTAATTAAATAGCTCTTCATAAATACAGGCACTAAGCCAAAGATTTTTTACTTAACCATCACAAACCTAATTGTCCTGAAGATTCCTTACACAAGGATGGTTAGAAAAGTGGGATGTGAGTCCCAGAGGCCAAGGACCAGACCCACCATCACAGACAGGTCAGGGCACTGTGACCCTGTGATTAATTGCTGGAACAGTATCACGTGCTTGAAGAACACCTATCATACCAATAGTATTCCTAAAAATTTTGAATAAGAACATGAAACCCCTCAACAACCAGATGTTCCATAAAGTTCTAAAGACAAAGATTTAAAACCAGTTTAAAATTTTATTTTGTTAATTTATTAACACTATATTAATGCAGTAATTTGTGAGTTTTACTACCTGGAAGATCGTGTCCATGAGGAATTGATGAGCTGTATGAATGGTAGACTCTCGGCTTCTTTCTGGTTTCTCATTTTCTGTCTCCTTATGGGCTTTGTCTGTTCTGGGGTCTTGGTCTTCCTCTGTTTTAACAGTTTGGATCTCCACTTCCATCTCATCAAAGCCTATTTTCATTTAAGGACATAATTTTACTTATAATATTAGCCTGATGACTGACCAAGCCTTTGCTATTGCCTGTTAATCCTGAAAATTAATCAAACTTCATTCATTCACTCTCCAACACATTTCCACATGTTGATTTCAGAGGTTCTTTCTCTCTGAGACACTCATTGCCAACCCTTACTCTCTAAACTCCCCTCCTCCTCACCTGATGTTGAAGGCAGATGTTCTTGGAAAGGGAAATAGGGGAAATTTTGGGTTGTCCTAAGAAGCCTTGTAAAACTGTATGATTCTTGAAACTATATGCATGTAAAACTTTGACAGAAATAAAAACTAAAAGCCACAATTCCATTTTACAGAAGAGGAAACAGGCAAAGAAAAGATCAATAATTTGCTTCAACTTGTGAGGTGAGAGGCAAAGCCTGGCTTGTCACATAGGATAGTCAACCGTTCTAACAGTTCTAACGCTCCTGAGAGGACAGGAACTAAGCAGAAGAAAAAGCCTCTGAATTTGGCAAGTTCTTTTGAATTTGCATTTATTCCATTGCTGATGAAGCTATTTTTTTTGCCAAGTAATTAATAGAACTTGGTTAGCTATGAAAGGGAAACTCCTCATTCTATTTCTTTTAATATTTTACTGCATTTTATGCTAATAGCATATACTTTTATATAATTGAAAATATCATTTCTCTAATACTATACCTTTTCATCATAGCTGTAGTAAGTGTACTATTCTGGTTTCTTCTACATATTTTTTAAAAACTGATGAGATTTTGCCAGAAATTCAAGTTTCAGGGGACTCCTTAAAGGATGGTGTCCTGCAACACCCACCGCTGTCCATATTTTTGTTTTCTGGTCCCAAACAAAATATAGTGAAATTATTATAGGCAATTCATTCATCTAAGCCATGGATTAGGACATGGAACTGAACACCAGACTAGATTATAGTGAGAGAGAACTGACTACTTCAAGTCAGAGCGCCTGGGAAGGGTTTGTTCACTAGCAGGACTCACCCAAGGGTGCTGTGGTGCCCGACTTGATTTCCTCTGGCTTCAGCTGCTCCACGTCTGCTGCTTTGAACTCCTCCTGCTCCTCTGTGTCCATAAGGGTGTCCTCTATCTCCTCCTCTTCCTGATCTTTGCCAGAGTCTTTTGCAGACTGTTGCTGTTCTTTGCTGGCCACATCTGTCAACAAAGCACGCACCCACACATAAAAATCCTAGGTCTTTGCAGAACAAAATAATAATAAGTGGGTATGGTTTCTGTCATTCTAGCTTCCAAAATGCTAGTGATGCAAGTTGTGCCACTGACCAGCTATGTGGCTTGGAGACTTGTCTGTGCACAAGATTTCCTATTGACCTATTGACATAATGAACTGCCTGTTCCCTACCCCCTACAGAAATTATGAGGATATAATGTAACTATACATGTGACACTGGCTGCCTTCCGCCCTACAGTATGAACTCAAAGTACACCGTCAAATGCTCCTGAGCATTTGACAAAATAGGGTGTTTAACTGGGCTATAGGGTGACTCTAACAATAATTTATTATATATTTTCAAATGACTAGAAGAGCAGATTTGAATGTTCCCAACACAAAGAAATGATAAATGTTTGAGGTGGTAGATAAGCTAATTATCTTGACTTGATCATTAAACATTGTATACATGTATCAAAACCTCACACTGTACCCCACAAATACATATCATTATTATAGGTCAATTAAAAATAATAAAAAGTAGTAGAAAACAAGGCACAGAAAGACGAATAGGAATCCCAGCATTGTGATCTTGCGTGAGTGAGTTCTTAAACCACCTGGCCTCAGTGTACTTAACTATACAACAGAGAGACTCTAGCTCATAGGATTAGTTGAGGAAGTTTATGATCACGCAGCAAAGGCTCAGAAAAGTTTTTTGGCACAAAGCAAAAGCTCAATACATGGTAGCTACTGCTCTATTTTTTTTTTTAAGTGGGATCAAGGAGAGAAAAATGTAATCCAATGTAGAGCAGTCATTTTCGTACCATCCTAAATGGTAGATTATTCTCAATATAAGTTTACATATTAGGAATGAAACTGAAGTCACCAAGAGAACCAGAAGGGGAGACTGACCAATGACCTCATGCTGAGACATTTTTCCTCCCTTTTGCACTTATGGAGAAAACACATATTTCAAATTCATAGCACCTGTCAGTGCAGGGACCTATCCAGAGGTGACTAAGAAGAAAGAAATGTCCAGTACTAAGAAACCCTGATATCGGGGTTTGGATGTGAACAACTTATTTTTAACTATTATATTTAAGGATATTTAAAGAGTTTATACTAAACCAAGAAATCTTAACCATCTTCACTTGGTTACAGATACCTTTGTACCAAAAACAAACTGTATTTCTGCACATTTCTTATGTTTACAAAGCCATTTCCTCTCTCCCCTGATATAAGTGTATACAATCAGCTGCCAGGCACAGCTGACTTGACTTGATCATTAAACATTGTATACATGTATCAAAACCTCACACTGTACCCCACAAATACGTATCATTATTATAGGTCACATAGCACAAGCTCTCATAGAGAGCTCAGTGGGCAAAGGCAGCAGCTTTCCCAGGACCGTACCATAGGTCTGTGCATCGTATGCGTCACTGCCTTGTTTAATGTGCTCGAATGCATCTGCATCCTCCACCTGGGCCTGGGGCTGCTGAGCTGGCCCCTGCTCGGCATGGCTGTCCGTATCCACAGTCCTCAGCCTCTTGTGCACACGCTCATTGTGATCACCCATGGAACGTTCATTGTCAGCCTGCCCAGGTTTCCTCTTAAAACTCTGAGAAATACAAGGAAATTCATCAGAGCCTTGCCTGTCATGACAAAAGGACTCAAAGTAAACATAATATCCATCTATAGGGGACAGGATAAGTAAATCAGGTGTAGCCATACAAGAATGGAATTCAATACAGCTATTAAAAAGAACCGGGACTCTATATACTTACATAGAACAATCTCTATGATATACTTTTATATCTAAAATGAAGGCAAAGAAACACACTTTCACACATCCATATATGTCATATATGCAGAAAATATCTCTGAAAGAAGGAATTGGTAACACCAATTTGCTCTGAGGAGGGTCCCTTGGGGACAGGAATAGGATGTAGGCTTTTAGGGGATTGGTTTTTTACACTAATTTTGCATCACGTGCATAAATTATACCCTACTTAAAAAAAAACTTACTCTTAAAAAAGCAAAAGCCTATGGACAATGAAAAGAGTGAGACGGTTTGTGCTGGGCAGCCGCACACAGCACTTGGCTCTTAAGACTTCATGGCCGGAATCAGGGGTCGGGGAGAGACACAGGCAGGGAAGAAGCCGTGACGGGATCCCACTGGGTAAACCCCATGGTCGTGGTCTGCTCACCAAGGCTGCTATCATATCTGATGCAACAACAACAAAAAAACCAGGAGTATAGCTTTTTTTTTTTTTTTTTAAAGCACTACGTTTGGAACATCTTTTTCTACATGCTGCCTTCACCTAAGTTTAGCTGAGGAGTGATAGAAACCTGTGTGTTTTTCCTGGTGTGCTTCTGGGAGGCCAACTGGGCAATGAAATTCGATTCATGGCCTTCTGCCTGGTTTGCATCTGCAGCTCCACTTCCGTGTTCCTAGGAAATCCAAGCCACAAAAGAATGAGGTGAAAGAAGCTATTACAAGTCCCTGGTTACTGTGCTGCATTGAATACAACTTCTCTCACTGCTGTCCTTTATTCTCAGTCATATAATCACTCCTGCCTACCTGCCTGCCCTGGAACTCACCGTAACTAAGGCCTGGCCTACAGGCAGAAACAGGAGTGTCTAGGTACAGACCTTATGTTAACCTCTCAGGGGCCTTTGTAAGGCTGCTTAGTTCTTTGCAGGAATATTATGTCTCACTCCAAAGACAGGACAGACCTCAATTAGAAACCAGGCTTCATCATCAACCAGCTATGTACACTTGAGGTTGTCATTTAACTTTACTGAGGCTTATTTTTCTCAAATATACAATGAAGAAAATAGTACAATATCATCTATCTCATGGGGACATAGAGAGGACTTTCTGAAGTACTGAAAATGCTTAGCACCTAATGGGTGCTCAATGAATATTTGTGGTGGTGGTAGTCATACGGTATAAGCAATATAAATGGTTGTTATTGTCAGTAAGAACTAGGACTCAAAGAGACTAAAGTTGTCCAGAATCACCACTGTAACCAGCAGGTCCTGCGTTGACATCCCATGTTCTTTCCATAGCACCCAGCAACCTGAATTGTGGCCATATCAGAACACATCACCACCAGATCAAAGAATGAAAAAGTTATCTGCTTTTTAAATTAGACGTTTAGAAACCTGATGATGAGCAAGGAAAAGCAAAACACCGTTAAAGGTATACATTGCCTGAAGTCTAAATTCCATGTTTCCTTCCTGGAGAGCTTTCTGAAAAACAACACGAACCTGATTCTCCCATCTAGAGCTACCAGTCTAACAACTTTTTCTTATTATGCACACCACTTAAATACAGCCGATATTCCGGGGTTTGTCCTGGGAGGCATATAAAAATAAGTAGCAGTCATGTACCACACAACAACGTTTCAGTCAAGGAAAGACTGCATGTGCACTGGTGGTCCTGTAAGATAATAACACGTTTTTACTATATCTTTTCCATGTTTAGATTCACAAATACTTACATTGTGTTACAACTGCCTGCAGTATTCAGTACAGTAACATACTGTACAGGTTTGCAGCCTAAGGGCAATTGGCTCTACCATTGAGGTTTGTGTAAGTACACGCTATGGTGTTCGCACAATGACGAAATTGCTGAATGAGGCATTTTTCAGAATGTATCCCTGTCTTTAAAAAATAACTGTTCAGTCACGCGTTGCTTAAAGAATGAGATGTGGTCTGTTAGATGTCAACAACAAAACAAACAACAAAATAACCAAACATAAACCAACTAATGCTACACAGAATGTGATGTCGGACAGGGAGAAGAGACCCTACTAAGAGGCAGCTGGCGGCTGCAGTGAAACCACTGATCACCTCTTTCCCCTGCTCCTTCTCAGGTGCGGCCCCAGCCAGCTCCATGGCCTGTGTGTTCTGCATGTTCTCCACACCAGTCTGCCCACAGGAGGCATGCTCCTTCCTCTCCAAAGCCTCTGGCACCTGCTCCTCTGTATCAGAGTCCTCCCGTTCTTCTTCCTCCTTCGGCAGAGAAATCAAACACAGCATTAAATGCTCTGGGGGAACAGCATAAGGTGGGAGACCTTGCAACAAGCAGGCTTCCCCACTCCTCACTAAGGGTCTTAAAACAGAAACCTAGAACTCCTCGGAAGTGCCACATGTTGATGGAGGAGTATCCTAAAAGGGATTCTAATGGGAATAAGGTGACTTCTCCTCTTCCTCATTATTTTTAACATAAAAAGCCAGACATCTCATGATACCTGGGGCTGGAAACCTTGGTCAGCAGGGCCATTCTCTCCACCTTCTTCATCGGCTTCCTTGTCTTTTTCCTCCACAGACTGCTGCTGCTCCTCAGAGTGTTCTTCAGGATGCTGAGCAGCATCTCCATCTTGGTCATCAGCTCCTGTGTCCATTTCCTCTTCCCCTTCTGCCTTGTCATCTTCACTGGGGCCTTCCTCAGGCTCCTGTGGACTCTGACTTTCGTTCTGGTCGGTCTCGGTCTCTCCTCTTTCCTCAGCTTCATGACCTGCTTCTTCTGGTTTTTCTTTTATCTCCAAAGGATTCTCTTCTGTATAGATACAACAAAAAGGAGGAGTGCAGAATTTTTGAAACGTACATGATTTCTTAAGCTGGGAGCTACTTATGCAAGTTTTGTCTTATTACAATTCTCTAAACCAGCGAGTGGCAAATTGTGACCCACAGGCCAAATCTGGCCTCTACATGTTTCTATGAAGAAAGTTCTACTGGCTGGGCACTGTGGCACATGCCTATCATCCCAACACTTTGGGAGGCTGAGACAGAAGGATCACTTGAGTTCAAGACCAGCCTGGGCATGCATCATAGTGAGACCCCATCTTTTACAAAAAATAAAAAATTAGCCATGCAAGGCGGCATACACCTATGGTCTCGGCTACTCAGCAGGCCGAGGCAGGAGGATCACTTGAGCCCAGGAGGTCAAGGCTACAGTGAACTATGATCATGCCCCAGTACTCCAGTCTGGGTGAGAGGGCAAGACCCTGTCTCCAAAAACAAGTAAAGTTTTTACTGGAACACAGCAACATATATTCTGTGTTTACCCCATCCGTTTTGTACTGCCTATGGCTGCTTTCACTCTGCAACAGCAGAACTGAGTGTTTGCAATCGAGAGCTTATGGTCTGCAAAGCCAAAAATATTTAATATCTGACACTTTATAGAAAATGTTTTCCCACCCTTGTTTTAAACCATACTCATACATACAGTTGTTTTAATGGCATATTTCATTAAAAAATAATAGCTAATCCACCCAAAAAAACCCCCATAAACAAACAAACAAACAAAAAAACACAATAGGAAAATTTTAGGCCAATGGAAATGGCAGCTTAATGCTCAATTATCATTGTGAATAACTGGTGGATGTCATGATCATATACAGAAAATACAACTCACACTGAAATAGAAACACTCTTATTTTGAAAAAGTTTTATCAAAAGAGATTTTCTATACTTTGGACACTTCAAAAATCAGTTATTAGCAAATTCTTAAAATAACTCTTATTATTTATTTTTTTATTTTTTTGAGATGGAGTCTCGCTCTTGTTGCCCAGGCTGGCATGCAGCGGTGCCATCTTGGCTCACTGCAACCTCTGCCTCCCGGGTTCAAGCGATTCTCCTGCTTCAGCCTCCCAAGTAGCCAGGATTACAGGCATATGCCACCACACCCAGCTAATTTTGTATTTTTAGTAGAGACGGGGTTTCTCCATGTTGGTCAGGCTAGTCTTGAACTCCCAACCTCAGGTGATCCGCCCGCCTCAGCCTCCCAAAGTGCTGGGATTATAGACATGAACCACCGCGCCTGGCTAATTTTTTAATTTTTTAGAGACAGAGTCTCGTTCTGTCACCCAAGCTGGAGTGCAGTGGCGAGATCATGGCCTACTGCAGCCTCAACCTCCTGAGCTCAAGCAAGTCTCTCGCCTCAGCTCCTGAGGAGCTGGGACTACAGGTGTGTGCCATAATGCCCAACTAATTTTTTTTTCTTTGGTAGAGACAGGGTCTCACTATGTTGTTCAGGCTGGTCTCAAACTCTGAGCTCAAGTGATTCTCCCACCTTGGCTTTCCAAAGTGTTGGGATTACAGACACAAGCCTCTGCAACCAGCCTACTGGGTTTTTTTTTCCCATTATCTATTATTTAATTAGCAAACAATTTTAAATAATTGTTCCTTAGTTACAAAACGAGTCTGGCTATTTAAAAGCAGACAGCATATTACATTCTCAGTGGATTTTAATTTTCTTAATTTTATGCTTTCTTGGTAATTGACTTTGTTTGCAACTAGATTCCAAAATTAATTTTTACATAAATGGCACCTCTTATTTATTCCTTTGTAACTTGCTATTTTTGTTCTAATACAGCATTATAAAAATATACATATACATTTTTTAAAATAGATTTTATAACTATGTAACTGACTCATTTATCAGCGAGGCCAGCTCACATCTTTCTGTCTGATTAAGCAGCAGCAGGAATGGGGCCCTCTGTTACAGGGGCACCTCCAACACAATGCTTTCAACTAATACCAGATAACACTCCCTAAAGGATTCACTAGGGTTGAAAAATGGACAACAAAGGCACGAAATACTGTCATATGCCATGCGATTTCTCTTGGGATTATTTAGTCTCATTCCTCACTACACATGACAATCAATAACTGAAACCATCATTTCCCTAAAAAAGCTATAACTGGACTCCACGACAGCTTGGTATACCCAGACTGCACAGCGTTTACACCATCCCATGAGATGGGATACACAGTAATGGCTGTGAAGAGACAGTGCTGTGTGTGAAGCACCACCAGGGCATAGCAGTGCCAAAAGCGAGAATAGGACATGACAGTAGTTTGAGAAATACCTGCTGGTTGATGAGCTGTAGGGATAATCACATGAGAAATACTACAAAGGAAAGGCAAACCATTTTCTCAGACTGGGATTGAGCCTACCAAACGTGATTTATCACCTGGCCATGACACTGAGCTAGCTTTCAAAAGAGAAATCAATTACTGTTCACTAATGTGAGTTCTAACCGGTCTCTTTGTTTCTGAAAGACGCACCTTCTCCTTCTTCATTGTCGGTGTCCTCACCACCATTCTTGTCTTCACTGTCGAGGTTCAAGTCATCTGGAAGGTCCAAAGCCTCGGGTTCTGGCACCTTTTCCTGATTGCCATGGTAAGGGTCCACCTCATTTTCATCATAGTCCCTCTTTGGGACAATGGAGACAACAGGGATAAAATAAAAATACAAATATTTTTTTAAAAAGTAGAATTCCCATAAAATCAGCTCTAAGTATTTACACTGTGAGAGAACACAATATCTATTCCCTAAAATTATCTGCACACATTAGTATTTTATTTTTAGACCTTTCATGTTGGAATCTCAGATTTCACTTTCTGTGCAGGTTATCCAAGGACAAATGGTGCTATGTTACTTAATCTCGAAGAAACTTACAAGAAGAAATAAACAAGGGATCACAGGTTTTAGCTTCTGATCTATAGCATGAGCCCAGACAACATGTGGACTACCCTGTCAGGAACCAACAGTTATATATTTTATGTCCTGTTAAGAGCCTCTGTTGCATATTCTTTTATGAGGTAATGGGAGAGCAGTCGACGAACAGGGGAAAAAATATCTTGAGACACCTTGAGAACTATACAGCTCAAGAGCTCTGGCCTTGAGTCAAGAGAGCGGATCAGTTTCAAATCTTCATTACCTCATCTATTTGTTCATTAATTTTGTCTTCACCTTGTCCACCATCATCAGCTTCTGCTTCTTCCTTTTCTTCCTTCTTATCTTGCTGGCTTTTATCTTTGTTTGAATTGCCACTATCCAAGTTGTCATCTTTAGCAACAAGTTCAGAATCTTCCTAAATGTCAGAGGAAGAAAAAACAATCATCACACTCAATCCAAGAAACTGCTTCTGCATGGGTTGACTTTTAGACATGCATAATTTCTGCCTATTGGACCTATCCCATGGATGGCTGATAAAGTGCCATCCGTGACCTAGAGAAAACAGTGCAGGTCTCCATGACAGCAGCAATATTATTAAGTGTGTGAATGGTGGGGTGAGTTTGATAATTCATTGCTTCACCCTGGGCTGTTGCAGTGTTACACTCAGCCCTGGAGTTCTCCCAAGCTGGGAGCTGGAAAAAATCAGTGGCCTATAGGAGAATCAGCTTAGAACATCTGCACAGGGTCTTGTTCATCCTCCTTCATAACACATGGGATGACTCAGGTCAAGCTACTCTTAGCTCTGAATGTAATCAATAAGATAGGATAGAAAAAAGAAAAAGAGGAATAGAAAAAAGAGAACAAAACAAATACAGAAAAAGAAGAGAAGTAAATGACAGAGAATGGTAGGTTGTGGGCAGATTACCTCCTCTCAGCTTGTTTGGGAGGGGAGAAATCTTTGAATTACCTCATCCATTCCTGGTCCTGTTTCTTCAGTTTTATTGTCTTCTTCCTCCTCATCTTCCTCCTCATCATCATCACCCCAAAGCCTCTCATCTAGTTTGTCAGCTTCCTCACCATTGAGATCGCCCATGTGTTTATCCAGGTCTCCGCCCTCACTATCTGATTTCTCATCATCCTCTTCTGAAAGGGAAGGCACTGAGCTTAGGCAGATCTCCAAACTGACCCAGTCCTGTGTATTTAAGAGAGGTGTGGACCCGCTTCCCTAGCAAGGGCCCCACCTGAGATTTATTGCCTTTTTCTACAGAACACACCCTACGGGCAGATGCCTTTAGATCTACTGACATAGTCTTACTGTGTTTTGCAAAGTAGAGGTACAAGGAAGTCTATAATGTGTGAACAGATGGTAAAAAGAGTAAGGAAATACCTATGAGGATGTCTGGTTTTGGTGCTGGGGGAATGGCCATTATGGGACTCAGCAACCTGAGTTTTATGTCTGAAATGATGGGGTTGGACTAGGTGGTTTCCATGGGTCCTCCCCATCTTCAATATACTGCTATGATTTTTTCCAACACCTAAAATCAGGTCTCAATCAGAATTGTCTTCATTTGTCTTTGCACAGGGTATACTTTGCAAAAGGTCATATCCTATGTGCCTTAGGCCAACTGCCACTAAGGTCAACTTTCATTTCTGCAAGATATTCATTTTAGAGTAAGATACAGTTATCTCCAATTGGACAGAAATTTGGGGCAAGGGCTGAATTATGGTACAAACATATGACAGATGATGATGTACTTTAAAAAATCAAATTCTCAAATAATTTTTAATGACAGGGAGAATGTTCATAAGATGTTAAATGAAAAAAGCAGGCCCAGTGCGGTGGCTCACGCCTGTAATCCCAGCACTTTGGGAGGCTGAGGTGGGCGGATCATGATGTCAGGAGATCGAGACCATCCTGGCTAACATGGTGAAACCCCGTCTCTACTAAAAATACAAAAAAAAAAAGAATCAGCTGGATGTGGTGGCAGGCGCCTGTAGTCCCAGCTACTCAGGATGCTGAGGCAGGAGAATGGCGTGAACCCGAGAGGTGGAGCTTGCAGTCAGCCGAGATTGCACCACTGTACTCTAGTCTGGGGGACAGAGCGAGACTCCGTCTTAAAAAAAAAAAAAAAGAAAGAAAGAAAAAAGCAGACTACAGAACGGTATATGGTTTCTGTGTGGGTATACATGCAATAAATGGAAAGAAATATACCACTATTTATTAAGTGCTATGGCTGGTAGGCCTGAGGGGGGATCTATTTCTTTTCTACATGTTTGTTCCAAATCATCTACAACAAACACCTACTATTTTTCTAATTAGGAATAAAAGGTATTTTAAACACTACAGAACAATTTGCCTTTTGTTGAAAGCCCTTTTCCATTAGGGATCATCTCCTTTCAGGCTTCACTACTGAGCCACTGCATCTAGCACACGAGGCAGCTAAAACATCAATGTGAGAAGAATCTATGAGACACCAGGGACTTCTGCCTCAGTGGAGGTGGTGATAGCACATGCAGCTGCTGAGGTTTTCATTTGCACTTAAGCACAGTAACCAACTTGTTTCAAAAGATTATATTGGGTTCCTTATTAGGAACATGTAATTTCCTGGATAAAATATTTATGCTTTCAAAAACAAGAATGAAGTGACAGATAATCTGAAACCTTGTTCTTCAAGCTCCCCATCATGCATTTTCCCATCAAAATCTTCCGACATCTCAATGGCATTATCCTCGCCCTTAATATCAGATTTTGAATCAGGATCCTCTTTGTCTTTTTCTTGACCCTTCTGAAATGTATCTTCCACCTACATAAAGAAGTATTAAACATAAATAAATGAAACTTTACCAATGTTTGCTTCAGCTGTGAGATATAAATGCCAAGGTTAATGGTGTAAAAATATATCTGGGAGAGGAAAAAAAAAGAGAAACAACAGAGACAGCCACATGGAATTTGTAAAATTTCTGGAGTTAGTTTCCACTTGTTTTAATCAGAGTATAGAATTTTGTTCAGGTTTTCTTATTGGGAATTGTAAAAATAGTCCCAGAGACATTTGCAAGAATATATATTCTTTGTAGGATAAAAAATTCATCAATCTTTTATTATCCAATTCTTTAATACTATTTTTGTCACTATTATCGCTGAAAGACAGTGGCCCAAGAGAATCTTGGTCATTCTTCCTTGGTTTCTATATTTCTTCTATAAAAAATTATTTTTTATGTTGTTAGACAGTGTCTCACTATGTTGCCCAGCCTGGAGTACAGTGGCACAATCATGGCTTACTGCAGCCTCAACCTCCTGGGATCAAGCAATCCTCTGCCTCAGCCTCCCCAGTAGCTGGCACCACAAGCACATACAACCACACCTGGCTAATTTTTTATTTTTTGCTAGAGACGTGGCCTTGCAATGTTGCCCAGGCTGGTCTCAACTCCTGGGCACAAGCAATTCTCCTGCCTCGGCCTCCCAAAGTGGCGGGATTACAGGTGTGAGCGACTGAGCCCAGCCTAATTTATATGTTTCTATATAATTGATGTGCTATTTGGGGCAAAAAGTTTTGTGATTGTTACCTCTTTCATTATGGTTGATTTTTGAAAGTCCTTTTTAAGGCCAGGCACGGTAGCTCATGCCTGTAATCCCAGCACTTTGGGAGGCTGAGGCGGGTGGATCACGCAGTCAGGAGTTTGAGACCAGCCTGGCCAAGATGGTGAAACACCGTCTCTACTACATATACAAAAATTAGCCAGGCGTGGTGGTGGGGGCCTGTAATCCCAGCTACTCGGGAGGCTGAGGCGGGATAACTGCTTGAATCCGGGAGGTGGAGGTTGTGGCAAGCTGAGATCATACTACTGCGCTCTAGCCTGGGTGACAGAGCAAGACTCCGTTTCAAAAAAAAAAAAAAAAAAAAAAAGAAGTCCTTTTTAAAATACAAAAGTAATAGCCAGGCATGGTGGTTCACGCCTATAATCCCAGCACTTTGGGAGGCTGAGGCGGGCAGATCACTTGAGGTCAGGAGTTCAAGAACAGCTTGGCCAACATGGCAAAACCCTGTCTCTACTAAAAATACAAAAATTACCCTGGCATTGTGGCGTGCGCCTGTAATCCCAGCTACCTGGGAGACTGAGGCATGAAAATCTCTTGAACCCGGGAGCTGGAGGTTGCAGTTGAGCCAAGACTATGCCACTGCACTCCAGCCTTGGGGAGAGAGCAAGACTCTGTCTCCAAAATACAAAAAAACAAACAAAAACAAGTTTCCCCATAACACCTCCATCCTCGAAGCCTCTCAAAGAATGACTACCAACAACATTCTGGTGAACCTTTGACTTTTTTCTATGAATACACCAACATATACTTAAGTGATACAGGTGATAGTTACCAATACCTGCCTCCCAACATCTTTTTAAACAAAAAAGAGATCATGCTTTACAGACTTATGCAATCTGCTTTTTTCATTTTTATTTTTCTGAAACAAGGTCTTGCTCTCTTGTCCAGGCTGTAGTGCAATGGCACGATCTTGGCCCACTGCAACCTCTGCCTCCCAGGTTCAGGTGATTCTCCTGCGTCAGCTTCCGAGTAGCTGGGATTACAGATGCATGCCACCACACCCAGCTAATTTTTGTATTTTTAGTAGAGATGGAGTTTTACCATGTTGGCCAGGCTGGGTTTTGTTTTTTGTTTTGTTTTGTTTTAATTTTATAGAGACAGTGTCTCCCTATGTTGCCCCGGCTGGTCTCAAACTTCTGGCCTCAAGCAATCCTCCTGCCTTGGTCTCCCAAAGTGCTAGGAATCCAGGCGTTAGCCACCACACCCAGCCTGTAAAACACATCTCTTCTTAAAAACATCTCAGCCAGGTGTGGTGGCTCACACCTGTAATCCCAACTACTCAAGAGGCTAATGCAGGAGGACTCCTTGAGTCCAAGTCATGGCTGCAGTGAGCTATGATTATAGAACTGCACTCTAGCCTGGGCAAGAGAGCAAGACCTCATCTCTTAAAAATAGGATCTTAGGTTATTTCCATGTTGATACATACAAAACCATCTCATTCTACTTCATTAATAGTTTTACCATTGTTCTGCATGGATGGTGCCATAATTTAATTCTCTTCTGATGAATATTTGGATTGTTTCACAATTTTCACCATATAAATAATGCTGTAGTAAATATCCATGTGTAGACATATATACACACTCATATACCTATTTATCTTTGACACTAGCATTTCTATAAGAAAACATGGAATTTGGGGGTCAATGAATACACATAATTTAAAATTCAGCAGACACTACCAAATTGTTCTGGAAGCTTTTTATTCCATGTAATGTTTTTTGTGTGAACTTTTCTATTAGATTTGCTTTTGCTTTTGACTTTTTTTTTCTACTAGAAAAGTAGTATACACTGATTTAGATTTGAGAAATACAGAAGGCCAAAATAACAAAGCAATTATCTAAGGACAATATAGGTCCAAAAAAAAAAAATTAGAGCTCCATAACATAAATACTAGCATTATTCTTTTGGCTTTTAATTGCTTTCCAGTTTTCTCTGCCAAGGAAGGGAGGGAATTTGAATTGGTTTTCTCCTTTATTTTTAATAACTATAAAATTACCTTAAATACAAGTTTCTGATCTGATTTAACTTAGAATATAAGTGATACACCCAATACACATAAATCACTCACAAATGAGACAGGCATTTAAAAAATCCAAGCAATGTAACAATCTTAGTTCACAGCATCTGAATAGTTCAGAAGGTTGCTTGATTCCAACCAAAAAAGGATACAGATTTTTTAAAACACTCTATGCCTTAAAGATATACAACAGTAAAACCTATTAACAGCAAATTTTGGCATTATTGTTTAATGCAATTATCACTTAAGATAGCCAGGCCTTTTATGCTTAAAAATACTATCAAAAATACTCTAGAAAATCATCAGTAAATATCTGCCCATTTAAAAAAAAAAAGTAAAAATCATTTCCTCCATAATTATAGCCAAAACCAATGATGGAGTTGCCAGGTTCCTTCCTGTGGATTTTAGGCTTTTTATTTACACCCACTGCCGAAGCACCAATATATCTAGGGCTCTGTAGATCACAGATTAAAAATTATTAACCTAGTAAAAACCATTTTTATGTGTAACTTACATGTTGAAAAGAAAGAGAGTGATCTTCTGTCAACTGTATACCTATGTGAAAACGTACCTGTTCTTCATTTCCGATCTGGTCACTCACATCCTTCATGCCCTCGCCTTCTCCAATTCCACCTCCCTCATAGTCATGGAACTCAGTTGCTCCCTCTCCAGCTGAATCTTCCATAAATTCTTTGGGCAAGCAAAATCCCTTAGAAAAAAGAAAAAGGAAGTGAACAATTAGGCACAAAAGCAATTTTAAAAGGAGATTTCATTCTTGCCACAGGAAAACAATTTAAACACATACTGAATTCTTTTTCTAGCTCATTATCTTAAATCCGCTGGAAGTACAGGAGACTTCTGACATTCTTCTCCTCTTTGGTGCTAATAGTTATGCAGTTTCACAGCTTGACATCAGATTTAACATATGACTTGACTTTGTAGAAGCCTCTGGCATGTGGTCATTTGTCACTTTGCCAAGACAAAAACCTAAATGAAGTATACTAGAAGGACAGTATTTTGGAAAAAGTCCTTGAGTAAGGGCAGAACAGGCTCTGGAGAGAACACAGTCAGACATAGTAATAACTGTGAAATGTTGAAAAAAACTATTTTATACAGGAAAATAACCTGAGAAGAATACTAGCCTGCTGAGCAGAAGTAAAAAGAAAAAGTAGTAGTGACTCTCAATCAGAAAGTTTAATTTTGTAAGAGAAAATATATACTATGAAGATATATCTGAGGATGGGAATGCACAAAAAAATAAGCTGCTAATTAGCAAGGAATTAAGATCCCAAACCAGTAAACACTAATTATGACTTGGTTACACAGA
This sequence comes from Homo sapiens, assembly GCF_000001405.40. Lineage (NCBI taxonomy): Eukaryota > Metazoa > Chordata > Mammalia > Primates > Hominidae > Homo > Homo sapiens. Next base: position 89,668,770 of record NC_000006.12, read on the forward strand.
AACAGCTTCCTGCGGATCAAGAGCTTTAATTACAGCCTAGATCTATTATCTTAGCACTGTCTAACCTACTCTCAAGTTCCCTTGAACTACTCAGAAAAGATATGAATACAATTTGGACACTTAGAAAAATTTTTAACAAGCCAAACCCACTTTTAGGACATATATTCTCAGAATGTTGATAGGAAAATACAGTTTGGCTTACTTGCTTAATTTTCCCATTGAACTACATTATTTAAATGAGAGACATTCAGAAATAGACAAAGAATACGACCACATAGGAGGGAGTTTCAGATGCCCTTACCAGAGTATATCATTGCAGCTGCTACGTCTGGGATAGCCACAGGGCTCCCAACATTCTGCACATATCAGAACCATTCCTACCCGCAACAGACAAAGGTTTGAAAGGCCAAAGTCATTCTACAGCCTGTCAGACAAAAGCTACGGTACAAATGGACAAATCCAGCTGAGCCAAATCTCAAGGCACCCGAACCACACATTTTCCTGCCACTATCTTTAGTATACAGTGTTTTCTCCAAGAAGCAATGGAATGTTAAGGCTGGCCTGGTGCCCACCAGAGGCGGAGAAACCTGAGACTCATTCTTTTACTTATTATTACTTTTTATTATTATTATTATTACTGTTACTTATCATTACTACAGATAAACATATTTATCCTCTTGATACAAGGCATTAGGCTTGGCTTCCACTTTTTACCTCTTTCCAGTATTTCAGAGACTCGGAACTAAGAACTCTTAATTGTTTATAAGAAATCTAGACCCCATCTTCAGTTTGTAAATTCATATCTTCCTCAAGTACATCTCATCTGTATTAAGCTTGGAGAAAATCTTAGAATGCTAAGAACAAAAACAAAACTTATATACTCAAATGCAGGTGGTTCTCACAAAAATGCATATTAGTATAGGCAGATCTCATTTTACAAATGAGGAAACTGAGGCTTGGTGAGGTTAAGAGAGACCGAGAGCTGGATATCTCTATGACTAGACCTACCCACACCATGTTGCTGTTAGATTTCACTGTCTACTGCCCCTGAGTTTCAAGGGGAGGGTCTACAATCTCTACAACCTCAGTGCTTTTCACAATACCGGGTACATGGCTGAATGAACAAATGACTTCCCTGCTAAAGAAAAAAACTGGCTGGGCGCAGTGGCTTACACATGTAATCCCAGCACTTTGGGAGGCCGAGGTGGACAGATCACAAGGTCAGGAGATCGAGACCGTCCTGGCCAATGTGGTGAAACCCTGTCTCTACTAAAAATACAAAAATTAGCCAGGCGTGGTGGCACGTGCCTGTAATCACGTGGAGATTACAATTACAATTACAATTTTGGAGACTCTGTCTCCAAAAAAACATATATATATATATATATATATATATATATATTTTTTTTTTTTTTTTTTTTGAGATGCAGTTTTGCTCTTGTTGCCCAGGCTGGAGTGCAATGGCATGATTTTGGCTCACTGCAACCTCCGCCTCCCCGGGTTCAAACAATTCTCCTGTCTCAGCCTCTTGAGTAGCTGGGATTACAGGCACATGCCACCACGCCCAGCTAATTTTTGTATTTTTAGTAGAGATGGGGTTTCATCATAATATTGGTCAGGCTGGTCTCAAATTCCTGACCTCAGGTGATCCACCCGCCTCAGCCTCCCAAACTGCTGGGATTACAGGCGTGAGCCACCACAACAGGCGAAAAACACTCTAATAATAACAGGCCCATTATCATTTAATCATAATTACACCAACATGGTTAAAAGAAAACTTAATAGCCTTAAGGGTTTATCCTACAACTCTAGTTCAAGAGTTATCTGAAGATTTACATTGGGGATGGGAAGGGAAGGGTGTTAACAGACGGCAGCAGCTTTTAGACAGCGCTGGAGTTTAGGGAACTCGTCAGTTTGGGGGAAAGGGTGGGTTGGGGATAGGAGGTATCATCTGCAGGTTCTGAGACTTTAGTGGAAACAGCGTTAGCAAAAGGATGCCAGACAAAGCCCTAAATAATCCACAGGGAGAGCAAATCACATCCTGCTATTTGTGGTGGTCCAAAATAAAAGCCTATCACACCAAAGACTAATGACATGAAATTTACTTGGGTCCCTGCTGCTCACAGTGCACCATGTGAACAGTCCTTACCTTCTGGGCAAGCTCTGTAAAGACCTGGGCAAGCACAGAGAGCAGCTTTGCAGTACTACGGTGAGTTGCTAAAGACATGGTCAGGAAGAAGAGGACGAGGTCTGAGTAGCTGGAGAGGACCGGCACCAGGCGCACCAGCAAGGAACAGGATTGGCTGAAGAACTGAGACCAAAACAAAACAAAAGGCCTGCTCACACTGCTTGGCAGGTACCAGGTTTCCATTCTGGAACTAGATAGTGGTGGTAATTGCACAACATTGTGAATGTACTAAATAGTACTAATGGCAAGTTACATGTATGTGTTTGTAACCTCCACCCACCCCAATACACACAGCTCACTGAGATTTCTTCATTTACATATATCGTCACAAAAGTACAATCTCAAACCGATGTCTCCTTTGGCTAACAATGTTGGTTTTTTAAAAATAGAATGTTGGCCAGGCACAGTGGCTCACGCCTTTAATCCCAGCACTTTGGGAGGCCAAAGTGGGTAGACTGCTTGAGCCCAGGAGTTCAAGTTCATGTTGCCTGGGCAACATGGCAAAACCCCATTTCTACAAAAAATACCAAACAAAAAAAACATATAGCCAGAACCCATCTTTACAAAACTTTAAAAATTAGCTGGGCATGGTGGTGCATGCCTATACTGCCAGCTATCTGGGAGGCTGAGGTGTGAGGATCACCTGAGCCCAGGAGGTCAAGGCTACAGTGAGCCATGGTCATGCCACCACACTCTCCAGCCTCGACAACAGAATGAGACCGTGTCCCAAAATAAAATAAGAAAAATAAAATGTTTATAAATAAATTCTGCTGATTCAAAGTTAGCACCGGAGGCAATGCTACAGAATAACATACAATGTCCTGCAAAGTAAGTTGCTTCTCTGGACTTACTGTAAAGACTACAACTGCTTACTCTGTTCGCTTATTGTAGTGGGAATGGTGGTTACACAGGATGGCTGCTAAGCCTCAGTTGATAACATCGTCTATCAGTAACATCAGATACTTGGGAGTATGTGAATAAGATATGAAAGAATCCTAATATAATGGATATTCTGAATGGTTAGCATTTCTGCACCTATGCATCTAACAATTAGCTAGCAAGCCCTAAGCTCTTCAAAGCTTGTCAATGACTTTGCACGTATAAATAAAGAGACCAAGTTCTTAGTGATTTTGGCACTGAGGCCTGCTCTGGCACTTATCTACGTGGAGGGAAGTAAAGCCCACTCTGCCTTTGCTCAGTGCATTCTGAAGAGGAAGAAGTTTGTAAAGAACAGTTAGTTACCAGGTGCTTTGCTGCTGTGCCATCCTCACCGTACGATTTCAGCCTCTCCAACAGCTCGGAGATGGCAGAAATTATTTTCTGCACGTGCAAAGTGCTCACATCGGCCCAGAAGTCATCCTCTAAGAGTTTTGTTAGATGTCCTGATTGCAGTCTCTCAAAGCCTGCTGCCTCATTCATTCAGAGAAAATAACAACATGATGAATAACAGAAAACAAATCCTTTTATCTCTATCCATGCAGTTATCTGTTTCTAACATCCATCCTTAACTATTTAGCCACAGAAATAAATCATCAAATACAAAAATTAAATCAGGCATGAAACTAATTTCTGCCTGATTTCAGACATACCATAATCTTCTTGTGGGCTTGCTTGGTCAGTGTTCTCCTCTGCTTTTTCATTCTTTCTTTCTTCTAAGTTCTGGATGGCACAGAGGATGGCTCGGATGGCAATTTCCATTTGCTCTGAAAAATCTTCCACAAATCCTTCGTCCAACATTTGATTTCCTAGCAGGTAACATGGTGCAAAACAAACATACAAACAAAAGACACCAATCATTTGCTTTAGTGCCTCTGGAAATCATTAAAAATACTCATTTATTGATGAGCCACTGTGTCAAGCTGTGCCAGATACAAAGAAGAGACAAATTCCTTGCCTCGATAAACCTACAAGTTTATTACCTTGTATTAAAACATTTTTACTAAAATAATGTAAAAAATATAAAAATAACAGTTAAGACAGTATGAATAAACACTAACTTAGTCCAAATATCAGTGCCAAGCTTTTTCAATCTAAGGGAAAACAGACAGTGAGCTGATGCTGCCTTCCTATGTGTGTTACAAAGTATGTAACAGGCATCCAAACAAATGGGGCAAAAAAGTTAAGAGCTGTGGATTTCAACCGCACCTCCCTGCCTCAGAACCCTGGACAGGTACATGTAGACCAAAATATAATGTGTCTTTTGGACAATGAGACTTACATCTATAAGACATCATTTCTACACTGGACTTTCATTCCCTGACTGAACAATATTCCTTACCTCCTTGGCTATCTGAAGTAAGCAGATGGGTCTTCCAGGTAGTAAAGTCAGCCATGGCTTTACTAATTTCTCCTCTTACATATTCCAGACTTTCAACTAGTGCCATTTGTGAGTCTCTTTGCTCAACCTCCATCCCTGGAAGAATGAACAAGGACTCTAGGCCCTGCAAATGAACTGACACCTGGGACAAGCAACTCAGCGCAGAAGAGCAAACTTCAAAATCTTTCCTGCAACAGAAATGCCACAATGTTGAAAGGAATGCATTACAGTTCCCACAAACACACACCCCTCCCTGCAACCACTACAAGATATGCAAGGTAGAACTCATCATAGCTGAAGGTTTACGGCTAAACACATGCCACAAAGTGCTGTGCAGGTCCACTGAGTAACAGAGGACTGAAGCACAATTATTTTCATAATTTGATTCTATTACTAAACACCTAGGTTTAGTAATGGAATAAATTACTAAATTTATTCCATTAATGATAAATTTATTCCATTAATTTATTCCAATAAATGGTAAATTTATTCCATTAATGATATTCCATTATCATTAGTATTTGGTGTGATAGGCTTTTATTTTGGACCACCACAAATGGCAGGATGTGATTTGCTCTCCCTGTGGATTATTTAGGGCTTTGTCTGGCATCCTTTTGCTAACGCTGTTTCCGCTGAAGTCTCAGAACCTGCAGATGACACCCCCTATCCCCACCCCACCCCATCCCCCAAACCGACGAGTTCCCTAGGTTCCAGGGCTGTCTAAAAGCTGCTGCTTTCTGTTCACACCCTTCCCTTCCCACCCCCAATTTAGATAAGCACAATAAGGACCTAAGCACACAGAGAAGTGTAAAGACATAGACACACTTACCAAGAATGAAAGAGAGTCTCACAAGACTGCTGTCTAATTTTGTCGACGTCAGCTTTCACTGTTTTAATGGTTTTTAGCATCTCTGTTAATCTCGTAGTTGACTGTTGCCAAAGGTGATCCTGTTTCCGCATCCGGCAACCAGAGGGCAGCTGACTTCCAGGTATTGGAGATGGGTAGCTCAGATTGGAAGGAATTAGGTCCAGCACTACTCCACAAAGTTGTCCCTTGCTAAGTTCTGGTCCTTCCAGGCAGGGGCCAGGAGGCTGCCCCAGTACCTGGACATTGCCATGGCCTGGAGCTGGCCCTACACTGGGGCAGCACTGGAGGAGCCAGGAGAGCTGCTCAAGCAGGATCTGGCACTGCATGGCCAGGTGCTGCAGGCGCTCTGTCCACTGCTGCACGCCATCCTGAGGGGGGAAGGCCACGGGGTAGGCCTGGGGCCCCATCAGCCTGCTGTGAATCTCTTGCACACAGCTGAGGAGGTTCCTGTACAGAGAAACCCATGGGAAAAACACAATGAATGGCACCTTAAACCACTTTACCACATTGTTTTAAAAGAAATTTGTGTTTCTGAACAAGCATGGGCTTTTTCATACAGTCAAGAAGGAAGAATCCCCCAGATAGGTAAAAAGTCTGTTAAAATGCCTCCCAAAGTACTTAAACCCATCCCTCAGTCTTTCAGGAGAAGTATCACAACACAACCACACCACTACAGTGACTTCAACTAGCATTATCTAGTAAATGTGCTGTACTTTGCTAAATAAACCCTAATGAATGGAGCAGAAAATACCTGAAGCTAAAGTGAATAGTCTGGAAATACTGTCCTTCAGCCACGAATCCATTCAACAGATGACGACAACCTTCCTAACTGTCCTCATCTCTTAATTATTTGTTTCCATTGAGGAGCCTCCATGTATGGCTCAGATTGCCATCTGGGGGATCCCCAAAGCCTAAGTAACAGAAGCAGACTCAAATCTCATCGGTGCCCAAGACCATCTCACCCTAATACCATGAACAGAAGCCTAACTATTGGCCCACATGGACTTTTGGCAATGTATATCCTCATTCCAGACACAGGTATAGTTCACCCATAACAATTTTCACTGCCTGACACAGCCCTGAAATCTCTGCAGCTCCATATTCTCAGGAGGTTCAGAGCACGGAGGGAGAGGGACACTAGAGGCATATCACTGAAAGCAAGGGGCAGAGCTGGGAGAAACCCTACCTGCCTCTTTGGGCCTTAAATTCATTTCACAATTGAGAGCATGTCTTATTCCTCTCCCCACATGCAGCAACTCTGAGCTGACTTGGATCTAATTCTTCCCAATTCATGCCACAAGCCCAACTCATCAGCTGATACCTGAGGATGATCCACTGCTCACTGAGCGTGGTCAGGGAGCGCCGCTGTCGGACGAGCATCTTCATCAAATGTGCTGAGAACCCTCTGCACCTCTCCACGTTGCCCATGCCCATTTCCTGGCAGAAGAAGGAAAAACATGCTGAAGGGGCTGCTGACAAACATCACCCACAGATGTGCCTCTAGAAAGCTGTTTCTACTATAAGCGTCAGACATGCCACACTCTAGAGGTGACATATTCATTTTTTTGAGCAGTGTTTCTCCAATTATGCTTGCACAGATCATTGAGATTCCATAGACAGGAACTGGATTTAACTCCAAAATGCATTTATTAGTGGTCTTTTCTCAATTCACAAAGGGAAGAAAGATCTAAAGATGGCATTCTCAATTTGAAGTTTTTAATTTTTCTTAAACATTAAGAAAATCTGTCCTGCTGGCAAGTGTAACTGAATTTATTTAAGGTGTTCTGATTTTGCACAAAATTACATTGATTTATATTTTAAGTTTAAGGATGTACTGCAAAAAGCTCAGTTCCACTAACAGGCTGTTATCACTTAACAAGGTCTGAGAATACAGCCCTGGGATGAACAGAACAAGGGCTTTCCCTGAGCCCCTGCAAGACTCATGTTCTATCATTCTACCTTGGCAGGAGTTGCTAGTGCTGCGTTAAGCCTGGCATGCCGTGCAAGAGAGCGATAAAAATACTTCTGGCATCCATCCCATGAAGACGAGATTTCTGTAAGCAGCCTGGAAAAGATATCAACATTGTTTACTTAATTAAAACCACGCTCTCCCACCCCAGATCCTGAAAACTCAGATATTGGTATATTTGGCCATAACCAAGAGTCAGCTGTCTGAATAGGTTTATTTCTATGAGGAATCATTCAGTGAGGCACTCATTAGTCCTTTACTTAACTCAGCACTGGAAGTATCAGGGGAAATAAATTATGCTGACAACATGGTTTCTTCAATGAAATCTTCCTATCTTGGCAGTGGAGGCTAGGGGGTCATAAACTCTGATGCCTACAGGGGCCAGGCAAATAACATAAGAGGACTAAGGACAGCCAAGCATACAATGATGCATGGCAGTGACAGCTGACCTCAACGTGGGGAAGACACAGGGGTTGTTGAGGGCTCAAGTAAGCTGGAGAGCATGTGTCCTATCAAAAGGAGGAAACTACTATTCAGCTACAGTGCTGCTGACTGAATGGGAATGCAAGCCCACTTCGTGAATTTTCCTGAAAAAGAATGCTTATGTAAAATTTCCCCTTTCTACAATGTTCTGTTGAATTCAAATTTAAAGCCCTGGGAGCAAATAAAACACACATGTGTACTATACCCAGTTCATGCAAAGCATCATTCACAACATCCTCTGCTGTGTTGTAAACAGAGGTAGCTCTGCCTGTCTCAATAGTGTATGGACTCGCAAATTCAATAACATATTAGAACTTATGAGGAGTGTATGTATATAGAGCAACTAAAAATATACCATTTTCTAATAGGTTTCCACATGTATGATCAAATGAAGCAAGTAGACCTCAGGAAAATCAAAAGGCAAAAAAAAAAAAAAAAAAGGGAAGAAGAAGAAGAATGGAGAGGTGAATGCAAGGAAGAAAGAGAAAGAAAATAAATGTTTTTTTTCTTTTTTTTTGACAGAGTCTTACTTTGCCGCCCAGGCTGGAGTGCAGTGGTGTAATCTCAGCTCACTGCAACCTCCACCTCCCAGGTTCAAGTGATACTCCTTGCCTCGGCCTCCTGAGCAGCTGGGATTATAAGCATGTGCCACCATGCCTGGCTAATATTCTGTATTTTTAGTAGACACAGGGTTTTGCCATGTTGGTCAGGCTGGTCTTGAACTCCTGACCTCAAGTGATCTGCCCACCTGAGACTCCCAAAGTGCTGGGATTACAGTCATGAACCACTGCACCCAGCCTCACACTTTCATTTGAATGTCCATCAGGAGTCAGATCCTGAGCCAGGCACTTTTGTAAGTGGTAGCCACAGTGGTATTGCTATCCCTATTTTTGCAATGTGCAAATGAGGACAAGGAGTTCTAAATTACTTGCTCCATTTATAAGTAGGGAAAAAACAAAACAAAAACAGACAAACCTAGAATCAGCCTCCTGAGTGCTGCTGACGATGGACAATGCGCTCTGGAGATCTAATGGGTGAAGATGAAGCATCTCTTGAGGGTTTTTTGAACGGGCCCAAGCAAGACCTTTGCGATACGACAAACCTAGGAAATAAACAGCATTTCTTTAAGCAAAGATGCTTAGTAGAGAATGGATGTGCCCCCCTCTCCCCTGCTACTCAAAGCAAAGTCTTCTAAACAGCATCACCTGAGAGCTTGTTAGAAATGCAGACTCTCAGGCTGCACCCACACCAACTGAAACAGGATCTGTAGCTGCACTTCCACAAGATTCCCCAGGTGATTCACATGCACGTTCAAGTTTGAGAAGCACTGCTCTCTATGCTATGCTGCAAGCATATGGTACAGCACGTGGTGACAGAAATTTTAAAAATACAGATTCTGCCAGGCACGGTGGCTCACGCCTGTAATCCCAGCACTTTGGGAGGCTGAGGCGGGTGGATCACGAGGTCAGGAGATTGAGACCATCCTGGCTAACACGGTGAAACCCTGTCTCTAGTAAAAATACAAAAATCAGCCGGGTGTGGTGGCACGCGCCTGTAGTCCCAGCTACTTGGGAGGCTGAGGCAGGAGAATCGCTTGAACCCAGGAGGCAGAGGTTGCAGTGAGCCAAAATCACGCCATTGCACTCCAGCCTGGGCAACAAGAGGCGGAGGTTGCAGTGAGCTGAGATCACACCGCTGCACTAACCAGCCTGGGCAACAGAGCGAGACTCAGTCTCAAAAAAATAAAATTAATTAAATAAATAAATAAAAATATAGATTCCGAGAAACCTCATACAAAGCGGGAAATATTTGGGAATCATGGATGGCTGGTCATAGGATTTTCCTGCATGTGAGTGGAACTCTTAGACATCTGGAAACCTTGCCTGTACCTTCTGTTGTCCACCATCTCAACTGTCTATGGAATTTCCCCCAAAATCAGTCATGTCATTTCTCTCCCTAAAAGTTGGTGACTACATTTCATTGGGTTTCAAGTGAGAACCTTACCAATTTTTGCAAGGTGTTTAAAGAGGTCTGACAAAGCTCGCTGTTTTTGCATGAGAATGTGCTTGGCTTCTGACCGCTGCTTCTCCTTCTCTGCAGAGGGTTCCACCTTTAAGCTCTGCAGCTCACTCACAGAGGAAATCACTTCACCTGTAAGGGAAAACAAGGCGGGGAGGGGAGACAATAAGAAAATCCCAGGGGTCTGGTAATGTGTTTGTTACCCAACACCAGGGACCTTCTGGAGAACAAAGGCCAAGTATCATTCATCTTTATACCCTGGGTACTTAACATAGTCCCTAGCATTTGGTAAAATCTCATTAAGTGTTTTAACCAAACTGGTCAAGGTGCATGGAAATAGAAAAATAACACACAGGATTTCAAATCTCTTGACAATAACAACCCGAACAGCAGCAGTCATTCTTTTGTATTTAGGGGTTTTATAATCAATCAAGCAAATGCACTTACTGAGCACCAACTATGTGCAGTGCATTATACTAGAAATTTATAATCACTTGAAGGAAATTTCAGATTAATATAATATGTATTGAGTTTCCACTTGTAGCTAGTACATCGTAAATTCTCTTTTCATGTGCACAACTTCAGAAGCACCTATTTGTAGCTCCATTTTACAGACTTCAAGAAAGGCTCAGTGAGGTCTAGTCACTATCTGAAGGCCATGTGGTGAACGAGTAGATGAGCCAGGACTTGAACACTGGCCTACCTTACTCCAAAGCCCAAGTTCTTTCTATATAGCACCAAGCTGCCTTCCTGAATACACGTGGGTACCAATAACACAAGGGTGCCGCCTCCCTGTTGCAGGCAGTGTTATAGGCTGGGTTGTGTCTTCCCCCTCAATTCATATGTTAAAGTCCCAACCCCTAGAACTTCAGAATGTGACTGTATCTGGAGACAGGGCCTTTAGAGAGGTAATGAAGGTGAAATGAGAATGGGCTCTAATCTAATCTGACTGAAGTCCTTAAAAGAAGAGATCAGGACACAGAACACACAGATGAAGAGTGACCACGGGAGGACACAGTGAGAAGGTGGCCATCTGCAAGCCAAGGAGAGAGGCTTCAGAAGTAATCAACCTTGCTGACACCTTGATCTTGGACTTTTAGCCTCACACTGAAGCCACCCAGTCTGTGGTACTATATTAAGGCAGCACTACCAGCCAAATATAGGCAGTCACCAGTGAGCACAAGGACACCAAAGACATCAGACAGTGTGGGAGAGTTAGAGGATGAGGGAGGCTTTGCATCCTGCAGCGCATCCCCTCTCCAGGAGATGCAAATGGATCTGTATTCCACTCACCCCCACCCCTAGGCCTGAGTCACCTTGAGCAACGGCTGACAAGTTTTAAAAAGGAAGAGCTCCCTGAGATTAGATGCAACCTCATTAAAGGCAGGCCACCCTCACTGACAGCACACTCACTGCAGTTGGGGGGTAGATGGGGTGAAGGAGGTAGTCAGAGGCTGCCAGGGGCCCAAACATTCTATTAAATTCTGGGTTCCCTTCCCAGCTATTGCTGTGTTACACTATGAGATCTTCGCTCTCACCTTCCCTGAGCAAAGACAGCCTGAGAAATGAAACTGCTGTGCCTCTCTGAAGTGAAGAAAGCAAGAGGATGGGGATGAATCCTCCTCAAGTGAGACAACTTTTTGACAGTGGGGACAGCTTAGACACTGGGAAATCCACCTCTGTGCCCCTTTACTGGTAACACCAACCAACAGGAACTAGTATAGACAAGGCTCTCATAAAAGATGGCACAGTGCCAAGTTACATGAGAGGACGACAATGTGAAAATTATGATTGTGTGTTCTCAGTAGGCTCCTGTTTCTGAGCTCTGTGGGTTTTTAAGCCCACTTGCTTATTCAATCAACTGTTCAACACTACACAAGGTATCAAAAAAGGACACAGTTGCCACATTCTCAGCCCTCCTGCGCCACTGGGGAAAACAGAAAGATCCACCCTTGACTTGGATGCTGGCACCCACCTGTGAACTGATCAAGGCCCTCCACAAGGCGAGGCAGGGGGCTCTCCTTCATGAACGTCAGGCACATCTTCCTCATGCGTTTCCTGAGCTTTGGCAAGCGACGCAGAAGCTCCCCTTCCAAGCCGGAAGGAGCAGCGCCCTGACACCACTCTGGAATTGTGGCCTGTGAGACAAAAGACAGGTTAGCCTCACTGCCAAGAATGACAGGCAGTGTCCCTGCAAGGGAACTAAATTTAACTGTTGCACACAAAAACACATCCCTAGTTCAGCAAATAGAGAACAAATGTAGCATCACTAAAATTAAAAGAGACATACTGTGGATATTTAGAAAACCATATTACTGCTCCATATGAGATCATTATAACTGAAGGACCCCCATGCCCCTACATCCAGCAATGCTTGCTATGATAGCCACAAGGAGACTCCAGTTCTGAATTATGAACAGAGTAGAATGAATAATATCACTGCTGCCCTTAAGGTGCTGAGCCACATTGTGTTTCTCAGACACAGCAGCCAGGCGAAACTGGTCCTACTCCTGTGACCAGTTACCCCTAATTAACAGTTTAAATTTCAGGAATTCAGATTTCTTTCCTTTTTTTTTTTGAGACAGGGTCTGGCTTTGTCACCCAGGCTGAAGTGCAGTGACCCGATGTTGGCTCACTGCAACCTCCGCCTCCCAGATTCAAGTGATTCTTGTGCCTCAGCCTCCCGAATAGCTGGGATTGCAGGCATGCATCACCATGCCTGGCTATTTTTTGTATTTTTAATAGAGATGGGGTTTTACCACGTTGGCCAGGCTGGTTTCGAACTCCTGGTCTCAAATGATCTGCCTGCCTTGGCCTCCCAAAGTGCTGGGATTACAGGCATGAGCCACCGCACCTCAGACACAGGAATTCAGATGTTATATGAAGGGAAGAGCTTTCGTCCATCAAGGGCATATTTTCATTTTTTTTTCCTTGAGGAATAACCTGAAACTCCTATGTTGTCATTATTAGCAAATCAAAATTGTTGATCAGAATGACAGAAGCAGTGAGCTGACAAATACAGTCAAAAGAAAATAAATTTGGTAGCCATATCATATCTCTGCAGCCATCTTATGGCTGTATGCTCAGTTTCTATTATGAGTTTTGAACCACTAAAATAACAAAAATAGCTTAAGGACTTTCATTACTAACTCTGTGAGCCCCAGGTAGGAAATACAGTAAGAAGACAAAGCTAATTACTCTTTAAAAAGTAATTTTTTTTGGAGAGACAGGGTCTCATACGTTGCATAGGCTGGTCTCAAACTCCTGGGCTCAAGTGATCCTCCTGCCTCAGCCTCCCAAGGTGCTGGGATTACAGCCGTGAGCCACTACGCCTGCCCAGAAATTACTCTCCTGAGGGGTGTCTTCCAATCCTGGAGCTCCCCACACCCAAGGACATGAAGCAGGAACATCCATTCTGTAACAGACCTGCTAACTCAAGATGTATCACTGTTAAATTTTCAGGAATTTTGCAAGCCAAATCTTAACTGTTGGTGCTTGAAATTGGCCATAATAGGAGTATTTACACCACAGTAATCAGCATCTGCTATAAACCAGCACATCACGGCACATATTCACACCCTGTGCAGTAGCTTCCTCATGTGGTAGCCCACAGGCAGCTTCAACGGCATATTCTTAAACTGATGCTTCAAATCTTTGCTCATAGCAGATGAAATGTTCACAGGTAAAAGCACAATTATTTCTCACAGGCTGACATTAAATTTTAAGCAGCAAGGCCAAGTGCGATGACTCATGCCCATAATCCCAGCTCGTTGGGAGGCCGAGGCAGGGAGGATCACTTAAGACTAAAAGTTCGGCCAGGAGCGGTGGCTCCCGCCTGTAATCCGAGCACTTTGGGAGGCTGAGGTGGGCAGATCATGGGGTCAGGAGATCGAGACCATCCTGGCTAACACAGTGAAACCCTGTCTCTACTAAAAATACAAAAAATTAGCCAGGCGTGGTGGTGGGCACCTGCAGTCCCAGCTACTCGGGAGGCTGAGGCAGGAGAATGGCATGAACCCAGGAGGCGGAGCTTGCAGTGAGCCGAGATCGTGCCACTGCACTCCAGCCTGAGCGAGACTCTGTCTTAAAAAAAAAAAAAAAAAAAAAAAAAAAACTAAAAGTTCAAGACCAGCCTGGGCAACAAAGTGAGACCTCATCTCTACAAAAAAAAAAAAAAAAAAAAAAATAGCCAGGCATGGTGGCATGTGCCTGTGGTCCCAGCACTCAGGAGGTTGACGTGGAAGGATCATTTGAGTCCAGGAGGTTGAGACTGCAGTGAGCCATAATCATGCCTGGGCAATAGCACGAGAATCTGTCTCAAAAAAAAGCAAAAAAAAAAACCCCAAGATTTTTTGCCTTATTCTGCAGGGAAGTCAGGCAAATACATGCTATATATGTCCAAAGAACAAGATTTCAAAGGCATTTTCTTGTCTAGTACTGAGGCATGCCTTGCACATAAAACACAGATCCCACTTGACTGGCTTGGGAATAAGCCAGCACTGTCCCACAACCAAGTACCTGCCCAGCTGCTGGTTGGGCTAACAGGGTCTCCCTCAGTGCCCTGTTCAGATTCTGAATGGAAGACAGTTCACTTGCAGCTCCATCTGTTGGCCTGGGCAAAAAGTCAGGCTGTTCTTCCTTGTCACTCTCCACCAGGGATGACCGGCAGGGTTCACTCAGGACTGCTTCAAATTTCTTCATGAATTTAAAGAGTGTCCTGTCCCCAGGTAATGACAGAGATAAGAAGAAAAAAACTGGATTAGCAAGTGAAGACATATAAAAAATACATTATCATGCATCCATACATAATCTAATACCCTGTACCTTTTATATACAATGCTCTCCTTAAATATTAATAGTTGTTTTATTTTTAAGAGAAAAAGTATGGCAGGTACTGTTATCCTCCTTTTCTAGAAGAGAAACTAAAGCCAGAAAGAATGGGATTGCTTTGCTCAAAGTATACAGCTAGTGGGTGGCAGAAGACTTGAGACATAGCCTGCTTTGTCTCAAGGCACACTAATCCTTACTGCAGGTAGACTTTGCTTGGAGAAGAAGGGGGTGGTGTTGAAAGCAACATCAAAACAATCAAGGTGTTATTTTTTGAGAAGTTTAACACACTTAATATTAAGTTAGGTTATGGTAACTATGTCGTTTTGCTCCCTACCACACAAAATTCTATTCTATTTTGGTTGTCTCCAGTTTTAAAAGATGGATTACCTGTGTGTCTTTTCTACAGATTGCTTAATGGACCAGAAGCTGACATCATTCCACTTGGAAATCTTAACAAATTCCTGTAAGATAAATGATGTTCAAGAAATGGCTTTATAAAGCTAGTGTCATTCTGTTTCTTTCTAGATTTCTGTTCAGCAAAGACCAGAGCTCACTCTATCCCAAACACAGGACTGTGTGTCAGTGAACAAGTAAAACAAGTCTAAAAAAGAAACCATGGGCTAGGCGCGGTGGCTCACACCTGTAATCCCAGCACTTTGGGAGGCCAAGGTGGGCGGAATCACAAGGTAAGGAGATTGAGACCATCCTGGCCAACATGGTGAAACCCCGTCTCTACTAAAAATAGAAAAAATAGCCGGGCTTGGTGGCTTGCACCTGTAGTCCCAGCTACTCGGGAGGCTGAGGCAGGAGAATTGCTTGAACCCGGGAGGCAAAGGCTGCAGTGAGCTGAGATCGTGCCACTGCACTCCAGCCTAGGCAACAGAGTTGAGACTGGGTCTCAAAAAACAAAAACAAAAACAACAAATGTTTTGGTCTCAAAGTGATTTAAAAAAAAAAAAAAAAAAAGAGTGCTGCTACAGTCATTAAGTCACCTGACATATACTCCAGCTTAGGAACCACCAAGTTAGTCATGTCCCTTGTACCATGGTTGGTTCCACAACCACTGAGAATATCAAAAAGAGCGGTCCCTCCTTCCCCCATGGTAATTCAGTAGTGTGTGGACCAACACAACATGGCATAGCTCTGAGGTGGGAGACAGGCCTGGGCAAGACCAGGGGAACACAAACAGATTTCTGTGGCAGTCCTCTGAGGAGGCTCTGACTGGCCACTCCACCAATCGCTCACACACTCTGCAGGTGACAAAAGAAGCCAATGCCACCGATGTACATATTGCCATCCTCCCTAGCGGTGGCAATGCTCACCTCTATTCCCCTAGGTCCCTGCCTCAGTGTTAAATGGATAACAGGGTTAACGAAAGAGAATTTGCTGATTTTGTCCTCCCAAGAGTGATCATGACAGCTGTTCATCTTACTTTAAGTTCTTTTTCTAGGGGGGAACGAAGTTCCACAATTTTGGCCTGGACCCGGTCAAAGAATTGCTTGTAATAATGGTACAAATTCCATAGAACACTGCAAAGTGAATCTGGAAGAAATGAAAAGGAAACAAAAATACCACACTTGCTGCATGTGCTACTGGTGCCAGCTGTGGCCTTCATATTTCAGTGATGACCCTTCCTCATTACTCTCTATGCCATGAGATTACAGTGAGTTTCACAGGTGCATTATTTAGGGATCCTGTCTGAGTTTAGCATTTCCCAGAGATGCAGGCTGTCAACACTCCCCTATTTTTCACTTCTGCTTGTAACAGATGTTTTTTTGCACTTTTGTTCTTGAAGATGATGTACTCCTAGGTTCTTCTAAAATCACAATGTCAAATTCCTTCTGTGAAACTTATTGTAAAATCAGCAGAAACTGAGCTTTTTTTAAAAGATGGCATATTAAGCAGTTCACCTCAAATGCTCATTCATGTACAATCTATACTCATCTTGTAGTGAGACTTTTATCCCAGTTGCTGTGATCAGGGATAGTACTTGACAGCGGGCAGTTTTAGATGCAGTTCCTTGATGGCTGGCAGTGCTCTCACTGGATGAAAGAAACTAATAATGGCCTGGATCAAGGAGCAGCTTAGCAGGACATTTACAATGTCTAGACAGAGAGATGTGCTGCCTCAACATGGTAGGTCCTGAGATCTTCATCTGGCAATTTACCTCTGCCAGAGCTCACTAGTCAGTACTAAACTTATAACCATCTGCACCTCACTTTGAATGTTCTTCTCTATATCTAATGTGAATCGCATTAAACATAACTAAATGTGTCTTGTTTAAAACCTAGCGTGCAACAAGGCACCTGTCTCATGCAGAGAATTCAAAGCCTAACTCATTTTAGTCGTGCAATGTCAAAGGAAAGGAAAAAAAAATCCTCACCCTTTCCTTCAACCTGTGGCATCAGCAAGACATGACAATGGAAAACCAGTAACATCTGAAGTCGCACATGGAACTCTCCCAGCGAGGATCCTTCAATAAATGCTTGTAATGTGCTGACCAGCAACATCAAGGTCATCTGTTTGTCATCTTTAAAAATTCAAAGAGAAAAATATATATGTTCCTTCGACCATGACTCCCTATTCCTAACATGCACGCAATCTATTTGGGATACTACGGATGGCCAAGAGGTAGACATCACAATGTGAAGCTCTCAAGCAAGGACCATGGCTAAATTCTAAGCTGATTTAAAAGTAACAGGCCGGTGTGGTGGCTCACGCCTGTAATCCCAGCACTCTGGGAGGCCAAGGCGGGCAGATCATTTGAGGTCAGGAGTTCAAAACCAGCCTTGCCAACATGGTGAAACCTCGTGTCTACTAAAAATACAAAAATTAGACAGGCATGGTGTTGGGCACCGGTAATCCCAGCTACTGAGAAGGCTGAAGTAGGAGAGTCACTTGAGCCTGGGAGGCGGAGATTGCAGGGAGCTGAGATCGTACCACTGTACTCCAGCCTGGGCAACAGAGCAGGACTCTGTCTCAAAAAAAAATAAAAAACAAATATAAATAAATAAATAAAAGTAGCAGCTGCACATAGAGCATGTGTTAAATGCACTCACAGCAAATTATGAAAATGAATTATAAGGTGCTTGTCACAAGTATAAAATAAAAGACTGTTCATTCAAGCATGTTGGCTACTACCTACCAAAAAGTCAGCTTTCAGTTTGACTTCTATCATGGACATAGAGAAGACGGAAACCTTATCCTACGACTGGTTCTCTAGACTTTTGGAGAAGACATTTAAACCTCTCACACTTTTGTTATTATTCTCTCAGTTAGATAAGCACGATTTACAGTTTTCTTGGCTGACCTCTCAGAAATATCATGAAGTCAAATGGGAGGCATTCCCATGAAAGCCATGTAGCGGGAGAAGCGGGAGCAGGAAAATCCTACACTTTGCAGCACTCCATTTAGCCGGGAAGCTCTAAGTGGGCAGGAAATGTACTGCTAGGCATTACCTTCCTGTTCTTCTGTTTGTTCCTGCATGTGCTTCTCAAGCATCTGATAGATGGAGAACCAGTGCTTGGTGGATTTCTCGGTGTGGCGCTTCATAGTATTATCCAAACTCATGGACCAGCAGCTGAAACGAGAAGAAGCCAAGGAGGCATTTAGGAAAACCTATTTGAAATATCTGAAACCAAAGATGCAGAAGCTACATGCTCACATTTCTCTCCTCCCAAATGGAGATGGAGGAGCCACCCAGTTTCCTCCCTCAAGAATATATGCTGTTGTCTGGACTGTATTCAGGTCATTTTAATGCCCTACTTTTAACTCTGTGATTAATAACTGAAAAGCACATTCTGTAGCTGTAATACTATATAAATCCTAAAGAAATTTAAACTACCAAAAGACAAAAGCCCTTACAACCTAAGTTTAGGAGAGGGAAGGAGAGTCACTTACTTCAGCTCCAGTTTACGCCACCGAATGATCATCTGACTGATCAAATCAAGATGTTTCCGCAAAGACAAAGCTCGACTTGCATTTTCCTCCCAATCCTAAAGAAACAAAGATAAAATTTACTACAGATATTATTCAATGCCATAATCACCTCCTTCCTCAAGAACATCTTGAACTTTGCTTGAGTGAAGACTACTGGGCCCTTAAACAACTTGCACCAATTGTAGGAATGAATTTACAGTGTATCAGCTTCAAGTTCTTTCTGTTCACATGACAGAACTCCACCAGAGCCAAGTTTAGAGGCTGGCAAAAAAGCACAGTGTTTATAGACTGGAGCCTGAATTCGTGCTCTTTGCTATCTGACCTAGAACAAAGACATGCGGCCCTTTTCTGTCCAATGGGGAGGCAACAGCTAACTTAGAGGCCATGAGGGCACTGAGGGGAACCGTGTATGTGGGCACTCAGTTGGAATGAAGGCCCACCTGGAAGGCTGGGAGGAGTGCACCCTCATTACCGGTAGATACTGCATCCCACTGGATAAAAGGCAAGGCAGCTAGCCCTCACCACAGGGGCAACAGCCTCACTTGCAATGATCTCACCCCATGCCAGAAAAACCAAGGATGTTTACCTTTTTCTAGCCCAAACTATAATTTTCTGTCTAACAACAAAGGTGCCACAAGACGTATCTTTTGCCAACTGACCACCAACTAAAATGAGGAAGAGAGGTATTAGCTCACCTGTGCCTTTGCCAGAAGGATCTCTAAGCCATTCAGGAACTTTGAGATGGGACTGGAAAGTGGGAAACTACGAATTCTGTCCATTACAACCAGGAGCTGCAGAAATAAAGATTTGGGTATCTCAGTAGGAATACCAGTGATCCTAAGTCACAGGGTACTGAAGAGAGTCCTGACCAGAAGATTCCCCCCAGTTCTCTACTTTTAAAACACCTCTGAAAAAAAAAACAGAGCAACATGGCAGCATTTTATTATGTGGTCAGCAACTCCTGACCAACAAATAAAATTAACAGAATCCCCAATCATTTACACAAGAGAAATACAAAACTGGTGTGTTCATCCTGCAGTTAGTAAGTAACATCTCATTGAACTGCAGTTCTTTAAGCCTTTGTTTATATGTATATATGTGCAAGTGGGTGCCCCCAGGGATAATGGTGAGGCTGCATCCTCATTGCAGACTCAGTACTGTGAGCACTCCTTCCTCAACAGCTGCCCTACCTGTTCAAGCGCTGGGTGTTCTGGCCAGTCCTGTAGCAAGTGACTGACAGCCTCTGAGAAACCTTGAAGCACAGGTTGACACTGCCGTGCTTCTGGAACATTGGGATGCTGGTAGAAGTCATAGGGCCCATCAGGTTTCACCATCAGGTCTGAGGGTGCCTCCCCAAAAAGAGTGTTATGGGAGAGGGTACAGGCCAAAAGTTGGCTGCCCAAGAGTCGGTCATTCAGTTCAACTCCTGTGAAGTTAACATCACGGTAAAGTCAGTGAATTCAGTAAGTTGATCTATCAACATGTCAAAAAGATGTCAGCAACAGGGCCAGGTGCAGTGGCTCATGTCTGTAATCCCAGCACTTTGGGGAGCCGAGGCAGGCAGATTGCTTGAGGCCAGGAGTTTGAGACCATCCTGGCCAACATGGTGAAACCTCTTTTCTACTAAAAATACAAACATTAGCCAGACATGCATGTGCCTGTAATCCCAGCTTCTTGCGGGCCTGAGGCACAAGAATTGCTTGAACCTGGGAGGCAGAGATTGCAGTGAGCTGAGATTGTGCCACTGCACTCCAGCCTGAGAAACAGAGCATCAGCAACATCAGCAACAATGAACTAATTGGGACTAATGAATGCTATTCTCCCCTAAAGCAACATTGGCCTAGAGAACTGTAATCCTAATACTATAGTAGCTACCTAAAGCTCTCAAGTTTCTGGAATGTGCAGAGGAAGTCAGAAACTGCCTAGGTATAAACAAATGGTGTAGGGGTTAACTCAGTGCATCCAAATTCCCAGTTTTTATACCTATTCTAGGTAAACAGAAAGGAAACTTAAAGCCTCCTTCCTACTTCTATGAAATAATGCCAAGAAATCATGTAGGAAACTGCAATGAACCAACTATTAAACCATATTCTACAAGATTGGTTGCTCCCAGGTATGTGTTATTTCATTTCAAAAGCACTAAGGCTATTTGACAGCAGAAATAATGCTAAGGAAAAAAAAACACATACACGTACACATTTAAATTAAGTCCTTGTCCTTATTTTCTTAATCCCTCACCCCAAAGGATCCAAACAATAAAAATCCATCTTTTTCTTGGCCCATTTGTACACTGATGAAAATCCATCTTATTACAGAATCCTAAATCAATTTTCTTGAATCAGCTTCAGTTCTTTAAGCCAAGGAAACTCCAATAAGGAATTATGCGAAAACAGGAAATTCATGAGTGTGATTGTTACAGAGTAGCAACAGCATCTATTTGCATTTGCTTTCATTTCCCAGGGGCATAACAAAAGTAAACTACCATACCCATCAGGGGGTAGAAGTGTGTCACAAGCGATGCCCCAGTCTGATAGCAAGACAGAAACAGGCTGAGGTAATGCTTTGCTTCATGTGGCGGCAGAGTCTGTTGATACCAGAGGGATCGAGCAAAGTTGAGACACAATTGCTGGTGTATCAGCATTACTGCCTGCATTGAATTCTGGGAGAGGAGAGCTGGGTTTGTGCCTGCTTCCTCTTCTTGCCCATCTGAAGTTCCTTTGTTCTCCTCCAACGTTGGCTGCACCAAAATATCTGCAAAGTCCTATAAATAGCATTAGAGCAATTGAACTTTTAAAAATCAGAATCTACTTCTAATCAGACTAAAAGGAAGAAAGAAAAAAGCATAAGAATGACTGAAAAAATGAAATAGGACTAATATATGTATTAAAATATATTTTAAAAGACTACAGGCTGGGCACAGTGGCTCACACCTGTAATCCCTGTGCTTTGGGAGGCCGAGGAGGGAGGATCACTTGAGGTCAGGAGTTTGAGACAGCCTGGGTGACATAGTGAGACCCTGTCTCTGTAAAAAATATAAAAACGGCAGGGTGTGGTAGCATGCACATGCAGTCACAGCTACTTGGGAGGATTGTTTGAGCCCAGGAGTTTGAGGCTGCAGTGAGCTATGATTGCGCCACTGCACTCCAGCCTGGGTGATAGAGCAAGACCCAGTCTCTAAAATACATACATACAGAGAGAGAGATAAAGAGGAAGAGAGAAAGCCATCAGAGGGAATGTATATGGCATCAAGGGAATTCATTCCAAAACACACCCTGCCATCACTGCTCTACCTTTTCATGCAGGGGGAACTGTTTTCTGAACTCCCGTTCTTCCTCCTCCTCTTCACTCAGGGCTGTCCTAGAGTTCCTGCTCCTGTATCTATACAGGCCGCTTTCCTGCTCAGCCTTCTCTTGGGCTATGCGTTCCTGCTCATCCCACTCACTGATGATTTCCTGAAAGTCACACAGACAGAAAGAAGCTGAGCTTTCTTTGCTGAGGCATTCACAAAGGCAAGATTTGCTATTAATTTCTCATGAAAATGAAAGTATCATGACTCAAAAACAAATAAAAGCCAACATCCAAGAAACTAAATTCCATGGAATAAAGAGCAAATGGGTTTTGTTTTCCAAGTGTGTAGCCTCAGCAACCAGTTTCCTAAATCCCCCCTGCTGTGTCATTGTAATTTTGAAGGTGTAAAACTTGCCACAGTACAGCTAATGGGAACTTCCTGTCAAGAGGTAAAGGTGCTTTGTAACAAGGACAGACTCAGGGTTGGCCATGAGAGGGTTGTGGTTCAGACAACACCTGGGTGGCACCCCAAGGAGCTGGCCAAGGGGTTCAGAAAAGAAACACTTAGACTAGGGACTGGGTGGTCAAAGGGCACCAATCAGGCAAAACTGGAATGTGTCTTACCAGACACTTCTGAAATTCCCTACCACTTCTAAGATTTTAGATCTTTAAACTGGCAAAAATTCTAACTTAAAGAACCATCCGGTACTGCTGAGGTTGAGGAAATAAGCACCCACCATCTAGGAAGGTAATTTGCATGTAAAGCCTAAGAAGTGTGTTTAATCTTTGTCCCAGCAATCCTGATCTCTAAAATTTGTATCCAAATATATAGCTGTGAGACTATTTACTGTGGCATTGGGTTGGTTTTTGTTTTTTTTTGTTTTTTTGGCAAAACAGTAAAAGTATATACAAATGTAAATGTTCAATGATAAGAAAATAGTTAAATTACTTGTGTCATAAACATACAATAGAATACTTGGCAGTCACTAAATATGAAGCAGGTGAAGAATACAGAATAACAGGAAAATAATCACTATACATGAAGTTTTTAAAAGCAAACAGAGTTATCAAATAGAATAAACTTTACTAGTGGTTTGTTGTACATTTTGTAGCAATTTAAGGACATGTCTCAGGGGCCCTGGTGGGGATTAGAATCTACCTTAACCGGAGCAACTCTTTTTTTCTGTTAACTATGCTAAGATTTGTATTTTTTAAAAGCTGCTGCTACTACAAAAAAAAATTTGTAAGCCACTGGGACAAATTTTTAATAATTTAGAGTGTCACAGACATACAGCTACAGATAAATATTAATATATATACACATACAAGCAAGCCTGGAATGGGATACCTGGTATGTTAGCAGCGTTTATACAGCTTTAAGTGGTAGGATCATTAGAAATTTTAGTATTCTCTTAATTGCATACAATGAGAGCAAATTACTTTTATTAATAAGGGAACATCTTAATGCAAGTTGACATAAGTACCTGGCAAAATTACCAAAAAGGCAAAAGACAACTGACAAACTGGGAGAAAACACATGTAGTGTATAATAAAGGCCGCTCTCATTTTTTTTTAATCTCTTAAAAATTGAGAGGCAAAGGTCCCCAAACATGATAGTTAAATAGGGAAAAAGAAGGAACAGAAAACAAAATGCCCACGCCCCAACGACACTGTGTATCTACTAGGCATGCTAATGTCCTGCAGGCCGCCCTGCTGTGAACCTGGCTCTCTGCAGGAGGAAGGGCAGGGCAGGCCTCCCAGAGATGGCTCACCTGACACACATGTCTGAAGAGCTGCAGGGCCCTCTGGTCCAACTCTCCCTTGCATAACACGTGGGAGCGCAGGTAAAGGAGAGCATTCATCAGCAGCTGCTCCCGAGTGGGACAGGCTTTCTGGCCCTTGCCTTCCAGCTCCTTTCCTCCTGAGCGCTTGAGGATTAGCTTCCCAAGGCCTCGTAGAACCTCCTCAGACTTCACCGAGCACAAAGTGTCTGCATGAGCATAGTAAGTCGGGAAGGTGGGGCCCACCGATGGGAAAGCCAGCAAGGCTGTGGCCAGGGTCCCCAGCCTGTCTGCACCAACCATACTGCTGTGGAGTGAGGTGTGGAGCTCAGAGGCCACCAGCCTCATGCCATGTTGTAACTGCAATATGGATGCCTGCAGTGGGCTCACGGCATCTGGATAGAAGGTGTACTCCTCTGACAGCCGCTTCCGGAACTGGTGGTGTGACTGCTGCCAAGAGGCCTCCTCCTTTAGAAGGCTCTGGGCTACTTGGGCAGACCGTGGCCCATCTATGTGGAGGGCCTGCAGAAGCCGTGTGAGCAGATCCTGAACAGCAGGGGCCTTGGCGATGCTGGTGACGTAGTGGTGGATCTCCTGAACCAGGGACTCGTAGGCAGGCAGCTGGGGTCTAAAGGCCTGTTTCTTCAACAGGTGACAGGTTAAATTATCCAGCCGATCCATCCTTTGGCGAAGCAGCCTAACGGGAAATTAACACAATATGCCAATTATGTCAGAAGAAGAGCAGCAAATCTAGATTGGATCCTCAGCTAGGAAAACCGAAGGAAGAAACATCAGCTGCTGCGAAATAATATTTCCAATATCATCTCAGTTGTGATAATACTGACAATTAGTTAATGAAAATGGATAACATTTACACAGCAGTTACTGTGTCATGTATGTTGCTGGTGCTCAGATGCATATCTTACTGAAGCCTCATCATGACTCACTGGAGTAGATAACTACAATTACCCTTCTTATGCTGATATGGACACTGAGATGTAAGCCATTAAGTGATCTACCCAATGTCTAAAACCAAAGGTCAGGAGTAGGACTGGAACTCAGAACCTACTACACTATACAGGCTGAGCATCCCAAATCCAAATATCCAAAATGCTCCCAACTTTTTGACTGCCAGACAATATGACACTTAAAGAAAATGCTCATTAAAGTATTCTGGATTCCAGATTTTCAGATCCGGGATGCTCAACTGGTATAAATATTCCAAAATCTGAAGAAAAAAAACGAACCCCAAATCCAAAACACTTCTGGTCCCAGGAATTTTGGATAAGGGATCCCCAACCCGTACCATATTTCCTAGTAACACACCTACAGCCAAGAATAGCAGAGAAATATAGTGCATACTATCACACCCCACTTCTTCTATGCTGAGACTAAGTTTTGGCTTCAAACATCTTGGCCCCATGTGAACACACACCTTGAATAGCCCCCCTCTCCTCCTTTCACAAGGCATATTATTTTTCCTGACTATAAACAATGCTTTGGCATCTAATTGCTAATGTAGTTTAGAGGTGTATATTATCACTTCTACTCACACCATAACTACATTACATCAAAAGGAGAGTCAATAATCCCCAAAACAAATAATCACTCTGCTGTGTTACCTGACGTGAGGATGAGAGTAGCTGACAACGACTTCATCTTCCAGGTCTCTTCCAGTCTGCAGCTGGGATGACAGGTTCCGGGTCTTCCATTCACACTGCAGTTGGTGTAACTAATGGAAAAGAGAGAAGTTAGTCCACTGTGTCCCAGCTATGACCATGCACATGAGGACAATGTCCTGGGGACACGTAGAGGAACAAGATGGAAGGAATCTGGGTTCCTGAATGACCCAAGGAGAGGTGGCTCTGCTCCATTAATCTACACCACTCACATCAGAGCTGTGAGGGGAAAGAAACGATCTTATTTACACCACTGAATTTTTTAGTCTCTCTGCTATAGGAGCTTAGCCTTCACTCCAACTAATATAATTTTCCTTCTTCAAAATATGTACTAACATACCATCATCTTAATGTATTTAGTTCCTGAACTTGGTTCAAAACTTCAAATAGCAAGGGATACCACATTACCCAAATCAACTTGACTCTTTTTTAAGACAAGGTCTCGGCTCTGTAGCCTGGCTGGAGTGCAGTGGTGCAGTCATGGCTCACCGCAGGCTTGACCCCGCAGGCTCAAGTGATCCTCCTGCTTCAGCCTCGTGAGTAGCTGGTATTACAAGCACATGCCACCACACCCAGCTTTTTTTTTTTTTCCTTTTTTTGTAGAGACAGGAATCTTACTATGTGGTGGCCCAGGTTAGTCTCAAACTCCTGGGCTCAACTGCTCCTCCCACTTCAGCCCCTCAAAGTGCTGAGATTACAGGGTGAGGCCACCACACCCAGCCTCTACTTGATTCTTGAGTTTTAGATAGCAAGCACCAATAAGTTAAAAATTCCTAGGATATAGGGATACTATATTCTATCTAAAGAAATATCCAAATCCAGGCTGGCCATGGTAGTTCATGCCTATAATCCCAGCACTTTGGGAGGCCAAGGCGGGTGGATCACTTGAGGTCAGAATTCAAGACCAGCCTGGCCAAGATGGTGAAACCCTGTCTCTACTAAAAATACAAAAATTAGCCAGGCGTGGTAGCGGGTTCCTGTAATCCCAGCTACTCGGGAGGCTGAGGCAGAGAATTGCTTGAACCCAGGAGGCAGAGGTTGCAGTGAGCCGAGATTGTGCCACTGCACTCCTGCCTGGACGAGAAAGCAAGGCTCCATCTCAAAAACAAACAAACAAACAAAAACCCAAATATCCAAAACTAAGCTCAGGTAGAGAGAGTCCAGAGACAGTGAGAGGTACCACTATTTCTGACAATGGCTCAGGTTTTCTACCTGCCCTCTGCCCATTGCACCTATTGGCAGAGATCTCAGAACCTTAGGAAGGGCTCCTCCCAGAGCATGAGTATAGTCAGGACAACTCTCAAAGGGGAAAATACAGTCTCTAAAACAGACTCCTGGGAAGTCATAAGGCAACTTATGCAATATCATGCTTGTGATGATCTGAGCACCCAAAAGGGAATAAAAGGAGTAATACAATAAGCAAACCCAGCACGTCAGGGAAGGAGCCCATGCTCCATACTCTTGCCTCCCATACCTCTTCCTTGACGTAATTGAGCTTGTACTCCCTCTTCACCGCAGGGTCAAAGCGTGCCTGGGGAAGCCATGTCTGAATCTGGAGCAAGCCGAGGCTCACCCAGAGGCTCCCACGCTGGGCTGGCTCAGGCAGGCTCCTCTTACTCTCCCCTTCACCAACAAAGTGGTGCAGGGAGGTGAGCAACTGGCAGAGCAGTTCCTTGGGCAGCACCTCCTGACCAGCCATGTCCCCAAGTGTCTGGCCCACATGCTGGAAGGCCTGGCTGCTCCCAAGCAGCAGCTGCTCACAGTTCTGCATGTACTCCTGCCGCCGGGACTCTGGGAGCAGCTCTGCTAGGCCTGCCAGGTGCCGGAACAGCACCTGCCCCTGGAGTTGGGAATCCGTGCGTCTGTGGGGACAAAAAGAAAGCACTGAAAGGTTTGTACTGTATCAAAAAGCATTCCTTTTCATACAGTATAATTCTCTCAAGAAATGATAACCACAGAATGCAGCATCAATATGTAGAGGTGAATTTCTGTTCTCACATGGTCTTATTTGGTTTACTAAGTTCACCCTCTTGATCACAATATGCTTAAAACTGACATGGGAACCAGCCAGCTCACGGTAGCCTGAAAACATGCTGATTCAGGCAGAAAATACCCTCACTTCAAACACCAGAACTAGCCACTACAGAAGGAAGTTCTCACTGGGTCTCTGCTCCATGCTGTGGAGAAAAGACAGGAACTTTACAGTCTGCTTCCAGGGCGAGGGAATACCTGAATTCTGCTACTGAAGAGATAGCCATGTTAGTCCAAAGCATCGAACTGATGTCCTGGAGCTGCTGAGTTCTCTCAACCCACTCTCCTAGGGTCACGTGAGAGGAGGAAAGAATGGGGAGGCCACTCACATCCCAGGGACTTGCTCTCCAGCTGCTGGTTAAGACTTCAAAGCAGCACTTAGAGAATATGGGTCTATTGAGATTGCCGGGGCCCTAAAGGACAAGAGAAGAGTCAATAACTTTTAGAAATTAAGACAATTTCCAGAAGCAGCATTAGGGAACCTGAGAGGAAAGAAACAGACAGTTCAGGTTGCTTGGAACAGGTAAGCATCACTCAGAGACTGGCCTAGAAGGACAGAACAGGTTAGTATACCTTAAATGAAAGTGGACTCCATGCTCTAGGAAATGAGCAATGGATGCTTTAGTAATGCATGAGGAAAGCCCGCAAACCTGGGAATCAGAGAGCACATTCTTGCAGAAGGGAAAGAAACACACTGCAGGAGGATAAGAGCCAACTCAGGGTGCAAGGAAAGGAGTGAGAGACAGATGTAAGAGCCAGGGACAAAATATGCCATGTCTGTGCTCCTTAGACTGTTAGATGGGACACAGTAATAGCTGTCCACAGCAAAGGGTTGTCAAAGGGTGACAGCCAAATGTGTGTGATAGTCAACTCTGTATAATGCCATACAACCCTCAGGGATCCAAAGTTTATCACTAAAGGCTTTGAGGGGTGTTTTACAATAAATCCATTTTGATAGTGCAAAAGAATGGAATAGAGTTCAGGTAAATCCAAAAACATTTGGGGCAATAAGGCATTTCACATGAGAGTGGAAAGGAGGAATTAGTCAAAATGATGTTATTACATCGCTTTTGGATCTGTTTGTATAAAAGAAAAAATTTGCATCCCTATATCATAAAACAACATATACTGATGAAATAGATTTGAACATAAAATAAAAATATAGGAGAAAATAATGGAAAATAGTTTTGAACTCGAAGTGATGGAGGAAGAAATTTTTTAAAAGCATGACACTAAAGTCAATAAGTAGAAGGGACTGGCATATTTGGAGGGAAAAAAATTATAAAACTTGTGACATATAAGAAAACAAACTTGAGAGATGACAGAAAACTAGAAATATACTTCCAACTCATATTGGGCAAAGGCTTAATATCCATAATACATAAAAAGATCTTCAATAATAAACTGACGCTGAACAACCCTATTTTTTTTTTTTTTTGAGACAGGGTCTCACTGTGTAACCCAGACTGGAGTGCAATGGCACGATCTTGGCTCACTGCAACCTCTGCCTCCCAGGCCCAAGCGATTCTCCTGACTCAGCCTCCCAAGTAGCTGGGATTCAGGCGCACACCACTACTGCCCAGCTAATTTTTGTATTTTTGGTAGAGACAGGGTTTCACCATGTTGGCCAGGCTGGTCTTGAACTCCTGACCTCAAATGATCCACCCACCTCAGCCTCCCAAAGTGCTAGGATTACAGGCGTGAGCTACAGCGCCTGACCAACACAATTTTTTTTAAAAAAAAGCACAACTATGACTCGAAAATTCAGAGAAGAACTAAAGGGGATCAGTAAACGTGAAAATATGTTCAATCTTCACACTTATCAAAGAAGTGCAAATGAGTTCTTTTTAACTATATGACAGAAACAATTGAAAATGTTTATAACAGCTAGTGTAGCAAGCAGATGAACAGGTCCTCATCTCCATGTTAAAGGAAACTAAACCTCACTGTGGTCATCTAAGACTTCAGGACTTCCCTCTTCACTGGCTCTTCACATCTTTAAAAAAGTGAAAAGCAAAAACCACATTTCCAGTCTGGCAATAACCATAATTTTGTTTTTAATGTGTAGACACTCTGACCAAGGATTCAATTCTAATTCTAACAACTTATGCATAGAAATGCTCCAACAAGTGGACAAAGATGTATACTAGGATAGTCAATGTGGCATGCTTATTATAGGAAGAGGGAGAAAATGCAAGAAACTTCAACACTTTATCGGTAAGAAAGTGATTAAAATAAATTCAAGCACATTGATACAATGGAATAACTTTTAAAAATAAGCTGGAATGACATACACATTTCTGTTACATATATGTGTACTTAATTCTTGTTTACGTATGTATTTAATATAAAAATATATGTAAACAGAAGGATATAGAACAGAGTGGATATTTCTAATGAATTCTGTATTATATATACATATATCTGCACTGTTTAAATGTTTTATAGTGGGAAAAATGTTTTAATTAGAAAAAATAGACTTTTTCAATAAAACCTTTTTTGACTTATCTCAAAATTTCACAAATTATTTAACATGGTATACTTTTACTGACAGTACACTTATTTAACATTCTGCAGAAAGTAAAGTGTTGCAATCACCTGTTTAGTCACCACTCTATGCTAGGAATAAATGTTTATTGATAGATCCATTCAGAAACTCTTTTGCCACTATCAAACATTTTTTATAATTTTAGACCAACAAACCTTCAATGTGGAGTCCAAAACAGACTTGGGTGCCTCCCTCTGCTGCATACCAGGCAAAGGGTTCCACATTAGCCAGTACTCTGGATTTGTGGTCACAGTACTGCTCCAGAAAGACATAAACATGGAATTAAATAACTCGGACCACAAAGATGTAATTTCTTCAGGAGACACCTAGAAATAAAGGAATAATTAGGTAAGAGAATACCTGAGAAAGACTCCATAAATTATTAGGTCTTCTTTCTTCTAAGGCCCATCTAAAACTGTCATAAGTTTAAAGGTATTAATCCAAATTTTTCCGTTTCTCTGCCACCCCAGTCAACTTGGTCAAGGAATGTGACATGTTTACAGTTTTATTTAAAGCTGTACTAATGAAATTCTATTAACAGGAGTGTACCAGTATTCATATTCAATTTATTAGAGAGGAAAAGTACAAAAAAGTATAAAAAACACTCTCACAATATATTTTTGAGCAATTGGGAGATTTTAAGCAGCAAATATTTTCATCTCATTTAATTGGAAACCAAATGAATACTCCTGTGATAAGAGTTGTAATATACCCTCATAATTACTATAAAAGAATATTTAAAATTCTTCCCTTTAAGAGGCAATTCAAAAAAACCTGAGGTTTCCAATATGGAATTTTGAGAATAAATAAAATGTTTCCCAACCAGTCTGTCAAAGAAAATCTAACCAACTCATAATGTAAAGGAGGCTTATGTCTTATTGTGATTTTTACCTTCTGATGATGCAGCAAGGACCACAGATCTCGAAGCTCTTGAGGTGTAACAGGTGTGTGATAAAGACAAAATGAGATGAGGTGACTTATCTCCTCATTTATCTGGGGTTGTTGATTTTTGCTGCATCTGTTCCAAAAATAAAGAGGGAGAGGGTGGGGTATGGACTATCAATGAACTACTGGAAAGCTGCTACATTAGGGAAGGTGTAACATAAAACTTACAGTACATTTATCTAAAAATGAACAACTCTACTGATAAAATTCTCGGTGACTTTTAAAGTAGAGTCAAAACTAGTAAAAAAAAAACCTTCAATAAATTTTGGCTTTCCAAAGTGGCAAATCACTTCCCTCTGCTTCGGTAACCATCCCTATCAAGTCTGTGGTTTGTTTATGGGTATAGGATACACAGAATAATCAAGAAAAAAAGTTCCCGCAAGGAAAACAACTGAAAGCATGGTTTACCTTCTGAGACAAGCTTGTGCCATAAAATCAGCTGTCACTTTGTACCGCCAAAGCATAGCCAGGTACTCCATTGCAGGCCACAACTGAACACTCCTGGTGAGGTGGATTACGGAGGTCAAGTCTGGATGGGACAGGGAGGAAGCTTCATCATGCTTTTTCTCCAGAAAACCAAGTGAGAGTCCTTTGGCTTTCAGTTCTAAACACTGAGCATGCACAAAATTCTTCAATTCATCTGGACAAAAAGACAAATGTTGTATGAGAGCACAATGGTTAAGAGTATAGCCTCTAGATTCTCAACAACCTGCTATGTGACTGCAAGCTTAACTTGAGCTAATCAGAGTTAAGCTCCTTAACCTAAGCTTTGAGATTCTCATCTGTGAAATGATATTAATACCCACATGATTCTGATGGAATTAAAAATATATGTGAAATTTAGTCCTATGCCTGACACTTATATAAAGGTATATAAACTCTACCCCTCACATCACCCAGAAAAGAAAAATCTAAGGGAAAACTTATTAACTACCAGCAAGAGGATATTTTCAGAGCATCTGTCAGCTAGCCAAGTGCTAGAATATTTTACCTAGGCTGACATCTTCCAAAATATTTGCTCTGAGGATCAGTCCCCAGGCTTGCAGGAGACTTTTCTTTAATGTCCACTGAGAAGCAACCACTTGGAGACGGTTAATGTCTTCCTGCCATCCACTCTCCCCAAGGGCAGACATCTGCTCCCTGATGGCAAGGACTTTGTTAAGGACCTTCAGTTGTGAAAAACACTCCACCACCAGCTTGTCCTGAAACAACAACACCCACAAGAGCATACTATAGAGCACAAATGTGGTTTTCTTTAGTAGCCTATACAGGTCTCAGAATAAATTTATGATATATTCTTAATGTTTCCAGAAAACAAAGGACTTGTTTATTTCTGTTGCTGTCAAGAGATTTTACAGTGGTAATAAAGTTAACTCTCTACCCAGCCTTAACAGTCTCAGGAATAAGTAAGATGATAATATGTAGCAAATTACTAAACAGGATTCATGGGATAGAGCCTGCCCTCTTGTTATGTGCGGGTTCCGCATCAATTCAACCAACCGTGGGTCGAAAATATTCAGGGGGAAAAATGGATGGTTGCGTCTGTGCTGAACGCATAAGGACTTTTTTATCTTGTCATTATTACCTAAGCAATACAGTATAATCACTATTTACACAGCGTTTATATTGTATGAGGTACTGTAAGTAATTTAGAGATGATATAAAGGGTACATAGGTTATATACACACACAACGCCATTTTATATAAAAGTCTTGGACTTTCCTGGAGGTTTGTATCCAAGGAGAATCCTGGAACCAATCACCCCCAGATGCCAAAGGAAAACTGCAAGAGTTATGCTTTCAAGACAAGGATTAATCTTATACAATGTCAGTTCCCAAGTTCCAAAAGGACTTCAGAAGTAGTAGTCACATTTCTTTTATTTACTAAATGCTTCCAGGTGTACCTTAAAAGGAAACGGTCGTCCCAGGAACTTCTGCAACTTCTTTATACCAGCGAAGCCACCAGTCTGGCTCCCCAGACAATTCTGAATATGTTCTGAGACAGTCTGAACTTCTTTGTAATATCTTTAAAGGAGAACAAGGGCACAGGGGAAATAAGGAAAGGGGGAAATGCTAGACAGTAAGAGAAGCCATTAATATTTTCTTTCTTTCTTTCTTTTAATTGTACATTCACCAATATGCCAAGGGAATAAACCAAAATAAAGCAAGAAGAAACAGTTTCGGTTCCAAATCTTATCCTTAACATCTATCTGTAATCATTGACATTATTACTCTAAATATGAATCTTACTTGTCTTCATAATTCATCAGAAGTCGGGGGATCTGGTGGACCAGATGTTTTAAAACCCAGTGCCAATGGAGGGCAAGAAGGGCCAGACCTGGGGCATCTACTTTTACTGTGTCGGCCACAGTCCAGAACCGGTCCCGCCACCGCAGAGAACCTAAGATCTAAAAACAAAGTCTCTTAGATAAGATGGCATGAAGAAAGACTAAAGCAAGAAGAAAAATAAAAACAAAGTGAACCAAGACTGCTCACCAACATCTCCCGGGAAAAGACACACAACATAGGCTATAATTGCTAATCAATGCTCAATTTACATACACCAAAAGTCTAAGACTGGACTGGAATATATGTAGGAACAGTAAGGCAGACAGAGGAGGTGAAGATCTTTTCTCTTAGTATTTGAAGCATGAAGTTATTAGAGAAAATGGAATTGCTGGGTCAAAGTATAGATTTTATGAGAAACTACTAACTGTATTCCAAAGCAGCTGTACCATTTTGTACTCCGACCAGAAGTGTAGAAGAGTTTCAGTTGTTTCATTTCTTTGCCAATACTTGCTGTTAATGATTTTAACTTTAGTTTTAATTTTAATTCTATTCTGGTGGATGGTACCGCACTGCGGTTTCAAGTTACATTTCTTTGATAACTGATGACACTGCAATTTTTAAAGTTCTTACTGGGCATTCATAGAACTTCCAAGAAGATATTCTATTCAGATGTCTTGCTCATTTTAAAAACTAGGTTGTATTATAGCTAGTTTATGGAATTTATGTGTTTTGTTAGCAGTTTTTCCCAGTATATTCATTCTCTCACAGTATGTTCATAAAGGTATCTATGAAGAATAGAAGTTTTAAATTTTGATGAAATCAATTTATCAATTTTTTTTCATTTAGAAAGAATCCTAAAAAATCTTTGCCTATATTTAGATTGTAAAGATCTTCTCCTACGTTTTCTTTTAGCCAGCTCATAGTGTCAGTTCTATTTTTAAAGGTTTCATCCATGTTGAGGTAACTACATATAATGTGAGGTAGGGGTAAAGGCCCTTTTTTTTTTTTTTTGAGACAGCGTCTTGCTCCATCGCCAAGGCTAGAGTGCAATGGCGCAATCTCAGCTCACTGCAACCTCCGCTTCCCAGGTTCAAGTGATCTCCTGCCTCAGCCTCCTGAGTAGCTGGGATTACAGGCGCCTGCCACCACACCCAGCTAATTGTTTTGTATTTTTAGTAGAGATGGGGTTTCACCATGTTAGCCAGCCTGGTCTCGAACTCCTAACCTCAGGTGATCCACCCACCTCGGCCTCCCAAAGTACTTAGGATTATAGGCATGAGCCACTGTGCCTGGCTAGGCTCATTTTACTTTATATAAACATCTAATTCTTCCATCACCATTTACTGAATAGACCATTTTTTGCCATTAAATTACCTTTGCATATTTAACAAAAAACAAAACAAAAATAACTGACCATGTATGGGGAAGGGGGGGGGGTCTATCTGTGAATCCTCTGTTTTATTGGTTTAAATGTCTATTCTTAAGACAATACCATACGGTTTTGTTTAATACAGGGTTGCAATGCAAATCAGGTAATATGAGTCTCCAACATGGCTCTTTGAATAATGCATTTTCACAGTAACATTGTTTCTAGATTAGTGATTTCCTATAGTGGTTCCATGAAGTCAAAGCTATTTTCATAATATCATGTTATTTGCCATTTTCACTATGATGACATTTACACTAATAGTACAAAAAAAGAAGGACTGGCAGGCAAATTATGACTATCTGACAGACACTGTATTGAAAATCAATGTGAACCTGTCACTTCAAGAAAAACAATTGAGAGGCCAGGTGCGGTGGTTCATACCTGTAATCCAGCATTATGGGAGGCTGAGGCAGGCAGATCATCTGAGGTAAGGAGTTCCAGAACAGCCTGGCCAACATGGTGAAACCCTATCTCCACTAAAAATACAAAAAATTAGCTGAGCGTGGTGGCACGCGCCTGTAATCCCAGCTACTTGGGAGGCTGAAGCAGGAGAATCACTTGAAACCAGCAGGCAGAGGTTGCAGTGAGCAAAGATGGCACCACTGCACTCCAGTCTGGGCAACAAGAGAGAAACTCCGTCTCAAAAAAAAAAAAAAAAAAAATTGAGGATATATGTTGCCATGATAAAATTTCAGCTTTTAAGCAAAACTTAGAATTCTGAAAAACTGGCCAGGAACAGTGGCTCATGCCTGTAATCCCAGCATTTACGGAGGTTGACGCAGGTGGATCACCTGAGGTCAGGAGTTCAAGACCAGCCTGACCAACATGGTGAAACCCCGTCTCCACTAAAAATACAAAAATTACCTGGGTGTGGTGGCACGTGCCTGTAGTCCTGGCTACTCAGGAGGCTGAGGCAGGAGAATTGCTTCAACCTAGGAGGCGGAGGTTGGCAATGAGCTGAGATCACGCCATTGCATTCCAGCATGGGCGACAGAGCGAGACTCTGTCTCAAAAAAAATTCTGGAAAACAGAGTTTGATGACTTCCTGGTAACGATTTTTCTGAAGAGATTTGTGATTTTTCACAAGTGTGACTTTTTACTTATTTATATTGAAGAATGAAATGTGCCAACTCAGTGAACAGTATTTTCCAAGTTACCAGTGCACGAGCTATAAACTAATGCAGGGTCAAAGTCTATCCAAGGTGCAAACTAGGCCAATGAATTTTCTTTTTTTAGATGGAGTGTTGCTCTGTCCCCCAGGCTGGAGTGCAATGGCACGATCTCGACTCACTGCAACTTCTGCCTCCTGGGTTCAAGCGATTCTCCTGCCTCTCGAGTAGCTGGGACTACAGGCGCCCGCCACCATGCCTGGCTAATTTTTTGTATTTTTAGTAGAGATGGGGTTTCACCGTGTTAGCCAGGATGGCCTTGATCTCCTGACCTCGTGATCCGCCCACCTCAGCCTCCCAAAGTCCTGGGGTTAGAGGCGTGAGCCACCGCACCTGGCCGTGGCCAATGAATTTTAACACAAGAAGTTCACTGATTATTTGCTCAGATTTTCCATTGCAAATAACCCTTACAAAACTACTTGTCATTTTTGGTGTGCCATCAAATAAGAATATTTGAAATTATATGAAATGGTTACTAAAATATTCCTCTCCTTTCCAACCTCCTAACTATAGGAGGCCAGTTTTTCTTCATAAACTTTATCCCAAACAACATACTACAAGAATCCATCTTTTCACAAGCCAGACATACAGAGACTTGCAGGAATGTACAACAGTTCCACATTTCTCAAATTTTACTTTAGAAATTGCTATTTTTTATTGAAAATAAGTTATTCATATTAACGTGAAATTCTTTGCTACTGTATTTTTAAGCAAATTTATGGGTTTTTTTTATGTTTTTCAGATTCAGTTCTTAATATGTAAAAACTGACAGATATAACATCGTTGGAGTTTTTGAGAACCTTTAAGAGTATAGAGGCAGAGATCAAAAAGTTTAAGACTGGCTGCTCTACTTTACTAGACTTACTAGAATAATCTGGATTAAAAATTCCATTTAATCCACATGTGACAATAATGTCTAAGAGGACTTAAGTGGATTAAAATATAACTGTTACAATCTAACAACAGGTGAGCGAATAAAAAAACTGTAGTAGATCCACACAATGGAATACTACTCAGCAATAAAGAGGAATGAACTACTGATACATGAAACCACATGGATGCATCTCCAAATCACAATGCTGAGTGAAAGAATATAAACAAAAAAGTATATATACTGCATAATTCCACGTATAGAAAATACAACTGATCCACAGTAAGAGAGCAGATCAATGGCTACCTCGTTGTGGGTGGGAGCAGGAAAGAAGAAAATACAAAAAGGGAATGAGGAAACCTTTGGGGGTGATGGATATGTTCATTATCTTGACTGTGATAATGGTTTCACAGGTGTATACATGTCAAGACTTATACACTTTAAATATATGCAGTTTATAATATGTAAATTATACCCCAATGAAGATTTTAAATATGTGTATAGGTATATTTAAAACTGTTAAGAATAAGTTTCTTAAATAATATTGGGCATATAACAACACTAAAGTTAGTCTTAGCCCTAAGAATCTTTATGCCAAGAAAGATAAATTTTGTTGTTTAAAAATAAAACAAGATGCAGTTCCTTACCTCATTGGCACTGGCATCAGACACCATTCCCTGGGAGGACTGTACCCAGAGCAGGACTAGTGCATCACAAAGTTCAAAAAAAGCAGCAAGATTGACCACAATTTCATGGGGCAGAGTGTGATAGCTTTCTGGATCTGAGAGTCAACATAAATAAAATGAGAACATTTCATCAGATTTAAAATAATCTCTGGACATTTTCAAAATAAACTGTAATCTAGAATTTAAATGTTATCCCCAGTACAAAGGTCAATTTTGAGAGCAAAAGCAAAAGCAAATTCTTTGCCTACTACAGGTTGAGTGTCTCTTATCTGCAATGCTTAGAATCAGAAGTCTTTCAGATTTTCAATTTTTTTTTTTTGATTTTGGAAATCTTTGCATATACATAATGAGGTATCTTGGGGAAACACATAGTCCAAATTTTCTATTTTACAATGTTTTTAATAATTTTGTGCATGAAACAAAGTTTGGACTGCATTTTGACTATGGCTCATCATATGAGGTCAGGTATAAAATTTTCCATTTGTGGCATCATGTCAGTGCTCAAAAAGTTCCTGATTTTGGAGCATTTCAGATTTCAAATTTTCATATTAGGGATGTTCAATCTGTATTATTAAACTCTGCAAATGAGGCATGTATACCTACAGATGTAAATAATGTCTCACGGAAAAATGCAGATTATAAAGAAAAAAATGTATATTTTATACAAGTATTTAAGTATAAAATGAAAACTAAGTACATATGTTTAGATAGATAGTTAATACCAATAGATATGAGAAAACATAAATGAAACTATTACTAACAGTAGCTGATGTAAAGATGAACTTTTTCAATTTTTATACTTTAATAG
This sequence comes from Homo sapiens, assembly GCF_000001405.40. Taxonomy (NCBI): domain Eukaryota; kingdom Metazoa; phylum Chordata; class Mammalia; order Primates; family Hominidae; genus Homo; species Homo sapiens. Next base: position 89,706,906 of record NC_000006.12, read on the forward strand.
TTTGAATTTTTTCCAACAAGCACAACTATCTTTTCAATTAACAAAAAAAAAACATGGGAGAAATGCTCCCTCCTATAATAAATGCTTATGAATATGTACTTTTTCAGCTGACAGACCTAGTTTTCAAGTGGCTCTGTTACTTGCTAGAGACGTGACCTTGAGCATCTCCGTGTCTCCGTTTCCTCACTAACAACATGGGGACCTATATCACAGGTGGCTACAAAAAGTAAATGAGATCAAGGACACATAAAAAGCATTTAGCTAAGCACCTGGCACAAAGTAAGTGCTCAGTAAATGTTAGTCATTACTATTGAGTAAGGGGACATGTTTAAAATCAGGCCAGCAGATTAAAAGAAACCAGTAAACAACAGCAGCTGCTGAATATGCCTCTCAACTTTAGCAACATTATGCAATCAGATGCTTAATTAGAGAACACAAAAGGTAAATGTTCTTACCTTGATGGAATTCAAAGGACATTCTCAAAACACTCTCTCTTAGCTTTTTGCTACCAACAGAAACCAAATTTGCTTCAGTAAAAACCCGTTTTTCCCGGTCAAGATATATGATTGTCCTGGAATGAGATTCAAAAAACGTAACAAATAGCTATCGGTTAATAACATTTTCAATCATATCCTCTATTTGCTGGAACACTTGGAACATCAGGGTCCTTCATCCTGCCATTCCTCTCCTGCCTCTGCAAATCTTGGACTAAAGAGATGGAGATGAAAGTGACAACTACTAAGGTGAAAGGAAAGATCGATGGATGGAGAAAGCTGGGTCTAGGCAGACTCCCAGGCCTTGGTCTGTCACGATCTGACAAACTGCACCGTGAACTCTTCAAAGTGGCCATGGTAGAAATGGAGGAGTTGGTGGAGCAGAGGAGTAGGGGGCTGGTAGCTTGCAAGGCACCCTCTGAGGTACACACTATACTTGTGGATTCACTTTGAAAATTAAGTAAATTCATATGTGAGTGTGTACATAAGTATGGAGGTGCTATTATGTCTCCAACATTTGAGGACAGGAAATGATGTGGACAGAGAGATTGCTGAGGAAGAGACAAGTAAAAACAAGTAGGTGAAAATGGGAGGAGCTGCTGGGAATCAAACAAAAACCAGGCTGGGCACAGTGGCTCACACCTATAACCCCGGCACTTTGGGAGAATGAGGCAGGTGGATCACTTGAGCTTAGAAGTTTAAGACCAGTCTGGGCAACATGGCAAAACCCTGTCTCTACAAAAAAGTACAAAAATTAGCCAGGTGTGGTGGTATGTACCTGTAGTCCCAGGTACTTGGGAGGCTGAGGTGGGAGGATGGCTTAAGGCCAGGAGGCAGAGGTTGCAGTGATCCAAGATTATGCCACTGCACTCCAGCCTCAGTGACAGAGCTAGACCCTGTCTCAAAAGCAAAACAAAAAACAGAAAACAGTAGAAAATATGATTATCGTATGATAAAGGCAATCATGTCCAACACCCCACAACTTCTCAGGTTCACAAAATTCAACACACATAAGCTATTTGACAGATTCTTAGGAAAGGTATAATCCGAGAAGCCAGTGAGGCAAACAGTGCCCAGAGCAGCAGGTTTCACTTACTTGTTTGCAGCTGATTCTAAAAGGGCAAAGAGCTGGTCAGGCTGGTCCGTTTGTGGGTCAAAGTCCATCAAATTTCTAATCATGTCCAGAGCCTGCATATTCCATCGGGGATCCAGAGGGATCACAAATTCATCTAGTTTAAAAACAGAACAAAACAAAAATCAGAAATATTGGAGAAACTCCTTGCCTGGGAAGTTTCAGTTGAATATTTTCATTGTTTTACTTTGAGCACATTGAATCATGATGGGGAAGAGGTTGAACCAGTAAATACCATGAGTTTCATCCCATAATACTAGAATAGCAGGGTTTAATAGCTTTTACACTCTATCTTTACCAAATGCAAAGTATCTGTATGTCCTGAAAGTTCATCCCAATGCAGGATATAAAGGTAATCCCTACTAGAATACAACATTCCAACCAATGAATTCACTTCCTGAGATCACACTAATCCATGGGCTAAATTACACAGTGGTCACCATTAGCTTAAAAAAAAAAAAAAATACGTACATGGCAGAAAATGAATAAATACACCTCACTATCTGTTTTCATTAAGAAAACAATGCAGTTTTTTAAACTTAAAAACAAATTCTCTATAATCAGAATGTGGCTGCTGCTGCCCCACAATCCTCTGGCTCACACCTGACACAACTTCTGTGAAGCAGCAGGAGGAGACTGACATTCTCCAGAAGTTGTGAAAACCCAAGGAAGGGAGGCAAGACACAAAAAAGGGTAACATTAATTTGAAGGTGGCTGGCAGGACGGTTCAGTGGAGCACTTTAAGTTTTAAAAGCATCCACCATATAGTAGACTACCCAGACTACCCAGGACATACTGTGAACAGCAGGTACATTAAGGAGGGAACCCATATTCCAACACTCAGTAAGATAAAAGGGCTACAAAACTGAAAAGGACAGTTGGAGCTAATGTGTTCCAACAGAGGACAAGCGATGCCTGCTGAAAATGAAAGCTGCTACTGTAGAACTGTGTTTGTAAAAGTTACAATCCTCTCATAGTGGAAAGCCATGCCTTAGTTCAGCCACAACTTGACTAGCAAAGTATTTTTCTCTATTGTTTGATTTCTTCCCATTCACTCCATGATCTTTAGTGCACATAAAGGAATTATTTAGCACAAAAGCATCATGCATATTTTCTTCTAAACCAAATGGCCAGTGGTATATTTTGATCAACATCAAATGAAGATGGAGGTAGAAAATTTTAAATCTGGTGTTGTGAAAATGCCCATTTTCTTCATTAATGCTTGTGCCAATCAAGTTAATATTACTCTGTTCTAGGAAATGTTTATTCTCTCACTCCTTATTTAAAAAAAATTAATCTTGAATACTTCCTTTGATCAGATATCTTAGATGTCTATTTCTGTTATCACTATGGTTTTATAACTTCGTCATCAAGGTTTTCTCAGAGACAGGGTCTGGCTCTGTTGCCCAGGCTAGAATGCAGTCAGTGGCACTATCACAGCTCACTGCAGCCTCAAACTCCTGGACTTACACAATCCTCCTCTCTCAACCTCCCAGGTAGCTGGACCACAGGTACAAGTCACCGCATCTATCATTAAAGGTTTATATTTTCCTAAATTAAATGACCCTGTGTAACTTTCCTTTAAGTCAAATATCTCGTGGTTTGAAACTCTTCCTACTAACGATACTGGTAGACAACACAAAGCTAAGGGTGGAAGGCACCTCAGAGAAATAAGAGCTTAATTCCCCTAGTTTCTAAACACAGGCAGAGACAGTGAATGATGAGCCAAAAATCTACCAAGCCAGTTTGTGGCAGAGTTGGTACCAGGGCCTAGTGTTCCAACTCCTAGATTCTTTTTACTCCATGGCATATCATCAGCCTCCTTCAGAAGCTGGAGGATAAATGGATAGTTTCAGGCCAAGCATGGTGGCTCAAGCCTCTAGTCCCAACAGTTTGGGAGACCAAAGCAAGAGGATTGTTTGAGGCCAGAATATCAAGAAGACCCTGGGCAACTTAGTAAGACCCTGTCCCTTTAAAAAAAAAAAAAAGAAATTTCAAAAAAAAAGAAGGAGAATTTGCTTCTGCATATCATGAGTCTTCTAAAAAATACCGTTATGTTGAGACCTCTAACAGGTCAGATCTTTTCCCCATAAAGTCAAAAGATAAGTTTCCAAAACAGTGCTGAGAGCTAGAAATCAAAAGTGCATACCTGTTGTATTTGGTTGTAATATTTTGAAAACATTACTGACTGCACCTGAGAGGGAATGTGAGTAAAAATTCCTGAGAGATGCAGCACTGGCTTCCAAATGAATTTGTATGGACTCTGTGGAGGAAGGAGAAACCAGTGTTAGACTCTAAAGCAGTGCTATCCAATTGAACGTTCTGCAGTGATGAAAATGTTCTACAGCTGCATAGAATAACCACTAGTCACATATGAGGACCTGAAATGTGGCCAGTGCAACTAAAGGACTGGATTTTTTATTTTTTTAAATCTAATCTACATTTACATTTTAGTAGCCCTCTCTGGCTGGCTAGTGGCTATCATATAGGACAATACAGATAAAAATATTTATAAAAATTCTCTACATATATTTAGACAGATGACCACATGTGTTACAAAATATTATAAACATCCATGGGCTTATTGACAAATTCTCATGAAGTAGAAAGGCTCATGTAAACTCAATTACTTAATCTCCACCAACAAATTCCATGTTCTGTACTTTACAATTCAAGCAATGTTGTTATTGTTGCTTTGTCCTCTCTTAAAACGAAAGAACTACAAAGAAAGTACAGGTGGCCCTCCATATCTGAGGGTTCCACATCTGTGGAATTCAACCAACTACAGATCAAAAATATTCAAAAATTTAAAAAAACAAAAAATAAAAATACAACAAAAATAATATAAATTTTAAAACAACGTACTACAACAACTATTTACATAGCATTTACATTGTATTAGGTATTATAAGTAATCCAGAGATGATTTAATGCATACAGGAGGATGTGTGTAGGGTATATGAAAATACTATCCCATTTTATATAAGGGGCCTTAGCGTCCACGTATGTTGATGTCCCTGGGTGGGGGAGGGAGAGTCCTTGTATCAATCCCCCACAGATACCAAGGGACAACTCCAAGTGTGACAACATGGAGCACTGGAACTAAAATAAGATTAGAATCTTATATACTTTTAGAGGAAATGCATTTATCAAAACTAATACCTTTCCCATATAGAATGGTTCTGTAGCAGTAGTACAGCACAAAAAGCAGATGTTCAAAACTAAAAAGTAAAATAATACAGTATGCTTTCCTTTTGAATTTGTTAGGAAGGTGACTATATCCTGAAATGCTAAGGATAACATGGAAACAAAAGTTTATCTTGTGACACATCTACAGGCAGACTTGCTCCTTAACAGTAATGCTAGACCACAAATTTCTTCCTAGGAGACCTCCCAACTGTAATTTTAACAGTGTAGTCACAGATTAACACAGCTGCTGAGGCACTTAAATAGCATAAGTGTATATAAATCACATCAGTGGACAAATTAAGCTGTTCTACTCACCAAGCCCCTGCGGTATATTCTTGGCTAAATGATAAAGCCATTTAACTCTGAGCATCCAATCCTGATTGGTTGCTCTTTCTATGAGCAATTTAACAGCCATGACCAAAACATCTGGTTCATCGATCCAGTAAGTATTCACTTCGACTGCATTGAATTTCAGGTTCTCAGGGCTGGGGGACTGCATAATTTTCTCTAAGTCTTGCAAGGTAAAAGGCTGACTCCTGAAATTCATTTGAATGAACAAACTCAGTACTAGAATAACCTTTTATTTCACATTCCAAATAACTGAGAAAACCTCTTTCACAAATATTGGATCAAAGGTAAGAGAGAAAAGGAGAGTCTCCCACAGAGGAAGAAAGTTAAAACATACCTAATAAATAATCAATAGGGAGCAATATCACAATGAACAATAAAACTATGACAGCTACACAATAAATGGCCACAGAATGCTCCAGTTAAATATATTGTGTCCTGACCATTTCCAGCAAAAATAAAAACCAGCCAAGAAACCAGAGACACAAGCTGAAGGCTCCACTGACCTTGTCCAGCTGCTGGTTTTCATGCTCATCCTGTTGAGACAATATACTAAGATCTGTCCATCTCTTCGGACTGTAGACAGGTGTGAATCTTCAGTAGCAAAGAGAGCTGAGGGCACAGAATCTGGCCACAGTCCCATGCCAAGAATGGAGTCTCCCCAGGTTTCATGTGCTCGCAAAGAAGAAACATGTTTCTCCAGTAAAGCCTGTACAAGCTGGTAGGAGACAAAAACACAATACAGTGGTACCAACATAAAAGTGATATTCCCCAAAAACCAGCAAAGTAATAATAGTCCATGCGACCACCTCACAACAACTTTTAATACACTCTTCAATGAAAAACACAAGTCAAATTCTACTTTTCCTGATGACATGTAAGTTTAAAAAAAAAAAAAAAGGAATATTTACATTCAAGCTATTTTCCAGAAAAGTACCTGGATACCAGATCTCTATTAGAGCAAACTGCAGTGGTCAACTCTCTTAGGTCACTGGGTTGCCACCTTTAAAAATAATTTCCTCGTACTCAAGAATGTAGGGTATTACAACTTAGAAACATTCTGCAATACTTCATAGTACCTTCCGGTTTGCTGGTGAATGCTGGGAACAGACATATACTTCCCAGCATGCTTCAGAAAAGGCTCTGTCTAAACTCAGCCCTCGCTGCAGGTACTGGACAATTAGTATGGCTGTCTGGATTAGAGTTGATACAGAAGATGTTGGAGAACCTATTAAAAAAAAATTGCCATCTATAAACAATAGAGTCTTTAAAATCTCCAATGAAAATGGATAAATTCTGCCCTCCCATCAAACCTCCTTCCTGTCAACCCCACCCAAATACTTACTTTACAAAACATTCCAAGTAGACTCTAGAGTCCTCCGAGGGCACAAAGGACCTGTAGGAACCTTTGTATTCCTATCTCCCCTGTTTCTCTATGGCTGTCTGTAGTTTATTATGGGGGACTCATTTATAGATGTGATAAAGTCTGGTCACATATATCCTTAATCTAATGCTGACACACACTGAAGGTGGCAAGTTGAGTGTAACCTCATAAAAGACCATGGGATTTGAAATCCAACAGGCCTATTTGCAAATTCCAGCTGTTATTATTAACTGATAAATTACTCAAACTCTCTGAGTCTTATCTGAAAAATGAAAACATATGCCTTGCAGAACTAATGTAAAGATTAAATAAACAGCTGGGCATGGTGGCTCACGCTTGTAATCCCAGCACTTTGGGAGGCCTAGGTGGGCGGATCACGAGGTCAGGAGATTGAGACCACAGTGAAACCCTGTCTCTACTAAAAATAAAAAAAAAATTAGCCGGGCGTGGTGGCAGGTGCCTGTAGTCCCAGCTACTCGGAGAGGCTGAGGCAGAAGAATGGCATGAACCTGGGAGGCGGAGCTTGCAGTGAGCCAAGATCACGCCACTGCAGTCCAGCCTGGGCGACAGAGTGAGACTCTGTCTCAAAAAAAAAGAAAAAAAAAAAAAGATTAAATAAACAATCTGCATGGTACCTAACACAGAGTAGTTATCCAACAAGCAATACTTCATTTATTATCTTGTTCCTTTTTGTGTAATTGAAAGTTTAGAAAAAGTAACACCTGTCTGCTTTAAACAACTCAAAGTTTCCTCTTTATTCCAACTTCAAGAGGCTGTTGATGACCCTGGAGAAATGATGGGCAAACTTCATAAACCTCAGTGCGTAAAGTGGAATTACTCGAGGGTTAGCCTCTGCTTACTTGCATCAGAATGACATAAGAAGCGTCTTTCAGATACTGATTCCTGTGCCTTGCCCTGCCCTGCTGAACCCAATCTCTTGGGGTGTCTGGAAATCCACATTTTTAACAAGCTTTCCTGATAATTTCTATATACACTAAATGTACGAAATCTTTGATGAGCAGTCCAATGGAATGACATAAATTTCTTGAAGACTAAAACTCTGCAAAGGCCCAAAAGTCAAGCACCTCACCTACAACAGTGCTCCGGGTCTCTGTGTGTAAAGCCAAGAGGATGTCACATACACTGTTCCCCACCAATCCAAGGCTGTGCAGCAGAACTTTCAAATCCAGGTTGTCTGGGGTGCTTGCATCCCCTTCCCCTGAAATGTAGATTTCAAGTCCACGATTCCTCATAGCTCGGGATATATCTCCATGAACAGGATCCATCGAGAGGAAAAGTCTAGAAAAATAGCAATTCAAAGAAAAAAATGATTTTAAATCCCAGTGCAACCAAAGGTGTAGCTCAGCATCAGTCAGTGAGGGCAAATCCTATGTGGCTCATTGTCACAGAATTCACACCAAGGATCTTTTACTTCTAGCATGCATCAATATAGCAAAAGATTTTCTCTAAACCTACTTTCCTAAGGAACTGTGTATGATATATCCAGTGTACCTTTAGTGCTGAGAACTTTAAAAATTTAACCTTCAGATATTCCCCAGAGTAGGCTGTACTAATTCATTATTCTAACTCACCTACAGACAGCAGAACAGGAAGCAAGTGTAGTCTCCTGAAACAACTGGATTCATATATTGAATGCCCATCAACATCTCCATCTAGTTATCTTACACCTCTGATGTATGTCTGAAAGTAAACAGCTGATTCCCGGTAGACCCTCCCCACATTAAACCTGCTCCTTTACCAGTCTTCCCTTTCTCAATGAATGGCAACCCCATTTACCCAGTTACTCAAGCCAAAAACATAGGTGTCATCCTTGATTCTTCTTTTTCTCAACCCACATGTCCATCAGCAAACCAACCCATCTGACCACCCTCATCTAAGCCACTGTGATGTGTTGCCTAAATTACTGCAAAAGGATCATGACTGGTATCTCTGCTTCCCACCTTCGTCACCAATGCAAGGCAAGGACCTTGCCCCTCTTGTTTATGCTGTGTTTCCAGAGCCCAGCAATGCCTGGCAAATAGTAAAGCCTCAGTAAGTATTTGTTAAGTGAATTAATAAATGGGTGAACTTCTCCATGATTCAGTTTATAAATAAAATATATAAGGAAGTCCTACTGAACGTCTACCTCTGCTACTGAGGCTGTCAGATTCTGAGGCAGAAATGTAAGAGATACAAATACCTGAAATTGGGATTTGGTGTTATCGTGGGAGTGGATCCATCTATCATTCCTCTCTCACTAATAGTGAGGACACCTCCGGGTTCAAGCAAAGCATTCAAACGATCCAACACTGATGGGCTGCAGAGACAGAATTCAGATGGTGGATAGGCTGACATGCTGCATTGACTCTTCTTTCCTTCCATGCACGGGGCTCCAAATGCTTTTGACTCACATTTCCTTTCGGCACAATCATTCACCCAGATACAACAGTGATCTCTTTCAAAAGTAGATTCCCCATTGATTTTCCTTCTCGCTTCCCTAGGCACATAGCCCAGGGCCTTATACACAGTAAATACACAAGATATTTTTGAATAAATGAAATTAAAGAAAATGATAAGTTCCTTGCACTATAACCTTTTCACTTTTTCCTTTCCTGCCCCCCATCCCTCAACATTATCAAATCCATTTAAGGCAGCTGGATTTCAATTTGTAACATTCAGATAAATGCTCCGTGAAGAAATAGTCATCATCTAACTTGTAGTAGCTTCTATGTTAACTGTATATGTACAATAGTTTCACACTTGTCCTTTACCTTACTGCAAGATCAAGAATGATACATGGTTGAATTGCTGCATCACTGATGGCCATTTAATAAATGCCTGCCCTGTGTCAGACCCTGCATTAGAAAAAACTGCACTGAAGAAACCCTAACAAAAGGAAGACTTCTGATATTAAATTAAAAGGCCTAACTCAAAGGACATTGCCAGGAAAAATAATCCAATTTTGTTAGCCTTTGCTTTGGCTGAAAATTATCATACAGAGCTGAAATCTTATAACTGTCTGATGACGAATTACCACTGTTCACCACAGGGAGAAGTCTACAGAATATGGCTGAGGACGCTTGCGTAATTAAGAAAAACAGTAGCTTCAAAATACCAGCACTTCTATCTGGGTTTCTACTTTGACAAGCATATCCCAAATTTCAAGTTGGACCACTGATTAGGCATAAGGTTCTTACTTGCAGAAGTTAACATTGTCCATCAGAAGCCAGTCTCCAGACTTCAGGGCCTGAACCAACATGCTGTCAACCCATTCAAATGTGCCATGGCTATGGCCACTGGCCAACTGCGTAAGCTTCACACCAAAGCTTCGGAACTCTTCAACAAGTTTGGCAAACTCTGAAATGTCACAGGGAAGAATCACCATCCACAGCACTTAACTTCAAACAAAGAATTAAGTTTATGAAAAGGAAGCTTGATACTTCTAGCCAAGGTTTTTAAGATTTCATAAAAGAATAAATAGAAGAATGTTTTGCTTCTGTTTAAACACAGATAGGAAAGTTAAGTTTAAGACAGAAAATACGTTTTAATGGCTCTCTGTATTAATAGCTACTCAGGGTTGACTCTAGGGTGATAGAGGTGGCAAATGATTTTTCTGTATTACGGTTTCTCAAATGGCAGAAGGAGGACGTTTCCCACCTATCAGTGCATTTATACTAAATGAAAGTGCTATAACTTCACACAGTGCAAACTGGGCTTCCTTTATAATGAGCATATCATATGATTATAGTAATATAGTAATAACTGGTAATTACTTGCCAAATGCTTTATAGTTTATATAGCCCTTCCCTCGAAATTTTTCAGTTGATCTTTTTGGTTGGAAACTGTTTTATGACCATTTTTCATATCACAAGGTAATACACATTGGATTTCTACTTCTAAAGATGAGGGAGTAACGAGGTTTAGACTTAACATACCATAGTCCAACCACTTGCTAACTGTAAAACTGTAGGCAAGTAATTTTGTCTCTTTGAATATTCACATCCTCATCTATTAGATGTAGATAATCCTTCCTATAATGCAGTGTTGTCACGGTGATTAAAAGTACATATATTCAGTATAGTGTTTATAATAGAAATTCATAACTCAATGGTGAGTTTTACAATACCCATTTAAAAATATATGACACATGACTGCATCGGATATCTTTTATAATTAGAGTGAATGAGTAAAGGATTTCAAGTTCAAATGGCAGGCTTAAAGTGAGAAATGACAGATCAAATCAACAATGAAGAAAGTAAATGAGTGGCCCACCGCCACAGATAAAATGTTTGCTGGCCAAGAAGTGGGATGTCTGATTTCTTCGGCTATAAGGAATCAACACTTTGTAATCAGTTACAAGCAGGCTTTGGAAATAAAGAATGACAAGCATAGTGACAGACCCAGCCTGTGGGCCTTTAGGTTGAATCCTCCCTAAGAGCATGCTCACCACCACTCTGAAAGTGGCACCACAAAATGAGAGAAATTTCCATGTTAATTGGATGGCATACAGGATGATATATTTCCTCCATCTCCACACAAATGAATAAACACATCCTATGAATTCAGACTCCTATTCTTCAGTTTAAAAATGCTCAATTTCCTGAGAAATTATTGAGTAAAAAAATAGCCAGTAATAATAAAAGTTTTACATGCTGTTTTATCATTATAGGTGATTACACACAAAATAAACCATAAAGCAACGTAACCAATTTTTTTCCTATTTGATTTTTCAGGATCAACTATTCTGAATACTTTACCTCAGCTTCATTTTACTTTCTAGGTCAAACTTTCCCACAAGTTCTGATTGTTAATAATTACTAAATTAATACAAAACATTTGTAAATCTATTACGTGTAAATGGACACAATATAAGCAATGGTAAGTTCCTGATACAGAGATCCAAATATACATACCTGCCTTGCAGTATGAGTTGATTTTATTGTTGAGTCGCTGCATAAGCAATAACACTGCTTCTAGTTTGTTGACAATCTCCATCGTGATAGCTTTACCACCTTCTCCAAGACACTTAGGCTTATATGTCAGAAGAAAATGACTCCAGGCTCGCAGCACTACTTCTGCATCATCAGCACTGATAAGGAGGCTATCCCTTAACAGTGCCCTTACAGTTCCCTCCACCTTCTCTAGCAGCCTCCTCCAAGGTCGTATAAGATCAACCTGTAATTTCCAGAGGACATGAACTCATCATAGGGTCAGAGAATACTGTTATCTGTACTCATCACCAACTCAGAAGACTCTCAGTCAGACCACGGGGTTTATTATGCTTTGCCAGAAAATATGAAGGCAGACTGGTTACCTGCTCAAATCCACCCAGCAGCTCAGTAGTATCCATTGCACTGTTCATAGCCATGATCTTTAATGTGTGGCCAGTAAGGTGTGCCAGAAGCTGGACCAGGCTGGTCTTGCCCACAGAGGCTGGCCCGACCAGGATGACCATCCAGCTCATCTGCACACACTTCATGATTGACTCCAGGGGTTGGAATGACTGGTGCAGGAGCAACAGGGGATGGCGGGACGGGTGAGGAACACAGCTCCCACGGGAAAGGACTGAGTAGCCCAACTGAAAAGACATGCCAGTGAGATTTCCATAAGCGTGCCTGGTAGTGGGAGCAGAAGAAACCATTAAAAAATGTCAAAGGATAGAGGATTATCCTAGTCTCCTTACCTGAACATCATAGGGAGTGATACGAAATAGTCTGGTTCCCATGTATGGGTTGGAATTTGAACCAAACACATCCTTGAATACAGCAATGACCTAAAGGAAGAAGATAATGCAATGAAAACACAAATCACTCCACCTAATTCTTAGGCAAACTTTCTAGAAAACAAGCACAGTGATAAGAGTCACTATTCTAAAAACACTGGCCACAATTCCCTTATCCTTTTGAATTTTCTCTTATAAAAAGGATTGACTGCATTTATTTAATTCTTTGGAATGAAAGTAAATTTGAGATTGAGAACATAGCAGTCATATTCCAAACTATCTGAGATTCCAGTAACAATGCACCATAAATTAAATTGAAGCCATGGACACTGTAGTATTGAAATCTAGAGACAAAAAAAGAGTTGTTTGCTTTCATCATTGAAGATACTACCTAAAAAGAGGATAGAACAGTAATACGAAGATTATAAAGAAAAATGACCATTCATTAACCACCTCCTATGTACCAAACACTGTATTAAGTACTTTGGTAGATTATTTCTGATCTTTATACCCATGCAAAATAGTTACCATGTCCATTTTATATAGACAACAGCACTCACAAGAGTTATAGAATTTGCCCATGGTTGGTGACCGATTTTAAATCTAAGCCAGTCAGCCTCCAAAAAACATGTTATCCCTCCAAACATTTATGTAGATATGAAAACCAAATTTATTCCTCTAACCAATTATTTACATTGTTATCCTTTCATTAGCAGTAATGCTATTAGAAAATGTTCTGTTGACTCTTTTATTTTGGATCTCTAAAAAATCTAAGAGTAATGGTGGGGGGCGGATAGAGGTATATAAAAAACATTAATTTAGCCCACAGAAGTAGGGAAAATTAAAGCCAGAAAAAAAATAAATAAAGTATACAAAATAGTATTTCTAAAAAGCAGCAATACTTACATAATTGAATACTACAATGAAGTTAAAAAATAAAAATAATATAGATAAAATCATAATCAGTGTCAAACATTGGACTGTGAGACTAAAAGCAGCATAGGAAAGTGTTCCTGTCACCTACCTATGAGTCCAGGTGATACATGACCTCATGTTCCACACTAAAGTATATAATCTCCAACCCCTGATGTTCTACCAGAGGGTTAAAATTACAAATATTGCTACTCGGGAGGCTGAGCCAGGAGAATCACTTGAACCCAGGTTGCAGTGAGCCAAGATCACGCCACTGTACTCCAGCCTGGGCGACAGAGCAAGACTCCATCTCAAAAAAAAAAAAAAAAAATTCCCAATCTAGCTCTTTGGTTTAGCTTTATAAAATCAAAATTCCATTCAACTGGACTCTTCTAGCTTTTACAGACTTTATCCTTCTATAACATTATTTTTCTTGACCTTGTCTCCCCCGCTAGAAAACACCTATAAGGTCCATTACAATAACCTTGAATTGGAAGAGTGATGGAAAACTTCCACATACCACAATGACCCAGCACCTGACTAATCAATCATTCAACAACTGGCATGTGTTTTGGTCATAATTAATATACTATAAGTGGATGAAGAAATTAAAATACTAGCTGATTATGTGAATTATATATCAATAAAGCTGTTAAAAACTACTAAGACTTTCTCCTAATCAAATGATTGAAAGTCACCTACGTATGATAAATGAGTTAGTGTGTAATTAGATTCTGAATACCACACTAAAGAAGCTCTGGGTGGCCGGGCACAGTGGCTCACTCCATTTGTAATCACAGCACTTTGGGAGACTGAGGCAGGAAGATTGCTTGAGCCCAGGAGTACAAGACCAGCCTGGACAACACGGCAAGACCACATCTCTATTAAAAGTAAAAACAAATTAGCCATGCCTTGGTGGCATGTGCCTATAGTCCCAGCTTATCAGTGGGCTGGGGTGGGAAGATCCCTTGAGCCCAGGAGGTCAAGGCTACATTAAGCCGGCATTGTGCCACTGCATTCCAGCCTAGGCAACAAAGTCAGACCCTGCCTCAAAAAAAATAAGAACAGCTTTTCGAGGTAGGAGTCGACTCCTGTGAGGTATGGTGCTGGGTGCAGATGCAGTGTGGCTCTGGATAGCACCTTATGGACAGTTCTGTCCCAAAGGAGGGATGAGAATAGCTACTGAATTGTTTCTTCCCAGGTCCTAAAGAGCAAGCCTAACTCAAGCCATTGGCACACAGGCATTAGACAGAAAGCTGAAGTTGAAATGGTGGAGTCCAACTTGTCTGGACCAGCTTAACGGTTCTGCTCCTGGTAACGTTTTTATCCGTGGATGGCTTGCTTGGGTAAGGACATGAAGACAGTTCCTGTCATACCTTTTAAAGGTATGGAGAGTTGGCTTGACTACCCTGTGTGGAGCAAGTTTTAAAGAAGCAAAGAACTCAGAATTCATGCTTGAAGAAATGCAGGCAGACCTGTTATCCTAAACTAGGGTTTTTAATGACCACAACAAGCAAGCATGCAGCTTACTGCTTGAAAGGGTCTTGCCTCACCCAAGCTGGAGTGCAGCGGCCTTTGAAGCTTACTACAGCCTCAAACTTCTGGGCTCAAGTGATCCTCAGCCTCCCAATGGTCTTTGTAGACCGCCTGATGGAGTCTCATGGCACAAGAAGATTAAAACAATGTCTCCAATTTTAATAAATTTTTGCAATCCAAAAAAAGAAAAAAAATAAGAACAAACAGAATGGGTAGCAGAATGAAAGGGCTGTGAAAGTCACATGTGCTATGGGCCAGCCACATGTTCACATTTCAACAAGGAGGTTACTGCTTCTAGTGCATGCATCTATGTATCTATTCATTTATTTTCAAACAGTGAAGTTTACTAGAAGGAAACAGCAGACAAACTGGAGAGGGCCTAAACTGGAAAGCTGGCTCTGCTACCTGTGACACTCCATAACTTTAAGCCTTGGATCTTCACCTGTAAGATGCCATGACAGCACCTCCTGCCTATAGCTACTGTGAGCATTCAGCGAGACAGGATTTTAAATACCACAAACTAAAATGCACACGTTATTACAATTCCTTACAGTGGGAATTCTAGTTTTACAAACAGGTATTTTTATTTTCACTTAAACACAGAATATTCTCTCTTTATACGATTATACTTTCTAGACAAAATGCTTTGTAATTTGACATTTATTTAAAAACAAAACAAAACAGAAAAACTTCCTCTTCTACGGAGTATCACCTGTCTGCCTCCTCCTGCTTCTCACCTTGGTGCCTGTAAAGATGGTGAAGACTTAGTTCTTTACTACTGGAGGGCAATACTGCTTTAAGGTATGTGATCATGGGGATTTGGATAGATAAGCAAATTATGTCCTCTAAAGCAAGCTACTCTATATTGTGAGACCCCAAGGTAGGAGAACGTTTAGTCTGTTCTTTTAACTTTTAAATTTTGAAGCAGCTTTAACAGGCTTGCTAGCCGGGCGTGGTGGCTCACGCCTGTAATCCCAGCACTTTGGGAGGCTGAGACAGGTGGATCATCTGAATTCAGGAGTAGAGATCTGCCTGACCAATATGGTGAAACCCCGTTTCTACTAAATACAAAAAATTAGCCGGAACTGGTGGCTTATGCCTGTAATCCCAGCTACTTGGGAGGCTAAGGCAGGAGAATCACTTGAACCTGGGAGGTGAAGCTGCAGCAAGCCAAGATTATGCCATTGCACTCCAGCCTGGGCAACAAGAGTGAAACCCAGTCTCAAAAAAAAAAAAAAAAAAAAAGGCTTGCAATTAGTGTATGTCCTTTCTCACCCACAGGAAATCAACTTTCAGATGGAAAGAAATACAAATACCAAGCGTGAAACTCACCTTTTTTTTGTCCTCTTCGGTTCTCATTCTTTCACCATAGACCAAAAACACATGCTGACCAGGATCATAACACCCAGGGGACTGGTCAACCAGCATCAACTGACACCAGCGGAAAAGGTCCCGGAGGTTGAATTCCCAGGGTCCTCCTTTTTGCCCCCATTTCTTCTCAACAGTCACTTCATGATCAATCTAGAAAGAAAACATCCTGATTGGGAAACATGCCCTGCTTACTACTAGGCACTGCATTAAGTACTAGGAATGTACTACAAAAGCATATGTAATCTGAAACAAAAATTAACAGGCTTGATTCAGAGCCTCTTTCTCAAGACTTCCAAATGCCTGGCTTATCCTCTAAGCATTAACACTGGTAGTCACAATACAGAAATGAATTACTGGAAGCCTCCACTACATAGTGTCCCTTCCACTAGAAACCTGTAGAATTCAAAGTAATTTTTTTTAGTTAGAGATCCTGATAATTTGGTAGAACTCTATGTTGAAAAAATACTGGTTCAAATACAGCCAGAAAAAAAAAGAAACCAATACGTGTAGGTACTTACTTGGTTATTGAAAGCAACCATTTTCTTAACAATATTTTTCTCAATGGCTGGAAACAAAGTACTGGCAATGAACTCCATGTCAATTACTGTAAGGGGATCAACGAAGACCTAGAAATCCAAAAATAATATGAAGAAATGCCTTTGTTTCTCTTTACCAAACACTAGAAATGACTACCATGTCTTATTATGCAAAATCTTTAATACCAAGTAACAATACATGAGAAATATAATTTTCAGTTATAGAAATTTCTTTTTTTGTGTTTTGAGAATAAAGAATCATAAAATCTTCTAAATACAGCTGAGTAGAGGTTTTGTTTTTAAGGTCTATTCTAGTGAATTAAAGAAAAAAGAGGCCCAGTGCGGTGGCTCACACCTGTAATCCCAGCACTTTGGGAGGCCAAGGCAGGTGGATCATGAGGTCAAGAGATCAAGACCATCCTGACCAGCATGACGAAACCCTGTCTTCACTAAAAATACAAAAATTAGCTGGGCATAGTGGCATGCGCCTGTAGTCTCAGCTACTCAGGAGGCTGAGGCAGGAGAATTGCTTGCTCCCAGGAGGAGGAGATTGCAGTGAGCCAAGATCACGCCACTGCACTCCAGCCTGGGCGACAGAGCAAGATTCCATCTCAAAAAAAGAAAAAAAAAAGATACATGTTATTAAAAATTTCCTATGTATAATGTAAAATGCTTTTAAATCTGGGTGGTAGATACGAGTATTCACTATAAAAGTCATCCAATTTTTCCATATGTTTGAAAGTTTTCTCAATAAAACATTCTTCTTTTTTTAAGATGGAGTCTCATTCTGTTGCCAAGGCTGGAGTACAATGGCGCGATCTCAGCTCACTGCAACCTCCGCCTCCCGGGTTCAAGAGATTCTGCTGCCTCAGCCTCCTCAGTAGCTGGGATTACAGGCACCTGCCACCACACCCAGCTAATTTTTGTATTTTTAATAGAGACGGGGTTTCGCCATATTGGCCAGACTGGTCTCGAACTCCTGACCTCAGGTGATTCACCTGCCTTGGCCTCCCAAAGTGCTGGGATTACAGGCATGATCCACCATGCCCAGCCAATAAAACATTCTTAAAAGATACTCAGCCAATTCTTAATCATAAGAGACAGTGACACTAAAGAAATCTAGAGACATTTCCAAACCTCTGGATTGGCCAAACTCTGAAAAACTGATGTTAAAACAAGTAAGCATACACATACACAGGTACCCCTCTGCAAGTAAGAATAAAGGCATAAGATACCAAAATGTTAATAATGACTGACTGGGGAATAGTGGATTTTTATTCTTCATAGTAGTTTTCTGTTCTTTCTTTTCTTTAGTTAAAATGCATTATTTTCAATAAAAATTTTTCTTATATATTTCAACAGATCAGAGGGACAATTGAAAAGGTCCAAGATTGGACTTCATCCCAGAGTGCAGTCACAGAATCCTGAAAAGGCTGGGGACCTTACTTTCTTCCAGCTGATAACACATCTAGTCTTCCAGGGCAAAAGATGAAGGACAGAAGCAATGATGGGAATCAGTCACATTAATATTGATCATATAAGGACAAGAAAGAGGATCATTAAGCTGATCCTCTCTAATTCTCATAGTGAATATCCTTAAAGGCTTCATAATAGTAGTCTTATCCCCTCCGAGTCTATCTTTGGTCTCTATGGCAACAGCAAATCTTACCTGAGTGAATCTGTTAAGGAAAGACCTGGGCAAGCCTTTCCTCCCACCTCCTTGTCTAAAGGGATTCTGACACCCAAAAATCTTCGTCTTTTCATGCTGCACTTGAAAGCTCATTCCTAACTCAGGCACATAGATTTCTCCTCGGTGGTCAAAACAAGCATTGAGTCCTTCCAATACAGACTGAGAAGCCAGGTTAAGCTATTTAAAGAAGAAAGTACATAATTTGTCTCAAATATATTATACAACTGCAACAAAAAGCAGGGGAATAATATGCAGCAAATAAAGCTAGAGTTATCTTCAGAAAGGGAATTTCAAACAATATTGATAACCTTCTGTATTTTTGGCTGAGTTATGGTTGGTTTGTCTTCATTCTATTATGCTTTTGTTTTTGAGACAGGGTTTCACTCTGTCACTCAGGCTGCAGTGCAGTGGCACAATCACAGCTCACTGCAACCTCTACCTCCAGGGCTCAAGAGATCCTCCCATCTCAGCCTGCTGCATAGCTGTGACCACAGGTGTGCACCACCACATCCAGCTAATTCTTTTTTTTTTTTTTTTGGTAGAGCCAAGGTCTTGTTATGTTGTCCAGGATGGTCTCAAACTCCCGGGCTCAAGTAATTCTCCAACCTTAGCTTCCCAATGTTAGAATTACAGGCATAAGCCACTGTACCTGGTCCAATTCTATTATTCTTTATTTCCCATGTATGTTAGAGATTTTGTCTGGTATTTTATACACACACACACACACACACACACACACACACACACACGTATATATACACACATATATTAATAATCTTTAAACTGAATAAATGCTCAAATTAAATTTTAAAGTTAAGAATCTTCTCAAAAGTTAAACTGTATCCATTACATATAACCTATATTAACCTGCTCTGTAAGTAATAACTTGCAGAAAAACTTGCCAATACACAGATATTTCATTTTCACAATCTGAGTTTTTAAGATGTGTAACACAAATTAGCCAGGAGTGGTGGCTCATGCCTGTAATCCCAACACTTTGGAAGGCCGAGGCAGGTGGATCACTTGAGGCCAGGAGTTCAAGACCAGGCGGGCCAACATAGCGAAACCTTGTCTCTACTAAAAATACAAAACTTAGACATTGTGGTGCATGACTGTAATCCCAGCTACTCAGGTGGCTGAGGCAGGAGATTCACGATTCAGTTGAACCTGGGAGGAGGAGGTTACAATGAGCCGAGAACCCACCACTGCACTCCAGCCTGGGCGGCAGACTGAGACTCTGCCTAAAAAAAAAAAGAAAAATAGAAAAAAAAAAAAAAGAAAAGAAAAAGAAAAAGACATGTAACACTAATTGTAGAGAATAGATAAGGTTTGTTAACTCTTTAAATACTTTCCCATCTCAAACACTGAACAAAATCTCCAACGGGTTTCAAAGTCAGGATATAAAGTGAGTTAATACAGCTGATTTCCACCAATTTTGTAAATAAGAACAATTACAAGGGGCTCTTGTGCCAGGATGAAAAGAGCTGAATGTAGGTCTTCAGATGAGTAGTTCAGAGCTCAGGGATGTGAAGCATGTGTGGTTTGTTGGTAACATAGAAAAAGGAGATCGGGAAAATACAAGTTATTAAAATGCAAACAGGCAAAAATCAGAGCACACTACATTAGAATTTCAAGTGTCATGTTTACACAAGCACCACAAAGCACAAACACTTCTGTATATTCCCAAACAGAAGGCCGCTCTTAAATGTGTTTATAAATCTAGAATGTCTTGTCGTCCCTGAATGCAATTCCACTAAATATGCAATTCCACTAAATACTAAGTATGGTCAGTAGCCTTCAGCTTTAAAACTAGGCTTTCTCTTTTCCTGGCTAATATATATTCTATCAGACATCTTGTTCAAAAAAAAATCTGAAAAATGGAAAAAAATTCCCTCTCCTTGTTATCCCAAGAATAAAAGGCAGAAAGCAGCTCAGCAGACAGGAGTCCCACAGCACCCTCTCTGATGATCAGACCCAGGAGTCTGAACCTGGGGGACCTGTTGCAGCCTGTGTCCAAAGTCTCACCTGTGACACGTACATCACTCTAATCATTTCAGCTCCACAAATATTTCTAGCCTTTTCCTGAATATTGTACACCCCAAACTGACCCAGCTCCATATCTCTAGTTGTCAGAGATTCAGTATTTATCATGTCTCATACTCTGCTCTTTCTTCTGATGAATAATTTACCCCATATGCACACATAACGGATCGTTTCCTCATTTCAGTAGGTCATTTTGTATGTCTTTCCTTAGTCTCTCCGGTGCACTAATAAAACATGAAGCGGTTGACGCTATTTATAAAATGCCTCTAAAATAAATGCAGAAACGGCAAGCCTGTCAGAGACTAAACTAGTGACGATGCAGTTTTCCTCTGAAGGATAACTTTAAACAGTGGGAGAGTTTGTAGGTTTTATGTACAAGGGCCTCTTTTTGTGTATTCTGCCAAGTGACCTTCCTCATTCTTAAAGAAAACTACAGAGGATCTTTTCATTAGAGAAAAGTCATCAGCGGGATCTTCCACTGAGAAATGGATTGTGAAATGGAGCTGTGAAAGGATGACTGCTCCTCACACACATGATCACCGTCTTGGGCATGACAAACAGGCCCCTCACCTCATCCAACACCACCCAATGGCCTGCCTTCAAAGCTGCCAGTAAGGGGCCATCACGCCAGGCAAACTCTCCTCCCTTGCCACCTTCAACAGGTAGATCTGCTCCAAACAGGTCTGTGATGTCCTTTGAAAGGGGAAGAAATGGAAAGAAGCCATTATTACTTTAAAAATCAACTGGATTCTAACACCCTAAATCTGAAATGATAAATACTTGGGGCTGGCACCACTACTCTTCCTTCCTACACCCAAGATAGAACTAACCAATCCCAGCTCTCTTTACCAGGAGCCCAAACATGCCCCCAAGAACTTTCCCAACATGTTCCATATATCAATCAATTTGAGCTGGTGCTCTAGATTAACAGTTCTCAACATTGGCTGTACTTGGAATTTAATTGACAGGCTTAAAAAAAAAAGAAAACAAAATCCTATTCCAAAGGATTCTCATTCAATTTGTCATCTGTACCATATTTTCCTTAGATTGTTAAAAGTCATTTTATTTCTACCACTTTTTAAAAAAAAATTTAAGCAAAAAATTAACTGGGGTTATATTACAATAAATACCAAAGTGGATAATTCTCTCTCGAAAGAGAATTAGAATAAAGCATCCAGAGAGAATTAATATTATAGGTGTCAGCAATTAACAAATCCAAAGAAGATTTAGTTTGGAAGGTCATGTTGCTGTGGGCTTTATTATGATATGAAATATCTGAGGATACAGGCCAGGCGCCATGGCTTACGCCTGTAATCCCAACACTTTGGGAGGCCAAGGCAGGTGGATCACTTGACATAAGGAGTTTGAGACCAGCCTGGCCAACATGGTGAAACCCTGTCTCTAATAATAATACAAAAATTAGCTAGGTGTGGTGGCGGGCACCTGTAATCCCAGTGATTAGGGAGACTGAGGCAGGAGAATTGCACCCCACTGCACTCCAGCCTGGGCAACAGAACGAGACTCTGTCTCAAAAAAACAAAGAAAAGAAAAGAAAAGAAAAATTTGAGGATACTGATAATGTAATCATTTCTGATTAGGCAAATATAAATTGACACAGACATTACTATCTATAGCTATCTCCATCAGCTGTAGGATGACCGAGCTTACCGTTTGCTCTGATAAGTTGATTCTAACAAGGGTATTTCCTGAAGCCTTTGCTAATGCTCCCACCAAACTTGTCTTGCCAACACCAGGGGAACCCTCCAGGAGAATGGGCTTCTTCAGTTTGGTAGCTCTTAAGAGCCTCTGTGCATTCATAGCAGTGGTCCCTGCACTGAGTGCATAGTCTGCAATATTATTCCTGTGTAGGACAGGTCCTTAAGTGGAGAAAAGTAAAGTCATGTATAAGCGGGACATCATCAAATCACATGTATGCATCAACTCAAGATTTTAAAAATCTACCACATGGGTTATCAGTTAGTGAAATACCATTTGCAGTGAAAATGTTCAATCCCTATTTCAATATTTCCCCACTTTTAGATCCATAAAATGCTTTAAAGGAATATCCAATAACACGTTTTCTTCAACAGTGCCTACTACACAGATCTCTCCATCTCCTATACACATACATGTACATGCAAACACACACCTGTCCTTTCACAACCTACACCCTGAATCACTGTATGTACTTGTACAATTTACCTTCATAGTTACTTTCCTAAAAACCAAGTGTAAGCTAGGCATATGGGCCACATGGTTCCACATAATCAACTTCATCCAATGTTTTTGGCCACCAAAACAATTCACACTGTGTCCTTAACCTGTAAGTTAACTGATATGCAGGACTAATAACAGTCTTGTAATATTTAACATTTGTGCCACTGTCTCTTGGAAGAAGTTTTTGTTTTGTTTTCGTTTTTTTTTTTTTTTTTTTTTGTACACCAGTTTGAAGGGAGTGAGGCTAGGAAAACATTTATTACCTCACCCTTGGTAGCAGAAGCAAGGACCACCCCAGTTCTAGGCCACTAGCATGTATCTCCTACACAGGAGCACTGAGTCCTATGATGGTGGCTTAGAGAAGGGATTTGATGGTTAGATTATACAGCCCATCAGGGATGAAGAGAGAATACTGCTAAGGAGAGATGGAGCTCTGAGGACAGGGGCAAGGGCAATGGAACCTGGACTGGTTATGTTCACCACTGAAACCCCAGTAATTGCCACTGCAACTCCATATACTTCAGGCATTCATCAATCATTAACATAGAGAGGGCGGAGGGACAAGAAACAGATGACTCTGCTACAGAAACAACATCCTGAAAAAGTAGAAGCACCTTAGAAGTAGCTAATCTAACTGCCTCATTTAAATACTTGGTAGAGACAATCTAGTTAGATAGAAAGAGAGAAAGAATTAGAACACAAACCCACTATCTCCTAGACTACTGCATTTCCCATTTAATCATTCACTCATCCATCAGAAATTTTCTGAGTGCCTATGACTGTGAGGCCTAAATGTCAGATGCCAGGGACCGGATCAGGAATGACACATTACCAGCCTTCAAGGGTTCACAAAACCTGTTTCTGTAAAAGATGATGAGGTTGTATAGTTAAGATACATTATAGGCTAAATAGGTCTTTGCAAGCCACTTAAAAGTTTATTGTCAACATTAGTAGAGTTTAGAGCTTTACTATAGGAAAGTTCCTAATGTGGGAACCAACTAATAAAAAAATAAGCACTGTATAAGACAATCTATTTATAGATTGAAGTCTCTATTTCCCTCTATTTTTACATGCCAGTCAGGTATTTTCAACCATTCACACAATTATGGTTATTCTCAAGTCAGAATCTAACTCAGTTAGTGCAAATATAATCATGAGTATTACACATTAAAACTAAGTCACAATAAAAGCCAAGTATCTATGATCTATAGAAAAGGAAAATTCATTTTTTAAAAATCATTCTTACCCCTTGGTATAAAAAATGGATGAATTCCCCAAAGGTTATCTATTCCAGTGAATTCTTTGGCCTTCATTCTGTCATAAATCTTCAACTCATTTTTCTGATATTCTGTAAGTCGTACTATCTTGGCAAGCCTCTTGATTAGAAATTTCAGACATTCTTTTCGTGCCAAAAGGGCTGTACCAAACCCAGAGGAAGTTACCCCTAAAAGACAGAGGATCAGTCCATGAAGCAACAGTACAACACCAAGCTTCACCACCATTAAGCAGGAGCTCTAGCACAGGTTCCCGGAAAAAAGAGGCCTCAGCAAAACTGCAGCCTAAATGTGATTTCTAGTGTAAGCAGTCCTAAGAAAGAAGTCCAACACGCATCCCCCACAATCTATGGATTATCAATTAAGCAGCAGATCATTCAGTAAAGCACTCTAGTCACTCAGTGATAAATCAGCCTACATACAGTACCTAATATGGCACTAGTAACCATTTTTATTTATATTTCAAATCTTCATGGCTGAAAAACCACAGTGATTTTTATGACATTAAAATAAACTTAAAATATTCAGGCCCATTATCAAAAAATTACTACTCATGTTAAACATTGGCCAGTGCTTCTATTCACAATAGCAAAGACTTGGAACCAACCCGAATGTCCATCAATGATAGACTGGATAAAGAAAATGTGGCACATATACAGCATGGAATACTACGCAGCCATAAAAAATAAGTGCATGTTCTTTGCAGGGTCATGGATGAGGCTGGAAACCATCATCCTCAGCAAACTAACACAGGAACAGAAAACCAAACACCACATGTTCTCACTCATAAGTGGGAGTTGAACAATGAGAACACATGGACACAGGGAGGGGAACATCACATACTGGGGCCTGTCAGGGGATGGGGGGCAAGGGGAGGGAGAGCATTAGGACAAATACCTAATGCATGAGGAGCTTAAAACCTAGATGACGGGTTGATGGGTGCGGCAAACCACCATGGCACATGTATACTTATGTAACAAACCCGCATATTCGGTTTCTCTTCAAATAATCTGATCAATCTTTTATTCTTTAATTCATAGTACCGCCCCCCCCCCCCACCTTTTCCTTTTTCTCCTTTTTTCCTTTGTTAAATGCCCAGGCATGCCACAATACCAGGCGTTATCAATACCAGCTCACATTCCTTTCCTTATTTAAAAAAAAAAAACTAACTTTCTAACTCATTACAAACACCCCTCCCCCTTCCTCTCCACTTTCTTTAACATGTCCACCTTATCTAAAAAAATTCAAATGTCTAGCCAACCAAAATGAGTTTAAATTATACAACCCAACCCCGGCCAATAAAAGAAAAATACAAAAACAAAACTTGCATCAAAAATAAAGGCTCTCGTGCCCTTTGTTCAAGTGTACTCTCATGGCAACTGGCCAAAAAAACACCCCTCTGCACAAAAATAAAATTGCTTTGCTAAAAACCCTTTGTTTAAGTGTTCAATTTCTTTACAATTTTAAGCATTATTCCTAACACATGTATCCCAGAACTTAATTTAAAAAAAAAAAAAAAAGCCAGTGCTTCAGAAGCAAAGACATTTCAGCAGTCTTTACTCTACTCATAATCACCACTTCATGTTTGTTAAGTACCTGGTCTACCAGCTTTGAGAAGTTGCAGTGTATCCTGTGTGCCAATCACCTTTCAAAGAGTACAAACAAAAGGAAAGCCATTCTGAGTTTTAGAAATGTTCTGAGAAGTGATTCAGTAAAATAGCTGGGTCAGAGGCCTGGGCTTGCTCCTTTTCCTATGCCCCTCTATACGAGCCCCTTGTCCCCACCAGCTACCAGACAACATACCTGAACCTATTCCATCTATGTACACCAGGCATGCAGCATGGACAAAAGATGTCACAGTGGAGATGATCTCTGGCCTTTTCAAAGCAGCTTCCTCCCCCATTTTGTTCATGAAGTTAACCCAGGACAGGATATCTCTGATACTGACCACACACTTTCTGCCAAACTCTTGGTGGGTCAGCCAGTCAATGAAATCCAGCATCACTTCAGGTATGTCAGACCCTAAACACAAGAAACAAAAAAAGCATTTGCTGTTAACGGGAGATCCCAGAACAAAAGTTCATAACCAGGGGCACACAAATGGCCTAAAAGGGGTCTCTGCTCCTTCTAAGCAAAGTTCTGTGAATGAATGTACATAAATGCTGTTTCTAACAAAAGCAGCCTGCAGCTTTGATCAAATTCTGAAAGGATTCATCAATAGCAGTCCATCCCTATCCAAAGAACAAAACAAAACCTTGGGAGTTATAGTTTTAGATACTGACCTGAAAACTGCTCAAAGAAATATTCATTTGATTTGAGTTCGGACACAGTTTTGAACTTCTATTATAATTATTTTAGAAAATATGCAAATTTTGTTATATCTTATAATTTTACTTGTATTTTAAATAAATTTATTTTTTCCATTTAATGCAATAAAGAATGTCATCTTTTCAATGGCATGCATTCAAGTTTTTTTCTTTTTTCTTTTTTTTTACATCTATTCAGCAATCAGAATTCAGCAAATTAGGGGGTTCACAAATTTTGTTTCATGAATCAAGTTGAATATTCTAATTATCACAATTTCCTATCAGATAATATTTGTCTCTAAATAAAGAAAATACTTAAGTAGTATATATAGATTCAAAGTAATCCCAATTAAATTGAGCAGAGTACTTTATAAAACGTCTTAAGTCAACAACAGTAGACATTTATCTCTAAAGTATGAATATCAAAGAATATTTTAAAAAGAAAGAAAAGATTAGAAGGAAGCACTGCTATAATATAAAGCAGCCTCCAAAAGCTATATATATATACAGCCTCCAAAGCTATATAGATTGTGATTTAGAAGAAATGTAATTGGTTGGAAGAATACTGATTACAAAAAAAAAAAAACTCTTTAAAAAGAGCTTAAAATGACAAAGCAAAGGGGAAATTCCAGTAACAATGAGGAAACAAATTAAATGCTATTTCAACAACTAGATAGTAAATACTAGTACTTAGATCTACACTTCAGAGAAGAATAAATTCCAGGTAAATTAAAAAAATGAAAATGAAAAAATCCATTAATAGAAATTAAATTTTGACCATTTAAGAAACAAAATCAGAGAGAAATAGGTTCACATATGTATTTTTAAAACAAATATATAAAGGTAACAGAATATTAAAACCTGTGAAAAATGTAATAAAAAGTATCACCCCAAAAGACATAATGAATACCAAATGCAAAATGATTAATTCATTAAAAATAAAGGCCAGGCACGGTGGCTCATGCCTGTAATACCAGCACTTTGAGAGGCTGAGGCGGGCAGATCACTAGAGGCCAGGAGTTCAAGACCACCCTGGCCAACATGGTGAAACCCCGTCTCTACTAAAAATACAAAAATTAGCTGGACATGGTGGCACGTGCCTGTAATCTCAGCTACTTGGGTGGCTGAGGCACGAGAATTGCTTGGACCTGGGAGGCAGAGGTTGCAGTGAGCCAAGATGGCACCACTATACTCCAGCCTGGGTGACAGAGTGAGACTCTGTCTCAAAAAAATAAAAATAAAAATAAAACACAAACAATGTTCCATGTCACTAATAACAAAAGACAAGGAAATTTTAAACCTCTGCTAAACTAATAAGGATAAAATAATGGATTTCACTATATTTTTTAAAATGAGGCCAGGCACCATGGCTCCTATCTATAATCCCAGTTCAGACCAGCCTGGCCAATATGGCAAAACCCTGTATCTACAAAATACACAAAAATTAGCTGGCCATGGTGGGCACGTCTGTAGTTCCAGCTACTTGGCTACTTGGGAGGGTGAGGTGGGAGAATGGTTTGAGCCTGGGAGGCAGAAGTTGCAGTGAGTCAATATTGTGCCACTGTACTCCAGCCTGGATGACAGAGCCAGACATTGTCTCAAAGGAAGAAGAAAAAAAAAAAAAAAAAAACAAGAGAGAGAGAGAGAGAGAGAGAGAACTCCCTGATGGAGGGACTGTGGCATGCAGGCACATTCACTACATTGCTGGCAGTGTTGTAAATGATACCATCTTTCTGGAGAGCAATCTGACCTTATCTAAGGAGAACTATACAGTTTCTTATCTCCACTTTTAGAATATAACACAAGGAAATCATTGTAAATGATAGTTGTTTCTTGGTTGTTTTTTTTTTTGAGACAGTCTCATGCTGTTGCCCAGGCTGGAGTGAAGTGGTGTGATCTTGGCTCACGGCAACCTCCACCTCTCGGGTTCAAGCGATTCTCCTGCCTCAGCCTCCCAAGTAGCTGGGACTACAGGCGCCTGCCACAACGCCCAGCTAATTTTTGTATTTTTAGTAGAGACGGGATTTCCCATGATGGCCAGTATAGTCTCAATCTCTTGACCTCGTGATCTGCCCTCCTCGGCCTCCCAAAGTGCTGGGATTACAGGTGTGAAAGAAAGCACCCGGCCAATAGTTTGTTTTAATGAAACAGAATGGTTCATTAAAGTATTGACTAATGTACCAATACTTGGTACATTAACCAATGTAATACAGAAGTATTGTTTACAAAAGTTTGAGATTGTAAAAAGCAGTTCATGTGCCTTTCACAGGTCAATTTTTTTTTTTTTTAAACACATCAATATCACAGAACCTTTTTTTTTTTTTTTTTTAAAGAGATGGGGTCTCACTCTGTTGCCCAGGCTGGAGTGCAATGGTATAATCATAGTTCATTGTAATCTCAAACTCCTAGGCTCAAGGGTTTCTCCCACCTTGGCTTCCTGAGTAGCTAAGATTATAGGCACGTACTACCATGACTGGCTTTTAGAATCTTTTGTTTTGGTCATACTGTGAATATATGGATAATATTACTACAGAGATTTGTGAACTAAAAATACTAGAGAAATTAAGTAGAACCCACAGTGGTATTTATATACTCATTAAGATAATACAATAAATATAAGTACTACAATTAGGATCAGAATTCAATTTAGAAGGACACTATTAGTTAAAATATTAAATTCGGCCAGGCATGGTGGCTCACACCTATAATCCCAGCACTTTGGGAGGCCAAGGCGGGCGGATCACAAGGTCAAGAGATCGAGACCATCCTTGCCAACATGGTGAAACCCCGTCTCTACTAAAAATACAAAAATTAGCTGGGCGTTGTGGCACATGCCTGTAGTCCCAGCTACTCGGGAGGCTGAGGCAGGAGAATTGCTTGAACCCAGGAAGCAGAGGTTGCAGTGAGCCAAGATTGCACCATAGCAAGACTGTGTCTCAAAAAAATAAATAAATTCATCAAATCTTAACTATCTTTAAAGAAAATCTAAAAACAAAAAGCTTTGTCTAGTTTCCTGTTTTATATTTCACAATTTTTTAAAGAAGTTTTTATGTTGTGCCTTCCTGATCTATTTCTAGAAAATATAACTGCTGTGAATTATTAAGCCACTTCCCTTATTCACCATGCTCCCCTTCAAGGTCTCTAATGCCTCCCTGGGAAGTCTGCTGCTGTGTAGCCTAGAAAGCCTGGAGTAAACAAGCTCCTTAAGGACAAGGTGTGGGCTCAGAGGTAAGTCCTCAGGGCTCCCATGCTTGCATGGAGCACACTGGTGATGCAGCAAGCATGGTCGTGACAGCAACTGAACCCTCTGTCATTCTTATCACAATCCAAATAACAAAGGAATAAGCACAGCCCATAGGAGATGAAAAGGTAACTTCCTGAAGGAATCCAGCCCCGACACAGACCCAAAAGACAAACCATGCTTGGTTAACGATTTCTGTCTTCAGGCCTGCTTTGGTCTTCTGGCTCCTGCCTAGTTCCCAGCACTTAGGGAGGGCAAAGCAGGCGGGTCACTCGAGCCCAGGAGTTCCAGACTAGCCTGAGCAACATGGTGAAACCCCATCTCTCAAAAAAAAAACACAAAAATTAGCCTGGCGTGGTAGTGCATGCCTACAGTGCCAAGTATTTGGGAGACTGAGACAGGAGAATCACCTGGGCCCAGGAGGTCAAGGCCGCTGTGAGCCGTGATTCCACCACTGCACTCCAGCCTGGGTGACAGAGACCTTGTCTCCCCACAACCCCCCAGAAAAGTCTGTATTATACTTCTTCTTTTACTGGAATTCTCACAGTAAATGTGCTGCTGCAAACAGCACACAAGAGTCATGGGTTCTGAGTTCTGAGGCTCTGAGCCTGGGCCTTAGACCAGTATTAGTGGCATCACCTGAGGCTTTGTTAGACAGACAAATTCTCTGCCCCTGCTGAATAAGAAACACTGGGTGTGGGGCCCTGTAAGCTGCACTTCAACAAGCCCTCCAAATGAGTCTGACAACTAACTACAGGCTTAGTCAATTCTTATGCCACTGGGTGACTGTGATATTGGTAGAGACTGTAGAGAAAAAAGGAAGTTCAACAAGGCATGGGGAATTCTGGCCATTCAAGCAGCAGTGTGCGTACCTATAAATGTGGCAGTTCACCGTGGGCCATTCCTAAAAAGAAGTCTTTGCTCAGATGACTAAAGAATCAGTCGTCCCTAAAACACCACAGGTGAGAATGGGTTCCATGCAGATTAGATGCTCTCTACAGCTACTCTACTCATTTTAGAAAATGTGTGGTAGGGCACCTTTAAAAAGTGAAACATAGCCATGAATTCCAATTTCCAAGAAGCAGATATCTTTTTTTTATATTCTTTAAGAATATAAAAAATGATCCAAAAAACTATGTATTTAGTCTTGGAACCAGATCTGGGTTCTAAATTTATTCCATTGAATGTCTAAGATAAATATGCATACATCAAACCAATACAGGCTTCAAAAACAAAAAGAACCATATAGTTAGGAGTGTTGCCTTTTATTGGATATTTTAAATTGTTAATTCTAGATTATGGATACTAATCTATTTTCCTTGTGCCTGAGATTTTTCATAATAAAAATTATTTAATTAATTAATTAATTTTGAGATGGAGTCTGTCGCCCAGGCTGGAGTACAATGGTGCAATCCCAGCCTAATTTTTTTTTTTTTTTTTTGAGATGGAGTCTGGCTCTGCTGCCCAGGCTGGAGTGCAATGGCGCGATCTTGGATCACTGCAACCTCCACTTCCCAGGTTCAAGCGATTCTCCTGCCTCAGCCTCCCAAGTAGCTGGGATTACAGGTGCCCACCACCACACCCAGCTAATTTTTGTATTTTTAGTAGAGATGGGTTTTCGCCATGTTGGCCAGGCTGCTCTCGAACTCCTGACCTCAAGTGATCCGCCCACCTTGGCCTCCCAAAGTGCTGGGATTACAGGTGTGAACCACCACACCTAGCCAAAAAAATTTTTAAATAAAGTGAAAGAATAACATGTTCATTGATGACAACTAAAGAAATGCAGCTGAAATTCTACAGCCATTGTGTCAAGTGGTAATGATGAAAATATGAAGATGGGACACTTTAACAGAAGGTAACAGAATAGTAATATTCTCCTTGTCTACTTTGTTTCATTTACCTATCTCCTTTCTTCTTATAACACACCATATACACACAGGGCTGATGTCCTGTAAGAGATCCCTCAACTCCCAACACAAACCCTTCTATGACCCAATACTACCATCACCACCTGCAAACTCTCACCTTTAGGATCTATTCTGCCCAGACACAATCCTGGACGAAGATTATGACTGATGATCTGAATTAAATCTTCACGGCTTGTGCTTTGAGGGCACCATATTTCTGTAAACCGGTTTCTTAAGGCAGGAGACAGCTATAAGAAACACAAAACTTCAATGTGAATTTTTAAAACTGTAAGGAAAGCTGGAAAACAAGTCTTGAAAGAATGTTGTTAGCTGTTAAGTCCAGCAAATACTACACACTTTTAAAAATTATTTCTACTATCAGATATAATTAATTGAAGATGTACTTTGTCTTGACTCCTTATATTCCATGACACCTTCCAGTATCATCATCACTTTCTTAATAGACGTGGTCCAGAGGCCTTACAGACTAAGTGGTGGAAGCAGGATTCCAGCCAGTCCCAGTCAAATCTGAACTCTTCCCCTCAGGCAAAGATTCTTCCTTTTACTTTACCTTTACTTTGCATCAGGTACCTAAATAATACTTCAGAGAAAATAAACACCTGTCTTCCCACAGAGAAGGGCAGTCTGATGTAGGAGGAAGAAACTTCTTTTACATAGCTCAATGAGAGTGTGATTTTAAAAAGTATATATTCTACCTCTTGAATAACAAGAAATTGTTTAGCCACTCCAGTCTTAGGGCCTTTGCCCCTGTAGATTCCTTTTCCCACCACAAGGTCAGTTGACACTATTCACAAATGTTTGCAATGCCACATAAGCATCATTATTGGTTTGTCTGATTACTTTGTAATTACTTTCCTTTTACTTGATGATCATCTATCTGGTCTACCACAGAGGCCCAGGAATAAAGCATACGTGTGTGTACCTCATCAGTATCATAGACAACCAGTACCTCCGGTGTCCAGCATCCTACCTTGCTCTGCTTGTTAGGCATGCGAAACTAAAAAGTAACTTTCCCTTGGGTAAAAGTCAGCAAGCATTGACTTGAGGAAAACAAGATAAGATAATCTGACAGCCAAGCTAATATACACAAACTTGAAATCAGACCTCTCTGTGGCATTTCTACTTGCCCAGAAGCCAGTTTTTATATTTTGAATGCAATGTATTTTATTCCCTCTCTTCAGAGCATATCTTGAAGCATAGAGACAATTTTCATCTTATGATACTGAGGAAACCTAGGCCCAATATATCATTTCAGCTACCCACCAAATTACCAACACTCTTAATTGTCTTATTTAAGATCAACCCCTCTGTTTCTTCTCATCATCCCTGACCTGTTACATCACTCTCTTCCTAACTTTAACAGACTGGGATCCAACACATAGTGCTGACTTCTCCACTGAAAGGTTTCTTGAGCTGGAAACCAACAAGGTTGTTGGTTCCCAAATATATCTGAACACAACCCTCTGAACATAGGAACTACCCTCTGCCCTTTACTTTATCAGCAGTCAGAAAGTGACACACATAACCCTTACGAGAACAAATAAGCTCCATCTACAAACCAGAAGAGGGTTCCTGGTTGTGACTTTTTTGTCACTTTAAAACCACCCATGAAAGCAGAGGTGTGTTTAAGAAAGTGGACTGTAAAAACAGAGGTTAAACTTAAATTTCAGATCCAACTTTTCTCATCCATAAAACTACAATAATAACTTTCTTGCAGAGCTCCTGTGAGCTTTCTCAGGGTAACATATGTAAAGGGCTAGGCAAAGTGACTGTAACAATGACATTTCAGGCACATACACAAAGTGAGATATCAAATAAGGAGATATTTGTGTCAGAATTTTTTTCTAACCCAATAATTATTTTAAAATATTTTTGAGTTTTTACACTTTTTACCCACTTTTTACCTAACATAAAATTCCAAATCCATTATTACATACTATATTTACGAGTACCAGTAAGCTGAGGTCAAAACCTAGAAAGAAAATGTGCATCAGTAAAGTTTTACCTCCTTTTTTCCAAAGTCACCCCCAGGGTTCATGGTTGCTAGAATACGAAATTTTTTCCCAGCAGTCAACAGCTCTATTTCACTATCCTTGTCCTCTGGACTGCCTTTTTCAGCTAATACCAGAGACTTTTCTACTTCAAGGACACTAAAAGAAAAATTGAAGAACAGTGAAAAGGGCTTATACAATCTTTCTGTTTTACAATCTTCAATGCTCTTTAAAAGAAAAAAAAAAGTTATCTTCTTTCTACTGAATTTTTACTTTAGTTAATGGTTTCCTATCACAAATTTTAAAATGACTCACTATCCCAATTTCTGTGTAATAATGGCTATTTCTGATCAAGAAAAAAAAACTTTTCAACTTATAAACTATTAAGGCATTGGTCTTAAAAATGAATAACTTACAAGAAAACAAATAAATTGCATGCATTATCATAATAGCCAACTACTAGAAAGAACTCAAATATCATTGACTGGTGAATGGATAAACAAAATGTGGTATATCCAATACTATTCGGGACAAAAAGGAACAAACTAATAATACGTGCTGAAATAGGAATGAACCTCAAAACATCAATGCAAAGTAAGAGAAGAGAACTTTTATCTGAAATACCCAGAAAAGAAATCTGCAGAGACAAAAAAGAGATTAATCAGAAATTTAGTGTAATGCACACAAAGGATTCTATTGAATGATGGAAATGTTGTAAAACTGGATTGTAGGCCGGGCGCAGTGACTCTCGCCTGTAATCCCAGCACTTTGGAAGGCCAAGGTGGGGAGATCACTTGAGGCCAGGAGTTGGAGACCAACCTGGCCAAGATGGTGAAACCCCATCTCTACTAAAAATACAAAAATTAGCAGACTGTGCTGGCTCACGCCTGTAATCCCAGCTACTCGGGAGGCTGAGGCACAAGAATCACTTGAACCCGAGAGGCAGAAGCTGCAGTGAGCTGAGACTGTACCACTAAACTCCAGCCTGGGCAATACAGCAGGATGCTGTCTCAAAACAAAACAAACACAAAAACTAAATTGTGATGGTTGCAAAGCTTGAAACCACCTTTGCAAAAATTATGAGTGAGAAAAAAGTCTAACAAAAAGTTATGACAGTAAAAAAAAACACAAAAACCTGTCCTAACTGACTCCATCTTTCTTCTAGCCTCCAAGCTGCCCTTGTTCATTCCTGGGTATAGGCCAAGTAAACTATGGGAGAAATTTAGTTTACAGTTCAACTTTAAAAGAAAAGTAATAGCGCCCCCCCAAAACTAACCCCTCCTTCATAAAACTAACCAAAAGGTTAAAATTACGGCTCAGGACACAGCCAGAGGTCACGAGATTCATAACCTTCCCAATTGCTCCTATAAGATAACATCTCTATTATAAAACCTAAGATTAGTGTTTAAGGTACTTTTCAGACCCTGATTCTGATAAAACGGCTAGCACCACCTGGAATGGAAACCCATACCAAGAAGTGGCTCAACAGGTCTTATGATCCCATGAACTTATTTAGGGCAAAAAGATAGCTCAACTTCCTGTGATTTCAACCCTGTCCCAACAGCATTCCCCATTCTCTAGGCCTCTGACCCTAGCCTCGGCCGGGCACAGTGGCTCACGCCTGTAATCCCAGCACTTTGGGAGGCAGAGGCAGGAGGATCACTTGAGGTCAGGAGTTCGAGACCAGCCTGGCCAACATGGTGAAACCCCATCTTTACTAAAAATACAAAAATTAGCTGGGAGTGGTGACACATGCCTGTAGTCCCAGCTACACAGGAGGCTGAATGAAAAGAATGGCTTGAACCCAGGAGGCAGAGGTTGCAGTGGGCCAAGATCGCATCGCTGCACTCCAGCCTGGGTGACAGAAGTAGACTCTGTCTCAAAAAACAAACAAAAAAACCCTAGCCTCCAGGACGGGTGCAGTGGCTCACATCTATAATCCTAGCACTTTGGGAGGCCAAGGTGGGCGGATCACCTGAGGTCAGGAGTTCAAGACCAGCCTAGCCAACATGGCAAAACCCCATCTCTACTAAAAATGCAAAAATTAGCTGGGCCTGATGGCACACATGTGTAGCCCAGCTACTCAAGAAGCTGAGGCACAACAATCAAACTTGGAAGGCTGAGGTTGCAGTGAGCTAAAATCACACCACTGCACTCCAGCCTGGGATAAAGAGCAAGACTGTGTCTAAAAAAATAAACAAACAAACCCCTATCTTCCAAATTTTTAGGAAGCTGATTTGAGTAATAAACTCCTGTCCTTCCACTTGGCTAGCTCTGCAACTACTAAATTATTTCTCTACTGCAATACCACTAACTCAGTGACTCAGTTCTATGCATATAGCTTGCAAGAAGAACCCATCATGGGATTATAAACTTACTAAAACTCACTGAAATATACATTTTATGATATGTAAACTATACCTCAAAAGAAAAAATGGGTGTTACTACATCAAGATTCATATTGGTCTGAGGTCTGATGATGGCTTATAGCCATGGGTCTAGGATTCTGACTACAGTTCTTTCAAAATATTAAGAGAGTAGGGATATAATTCACTTTAAAAAATAGTTTTGACTTTGGCTCATGTTTTAGCCCTACCATTCCACGATCCCATTGTTCTGATTATTGATAGCAAAAAAAACCTAGAAATTTAGGAAACACTGAATGCTAAAGCCAAAAGACATGGTAATACATCAATAATTTCAAGCATTTACTAAGGTGCACCTATGAGAAGTATTACTGTGCACAAGATTAAATATCTATAAAAATCACATCAATCACCTGAGCCCAGAAGTTTGAGGCTACAGTGAACTATGATCATGACACGGCACTGCAGCCTGGGGTGACAGAGTGAGAACACTGTCTCAGGGAGAAAAAAAAAAATCACACCAACAAAAATATCAAACACAAGGCAAACCTCTCAGGCACGTACCTGTTGAGTCTTTCCAAGACAGAGTCATCGGCCAATGAGATCTCATCCAAGAGGAAAAAGCCGTCCTCCTTCATGGCCT
This sequence comes from Homo sapiens, assembly GCF_000001405.40. Lineage (NCBI taxonomy): Eukaryota > Metazoa > Chordata > Mammalia > Primates > Hominidae > Homo > Homo sapiens. Next base: position 89,743,229 of record NC_000006.12, read on the forward strand.
GAACCAGAGGCCCATCATGCCACTCAAAGAGTCTTGATGTGTCAATTTCTTCCTATAATTTGAAAAAGTGGGGAAAATTAAAGGGCAGGTGGCTCCACAGACAATATACATGCAGCTGGCTGGTGTTTCCAGGGGTGAAGTAGGCATTCTGAGGAAAGTAAGAATCTGAGAACAGGAGATAGAACTTGCACACCAGAATGCTTGTGAAGGCCCTTGTAGACCAGAGAAAATCTGCAGATATGCACATTTAACCAAACCAGAACCCAGCTCCAGAAACCCCACCACTAACTCATGCACAGCTAACTGCAGTTTTTTAAAATAACAGGAACACTTGCTGCTGGACAAACCTTGTCGTTTGGCTTTTGTCTCACTGGCCGCAGGCCACCCAGGAAGTCTGATGTCTCCATGTGTAAGTGGCAGCTGACAGAGTATAATTTCTGATTTGCCAAGGCTGCAAATACCTGACAGATAGTAGTTTTCCCACACCTGTTAGAGATGTGCAACTGATTAACAAGGCATGTGTTTCAAATACACATCCATAAACACCCCCCCTCAGCAAAAGAGAAGAACCACTGTGGGAGTCTCACTGCAGCAGTAAACAGTGCTGGCCAATGTGGAACCTCAACCCCAGGCTCATGGCACCCCTCTACACGACTGCACTCTCCCATATTCTTATCCAGAAGGTATGTACTGCACAAACTCCAACCTAGTTCTATCAACAATCACCAGCTGGGCGCAGTGCCTCACGCCTGTAACCCTAGCACTTTGGGAGGCTGAGGCAGGAGAATCACTTGAACCTGGGAGGCGGAGGTTGTGGTGAGCCGAGATCACGCCATTGCAGTCCAGCCTGGGTAACAAGAGCGGAATGCCTTCTTAAAAAAAAAAAAAAAAAAAAAAAAAAAACCACCACCAAGAGAGGGAAAAGAAATCTAATCCTTATAGACTTGACAGACTTTCAAGAGACACTAGTTTATCTCTTCTCTACACACGTATAGAATGAATCTCACTGTTTAAAAGAACTAAATAGACAAAAACTGCCCTCAATGCAATGAAGCAAAAAATCATTCTTGCCAGGTACAGTGTGGCTCATGCCTGTAATCCCAACACTTTGGGAGGCCAAGGCAGGAGGATCACTTGGGCCCAGGAGTTCAAGACCAGTCTGGACAACATAGTGAGACTCCATCTTTTTTTTAGTCAGGGCTTCACTCCTGTTGCCTAGGCTGGAGTGCAATGGCACGATATCAGCTCAGTGCAATCTCTGCCTCCCAGGCTCAAGCGATTCTTCTGCCTCAACCTCCTGACTAGCTAGGACTACAGGCAGATGCCAACACAACCAGCTAATTTTTGTATTTTTAGTAGAGACGGGGTTTTGCCATGTTGCCCAGGCTGGTCTCGAACTCCTGAGCTCAAGTGATCCGCCTGCCTCAGCCTCCCAAAGTTCTGGGATTACAGGCATGAACCACCACAACCAGCTGAGACTCTGACTTTACAAAAAAATTTAAAAATTAGCCAAGTGTGGTGGTGCATGCCTGCAGTCCCAGCTACCTGGGAGGCTGAGCCAGGAGGATCACTTGAGTCCAGAAAGTCAAGGCTGCAGTGAGCCGTATCGCACCACTGCACTCCAGCCTGGACAACAGAGTGAGACCCCATCTCCAAAAATAATAATAATAAAGCCATTATTTTCCATTAACAAAGAACCTAGTCTGAAGGTAGAGGAAACTAAACAGTAACAGATCTTAGTTTCTTTTTTTTTTTTTTAGGGTACATGTGCAGAATGTGCAGGCTTATTACATAGGTATACATGTGCCATGTTGGTTTGCTGCACCCCTCAACTCGTGATTTACATTAGGTATTTCTCCTAATGCTATCCCTCCCCCAGCCCCCGACCCACTCTTAGTCTCTTCTTAAAAAAAAAAAAAAAAAAGAAAAAAGAGGAAGGAGGAAAGAAGGGGGGATTAATACTTTCATGAGTTCTTCAGTGATAACTCAAGTAATCCTATGGAATTGAAATGAACCCTCATGAGTCACTGTCACAGATCTTTACCCAGTGTCTCCAACCAGCAGCACAGGTTCACCAAATTCCAATGCCCTTCCCACTAGCATCGCGAGTCTCCGCATGCCCTCAGTCCACACGATATGGCCAAAGTTACACTCCAATGTGGATATCTGAGTAGACAATTTACCTATCCAAGGAAAAATAAATATTTAGATTCTAATGAGTACAACTCAAATCATATTCCTCTAGGGATTTTGGCCTACTCACCCAGCAATTTTAGAACATTTTCTTTGGAGAAAAGAGATTGAGGACACAATTTTTTCTTGAAATGTTTCTCAAGGACTTCTTGAATCACATCAATTTCCTCCTGCTTCCTGACTCGACCTGCCAGAAGCATATAACCTGGGAGGAGGAGGAGGAAAAGGAGGAGAGGAATCATCAAGTGTCTACCGGGAACACCAAGGGATATGGAGAATATGAAACAATAGAAACTCTCATACGCGGCTGGTGAGGTAGAAATCTGAAGAACTAGGACAGCCTATTACAATTAACCATATACCTGCCCTATGCCTCAGCAATATGACTTCTAGTATCCCCAAACACCAATGAACATGTGTGTGTCGAAAGACATAAGCAGGAATGTTCAGAGAAGCTTTGTTCATAACTAAAAAATTAAAATGATCCAGATGTCCATAACCAAGAGAATGGATAAACAAACTATGGTGTCGTCATACAGTGGATTACCACATAAAAAGAAAAAGAAAAAAAAGAATGAAGTCCTGATACACATAATGGCATGACTGAATCTCACATCAGGTTTAGTGAAAAACCCAGAACCCAAAAAGTACATACTGCATGGTGTCAGCTAGGTGAAACTCAAGGACAGGCAAAATGCTGTTCAATCAGATTAGTAGTGATAATCAGACAGAAGTCAATTAGTAGTGACAGTAGTCAGGGTAGTGATTACCTCCACTGTCAAGAGACCTACTGAGTTATTGGAAATATTCTAAATCTTGGTCTAGGTGATACTTTACATGGGAAAATGCTTTACTGTTTGTTACACCTCACTAAAAAAGTTTGCCGGGCATGGTGGCTCATGCTTGTAATCCCAGCACTTTGGGAGGCTGAGGTGGGCAGATCACAAGGTCAGGAGTTTAAGACCAGCCTGGCCAACATGGGAAACACCATCTCTACAAAAAATACAAAAATTAGCCAGGCATGGTGGCGCTTGCCTGTAATCCCAGCTACTTGGGAGGCTGAGGCAGGAGAACTGCTTGAACCAGAACCCAGACCCGGGAGGCAGAGGTTACAGTGAGCTGAGATCGTGCCACTGCACTCCAGCCTGGGCTACAGAGGGAGACTCTATCTCAAAAAAAAAAAAAAAAAAAAAGAAAGAAAGAAAGAAAGAAAGAAAGAAAGAAAGAAAAAAAGTTTTTAAAAAAGTATTCCTCTATGTAAATATTCTTTACAAGTAGAGAAAAAATCTCTTGTACTAGTTTTACATACTCTTCTTACTTATTAACTAGCCCATTAATCAATCATCAGCACTTTTCAAATCAGAAGATTCCAAAACACTTTGTATCCTATCATCAGCACTTTTCAAATCAGAAGATTCCAAAACACTGTGTATCCTATCACAAACAGTAACAAATTTTTCCCATGCATTAAAGGAAAACAACAAAACCTGAGTCTCAGGTTATATAATTTTTTTCTCTCAGAATGCTGATGTTTTCTGACAAATCAGCTTTCTGTATGTCTGTAAAGCACTAGCCAGACTACCTGTGGTGACACTGCAGAAAAATGGCCCACAAAGCTACCATCAACCATTTGCCTAACTCCCAAAGAGGCTATGTCCATATCCTGACTCCCACATGTGGCTACCTGAAGCAAAGAGTAAGAAAACCTTAGCAACCAGTCCTTATTAGCATGGAGGCCTGCAGGAATAAGATCACTTACAAAAGCTGTTAGAACTGGAGGGAAACAGGCTCTCTGGAATACCTAGTCAAATGTATGTATCAATCACAATTTGAGGCAAGATTTGTTTTAATAAAAAGTTTGACATTTAACATAACTATATATTGAGAGCATTTGATTGAAAACACACCATCATTGGCTAAATGCTGTAGCCAGTCATACTCCTTCTCGGTCGGCTCAGCCAATCTGTATCTTTCAGCCCATCGGAACAGATCACGAAGGGTGATGAAGCCCTGCTTTCCAGCAAACACTGAAGAACTTCTGCGATAGGACTGTTGAAGTATCAAAACAAATGAAAAGGGGCATCAGCTGCAATGCATGGTAAGTTTTTAGTACAATGCATATAAAATTCATAACAAATTTATGCTCCCATTTAAATGATTTCATTCCACTGAATAAGATTAATTTTTTGGCCGGGCGTGGTGGCTCAAGCCTGTAATCCCAGCACTTTGGAAGGCCAAGGCGGGCGGATCACAAGGTCAGGAAATCGAGACCATCCTGGCTAACATGGTGAAACCCCGTCTCTACTAAAAATACAAAAAATTAGCCGGGCGTGGTGGCGGGTGCCTGTAGTCCCAGCTACTCCAGAGGCTGAGGGAGGAGAACCGCATGAACCCGGGAGGGGGAGCTTGCAGTGAGCCGAGACTGCGCCACTGCACTCCAGCCTGGGCGACAAAGCGAGACTCCGTCTCAAAAAAAAAAAAAAAAAAAAAAGATTAATTTTTTAATGAAAATAACTTGTAATATTCTGAGGAAAAATGTTCAAATTCATGTTTAAATTAAGAACATAAAATGGAATTCCACATTTCTTATGCCACATAGAAAAAAGATGATTAATAGTAATGCAAATGGGCGCAGTGGCTCACACCTGTAATCCCAGCACTTTGGGAGGCCAAGGCGGGCGGATCACAAGGTCAGGAGATCGAGACCATCCTGGTCAATATGGTGAAACCCCGTCTCTACTAAAAAGACAAAAAATTAGCCAAGCCTGGTGGTGCACGCCTATAGTCGCAGCTACTCAGGAGGCTGAGGCAGGGGAATTGCTTGAACCCGGGAGGCGGAGGTTGCAGTGAGCTGAGATAGCGCCACTGCACTCCAGCCTGGCGACAGAGTGAGGCTCTGTCTCAAAAAACAAACAAAAAGTAATGCAAATGGTGGCAAAGATGCAGGAAGATTAGTGAAACAATGTGGAACCATAATGGTAGGAGTCTTCATTATTATTAGCTTTCTAAAAAGAAGTTTGACAATGTATACTTTCTGATAAAGAAAACTTTTAACCCCATAAGATAAATGGAATTTTTAAAGATCAGCTGTAGCTTTGCAGTTGACTAGGGGGAGCCACAAAGAATGGATCTCTTTAATTATGTCCATTCAAGGACTATATCCATTTAAAAACCAAAAACCAGTTTTCCCTAAGCCAAATTACATTCTAAACAAAATGCTTCAATATTATACACAAATACAAAATCCTCATATGTAAATATCAGAAAAATTTTAATGATGTAAAATTGTTGATTGATTAAAAAAAAAAACTAAAAATATATATTATTGGGAAGCATTTAAAAGACCTCTACTTGAAGGCCAAGAACTGTGGTTCACACCTATAATCCCAAAACTTTGGGAGATCAAGGTGGGTGGATCCCTTGAGCCCAGGAGTTCGAGACCAGCCGGGGCAACATGGCGAAACCTTGTCTCTACAAAAAAAAAATGTAGCCGGGCATGACGGTGCACATCTGTGGTCCCAGCTACTAAGGAGTGAGTAGTCAGAGATGGGAGGATCACCTGAGCCCAGGAGGTCAAGGCTGCAATGAGCTATGATTGTGCCACTACACTCCAGCCAGGAGAGTAGAGTGAGACTGTGTCTTGCAAAAAATAAATAATAAAAAAATTAAAAACAATAAAAAATAAAAAAAAATCTCTACTTGGAAAAATACATCAACAGACAGATTCTTTTTTCTAACAAAAGAAGCCATGAAATTTTGATCACCAAGTATAATCAATACATTCCATTTGAAACTAAGTACCTGAAGATCCAGCATGACTTTAACCAACTTGCTGCAATAGGAGGGTGGCAAACTACACCGCTTGTGCAAGATTGTTTCCAACTCGGAGCTAGGTAACTCATCAAAGTGCAATTCCACAAACCGATTCCTGAAGGCTCTAGAAAGGACCTAGACAAAGCACAGGAAGAATGCAGTAAAAGGTGCCTTTTAATTTCCAATATGGAGGCTCTGACATTCACCATAAAATATTAAAGGAGAAGTAAAAACATTTCATTCTTACTACGAAAAATCTACTATCTGATGTGTTAACAAATTGAAGGAAGGAGACAAATGCTACATACCTTTCTGCCTCCATAAAGTCCTGGGGGATTTTGGGTGGCAAAAAGCATAAACCGAGGGTGTGCTTTAACAACTTCCTGTGTTTCTGTTACTAGCAATTCACGGTTATCATCCAACAGCCTATTCAGCGCCTCTAACACATCAGTAGGGGCCAAATTTAATTCATCTAAAATAATCCAATAGCCTTTTCTCATGGCATCAATAAGAACACCTAGGAAGAAACAAACAGCAAGAACTAGTGTATAAATCAGTACAAAGTTTTAAAATGCATTATGTACAAATCAACAAATCCTAGGTTATCATCAAATTTCAAAGCAAATTACTTTCTGTAGCTAGTCTTGCCTCAAAACAAATTATGACACTGCAGATCAAGGAGGAACAATTTTCAATTAAAATAGTCCCTTTTTTCCCCACAGAAAAGAAGCCAAGGCTGAAAATACCTCATATTTCTTGTGTAATCTTTCCCCTGCAGTCTAATTTCATTTAAATCACCACATTCTGTTGACTATTCCCAACTTCCTTTTGGCTAACACTAACCCCATTCTCTGAATTCCTAGAAAATAAAGCAGCAGTTCAATTCCCCTCTTGAAAATTGGCCCTAGTCCTGTATACAGCCAGCAAGATTAGCAGAACCTAAAGAAAGCCAGCACCTTATGCATCACCCCTTAACTATCTTAGCTCAGGCATCAAGAAAAGCCGGCTGTTACAGCAAAGGTCCATGTGCCTCAATTGGAAAGGATGAAGAATATTACTTAAGGAAATGTGTGTGAAAGAATAAACACCTATGTCCATGGAATGGAATCTTAACCCTACCTTCCTTAAAGACAAGCTTCCCTGAGGAGTCAGACGTGTAACAACCAATGTACTCCTGAATATCCGTGTGTTCGTGATTATTAATACGCACACAGTGGTTGCCAGTAGCTGCAGCCAGCCACTGGATCAGGCTTGTTTTACCAACTGATGTCTCTCCCTGAATCAGCACTGGATAGGTTCTGTAAAAGATTAGCCAATTAAGCAACTTAAAACAACAAAAAATTACAAAGCTGAGAAACCAGAACTGAGTATTGGTTTGTTTTGTTTGACAAAGGGTTTCACTCTGTTGCCCAGGCTGAAGTATGGTGGTGCAATCATAGCTCACTGCAGCCTCGACCTCCCAGGCTCAAGTGATCCTCCCACCTCAGCCTCTTGAGTAGCTGGGACTACAGACATGCACCACCAAGCCCAGCTAAATTTTGTATTTTTTGCAGAGACAGAGTCTTGCCGTGTTGCCCAGGCTGTTCTCAAAACCCTGGGCTCAAGTGATCCGACCGCCTTGGCCTCCCACAGTGCTGGGATTACAGGCATGAGCCACTGCACCTGGCCAAGTATTATTTTGGTTTTTTTTTTTTAAAAGAATGACGACATCATTTAACAGCATCATTAAAAGAGCATTTTTTTTTCCTTTTTTTTCCCCTTTTTACATTTCTGGAAAATGCAAGAAGCAGAAGAACATTTTTATTCCTATACACTGAGAAGTATCTTTGTAAACATTATTCCTCAAAAAATACTAAGGAAAGCAATTCCAACTATGCTGGCAACATTTGTAAGAAACTGTAAGTAGAACTTTTAGCCATTTACTGAATAATCTGTGGTATTTATCAGCAAAATAACAAAAGATAACTTTAAAGATAGATAAAATCATCTGCATCCATAGTGCTCCCTCCAAAGTTGCACAACTAGAAACAAAGTTTTCTACCAGGAAAAAGTTATAGTACTGACTTTTGTAAGTAATTGTTCAGTTGGCCAATGAATAAGAATAAAGCTCTTTGAAAGTTAAGGAAGTTAGACCAAAATGTCATCAATGCCTATGCCTGTATCAAGTTCGGGGCAGCGAGAAAAAAGCCCACACACCCTGCAGAGACAACTCGGACTATATCTCTCAGGTTCAGCTTCACAGAAGATGTCAGAATGTACGTCTCATCTATTGTAGGCTCCTTGTCTCCCACCGCAATCCAGTAGCCTTCAACCTGGATAAGCCGACCTCCTTTTGGCTCTGGAATAGGCTGAAAGACACAGAAGTTCAAGGAATAACCCACAGTTGTACATTCTTTCAGAGAAGGGCATAAAGTAGGAAAACAGCCACTTGTTGAACAAGCTGTCTTGTTCTGCATACTTTCAACATTAAAACTGGATGAAATATGAACATAAAATTATGAGGAATGAGAACAAAATGGTGTTATATATTGGTTTTAAAACTGAAGTGGAGTAGGTGGGTTTGGAAAAAAGCTGAATCAAAACAAATTCCCAGAAGGTTTATGTACCAGTTCTCTTCTCTCACATATCAAAATGCCCACTCCAATTATTTTTATCAAAAACATGAATTTCATATAAACCATGTTCCCCGAAAAAGGGCCAGTGTTGTAGTAAGGAAGGAGGTTTTGCACTATTATACTCTGGATTGCCTAGAAGACATTAAAAGTAAACCTGACTTTTCAGAGCAACTAGCCCATTAAGGATAATATTGTGGATGATGGCATCACTTTGCTGAGATATGGTTTAAGTTATTAGTTTCGATTATACAAATTCCCATTTTTATAAGTAAAAAAATGGTTAAATGGTGGTCAAATCTATAACTATGGAAAAGTACTCTTCTAGAGCATTTGGTCCCCAGATTTCAAGCTACACGTCTAGGCCCTGCTTTTAAGGCCTCCTCAGTTGAGTTGAGAAGCAATAGGGGGAGGGGAGGAAGGATCTTTTTAAGTTTCTATCACACCCTGAGGCATACACACACAAAAAGACCAACTGGAAGAGACTGGTATTTGATTACAATAATGGTAAAAGCAAACCTGAGTCTTTACTCAATGTTTTTACAATTTACCGAAAGTATTTACGCATGTGTTACTTGTACGATTTTTTAAAAGGCTGAGTCCAAAGAAACTCCAAGTCCCAAGGGCTCTCTCTTCCTAATGAATAAGCAATCAACAAGTAAACAAGCCAATTTACATGTTGATTGTGAGCAAGTTTCTCTCAGCCTCTTTCAGTCCCATGCTATTCTGTAATTTCCTGCCAAATCCAAAACGGCTATTGTTTCTAACAGTGCCCCCACTACTGCCTCCTCAAAAAAGACCCAACCATCAATCAGAAGGTATAGATTATACCTAACTGTGTAGTTAAACTATGCAAATAGTGAAACTATGGTGTACCCATCCAGTGAAATGCTATGTGGCCCTTAGAAGGCATGTCACAATGAACTCTGGTACAAAAACAAAAATATATCCAAGATTCAGATAGGTTAAAAAGGAAAGCTACAGAATATTCTTATGGGCCGGGCACGGTGACTCACGCCTGTAATCCCAGCACTTTGGGAGGCCGAGGTGGACGGATCATGAGGTCAGGAGTTCGAGACCAGCCTGGCCAACATGATGGAACCCAGTCCCTACTAAAATTACAAATATTAGCTGGGCATGGTGGCATGCGCTTGTAATCCCAGCTACTCGGGAGGCTGAGACAGGAGAATCACTTCAGCCACGGAAGGGGAGAATGCCGTGAGCTGAGATTACACTACTGCATTCCAGCCTGGGCAACAGAGCAAGACTCTATCTGCAAAAAAAAACAAAACAAAACAAAACAAAAAAACAATATTCTTATAAGACAGTCCCACTTACATTAAACGCATATTACAATTTTTTACAATTTTACAATTTACCTCAATAAATCAACATATACATATCAAAATTTGGATATGTAAGAAAATAAAATATATACATTATACAATTTATCTGGAAAGATTATCCACAGTATTTAAATCTCCAAAGAGCACGCTTATTGGAAACTTTCACCATCTAAACATATGTTTCTGTAATGTTTAAACTTTTTGCAACAGATTACCTTTATAATTAAAAAGTTATGTGAAAAAAAAAAAACCAAACAGCTGAAAATTTGGTAATTCAGCCTTTCAAGTGTAACAAGTCAAAAATAACAAAAGAACATACCTGCTTCAGCAGACTCTTGACATTGCCAGGGACAATGTGTTGACAGATGAGCTTCTGAACTATTGGGTGTGATGCCCTGTCAAGCTGTGTTAAGAAACCCAAACAAAAACCCTAGAAAGAAAAGACAAATATGCATAATGCTAAATAACCTTCTGCAATACAACCAAACTTATTTCCAGAACAAAATTTAACCTCTTGGGTGATGCTGCTTCCCAACTTTTAAATATAGTAAGGTGGTAGATAAAGGGAAGGGTAGGCCAGGCACGGTGGTTCATGCCTGTAATCTCAGCACTTTGGGAGGCCAAGGCAGGAGGACAGCTTGAGCCCAGGAGTTCGAGACCAGAGTGGGAACACAGTGACACCCTGTCTCTATGTATAATTAAAAATAAAAATTTTAAAATAAAAAGTAAAATATTTAATTTAAAAGGGCAAGGTAAATCTGGTAAGAGGTATTATGGGCTGATCTGACTAACTGGAAAGCACAGGCAACCTGGCATATGCATCCCTATTCCTTCCTTCCCATGAACCCATCCATTAAGCTCATATCCAGTCAAAGAGACTTCAGAAAGACCTCATAGAGTGAGCGCTGAATGTTGCCACATGGATTGGAGGCTGCAAATCGCAGGGCCCGGCACAGAGTCCGAAGGCTGTAGTGAGGTCTATGGCCAGTGCCATCCACCAGTTTGGTCCCAGACTCTTTCCGCAAAGCTGTGTAGAAGCTACAAATAGAATAAAGGTCAGGCAATTTTATTTACTAATAAGTATCCAGTATTATCAATTCTCTACAGAAAACCCAAAGGACATTTTTTAGATCAGAAATGATCATGCACACAACTTCCTGGGGCATGCATCAAAATATCTTAGTCTCTTTTAAACCTACTTTTCACATACTCAGAGATATCTTTCAAAATAAAAAATGAACACCTATCTATTTCCTTGGGGAAACTGGGAAGTGCAATGTGCAATTCCTCTAGCAAAAAGGTACTGATAAAGAGAGGTGAGAAGCTTCTGTGTTCCAGAGTCTGTTCAAGCTTAAGGGACAAAGAAAGTTCCTATGCAATCAAAAATGGGGATGAACAAAGACATGGCAAACAACGCATGGTGTTTTGAAAGGCTACGAATATGGCTATAATTAGTACTGACAAAACGTTAAAAAGCAGGAGGATACGATGGCCATTACTATTGTCACTACCACACTTTAGAAGTCCAGATGATGACAGGATGGGAAAAGTTTCAGACTGAAACATGAAGGTCTTGCACTTTGTGAAATTCATGATCAATTAGCACCACAAGATCAAATGAAACCAAGTATGCATGCATCACAGATGAAATTCAAGTTCCTGCCCAAATGAGCTTTATCTTGCCTCTTTGCTACCTAACAAAATATTTTTGTAGATAGCAAAAATACACAAATATTTTCAAAATATTTTCAAAATATTTCAAAATATTTTTGTGTAGAAAGAACCTATGTTTTGGAACTGAGTTTTTAATATATGGAATATATACTACTTGTACTATCAGTATTTTATAAGTGCCTAATTTTATCCTTTATCTACCTCTTTAGATAAAATAAGGCACTTATAAAAGTTTACCTTTAGCATCTGGAATCTTAACTATACGTATTTACACTTTTGTCCAAATATTCTTGGCTACCAAAAAGTATTCCAATTTAGGGTGTGTTGTGGTAAACCATTCTGAAGCATTCTAAACACATGCCTTGTTGACTAATCTATTTAATACAGGACTTCAGGACCAGGTGCTGTAGCTCAACCCTGTAATTCCAGCACTTTGGGAGGCTAAGGCTGGCGTATCACTTGAGGCCAGGGGTTTAAGACCAGCCTGCACAACAAAGCAAAGCTCCTGTATCCAAAAAAAAAAAAAAAAAAAATAGAACTCCAAGTCTTCATTTTCTTACACCCTACTCAGCTTTATATGTTTTCACTTATCACAACCTAAAATTACAGTACCTGACTCCTCTAGAATTAAAGCTCAATGAGAAGAACCAGGATTTTTGTCTGCCTTACTCATAGCTATAACCACAGCACCAGGGCACTCAATAAGTATTTGTATTAAGGAAGAGAAAAAATACACAAACACACAGTAAAACATTAATATCACCCTATTTCAATCCTTTTACATGTTGTATTTCTTTCTGGAGAACACACAATTAAGTTACTGGCCCAGAATGACACAATTAGTTTCTCATAGAACCAATACTAGAATTGAGGTTGTCTGACACAAAAGATTGCATGTTGTCCATATGGCATACAAAAAACAGGAATAACAGTCTCAAATTAAAGCACAAGCCACGTAACTACTCTATTATTTATTAGGCTAAGCTTCCATTAATTCCAAACCTGACACAATCAATTATATTAACCCTTTTCTCCTTACATCCCACATAGCTAGTATAAATATTGCAAATAGAAAAGCAACCTTCTTCAAGACAGATTCAAAACGCAAGCCATGTACATCTCCAAGAATTCAAACCCTCAGCTATGAATATAGAGGTAATCAGGAGAGCATTATCTGATGGTTTATATCTTCTCATAGGTAATGATTCATAGCTTTCTATGTAATTTCCTTAGAAAAACCTAAAGGAGTTCATATCAGGTTCCAACTTTACAAGAGAATCTAAATAATAATCCTGCCATCAGTTTTCTCAAGTTAGAAGTAAAAAAGAATACATATTTGTGTGTGTGCACGAGTAGCACATTTTCATGTTCAGAGAAAGAGCTTATAAAGACATACAAAAGGGAACCTACTTTATGATTCCTTGCACTGTATTCTTGTTCACACTCAATCCTTTCAGATAATCTACAATAAGAACCTGTAAGTCTTCTTTGCTTTCTAATTCTTCTACATAAAGTTCTGTGAACCTGTAAAACAATACATAATAAACACTTTTTAGGAAGTTAATATAACTATGTTGACAATAGAAAAACATGAAACAGAAGAAGCTATGTCAGCTCATTTTAACTGCTTGTAGTATAAAATGTCTTTCAACCTGATATAGAAACTTAGCATAATTAAAGGATAATGTAACCATTACCAAAAATATACCATTATTGCTTCTTCTATGCAATAAGTCTTCTACGTATAGTCCTTACAAGAAGAAAAAGATACAAAAGCCGGGTGCGGTGGCTCACGCCTGTAATCCCAGCACTTTGGGAGGCCGAGGCCGGTGGATCACGAGGTCAGGAGATGGAGACCATCCTGGCTAACATGGTGAAACCCCGTCTCTACTAAAAATACAAGAATTAGCCAGGTGTGTTGGCGGGTGCCTGTAGTCCCAGCTAATAGGGAGGCTGAGGCAGGAGAATGGCGTGAACCCAGGAGGCAGAGCCTGCTGTGAGCCGAGGTTGCGCCACTGCACTCCAGCCTGGGCGACAGAGGGAGACTCCATCTCAAAAAAAAAAAAAAGATACAAAAATAAGAATTAATTATCCTCATTTTCAAGTGTTTTTTATCATAATCGCCTATTTAAAAAAATAAGTGCAATAAAAAACAAGCCCCCTCATCATCAAAGACAAAATGGTTGAAGAGAAAACAACTACTTTAATGTAGTTTCTAAAGCTTCCCTAACAAGCTTTTATTGCTTTATAATGAAGAGAGAGGATCTAATAAAGTTACTATTTTAAAATTCAAAATGAAGTAAACGGTTACCAACAATAAATCTGGTCATTTAATTTATTTTTTCCCAAATGTTACATACATAAAACACCAACAACTAAGTACCTTGTTCATGTCAGTGCTTAGTGGCGAAAAATAAAAGAAACTTTAAAGGCCTTTTCAAATCATTAGCCTCACCCAAAGAGGACTGTGTTCCTAAAATATGCGTATACTGGTATATGTTTTCCTGTTATATCGTGTTATGAAATTTTTCTAATAGCCAAAAGATTACCTGAGGAAGGAAAGATTTTTATTTTCAACAATATCCACTGTCATACTAACACAAAGGGAAAAATTCTCCAGTGTTCTGAAGATTCCCATATGCCTACCACCTACAGAGAGCAGAGGAATATGACAAATAAGGTAATAAAGATTCCTCTATCAGCGGCAATTTCAAGCATTGCTCTAAAGTCCGGTTACATTAATATTACCAATCTATAAATAAAGAGAATCTAAAAACGAAGTCTTGGTAATCCCAGCACTGTGGGAGGTCGAGGCAGGCAGATCTCTTGAGCCCAGTGAGAGACCAGCCTAGGCAACATGGCGAAATCCCACGTCTGCTAAAAATACAAAAACTTGAGGCCGGGCGCACTGGCTCACACCTGTAATCCCAGCACTTTGGGAGGCTGAGGCAGGCAGATCACAAGGTCAGGAGTTCAAGACCAGCCTGGCCAACATAGTGAAACCCAGTGTCTACTAAAAAAAAATAGAGAAATCAGCCAGTCATGGTAGCATGCACCTGTAGTCCCAGCTACTCAGGAGGCTGAGGCAGGAGAATCGCTTGAACCCAGGAGGTGGAGGTTGTGGTGAGCCAAAATCACACCACTGCACTCCAGCCTGGGCAACAGAGCAAGACTCTGTCTCAGAAAAAAAATAAAAAAATAGCTGGGTGTGGTGGCATGCACCCATAATCCCGGCTATTCAGGATTCTGAGGTGGGAGGTGGGAGGTGGGAGGACTGCTTGAACCGGGGACTTGCAGTGAGCCAAGATCACGCCACTGCACTCCAACCTGGGCAACAGAGCAAGAACCTGTTGCAAAAAAGGAAAGTCTCCAAGAACCAAACCCTCACCTGTTTCTTATTCCTGGTGGGAGATTTCTTTTGCCTACATCAGTTGCTGGATTCATACAGGCAAATAAACGGAAGTCAGGATGCCGAACCAGTGGCTCTGTTAAGAGAAAATTACAAATTCTCAACAAAGGTATGATTATCTAATTCCACAGAACCCCAGGCCCAGCCAGCCTGATGCTGGCTGCTCACACCATCCTTGTCTTTTCTGAAACCCCACTGAAATAACTTTCCAGACCTATGTATTCAATCTAATCTTATACTGCAGTCTTTTGCGGTATGTTTATTCACTGTTATTTATCTTTTATCAACCATTCACCTGTTATTTTATAAGTGTGTCTATTATCCACAACTCAAACACCTTGTCAAATTATATTATTCTTCTTTGCATTCCCCATACCACCCAACACTTTAATGCACTTTGCAGAAAATTAATATCTAAAGAATGAACAAATTCCATTGGGAGGCCCATGTCATCCTTCTAACAACAACAACAAAAAATCTCACTCTAAAGTGGCCACAGGGCTTGACACCAAGTCAAATCCCAAGGGATTCAAGTGCTACCTGTGTCTCCTCGATCCAGCAACACCAGGGATCCAGAAGATCCTTCAAGCAAACCACTCAGACATTCTAGTATTTCTGGAGCAGCCAAGTTAATCTCATCCAACAAGATCCACTCTCCTTTCTTTACAGCCTGAGCTAATGTACCCTAGAAAAAGATAAAATAAAATGTTAACAATGTGTCAAATAAAGGCACACTTGCCAAGAACAGTTATGCAAGCAGGGTTAGAAATAGAGGCGGGGCAAATCTTTCCTACTTGATGGGCCTATACTTTAACTGGCTGACAGCAGATAGGCAGAGTTAAGGCCAAGTTAATTTTTTAAATGTCCAAAAAGGTCAAGGGAATATCTTTGAGCCTAACAGAGAGATGCAATAAACTAAATCCTCTCATTATGTGGATGGTCAGGTAAATAGCTTACATTGTAGTCAGGTCTTTAAAGGCACCCAAGTGACTATTAAAACTCAAAATAAATATAGGGTCAGGCTATACCAAGATTAGACAAATGTCTAAATCCCAGAGTGTTTAGTGATTGTCATACACTGCCTTTCACACCTACTGAAGATTAAAATGCAACATCCCTTGGCTTTAGTACACTGGTGTTATCTCTTCAAATTCTATTTCCTAGATTTAATTGGTTTTAGAAATAATCCTATTAAGAATAATTCTGGGCTGGGTGTGGTGGCTCATGTCTGTAACCCCAGCACTTTGGGAGGCTGAGGTGGGCGGATCACTGGAGGTCAGGAGTTCGACACCAGCCTGACCAACATAGTGAAACCCCATCTCTACTAAAAATACAAAAAATAGCCGGGCGTGGTGGCACGCACCCTTAATCCCAGCTACTCAGGAGGCTGAGGCAGGAGAATCGCTTGAACCTGGGAGGCGGAGGTTGCAGTGAGCTGAGATCCTGCCATTGCACTCCAGCCTGGGTGACAAAAGCAAAACTCCGTCTCAAAAACAAAAAAAGAATAGTTCTGGGGCCCGGGGCAATGGCTCATGCCTGTAATCGCAGCACTCTGGAAGGCCAAGGTGGGTGGCTCACCTGAGGTCAGGAGTTCAACACCAGCCTGGCCAACATGGCAAAACCCCGTCTCTACTAAAAATACAAAAATTAGCTGGGCGTGGTGGCACACACCTGTAATCCCAGCTACTCCAGAGGCTGAGGCAGGAGAATTGCTTCAACCCAGGAGGCAGAGGTTGCAGTGAGCCAAGATTGCACCACCGCACTCCAGCCTGGGTGACAGAGTCAGACTCTGTCTCAAAAAAAAATAATAATAATAATTCTGATGACCAAATTTTCCACACCCATAATGTATGGTTGAGTAGACCTTCTCTGTTACTAAAACATCACCAAGTAAGACTCCTGCTTCCTCTAGGGCTTCATCTAAGGACTGTCACAGAAACAAACTTTTTTTAAATGACCAAGCCACAAATATTTAACCAAGTTGATCCTTCCTACAGGGTCACAGGACAGCAAACAGTAGAGATGTCCATGCCCTGGGATTAAAATTGGGGCAATGAAGTGAACGGGTCCAAATCCCTCTCTCACATCCACACACTCTTTCCCCGGAGACACACATGGTGAGAGAAAGAATCCAGAGTTCACTAGCTGTCATCAATTGCATCTTTAAAAATAGTAATAGATCCAGCAATCTCACTTCCAGGTATTCCCAAAAAAAATCTGAAAACAATATGTCGAAGGGATGTCTGCAATCCCCTGTTCATTGCACCACTATGCACAATAGTCAAGATATAGAATCAACCTATGTCTCCATCAACAGATGAATAAAGAAAATGTTGTATATATACATATATACAAACAATGGAATCCTATGGAATCTTATTTGGCTTGAAAAAAGAAATAAATTTTGTCATTTGCTATGACATAAATAGAACCAGAGAATATTATGCTAAGTGAAACAAGCCAGGCACAGAAAGACAAGTATTGCATGTTCTCACTTATATGTGAAATCTAAAACAATGGAACTCAAAGAAGCAGCCAGCAGAATGGTAGTTAGCAGAGGCTGGAGAGTTAGGGAGTACAGAGTAATGAAAGTACAAAGCCTTGGCCAGGCGCGGTGGCTCACGCCTGTAATCTCAGCACTTTGGGAGGCCAAGGCTGGCAGATCACGAGGTCAGGAGATCAAGATCATCCTGGCTAACACGGTGAAACCCCGTCTCTACTAAAAATACAAAAACAAAAAATTAGCCGGGCATGGTGGCATGCACCTGTAGTCCCAGCTACTCAGGAGGCTGAGGCAGGAGAATGGCGTGAACCCAGGAGGCAGAGCTTGCAGTGAGCCGAGACTGTGCCACTGCACTCCAGCCTGGGGGACAGAGTGAGACTCTGTCTCAAAAAAAAAGAAAAGAAAGTACAAAGCCTTAATTAGACAGAAAAAAATAAGCTTTCTTCCCTTTGAGATATATATTGCATAGCATGGCGACCATGCCATAAATAATAATGTCTTGTACATTTCAAAATTACTAAGGCAGTACATTTCAAATGTTCTCACTACAAAAAACGGTATTTGAGATGATGAATATTCACTAGCTTTAGTTATTCCATACCGTATTCATAAATCATAACACCCTTTTGTACCCCATGAATATATACAATTATAATTTATCAATTTGTACTTTTAAAATTTTTATTTAAATAATGATGGTGCTCATTAAGATCTTATAATTGCCATAATTACCATGAAGGACACTTTTCAAAATCTTCCCCCAAAATCATTATTTCATTAAGACAATACAAAATAGTAACCTGCCTGAAACATTGTTTTGCATAAAATCAACGTTCCCATAAGCTAAATAACAAAAACAGAAATACCTCTACAAATGCGAACAATAAGGTATTTTCAGTCATTTTCATCTGTTGTTGGGCATGGTTGAGTCTAAGACCAAATGCTTCCCATTTCTCTTTTATGAGTAACCCTAAAAAAGAAAGACAAGAATTCAGCACACATTTTGAATTGTAATATATACAACTTCTAAACAAACAAATACAATTAACAAAACACACAAAAATTAAGCATCTTACACAAAACACTAAGTCTAAAAACTTGTATAATGCTAACAAAATGCCAGACATGACACTAATTAGCCCACATGTATGAATATATATGTATTAACTGCCTCATTTATCCCTCACAACAACCCTCTGGACTAGTTATTTTTATTCCTGCTTTACAGATAAGGAACCACACAGAAGTAAACTAAGCCAGCAAAAGCCTCTTGGCTATAGAATCTAGCTCCTTAGAAATAAGCTTTTTCTGAGGAAATGTGCCTTACTGACCACTAAATAGTACTTGCACATCAGCATTACCAGTCAACTGTTTTTGTGGAAATACGTGAATAATGGGGCACAATACTTCACAATTAGTCACTTCTGCCAAAGTCCTAGAAAGCTCCAATTTGTATCGCTTTACTCTTCCCCAAAACTAATATGTTAACTAAAGCCCAGCCCCATGCCCTCCCCCATGGCAGCCTGGGTCACATCCTTACCAGTTTCACTGTCTTTTCCATCCTTGTTAACAGCAGACTTGTGTACATGCTGCATTAGTCTCAGGAGATCATGCCACCGTTTCTGTCTGTAACAGGTCTGAATGTGCCCCAAGAACGTAAAGTTTTGTTTCTTGGAAAATGTCTGAGCAAAGAGTTCCTCAAATGCCTCCCGTAAGGGTAGCCAAATAAGCTTATGGTCCACCGGTTTATAACTGAAACAGACACAGGTAAATGTGATTCACAAACTTCTGAAGTTAACAGAAGTTAGAAAGCATGGCTCAGAAAACAGGAGTAGGTCTCAGATTTCATTTAATTAACGTCAGAAATACTACTGAAATATTTAAAATCTACGTTACAGTTTTAAATTGTAATATTTTCCCCCATCGCAAGCATTTGAAGGGCCCATAATGAAGGTAAAAACTATTATTAGATAAACAGTGTTATGAAAAAAACTAGCCTAGCATGGCTGCTCACATCTATAACCCCAGCACTTTGGGACACTGAGGTGGCCAGATCACTTGAGCCCAGGAGTTCAAGCCCACCCTGGGCAACATGGCAAAACCCTGTTTCTACAAAAAAATACAAAAATTAGTCAGGTGCAGTAGCACACACCTGCAGTCCCAGCTACTTGGGAGGCTGAGGTGGGAGGCTTGAGCCCAGGAAGTAGAGGTTGCAGTAAGCCAAGAACACGCCACTGCCACTCTAGCGTGGGCAACAGAGCCAGACCCTGTCTCAAAAAAATAAAAGTAAAAAAAAATTGAAAGTCCTACTTGAATAGTAAAATTCACATCATTTATTTTACCAACATGTCTAAATAAATATGTATAGGGCATAATAAAAAACCATCCATATTTCATTAAGGTTGACCAAAATCCAAGGAAAAATAAATATCTGAAATTGATTTACTTATGTAAATTAAACACAGCCCACACATTATCAGTTAGGAAAACGAAGAGTAGGAGAGAGCAACAATGATATTGCTTTCAATGGGATAAAAATTAGGGTAGGGCACGCAAAAAAAAAAAAAAAAAAAAAAAAATCTTAGCTATTGCAATGGTTTGTGGTACTCCAAAGCTCAACTTGTACTTCTTAGTATTTAGATTCTTTGTTATTCCTTAGCATTAAATTCCTCTGGCTAAGGAGCTAGGAAATTAACTTAAATTTGAATATTTGGGGGAGGTAAGAGATAATTTTTTAAAAGGTTGAAAAACATTGCTCTAGCTTAAACATACGATGTCTAAGAGGCACTAGTTATTCCTAGAAAATCTTAAGTACCCAATTTTGTATGGCATACCATTACAATTCAGGAAGAATGAGATAAATCTTATTTTCATGAAAAATAATTTAAGTTGAGAACTTAAAAGGTACCAAAATATGTTTCACAACAAACGTAAGGGAACTGATGGATTACTGCTGACTCACTGGCCTAGTGAGGGAGAAACAATGAGATGAGTAAAAACCCAATGGCCTGATACTGAGCATCTGAATCTGAGAGTCCAGTTCCAAAGAAAAAAAGTTGAAGAGGAACATCAAACTCACTTTCACTTACTCATAGCACTAATACATTAGTATAGGCATTTCTTTAGTCCATTTATTAAACAAAAAATGTACTGAGGCCAGGCACAGTGGCTCATGCCTGTAATCCCACCACTTCGGGAGGTCAAGGCGGGAGGATCCCCTGAAGCCAGGAGGTTGAGACCAGATTGGGTAACAAAGCCAAGATCTTGTCTCCATAAAAAATTAAAAAATTAGCTAGGTGTGGTGATGCACATTTGTAGTCTCAGCTACTTGGGAGGCTAAGAAAGAAGGATCACTTGAGCACAGGAGTTCTAGGCTACAGTGAGCTATGATAACACCACTGTACTACAGTCTGGGCAACAGAGCAAGAACTCATCCCTTTATAAAAATTTTTTTGAGCACCTGCTATACGTGTTAGCCACTGAATCAACAAGACCCACAAGATCTTACTCCTGTGTAGCTTACAATCAAATGAAAGTGACAATAGGCCAGGTGCGGTGGCTCACACCTGTTAATCCCAGCACTTTGGGAGGCTAAACAGGTGGATTGCTTGAGCTCCAGAGTTCGACACCACCGTGGGCAACATGGTGAAACCCTGTCTCTACAAAAAATATAAAAATTAGCCAGGCATGCCAGTGTGCCCCTGTAGTCCCAGTTACTTGGGAAGCTGAGGTGGGAGGCTTGTTCAAGCTCAGGAGGTCAAGTAGTAGCTTAAGTGCTATGAACATAATGTAAGGTAAAAGCTGAATGGGTGATGTGAGTTTTGGTAATTTGAGTATCACAGTCAGGAAAGGCTTTGTTGAGGAGGGGACATTTGAAGGATACCTAAGTCAAGCAAGGATGTGAGCTAAGCATTATCTGTGGGTGCAAGGAGGCCACACAGAAGAAATAGCAAGCATTTAGGTGCAAAGCAGAAGAAAGTGGTTGGAGCTCAGCAACACAGGGGAAGGTGAGAGATGATATCAGAGAAGTACCACTGTCAGATTATGAAGGGCTATACAAACCAAACATTTTATTCTAAACCTTTGTATTTTATCCTAAATGGACTGAGAAGTTCAGTGGAGGAACCTGAGGAAGAGAGTGAGACCAGACTGGGTTACAAAGCAAGACCTTGTCTCCATAAAAAATTATACTTTACTGGGCTGGGCGCGGTGGCTCACGCGGTGGCCCAGCACTTTGGGAGGCAGAGGTGGGCGGATCACGAGGTCAGGAGATCGAGATGATCCTGGCTAACATGGTGAAACCCCATCTCTACTAAAAATACAAAAAAAATTAGCCAGGCATAGTGGCGGGCGCCTATAGTCCCAGCTACTCGGGAGGCTGAGGCAGGAGAATGGCGTGAACCCGGGAACAGAGGTTGCAGTGAGCCAAGATCGTGCCACTGCACTCCAGCCTGGGAGACAGAGTGAGACTATGCCATACACACACACACACAAAAAATTATACTTTATCTGATTGTACTTTAAAGGATCATTGTAACTCCTAAACAAAAAAGACTATAAAAAGATTAGGAGTAGAAGCAAAGATAAGAGACCAACGCAGTGGACTAGACAGTAGATAAACTAGAACGACAACAGTGAAAATGGTGAGAAATTGAACAAAATATATGTGTCATTTAAATAAGATTGCTAATCTTTTTATTTATTTAACTTTTTATTCTAAAGATAAAGTCTCACTATGTTGCCCAAGCTGGTCTCGAAGTCCTGGCCTCAAGCAATACTCCCACCTTTGCCTCCCAAAGTGCTGAGATTACATGCATGAGCCACTGCTCCTGGCCAAAATTGCTAGTCCTGAAAATAACAGTATAAATGGGATCCAAAGTTAACTGAAGAAGCAGAGTAATGGTTAAGAACACAGACACTCAAGACTGCTTAGGTTCAAATCCTGGATCTGCCATTTTCTTGAATAAGTGACTTATCTCTCTTTGCCTCAGTTCTCTCATGTTTAAAATATAGAGGATAACAGTCTGTTGTCTCACATGGTTTTAAGAAGACCAGCTAAGTTAACACAGAAAAAGGACTCAAAACAGTGCCTGGCACATAATGACTGCCACAGAGAGTTAATAGATAATTAATACAATTATTAATGTCTCTGTTATTATTGATCTATTGAATTTATGAAAAAGGCAGCTTAATATTTCAAAGTAGACTGAGTTCCTTAAAGAAAACCTCATTCAGGCCAGGCGCTGTGGCTCATGCATGTAATCCCAGCACTTTGGGACGCTGAGGCAGGCGAATGCCTTGAGGTCAGGAGTTTGAGACCAACCTAGCTAGCCAAAATGGCAAAACCCCATCTCTACTAAAAATATAAAAATTAGCCGGGCCTGGTGGCGGGCCCCTGTAATCCCAGGTACTCAGGAGGCTGAGGGAGAAGAATCGCTTGGGCCCGGGAGGCAGAGGTTGCAGTGAGCTGAGATCACGCTGCTGCACTCCAGCCTGGGCGACAGAGTTAGACTCCATCTCAAAAAAAAAAAAGGAAAGCTCATTCATTTAAAGCTGAGCACAGTATTACCTAAAGCCCTTAAGTCAATACATATTTCAATACATGAAAAGATGAAAAAACATACATTTCAAAAAAGAATAAACAAAACAAAATCAACTGCAACTGCAACACAAATATTCAACGGGAACCAACCTGACACCTCAGAGAACTGAGGATATAAACTACAAACAACCAAACAACTAAAGAGCAAGATTTTCAAACCGTCTTCTGCAGAAAGGCACCTTGGGAGCCACTTAAATGCCAAGAAGGTCCATAACACCTGCCTTCATGGAAAATAACTTTGCTTATATCTGTTACATACACTGGAACCACATGTAAGCATTCATGTGAGAATGGCTACACAAAATTATAACATGTGAAACAACAAAAAGTGTAAAAAGAATATAAAATGTACATGCTGAGTAATTAGAATGATAAGCCATTTCTCTTCATGTCATGGACAGGGTTCTGAGTTCAAATTGCATGCTCCTGCCATATGCTCTTCTGGGCAGTTTCTTTTAAAGACTGTTCTATGGGTGGGTGGCAAGGAAGATGAGGATTGGCTGCTTTATTACTATTTCTACAATATCTTTAATTTTCCTCTATTTTTTTTCTTCTTTCATTGCCAAGCTCTCCAGGGTAACCGGTCCTTCTCAATATATCACTGTTTCTCCCTCAGAGGCTGCCCCTCTGAAGCCCATTCCCTATAGTAAGTGCTATGAACATGCACTCTGTATTTTGCCCTTTAGTGCTAGACTTTCTCTTTCTGGAGTGATTTTATCTGCCACATCTAAGTCTTCCATGCCCTCTACTCTTTTTCAAGGATTATCTTTGGCTGTCCCCACCCGCAACTCTTCAAATTTATGTCTCTACCTACAGGTAATGTGAGGGTCTACATGCTGCTTACCAGAAGCCCATGTTAAATAAAATGACAAAAACGAGTTTAAAATTAAATGAAGGAAAAAGACATATCATGCCAACACTAATCAAAAAGCAAGAAGCACAAAAGAATAAAACCAAGGAGGTAATGGATAATGGACACTAACAAAGAGCAAAAGACAATTTGCTATAATGTAAATAATTTGATGGTTTCTAAGGCCCTTATTTTTATAAAGTATCTTTACCCATAATAATAATTGCTTCAAAAATCAATCTAGGGCAGGGCACAGTGGCTCACACCTGTTAATTCCAGGACTTTGGGAGGCTGAGGCAGGTGGATCACCTGAGGTCAGGAGTTCGAGACCAGCCTGACCAGCATGGTGAAACCCTATCTCAATTAAAAATACAAAATTATCCGACATGGTGGTACATGCCTGTAATCCCAGCTACTCGGGAGGCTGAGGCAGGAGAATCGCTTGAACCAAGGAGGCAGGCGTTGTAGTGAGCCAAGATCATGCCATTGCACTCCAGCCTGGACAACAAGAGCAAAACTCTCTCAAAAACCTAGGCTGGGGATGGTGGCTCACACCTGTAATCCCAGCCCTTTGGGAGGTCAAGGTGGGAGGATCATTTTAGCTCAGGGGACCAGCCTGGGCAATATAGTGAGACCTCATCTCTATAAAGTTCAAAAAAAATTAGCTGGGTATGGTGGCACATGCCTGTAGTCCCAACTACTCAGGAGGGCCTAGGTGGGAGGATAGCTTGAGCCGGGGAGGTCAAGGCTGCAATAAGCCCTGATGGTGCCACTGCACTCCAGCCTGTGTGACAGAGACCCTGTCTCAAAAAAAAAACAAAAATAATTTTTAAAAGTTTTTAAAATTAATCTAAAAAGGCCAAGTACAGTGGCTCATGCCTGTAATCCCAGCACTTTGGGAGGTTGACTGGGGAGGACTACTTGATCTCAGGAGCTCAAGATTCATCCTGGGTGATATGGTTTGGCTGTGTCCCCAACCAAATCTCATCTTGAATTGTAGCTCCAATTCCCACGTGTTGTGCAAGGGACAGGTGGGAGGTAATTGAATCATGGGGGTGGGTCTTTCCCATGCTATTCTCATGATAGTGAATAAGTCTCATGAGATTAGATGGTTTTATAAAGGGGAGTTCCCTACACAAGCTCTCGACTGCCACCATCCATGTAAGACACGACTTTGCTCCTCCTTGTCTTGTGCTATGATTGTGAGGTCTCCCCAGCCATGCGGAACTGTGAGTCAATTAAACCTCTTTTCTTTGTAAATTATCCAGTCTCAGGTATGTCTTTATCAGCAGTGTGAGAACAAATGAATACACTGGGCAACAGAGTGTGACCTCATCTCTACAAAAATAGAAAATAATTAGCTAAGCGTGGTGGTGCACGTCTGTAGTCCCAGTTACTCGGGAGGCTGAGGCAAGAGGATCACATGAGCCTAGGAGGTACAGGCTGCAGCAAACTATGAGGGCACCATGGTACTCCAGGCTGGGCAACAGAGTGAGACCCTGTCCCCCCCCAAAAAAAGAGTTAAAATTAAATAAATAAATAAAATCCAAGACCAGCTACAGTGCCTATAATCCCAGCACTTTGGGAGGCCCAGGCGGGAAGATTCCTTGAGTTCAGAAGTTCCAGACCAGTCTGGGCAACATAGTGAGACCTCATCTCTACTAAAAATAAATCAGCTGCATGTAGTGGCTTGTGCTTGCAGTCCCACAGCTGCTCAGGAGGCTGAGATGGAAGGATCACTTGAGCCCAGAAAGTCAAGGCTGCAATAAGTCATGTTTATGCCGCTGCACTCCAGTCTGGATGACAAAGTGAGACCCTATCTTAAAGAAAAAAAAAAAGATCCGAATTTGCAAACCAGGTTATTATTTAACATACTGGACACATGCAAAATATATTTAACATAACTTATAAAACAGATGAAACCAGCAACACGGCCTGAGGATAGGAATATTTATCTTTTCCCTATCCCATCTCCTTACCCACAGCTGAATTTTGTTCTCCATTCCCTTGCCTTTTTAAAAACTTTTTGGTATTCTCATCTTCTACAATGATTCTTAAACAAGGGAGTCACCTATTCACTTATAACAGAATATATGTTAAAAGATTTTATTTAAATCTCTTTGTAGTAATATAAGAGTACAGAAAACAAGGCACATTTCCAACCCCACAAAAACTGAGAAAAGGCTCGGTGGCTCATGTCTGTAATCTCAACACTTCAGGAGGCTGAAGCAGGACTACTTGAGGCCAGGAGTTCAAAACCAGCGTAGGCAACAGAGCTAGATCCTGTCCAGGGTCTTGCTTTGTCATCCCAGCTAAAGTACAGTGGCATAACCACAGCTCACGGCAGCCTCAACCTCTCAGGCTCAAGTGATCTTTTCAAATGGAAATGTAAGTAGCGTTTTCTTTTAATAAGTGATGCTGACCTACTAACAAGGAAAAACAGATATATTCTATTCACCAAGTTGGCACCAAAACCAAATTCTAGTTAATCATACTTTGAGTCCAACCTTTTCGTGTCATCAATTTGCATCACAAATGTACTCCTGTTTACTCACTATATTTAAAACAACTTGCAATGGCTAACATAACACTACAAATTCACAGTAGAAGAGAAGGACCCAGTCCATGTTCAGTTAGTACAAGATCAATGCCATTTATGTTAGGACTACTTAATGGTATGAAATTACTAAAGACATATAGATACAGAATAGAGAGAAATAGACCAGGCCTGGTGGCTTATGCCTGTAGTCCCAGCTACTGGGTAGGCCGAGGCAGGAGGATTGCTTAAACCCAGGAGTTCAAGGCTGTGCTAAGCCATGATCACACCACTGCACTCCAGCCTTGGTGACAGAACGAGATCCTGCCTCCCAAAAAAACAAAAAAAGAATTAAGAGGCCGGGTGCAGTGGCTCACACCTGTAATCCCAGCAATTTGGGAGGCCGAGGTAGGTGGATCACAAGGTCAAGAGATGGAGACCATCCTGGCAAACATGGTAAAACCCTGTTTCTACTAAAAATACAAAAATTAGCTGGGCATGGTGGTGTGTGCCTGTAGTCGCAGCTACTCAGGAGACTGAGGCAGAAGAATCACCTGAACGTGGGAGCCGGAGGTTGCAGTGAGCAGAGATCGCGCCACCGCACTCCAGCCGTGACAGAGCAAGACTCTGTCTCAAAAAAAAAAAAAAAAGAATAAAGGTAAATATATACAGCAGTATAGACATGTCTGCTTAAATGAAAAATCATATATATTAATAAGAACAGATTGCCAAGTTCCTCAAACAACCAACTAAACATAAGTAAAATAAAACCAAGGTAGAAAGCCTGGAGTGCAGTGGCACAATCTCGGCTAACTCCAGCCTCTGCCTCCCAGATTCAAGCAATTCTCCCACCTCAGCCTCCCTAGTAGCTGGGACTACAGCACACCACCATGCCCAACTAATTTTCGTATTTATTGGTAGAGATGGGATTTCATCATGTTGGCCAGGCTGGTCTCGAACTCCTGACCTCAAGTGATTCACCCATCTAGGCCTCCCAAAGTGCTGGGATTACAGGTGTGAGCCGCCACGCCTGGCCCAGAACTTACACTTTAGATCAACTGTACTGTATACACAAACATTAATTGATTATATACTTGCCTGCTTTTTCTCCTTCTTCCATCATATGACCTTTGAGAACAAGGGCCTCAAGTGTTCATTAAAATGAAGAGAAACATCTACACACCCATGAGCTCCTCAATAAATTCAAATAAATACCTTGCTGTGGTTGGGGGGTAAGGTGCAATCTTGCTCAAGGTGCCTTAGAGAGACTAAGATGAGCAATGTCCCACCATAAATCTTATTCAAAGCACCATACACACTGATGGTGGGACCCTGAGGAAACTAAAATAAGCAACTCACACCTTAAATCTTACTCAAGGGAGTTTACCCTTTTTCCTGCACAAACACAAGACCAGAAGAATGACTGATCCTTTGCCTTAGCTTCATTGCTATACTAAAAATCATACCCATGCTGAGACATGGGACACATGAAGAAGCACGTTATCAAACTGTTCAAGTGCCAGAAGTTCCCTGCCTCTACATGCTTAAATATCACTTCCTTCCCACTTTAGCCCCTTAAAATTACTTTCCTGTCTTACTGGGGCCAGCCACAGAATTCTCTCTTTTGTGTCCCTGGTACCCTGCCAAAAGCTCCAATAAAGCCTTATCTGAGAAAACTCTTTTTCTATTGCATCGAGCATCCTAGAACCTGTGGTTGTTAACACTAAGAAAACAGTATTTCTTACCTCAAGCAATAAACACAAAAATAAGAAAAAAATTTTAAGCCACACTTACCCTCCAAGCAAGTCTGCAGTATCACTTTGTTGATTCATATTGACAACCCTCAAACGGTGGCCTTTTATAAAGAAAGTGCAAAAGTGTTACTCCAAAAATTTAAAGACCGATAATATCCAGTGTGCTCCTTAAGGCTGTGGGAATATGGCATAGGGCTTTATTTTTTGAGACAGAGTCTTGTTCTGTCAACCAGGGTGGAGTGCAGTGGCCCAATCATGGCTCACTGCAGCCTCAACTTCCTGGGCTCAAGTGATCCTTGTCTCAGCCTCTCGAGCACCTGGGACTACAGGCATATACAACCAGACTTGGCTAATTTTTGTAATTTTTTGTAGAGACAGGGTCTCATGATGTTGCCAGGCTGGTCTTGAACTCCCGGGCTCAAGCAATCCTCCTACCTCAGGCTCCCAAAGTGCTAGGATTACAGGCATGAGCCACTGCGCCCAGCAATAAGGTAAATTTTCAAATGTGCCTTTGCTCTGAATCATGAGAGCCCAGAAGTTGGAGACCAACCTAGGCAACATAGCTAGACCTCGTCTTTACAAAAAACTTTAAAAATTAGCCAGGCGTGGTGGCACACACCTGTAGTCTCAGCTATCTTCCTACCTCAGATCTGAGGTAGGAAGATCACTTGAGCCTGGGAGGTCAAGGCTGCAGTGAGCTGTGAGCTGTGGGCTCGCCACTGCACTCCAGCCTCAGCAACAGTGCGACCCTGTCTCAAAAAGAATAAAAATAAAAAGAAGAAATGAGGTATAATGCAATATGTAGAACATAATCCCATATCTGTTTTGAAATAAAACAAAATCTATACGTATATGTATTTGCATAAGCATAGATTGGAAATGAAATAATTTAATAATAATCTATTAACAGTAGTTATTTCCAGGCAGAGATTACATGTGGGGTGCTGGCACTCTTTAAACTCTGTGGTCTTTGGATTTAGTATTTTTAAAAAAGGAAAAAAAGTAGTCAGTGTGAAATATCTGGGGGCAGATTTATTTCCTCTAGGGATTACCTGTAATGTGAGCCAAGTATTGGATGGTAGAGGTTTTGCCAGTCCCGGTCTCTCCCACCAGCAACACAGGCTCCCCTTTGCTGACACACACTGCAAGCTGCTCGATGAGAACAGAGGACGGCCGTGTAGCAGCGAAAGTGAACTTCTCCCTGGGAAGGAGAAAAAAAGAGTTTAAAAACCACGCTGCAAGCTTCTCCTAGTTTTGCTCTGGGAAACCATATATTCCAGATTCAACAACAAGGATGAGAAAACAGCTCACAGTAACTGTCTTCAAGCTATACCAGATAATCTTACAACATACAAAAATTACAGAATTTAGTTGCTCTGCAAACACTGAATACTCACACATCTGATACGATGCTAGGCTCTGGAGATTAAAAAGATCAATAAGACAAGACTACCTGTACTAGTTAGCTCATCTTGGACAAATTACTTAATGTGTCTTAGCCTCAGTTTCCTCACCTGTAAGATGTGGGTAACAACAGTACCTAGTTGTAATAGGTTAATAATCTTTCCCCAAACTCATGTCTACCCAGATCCTATGAATGTGACCTTATTTCAAAATAGGGTCTTTGAAGAAATTTAATCAAATTAAGATAAGGTCATATTGCATTAGGGTGGGTCTTAAATCCAATGACTGGTGTCCTTATAAGAGGAAGATTTGGTGACATAGAAATACACACACAAGGCAGAGCATGGTGGCACAAGCCTGTAACCCCAGCATTTTGGGAGGCCGAAGCTGGCAGATCACAAGGTCAGGAGCTCAAGACCAGCCTGGCCAATATGGTGAAACCCCATCTCTACTAAAAATACAAAAATTACCCAGGCGTGGTGGTGGATGCCTGCAGTTCCAGCTACTCGGGAGGCTGAGGCAGGAGAATCACTTGAACCCTGGAGGTGGAGGTTGCAGTGAGCTGAGATCGCACCACTGCACTCCAGCCTGGGGGACAGAGCAAGACTCCATCTCAAAAAAAAAAAAAAAAGAAGAGAAGAAAAGAAATACACACACAAGGAAGAAGGGCCACATGACAACAGAGACAGAACTTAGAGTGATACAACTACAAGCCAAGGAACACCAAGGACTGCTGGGAGCCAAAGAAACCAGGAAGAGGCCAGGCACCGTGGCTCAGGCCTGTAATCCCAGCACTTTGGGAGGTCAAGGCAGGTGGATCACCTGAGGTCAGGAGTTCAAGACCAACCTGGCCAAGATGGTGAAACCCCGTCTCTACTAAAAATACAAAAATTAGCTGGGCGTGGTGGCGCATGCCTGTAATCCCAGCTATTCGGGAGGCTGAGGCAGGAGAATCGCTTGAACCAGGCAGCTGGAGGTTTCTGTGGACCAAGATCGCACCACTGTACTCCAGCCTAGGCAACGGAGTGAGACTCTGTCTTAAAAAGAAAAAAAAAAAAAGAAAAGAAAAGAAAGAAAGAAATCAGGAAGAGGCAAGAAAGCATTCTCCCCTAGAGCCTTCAGAGGGAGGAGCATGGCCCTGTCGAAACCTTGATTTTACACTTCCAGCCTCCAGGACTGTGAAAGAATAATGTCATTGTTTAAAACCACCAAGTTTATGGTAATTTGTTATGGCAGCCCTAGGATACTAATATATTAATTCACAGGATTATTACAACCACTACATGAGAAAATATGTAAAGCACTTAGTACAAAGTCAGACATGTAATAAGTATTTAATGTTACCTCGATCTCAGAATCTTATATAACCCCAGCCTTCTAGGAATTTACAGACTAATGTTAGACATAAGCCTGACTTCCAACTGAGGCATACTTCACTAAATACACTGCAGTGAATAAAATCAATAATTCATCTTTGGTAGTGCCAAATCTTTAATGACTTTCATCACCTCTTTCACCTATTGATATCTAATTTCACAGAACATACTTTGGGAAAACACTGCTCCTTCCCATATAGCATACTACAGATATCACAGTTCAGACATGTGTTTTGCACAAAGACAAGAGGCTGAGCTAGACCTTCTGTCAAGTTTCTGGAAACCCCACAGTTGGCAGCTTAGTTTAGAGCCCTACTTACCTCTGTAGGTGAACAGCCTCACTTTGTTTCCGTAGAAGCCGCACTCGACCCACTTGCAAATCTAGCTCATTGATCACAATTTCTGGTTTATAAAGTTGACAAAAGAATTCAGCCTGTAGGAGGTAAGATTTTACCTGAGTAAAAATCCACATGCTTTTGGAATATTTCCTCATCCAGAGGCTTATTTTGGCCCTCAAATTAGCACTCTACAAAGAATTATTCTCTACTTCCCAGATAGTTGAGTTGGCTTTTCATAAAGAAATTTCTTTTTTCATTTTCCAAACTTCTATGTTTTTCACAACATTTATCATGTTTCCCTAAAATGGTACTTTTCAAATAAGCCCTACCTATATATGGAGTGAACACACTGATATATCCAATAGAGAAAGTGAACAGTAAGTCCTCACCTAAAAGGTAAGAAAAAAAAATCAGAGAAATCTTCTCTAGCTATGCTCTCCTCTGCTTTAAATTTCTAACATAATGTTAGGAAATCATGGTACATCTGACTACAGCCAAAGCAAAAAGAGCTGTGGCAGATGCTCCTGGATGTCTACCCAACAGCCATTCCTCTCTTCTCCAAAGAACACAGATTTTGTTCAGGTTTGGGGCAGAAGTGAAAGAAGCAAACTGCTCTGGGAAAAGTGAGTCCTTCCACAACAAGAGAGGATGAATATTGGTGGAATGAATATTCATGGTGGTTTCATTCTTCTTTCTCATGATTAACATATGTATCATTTAAGTCCCTTTCAGTAGGACGTTCTATGACCTCCAGCCAAAACCATCCCAACTATTTCAGAAGCCTTATAAAAATCTCTACTACTGTAATTCCTGCCATAAGATCTTTTAGAGTCATTATTCACATGAGAATGTCAGATATCTGCTTCAAGATGAGCCCAGACATTTTTCTAGACACCAGTGCCACTGCTGAAAGGATCCCTCCTCCCAAAATACGTATTTTGACATAAAACAAGAATGGCAAAATATTAACAATGTCAGCAATGAAACAAAGTAGTGAGTATACAGGTATTCACTGCTACTACTCTTTGCAACTTTTTTTTTTGTTTGTTTGGTTGGTTTTTATCAGAGAAAGAGTCTGGATCTGTCGCCCACGTTGGAGTGCAGTGGCACAACCTTGGCTCACTGCAACCTCTGCCTCCTAGGTTCAAGTGATTCTCCTGCTTCAGCCTCCCGAGTAGCTGGGATTACAGGCATGTGCCACCACACCCAGCTAATTTATTGTATTTTTTTAGTAAAGACAGGGTTTCACAGTGTTGGCCAGGCTGGTCTTAAACTCCCGACCTCAGGTGATCCACCCACCTCTGCCTCCCAAAGTCCTGGGATTACAGGTGTGAGCCACCACACTCAGTCTCTTGCCAATTTTTCTAATAAGGGAAAATAATAAAAAAGATGGAAAAACTCTGCATTAAGTTATAGACAAAGGTATTACTAAAACATAGTTACATTCCTGAGTCTAATGCCTACAAAATAAAATAAATGCTCACTAAAACACTGAAGACGACACAGGACATGAGGAAGCTCCTTTTAAGAATGTGGAACATGGCTGTGCACAGTGGCTCATGCTTGTTATCCCAGCACTTTGGGAGGCAGAGGCTGGTGGGTCACCTGAGGTCAGGAGTTTGAGACCAGCCTGACCAACATGGAGAAACCCCATCTCTACTAAAAATACGAAATTAGCTGGGTGTGGTGGCACATGCCTGTAATCCCAGCTACTCAGGAGGCTGACGCAGGAGAATCACTTGAACCTAGGAGGCAGAGGTTGTGGTGAGCCGAGATGGCGCCATTGCACTCGCGCCATTTGGGAGTTGTATGCCCACGAGAGGCTGCAATAAAAGCACCAACTTTTACAAAAGAGGTACCACTGCAAAAGCTGTTCCAACTAAGGACTAGAGACCAGCAAGCAAGCAAGCAAAAAATCCTAGCCTCCTTTCAACAGGGAAGTAAAAAAACAGCACACATACCTTTTTTCTAGAAATGTTCAATTTGCTTCCAATAACTTCTGCCATTTTCAGTTTGCTTGTATGCTCAGAAAGCATTGCTGTGAAACAGTCTAGAGCCTATTAAAATAACCAAGGTAAATGCTGACTGATTTTTAAAATAATATATTAATCACAGAACATCATTTTCCTGGCCACAAGAGGGAGAAACACAAAATCCAGCAGGAACATTTCTCTAAAAATGAAGGGAGTGCAAATAAGGTACCAACCCAGGACTGAGGACCTGACCATAATGGAAAGACAGGACACCAATAAATATAAATAATTGACTATTGAAATACTTGCCAAATAAAAAAAACAAACAACAAAACACCCCACTTTGCAAATCCTAGCTTCGGGCAAAGAAGAGCAATTAGTGTTGACCACTGGGTACATGGTTCAAGGAGAACTGACTCATATAGTGCTGAGGTAATATCAAAAGACTGCTTTCTAACTGCAAGGGAAACACTAGGTGTGCAATACCTCATGGTCATTATCTTAACCTAGTACTCAATCTTAGCAACTACCAGTGAGCCAACCAGTTATGTCTTCTGATGTGATGAAATATAAAATACCACCAAAAATGGACTGTACCCCAAATATGTTAAACTTGAATTCATCAAGCATTTTTTGTATTTTCTATTTACAGAAAATATGAGAGATAAAACAATGTAAAGGACACCATGAGTGTGGGATTGAAACCACCTTTGCAAAGATTATGACAGAGCAATCTAACATGGCTGACTCCATCTTACTTCTAAGCCTCATAGGCTGGCCATCTTCACTCATTCCTAGGCATAGGCCAAGCTAACCATAGTAGGAATTTAGTTTATAGTTTAACTTGGAAGCAAGGATGATAATAGTCCCTTCCTAAAACTAACCCCCTCTTTGCTCAGGGACCGAAACCTAATGAAAGACCACAAGATTAGGATTATGGGAGGGGCCTGAATTCTGCTAAAATGTAGGTGTAGTTTCTATAATCCCTTAGTGCTCAGGAGTCATGTGGCCAGAGGTCACAAGACTTGTGACTTCCCCAGCTGCTCCTATAGATAACACCACTATCGTAGAAACTAAAATTGGCCTTTTGAGGTGATTTTCAGATTTTTGCATTCCAGCAACTAACTAACCCCACCTGACTCAGTTACCCCACCCAGAAGTAGACTCAGTATACAAGACCATTTTCCACATCCCTATGAGTTCATCCCCAACCAATCAGCAGGCACCCATTCCCTAGTACCCTGCCCACCAAATTATCCATAAAAACCCTAGCTTCTGAGTTAACAGGGAGATTGATTTGAGTAACAATTCCATTTCCCATATGGCTAGCCTAGTATTCATTAAGCTCTCTTGAAGACTGCTTTGAGTAATAATAAAACTGGTCTCCCATACAGCAGGCTCTGTGTGAATTACTTTATTGCAAATTCCGTCATGATAAATTGTCTCTGTCTAGGCAGTGGGCAAGGTGAACCTGTTGGGCCGTTACAATCTGATCTATTTTTTCATCCTTTTTAAAAGTATTTTATATTTTTGTCCTGACAGTTGAAATACTCAGAATACAACACTTAATATACAGTATTGTCTCAACTAATAAAAAAAAAAAAAAGAGAAAACAGGCCCCCAATACTGCAAATTGCTTTCGTCTCAGTGGTAGAGTTAGTAGTTAAGTTTCTTCCATCATCTTTTCTATTGTTTTTTAACAAGAAGAATCTAGTCCTTTTAAAATTAAAATATATTTTAAAGCCATAATTCTAAGTAAAGTCAGTTTACAAGATGCAAAAAGACCCAAATAATGGCACCCCTAAAATTCAGTAATAAGCAGGAAAACTTATACCCAGAAATCTAAAGTTACAAACATTAATATTAAAAATACAGGATTTACTATTATAATACAGTTATCCCTACATATTCCTGGGGGATTGATTCCAGGACCTCTCACGGAAACCAAAATCTGAAGATGCTCAAGTCCCTTATATAAAATGGCATAGGGTGACTGGGCGCAGTGGCTCACACCTGTAATACCAGCACTTTGGGAGGCTGAGGTGGGTGGATCACGAGGTCAGGAGATCGAGATCATCCTGGCTAACAGGGTGAAACCCCATCTCTACTAAAAATGCAAAAAAAATTAGCTGGGTGTGGTGGTGGGCGCCTGTAGTCCCAGTTACTCGGGAGGCTGAGGCAGGAGAATGGTGGGAACCTGGGAGGTGGAGCTTGCAGTGAGCCGAGATCACGCCACTGCACTCCAGCCTGGGTAATAGAGCGAGACTATGTCTCAAAAATAAATAAATAAATAAATAAATAAATAAATAAATAAATAAATAAAAAAAAAGGTATAGGGCCTGTGTCAGTATGTACTAAAATAAGCCAAAGAAAAAAAAAATTTTACAGGTGTAGAATCTGCATATAATCTATGCACACCTTCTTTATTTAAATCTCCAGGTTATTTATAATACCTAATACAAATTATAATACCTAATACCTGATATTTCATAAAGGTATTTGGTCTGCATGGAATAAGGGGGGAAAAGAGCTGGACAAAAACAATTTGCCAGTTCTCAAAAGAATATACCCTACTCATTTGAAATGGCTGGTCTCAAATTCAGTAGAAATATATTTTAGAGTAGAAGAGAACAATTCCTCTGGTTACCATAGTATAGTTTAAAAGAGTTACTTCTAAAAGAACATCCAACTCCTTTTGTTCTTATTCCACCTTTACCGCTATGATTTGGTCTTCTGTAATAATATCCACTAGAATGGTTAAGTCCTGTGCACATACATGCTCCCATCATAGATAATAACAATGGACCCCAGATGAATTAGTCAGAAGAGTCCACCACCCTCATCAGAAACCCATCCTGGATTTATGGTGTCTTACAAAGAGGTTCAGTCAACCAACATCAACCAGCCCTACTGAGAAAAGTAGAGGGATCGGATAGTTACAAATTTATCAAACAGACTAAGAAATTATATGTAGGAACAAACATTGCTTTATTATTACCCGGGAGTTTCTTTCATTTTACCTTTAATTTCACTACCTGTTTTACTCTATATCAAACTATACTTCTTCTGAAATTAATAATAATTTGTTTCAAAAACCACAAAACATGTATTACATTCAATTAGCTTTAATGCCACGTTAGTTGAGTTTTAACTAGCTAAGAATAACAAACCAGGCCGGGTGCGGTGGCTCACGCCTGTAATCCCAGCACTCTGGGAGGCCGACGTGGGTGGATCACTTGAGGTCAGGAGATCGAGACCAGCCTGGCCAACATGGTGAAACCTCGTTTCTACTAAAAATACAAAAATTAGCCAGGGGTGGTGGCAGGTGCCTGTAACCCCAGCTACTCGGGAGGCTGAGGCAAGAGAATCGCTTGAACCCAGAAGGTGGAGGCTGCAGTGACCTGAGATCACGCCACTGCACTCCAGCCTTGGGGACAAGAGCGAGAGACTTCGTCTCAAAAAAAAAAAACAAAAAAAGAATAACAAACCATACTTGGAAAAAAGAAAAAAGTCTGATGGCAATCAAAAGACAGAAAATAACAACGGAAGTCAACAGCCTTACAGAACCAAGACAAAAAAGACTGGAAAACTATATCTTACCTCTTGAAAAATATTTAATGATGCTGATAAAGATGAACTGTCAAAGCTATGGGCAATCCTATTACACCAATTCAGCAGATCCCTTTAAAAAAAAGAAAGAAAAGAAAAAACAAAGAAAAGACCACAGGCCAAAGACATCAAAGGCATCAGAATTTATTGACCCACTTAAGTCTGGGCATACCTGATAACTTTCTTCTTTCTTCTGACAATGCTTAGATAAAAGGTATTTGGGAAACCAGTAAGGGTTCTCAATCCTTCCCCTCTTTGTATTTGTGTGTAAAATTTAAAAACAAAACAAAAAGAGTTCCCAATCTTCACCCATTCCAGGAAGTGACCTACCAACTCATTACTCTCTGCCATCCATGCCAGACAAGGTAGCAGGAAAGGAGGGGAGCAACCAATCAGATCAGAATGAGGAGATGCCATTTCCTTTTTTTTTTTTTTTTTTTTTGGAGACAGAGTCTCACTCTGTTGCCCAGGCTGGAGTGCAGTGCGTGATCTCGGCTCACTGCAACCTCCACCCGGGTTCAGGCAATTCTCTGCCTCAGCCTCCCGAGTAGCTGGGATTACAGGCACCTGCCACCGTGCCTGGCTAATTTTTGTATTTTTTTTTTTTTTTAGTAGAGATGGGGTTTCACCATGTTGGCCAGGATGGTCTCGAACTCCTGATCTCATGATCCGCCCACCTCGGCCTCCCAAAGTGCTGGGATTACAGGCGTGAGCCACCGCGCCTAGCCTGAGGAGATGCCCATTTCTAATTCTCACTTCTCAAAGGGGAAGTCAACCACTGAGAACACAGAGTGGCACAGAAGTCATAGATAGCGAAATCCAAGAAGACTTATTTAAGACTCCAAGTGTCAGAAAAGGGCATTCAGTGAAAGAATTATGTTAGGAGCCACTCCCAAGTTGGTCTTTAAAAGTTATTTTTTAAAGTTAAAAACATTACCCTAATCGAGCCTTCCCAGTCATTAA
Organism: Homo sapiens; assembly: GCF_000001405.40. Taxonomy (NCBI): domain Eukaryota; kingdom Metazoa; phylum Chordata; class Mammalia; order Primates; family Hominidae; genus Homo; species Homo sapiens. Next base: position 89,781,184 of record NC_000006.12, read on the forward strand.
TTATAAATCTGAAAAAGGGATCTGACACCATGAAGCAACCTATAATTTCAAAACCTGACTATTTACTTCTAGCTGGTAAGAACTTTGAACCTAGGAGGCGGAGGTTGGAGTGAGCCAAAACTGCACCACTGCACTCCAGCCTGGGTAACAGAGCAGGAATCTGTCTCACAAAAAAAAAAGAAAGAAAGAAAAGAAAAAACTGTTTAGTCCAGTACCTTAGAGATAATTCTCTTCCCTCAAGGGTTGGTCTTTTGTTTTCTCTTCTGGCTTCTGAAACTTCTTCAGGTGCCTGTTCACATCCAACAGAACTATCACTCCAAGAGTGATGTTTCTCTCCAGTAAGTTGGATATAAATGTCAAGCAGGTGATCAACCACTGCCAATAGGCTAGGATATCTGCTCTGAAGAACCTGACAGAGGGGGAAAAAAAAGAAAATTTAACAGCCAGCATGGTAATTTTTGAAAGCACACAAACTACTGCTGAAACTGGTCAGCCAAAAATTGTATTTCTCTATGAAATTTGTTCACTGGGGGACGGTAGCTCACACCTGTAATCCCAACACTCTGAGAAACCAAGGCAGAGGAATTGCTTGAATTCAGGATTTGAGATCAACTTGGGCAACATGGTGAAACATCATCTCTACAAAAAATACAAACATGGGCACGGTGCCGTGTGCCTGTAGTCCCAGGTACTCAGCAGGCTGAGCAGGGAGGATCATCTGAGACTGGGAGGTTAAGGCTGCAGTGAGCAGTGATCATGCCTAGGTGACAGAACAAGACCCTGTCTCAAAAAACGTAAATAAATAAAACATAAAAATAAAAATGAAAAGAAATTTTGTCAACTTTACCAAAAATAAGAACTTCCCCCTTACTCACTCCTGTTCCCACCCACCTATTTCACTCAATCATGATGATTTTCTTCCTACCCAGAACTCAGTTACCAGCAATCTCACCATCTACAATACAGTTTCAGCGGTAGAAGTCATGTTAAAAGGTTCTCCAAGTAACCAAAATATAAGCAACCAACTCTAAAGAATTTATTCATTAAAGAATTCTTAAATTACTATTTAATTTCAAACACAGCTCTGGTAAGGCCATTATGTAATTTCTCAATGAAAAGCATGTAAAAGGAGCAGGGTACAGTGGATCACACCTGCAATCCCAGCACTTTGGGAAGCTGATGTGGGCAGATTGCCTGAGTCCAAGAGTTTGAGACAAGCCTGGGCAACACGGTGAAAACCTGTCTCTACAAAACATTTGCTGGGCAGGGTGGCACACACCTGTAGTCAGTCCCAGGTACCTGGCAGGCTGAGCTGGGAAGATCACCTAAGCCTGAGAGGTTGAGGCTGCAGTGAGCTGAGCACCACTGCAGTGCACCACTGCACTCTAGCCTGGGTGACAGAGTAAGACCTTTCCTCAAAAAATAATAATAATAATAATAATAATAATAATAATAATAAGATATAAAATCAGTTAAGCTGGGCGTGGTGGCTCACGCCTGTGATCCCAGCACTTTGGCAGGCTGAGGTGAGTGGATCACAAGGTCAAGAGATCGAGACCAACCTGGCCAACATGGTGAAACCCTGTCTCTACTAAAAATTAAAAAATTAGCTGGGCATGGTGGCATGTTGCGGGAAGTCAGGGACCCCAAATGGAGGGACCAGCTGGAGCCACGGCAGAGGAAAATAAATTGCGAAGATTTCATGGACATGTATCAGTTCCCAAATAATACTTTTATAATTTCTTATGCCTGTCTTTAATCTCTTAATCCTGTTATCTTCATAAGCTGAGGATGTACGTCACCTCAGGACCACTGTGACAACTGTGTTAACTGTACAAATTGATCATAAAACATGTGTGTTTGAACAATATGAAATCAGTGCACCTTGAAAAAGAACAGAATAACAGCGATTTTTAGGGAACAAGGACAGACAACCATAAGGTCTGACTGCCTGCAGGGTCAGGCAAAAAGAGCCATATTTTTCTTCTTGCAGAGAGAGCCTATCAACAGATGTGCAAGTAGGGAAGATATTGCCAAATTCTTTTCCTAGCAAGGAATATTAATATTAATACCCCGGGAAAGGAATGCATTCCCGGGGGGGAGGTCTATAAATGGCCGCTCTGGGAATGCCTGTCTTATGCGGTTAAGATAAGGACCGAGATACACCCTGGTCTCCTGCAGTACCCTCAGGCTTACTAGGGTGGGGAAAAAACTCCGCCCTGGTAAATTTGTGGTCAGACCGGTCTGTTGTTTAAGATGTTTATCAAGACAATACGTGCACCGCTGAACATAGAGCCTTATCAGTAGTTCTGCTTTTGCCCTTTGCCTTGTGATCTTTGTTGGACCCTTATCAGTAGTTCTGCTTTATGCCTTTTGCCTTGTGATCTTTGATAAACCCTTATTAGTAGTTCTGCTTTTTGCCCTTTGAAGCATGTGATCTTTGTACCCACTCCCTGTTCTTACACCCCCTCCCCTTTTGAAACCCTTAAAAAACTTGCTGGTTTGAAGCTCAGGTGGGCATCACGGTCCTACCAATATGTGATGCCACCCCAGACAGCCCAGCTGTAAAATTCCTCTCTTTGTACTCTTTCTCTTTATTTCTCAGCCAGCCAACACTTATGGAAAATAGAAAGAACCTATGTTGTAATATTGGGGGTGGGTTACCCCAATAGTGGCATGCACCAGCTACTCGGGAGGCTGAGGCAGGAGAATCGCTTGAATATGGGAGGCGGAGGTTGCAGCGAGCCAAGATCGTGCCACAGAGTACTGTTCTGGGCGACATAAAAAGACTCCATCTCAAAAAAAAAAAAAAGAAAAGAAAATGTAGGAAAAAATATTTGAAGTTTGTGGCCAGGCACAGTGGCTCACACCTATAATGCCAACACTTTAGGAGGCCAAGGCAGGCAGGTCACCTGAGGTCAGGTGTTTTGAGACCAGCCTGGTCAACATGGTGAAACCCCATCTCTACTAAAAATACAAAAAAAATAGCCAAAAGTGGTGGTGGGCACCTGTAATCCCAGGTACTTGGGAGGCTAAGGCATGAGAATTGCTTGAACCAGGAGGCAGAGATTGCAGTGAGCCAAGATCACGCCATTGCACTCCAGCCTGGGCAACAAGAGCGAAACTGTTTAAAAAAAAATAAAATAAAATAAAAATAAAAGATTGAAGTTTGTTTGGTGTCACATATTTACCTATATACCTACATCAATAAAGGGAAAAGCATCTCTTCCATGTCTGAATGACCACTGACAATGCTTTGTCTGCCACTCTCCTAGATAAAGCACTGGGGAAGGGAAATCTTCCAAGTGAGACATAAAAGGGAAGTGGGGCATGAACGGAGTCAAGTGTAATATACTTCTTACTGATCTAGGATAACCACAATACTAGAAACTGAATCAATGTAGAAAACCTATAAAGTGATTTACCTCAATTCTCATTAATGCCTAGATCAAAATGTCCATTAAGTGTGAAAGACATTACTTCAAATCAACTTAGTAAAATGATCCTCTGTAGACAACTGGGAAAATTTGAATATAATCTAAGAATTCAATGATACTGAGGAATTACTGTTCATTTTATTGTGTATAATAATGTTATTGTGGTTATATATGAAAATGCCATTAAATTTTAAGAGATGTATGCTGGGAGTTTGCTTTCAAATATATTAGCCCAGAAAAAATAACAGATGAAGCAAATACAGTAAAATACTAGCACACAGACTGCAAAATTTAGGTTGATGAGGGTTCTGGTGGTTTATTATACTATTTCCTATTTCACGCGGGAGCCACTGCACCTGGCCAGCATTGATACTTTCCAAGACCCACGTACCTCATTCAGTTCTCTCTTATCCAGGTTATCCAGGTGAATTTTGGTCCAATATTTGTCTAGCAAAGTAGCATGACTGTTTAGCGGTCGATACCAATTTCCTCCACAGCTCAAGAGTCTACGTTTCAAAATAAAAAACACAGTCACACAAAATTCCAAATTTTAATCCTGAATTGTGCCTCTGGATATTACTTGCTGTACACTGTCTCACATAGGAAAAATATTCATAATCCCTTCTGTTTCCAGATACTACACTGTTGGGCTTACAGGGCAGATGACAAATGAAAGGCTGACAGTTAACCCATGTTTGGCTCTTCTCCTAAGTAGTAGTGATAGTGCTTTAACCAAATATTTTCAAATCACTGCAAATAATTCTACAAGGTAAATGTTTTTATTTCAATGACAGGTTCCTCTTCCTTAAGGCATAAATAACTTCAGGAAAGAGAAAGCATAATCCAAGGCTCATAGCATTAACATTAAGTTCACTGCTTGTTACCAGAAGCTACAGTACTTGAAAACCATTAAAAATTTCCAGAAGAGAAAAAAGTAGAGAAGGAATATACATTAAACATACACTCTGGGGAAGGTACATGCTTATGCATAGGCCACTTAGTCCTCACAACTGTCCCGAGAGGAAGATGCCATTCTTTTCTTCTGACATAAATGGAAGAGAAGGAAAGAATGGCCCTTATACACTCAACTGTGACTGAAAATGGCAGAACTGAAAATTGAATTCAAGTTTATCAGATCACAAGTTTGTCTAACATCTTTCCACGATGTCCCAGGTCTTTCTGGGAAGTGTTTGAATCTACCAGGGAAGAACTTCACTATCTCTATAAATAAAATCAAGGTCAGCCAGGCTCAGTGGCTCATGTCGGTCGTTGGGAGGCCAAAGCAGGAAGATCGCTTGAGCCCAGGAGTTCAAGACCAGCCTGGGCAACAAATTGAGGCCTCATCTCTAAAAAAACATAAAATAAGACAGGTGTGGTGGCTCACACCTCCCAGCACTTTGGGAGGCTGAGGCAGGTGGATTGCTTGAGGCCAGAAGTTCAAGACCAGCCTGGGCAACATGGCAAAACCCCATCTCTATTAGAAACACAAAAATTAGACAGGCGTGGTGCGTGCCTGTAGTCCCAGATACCTGGGAGACTGAGGCACGAGAATCGCTTGAACCCGGGAGGCAGAGGTTGCAGTGAGCCAAATCATGCCACTGCACTCCAGCTTGGATGACAGAGTGAGACTCGGTCTCAAAAAAAATTAATTAAATAAAATAAAAAATCAAGGTCTATCAAAACTAACAGTGCCAGGTACAGTGGCTCATGCCTGTCATTCCAACACTTAGGAGGCCACAGTGGGAGGACTGCTCGAGTCCAGGAGTTCAAGACCAACCTGGGCAATGCAGCAAGATTCCATCTCTAAAATAATAATAATAATAAAAAAAATTTGTTTTTAGCCAGGCATGGTGGTGTACCCCTGTAGTCCTAGCTACTCAAGAGGCTGAGGCAGGAGGATCACTTGAGCCCAGGAGTTTGTGGTTACAGTAAGCTACGATCAAGCCACTGCATTCCAGCCTGGGTACAAAGCAAAACACTGTCTCTAAAAAATAAATAAATGTTTAAAACAAAAGTAACAGGATTGGGCCGGGCACGGTGGCTCACGCCTGTAATCCCAGCACATCAGGAGGCCAAGGCGGAGGATCATGAGGTCAGGAGATCAAGACCAGCCTGGCCAACATGGTGAAACCCCGTCTCTACTAAAAATACAAAAATTAGCCCGTGTGGTGGCAGGTGCCTGTAATCCCAGCTACCTGGCAGGCTGAGGTAGGAGAATCGCTTGAACCCAGGAGGTGGAGGTTGCAGTGAGCCAAGATCACACCACTGCACTCCAGCCTGGGTGACAGAATGAGACTCCATCTCAAAAAAAAAAAAAAAAAAAAAAAGTAACAGGGTCAGCTGGGCACAGTGGCATGTGCCTGTAGTCTCAGCTACTTGGGAGGCTGTGCTGGGAAGACTGCTTGAGTACAGAAGTTCAAGACCAGCTTGGGCAACACAGTGAGACCCCATTTCAAGAAAAAAAAAAAAAGAGTAATTGGGTCTAGGGAGGTATTCCTTGAATACTATCGGGTTAGCTCCACACTCCATGCAGAAGTCAATGTTAACTGAGGTAAACACTAATATAATCATTAACTATAGAATGATGTTAGTTTCACTCATGGGCATTTAAAGACATTGAAGAAGCTGTGCAGGTATAGACTAGCAGTAAGAAATAAACCACTGCCTTCAGGTAATTTTAAAATGTAGGCAGGAATATATACTAAGCACGCTCAGTTTTTGTGCCTTTGTTCATGCTTATATCCAATTAATTTTTCAATTGCCTGAAATCTACCTATCATTATCACCATCATGGCTAGCCATTAACTGGGCATTTATTGTGACAGGTCTTTAGTACAAGTCATTTCACTTATTCTTTACAGCCACCATTTGAAGAAGGTATTATTAACCCCATCATAACCAGCCAAGGTATACATAGGTACTAAGTAGCAGTGTCAGGACTCAAACCCTGGGCTATCTAACAATAACCTCACCTCTGATTATTTTTTAAAACATGAAATAAGGTGAAGTGTTTTAAACTGGTTACTTATTTTTAAGTCGGGGGGGGGACCTCTTATTTTATAAATTATCTTCATTAAAAATAATCAGGAATGAGAAGGTTAGACCTGTTATCACTTCCAACTAACCTTGCTTGAAGTAGACCCAGAGAACTCTATTACAGGACCTCTGGCTCAGCATGCAGACTTACGAGTAAGTGGCTCCAGAGTGAAAACAGAAAGGTTACTAGTACATACCTCCTGGTTGCAAAAAACTGAAATCCAGGTGCCACTTTCAGACAGTCACCTCGGCCAGGAATCAAGAGCTCTCCATTCTCCAAGAGAGGGATCAGCACAGAAACCTAAATCAGATAACAACAACCGCACTGATAAAGTAAAGCTATTAAGACAGAAATAATCAAAACAAAACAACCCTCTCTCAAAATGACAGACACACCCTTAAAGGAAACGTCAGCTCTCATAGTCCAAACTGGGGTCAGTATGCAGGTGGGAACGTCTGAATCACCTACACTCCAGCACAATTTACACACTCGACATTCACGAGTGCCTCCTGTGGATCACAACCAAGCAAGACACAAGAATACAGACAGGACCAAGGCTTTAGAGCCTAGAGGCTGATGGGAGAGGGCAGGCATGCAAATTCCCACACAGCATAATCAGTGTACCCCAGGAGTATACAAAGTCATATATAAAGATACAGGGGGTTCTGAATCAGGATAGAATGATTTAGAAGCAGGGCAGTGAAGTCTTCCCAGAGGTAGTGACATTTGCTAAACCTTAAAGAAGAATGAGCAGAAATTAACCAGGTTTGGTGAAACAGAAATGGTACATACACTTCAGGCAGAAGTATGCAAGTGTATTTTTAAAAAACTGATAAACCTAAAAGCCATGGCACAAGAATTCTGTTATGTGTAGGGTAGAATGTGCAGTAAGAAGCAGCAGAAAGATGTAAGGCTTAGAGGTAAGTAATAAAAGGCCTCCTGTGCTGAGCTAAGGGCTTTGAACTTTTTCATAAGAGTTATCGAGAGGCTTTTAGGCTGAGAAGAAAAGAAATAATTCCATTTTTTATTTTAGAAAATCAACTGTGTAGCAATTTGGAAAGGAGCTAGACTAGAGGAAAAACGGCCAAAAAGGACACTATTCAGGTAACAAAGGCAAGAGAGATAGGTAGACAAAATAAGCCAGTGCTAAGACAATGGGATAAGAACAGAATAAAGAGGTAAGGAAGGCCGGGCGCGGTGGCTCACGCCTGTAATCCCAGCACTTTGGGAGGCTGAGGCAGGCAGATCACGAGGTCAGGAGTTCGTGACCAGCCTGGCCAACATGGTGAAACCCCGTCTCTACTAAAAATACAAAAATTAGCCGGCCATGGTGGCACATGCCTGTAATCCCAGCTACTCAGGAGGCTGAGGCAGGAGAATTGCTGGAGCCCGGGAGACGGAGGCTGCAGTGAGCCGAGATCGTGCTACTGCACTCCAGCCGGGTCAACAGAGCAAGACTCTGTCTCACAAAAAAAAAAAAGAAAAAGAAAATTAAAACCAATCTCGGGAAAACTCTGTCCAAAGGAAGAATATTTCATCCTGCAATACATTTTTTGTCACTTTTCAGAATACAAAGGCAACATGGATTGTCTCAATGGCTAATTTCTTACACACAGAAGTGGTCTTTTTACAAACCAAAATACAAATCCAGCATATTTTTCTTAACTAAACAAAGGCAAGCACACTCTTATTACATCATCTCCTCCTTCACCTGTCCTCAGCCCACTCCTCTGTAGCTGCCACCACTAAGAAGCAGGATCTCAAAGTTCTCAATGTACATGTAACATGGCTGAGATGTTCCAAACCAGACCTGTTCTTGGAAAATGTTGATCTCATATTCAATTAAGGGAGGAAAATACTACTATGAAACTGGTCACATATTCAACTACTATAGGAAACAGCACAACCAAAATTTTATAGAAAATCTCTATCAAACAAGAAACCAGTCAAGTAATTCAGGACCGCAAATCAGATCAGGTAAGTAACCATGAAGTACCTGCAACATAGTACGTCTAATCAAATACATTTTTGTTTAAATCATCACCAGAATCACTATTAACAAAATGCTTTTCCAAGACAGGAAAATATATTAAGGGACAATGAATTTCCTGAGATGACATACCACGTCTAAGGGGGCATAGTCAATATCCTCCAGAAGGATCCAGTGGCCCATTGTGGCTGCCTGTGTCAGGGTGCCAGGCTGCCACACAAACTCTCCAGGAACATCTGTGCAGCGATACATCCCCAAAAGCATCTGCAGAAAGAAGATAAAGTAATTACTGAAAAACCATACCTGTAGTGGCAATGCTACATCCTTTGATTAACTGTTAATCTTCTATAGGTAGGTGTAAGTAAGTAGGCACTTGAGGTTTACATAGGTTGGCCCCAACAGTTATAAGCAAGACCAATAACTATTGTTATATTCCCTTAGCAAAAGCAATATTTTAATGCAAATATTTACAAGCATGACAAGCCACCAAAACTTAACATTTCCTTATTACCTTACTGTCAGTCTGATCTCCAAGCTGGACTTTGAGAAGCTGAGGAGGCTTTGTTCTACCTGTCACTGCAGCTAAATATTCAACTAAGGAAGTTTTGCCACATCCTATTGGTCCTTCCAACAACACAGCATTCTGAGAAGCAACCGCCATAGCCAGGGTCTGAAGACTTTTGCAGACAGACTCAACCAGCACATAAGACCTAAGGGCCAGCTCCTGTTCACGTGAAGAACTCCTATTACCACCCTAAAGAGGCAAGACAAAAGCCATGTCAAGAAGAGTTCTTCCCCCAAGGAACCGAAGTTAATTTCCACAGTAAGCCTTCTACTAACCTTACACAAACCTCTGTAAGTAAATTAGTAGTACCAAAACTATAATAACAACAGGTATGTCATCTAAAGATCTCATGGGCATTGTGGCCCATGCCCATAGTCTCAGCTACTGGAAGTGCTGAGGTGGCAGTATCATTTCATCCCAGGAGTTCAAGGATAGTAAGCCATGATCACACCACTGCACTCCAGCCTGGGTGACACAGAGACCCCGACTCTAGAAAAATAAATAAATTTTTAAAAATAAAGCAAAGGGCCAGGTGTGGTGGCTCAAGCCTGTAATACCAGCACTTTGTGAAGCCAAGGCAGGTGGATCACCTGAAGTCAGGAGTTCGAGACCAGCCTGGCCAACGTGGTGAAACACCATCTCTACTGAAATTACAAAAACATTAGCTGGACATGGTGGCATATGCCTGTAATCCCAGCTACTCGGGAAGCTAAGGCTGAAGAATCACTTGAACCCAGAAGGCGGAGGTTGCAGTGGGCCAAGATCGTGCCACTGCACTCCAGCTGGGCAACAAGAGTGAAACTCCGCCTCAAAATAAATAAATAAATAAAAATAAAAATAAAGCAAGGATCTGATTTTTTTTTCTTTCCATTTTTATTGGGGGTGAGGGATGGTGGGGGTATTCCATGGGAAGTAGGGAATCAGAATTTGTTGGCAAATGTAAGAAAATCTTCCAAAGTTTAAGTAGCCAAAAAAGCTGATGCACAAAGGTAGGGAAGAGCAAACCTCATCTATTACTGTTGGATTTTTCTTTTATTCCTTTCCCCATATTCTAGGATTTCCCATCTAAGATCACAAATATACACAATACATTTAGAAGACAATCAGGGAAATATGGACACTGAGAGGATATCTTATGTTGTAATTTTTTTTTAGGTATAATAACAATAGCAGGGATTTTTAAAGTTTGCCTCCTTTAGAGATATATACTGAAATATTTTCATATAAAATACTATGATGCCTGGTATTTGCTTCTAAGTAATATAATGTGAGGTAGTCATGCAGAAATATAAATGAAATGTAATTGATAATTATTGAATACCCAGGTCTATCAGGTCCATGGGTATTCACTATACCATTCTTTCTACTTTGGAATATGTGCGACATTTTCTGTAACAAAAAGTAAAAAAGAATATTAAAACACACCCAGTAAGTTTAATGAGAAAGAATTTCAGCTTTGTAAGACAAAAACATTCTCAGTCAGATGTGGTGGCTTACACCTGTAATCCCAGCACTTTGGGAGGCTGAGGAGGGAGGATGGCTTGAGGTTAAGAGTTCAAGACTAGGCTGGGCAACATAGTGAGACTCTGTCTCTACAAAAAATGTGAACTAACGTGTAAAGTAAAAAATGTTAACATGGTAAATGTTGTATCAAAACTTTTAATTTTTTTTTTTTTTTTTTTTTTGAGACAGAGTCTCACTCTGGAGTGCAGTGGCACGATCTCGGCTCACTGAAAGCTCCGCCTCCCGGGTTCAAGCCATTCTCCTGCCTCAGCCTCCCGAGTAGCTGGGACTACAGGTGCCTGCCACCAAGCCCGGCTAATTTTTTTGTATTTTTAGTAGAGACGGGGTTTCACCATGTTAGCCAGGATGGTCTCGATCTCCTGACCTCGTGATCTGCCCGCCTCGGCCTCCCAAAGTGCTGGGATTACAAGCGTGAGCCACTGCGCCTGGCCTTAAATGTGTTTAATAATAACAATGCATCCAATATACATGGGGGAAAAGGGGAATGATTTATAACCTTAAAGGGGTAGTAAGTTCTCAAATATGGCTGGTTCCCTAAAAATACGTGAGGATTAAATGAGAAATTCAGAGCTGGAAGCTCTTGAACTTTCCTCAGGGTTGTCCTCTCATAAATTTAGCAGGCAGGCTGCACCGCAACTCTACCCTGCGCTTTGGCCCCAGGGTCCCCACTGCTAAACAACAGCAGGTCCATTCTAACCAGAATCCTTCCCTATGTTAAAATCCTAATGCCCTAAACATAATCTAGGTTGGGATACTGGTTACAGGATACGTGGGGGGTAAAGAGGGAGGAGGGAAGGGGACGGGTCTTCACAACTAGAAAAAAACACAAAGAGCTTTGGAAGTACTGGGTGTTTGGTGTTATTTATATGAAGTTTATGAATAATCACTGACTACACTTATGACAATGTGCATTTTCCTATATGTATATTACATTTTAATTTTTTTTTTTTTTTACTACTACTGACCAGAACCCAACTGATGGGTTCAAGAAATGACCCAGAACTTATTCCAAGAAGAAAAGTGGGTGGCCTGGGTGTAGTGGCTCACGCTGAGGCAGGGGGTCACGAGGTCAGGCATTCGAGACCAGGCTGGCCAACATAGTGAAATTCCGTCTCTACTAAAAATACAAAAAATTAGCCAGGCATGGTGGCAGGCACCTGTAATCCCAGCTACTCAGGAGGCTGAGGCAGAAGAATCACTTGAACCTGGGAGGGGGGAGGTTGCAGTGAGCCGAGGTTCTGCCACTGCACTTGCACTACAGCCTGACCATCAGACAAAGTGACAACTGACTGAAGACTGCTATGGAAAAAGAGACTGGCTCCCACTAGTGCCAGACTTATGATCTGCAAGCCTGTTCAAGTATGGTCTCAAGCCATTCGTGGAAAGAAGCTTGTTGCATATGGGAGAGAGGAAGTTCACTAGATACTGGACTCTCTACAATGAGATAGTTCTGAAAGAAGAGGCTGCTGGGAGTCATCTCTAGACCTAGGCCTGTCTTTGCCACAGAGCAGTCCAAGGGTCTCCAGCAAGTAATTCTGCCTTTGAATTACATCAACATAGGATCGTAACATGTGCTACAGAACTTCACACAGTTTTTGCAGCAAGCAAACAAGAAGATATACGGAACAGCTCCGCGCAAGTTAAAGGCATCACACAGGAACCATTAGTTTCTAATTTCATATTAAACAGGGACAGGCTGGGTGCAGTGGCTCACGCCTGTAATCCCAACACTTTGGGAGACTGAGGTGGCATGATCCCTTGAGTCCAGGAGTTCCAGATCAGCACAGACAACATAGTGAGACCCCGTCTCTACAATTTAAAAAATTAACAAAAAATAAAAACAAGAACAGTGGGAATATCAGGGGAAAAGCCCAAGATGAATTTCTTTTTAACTTCCAAAAATGAAGCAGCAATTTAACAAACTAAATTTAGCTCACACCTGGTACATAGAACCCAGCCAAAGACAGAGCACACTCAGTGTTTAGTAGGGGGAAGGGGACACACCCCCTACTGATACCAACATACCAGCTCTCCAGGGGCTGGCAGCTGCCCAGGCAGCACCACACCACAAACAGCTGTCACCCTAGGGGAGAGGTCAGACGAAACAAGATGTCCCTGTAAGTACTGCAGCTCCTTCTGCTTACGCCAAAGGGAGACTTCTGGATTGGCCAAAACCAAGGCCTTCTCCAAGTCCTGCAACTGGGCCTCTTCTAATAACCTGAGAGAAAGGAGAGTCTCGTCAATTACCTTACCACTCAGAAATGCTATCGCAAGACCTGCAGTCACCTCTGGCCTGTCACCCCCAGAAAAGAAAAAAAAAAAAGAAATGCTATAGCAAGACCTCCACGAAGGTTCCTGCTTACCTCAACCTGAAATGGATCAATTCATCACTATTAAATATCTTCTTAAGAAATGATAACTTGTGCTCTTCATTCATACAGGTAACCAAAGCAAGACAATTGGCTGTATACCTAGGGAAAAAGAAAGTATGTAAATTCAGTTTATCTGCAGTTGATAATAAAGAATAAATAAAATCCACTAGCCAACTGAACACTAGAAAAGGAAATCTCAATTATTACAACACATTTAAGAACAGAAAATACAAATCAGGCACAATGGATTTACTTGATGGAACATGAAAAAGGTGAAACTCCATTCATATCATCTCATTTTCCTCTGCAATGACACATGATTAAAGAAAGGAAGTAAAACCCCAAAAGCCACAAGAACAAAAATAACAAATTTTAAATGGTTTCCTTTCCCTCCTGACACACACAACTCCACACATGCCCTGTACCATCCCCACACTAGAAGTGCAAAAAAGTCTAACAGCTACGCACCAGCGAACCAAGGTGTCATGGCTTCTGAGGAGAGGGACACACACACTCCAGTCCCAGAGCTCCCGGAACACAGACTGCTCCTGCTGCAGAAACTTGAAGGCTGCTTCCATTAGGTCCCGGAGCTTCATCCTCCTACGTCCATAGCGTACTGGATTAGCATCTGAACTCTCTAGGAAAAGTCTTTGAAAGACTGGGGATGTGTCCTTGAAATATCTCAGGGCAAACCTTCAAACACAAAGAATACAGACATCCCCAACTTAACAATGGTTGGACTTAATTTTTCTGCTTTGTAATAGGTTTATCAGAGTATTAAATGCATTTTCAACTTAAGCTATTTTCAAAAAGGAGTATCTATATTTTCATTGATTGGTGGGAATATCATAGAACGCAATTCTCTACTCTGACCAAACCACAAAACAGAACTCCCAAGGGTCTGAGAACATAGGGGAATGAATGCTGAATCTACTTAGTCGTAAAATTGTATCCTGTTCAATTTCAGGAACCAGGACAATGGCATGAGATAATTCTGACTAAGAGGATACAAAAATCTAAAGTAATTACCTACAAAATCGGGGGGTACTTAATGTAAGTGTTTACAACGGAAAAGGCACTCATTTCCAACAAACATTTATTCAGTTCTATGAGCCAGATACTGTAGTTTAATAACTGGGATTCAAAACCAAATAGATACTCTTCTTGAGGAGTTTGCTGTCTAGTAAGGAAGACAGCCACTTTTAGAAACGCTAAGAGACATACACACACGAGTCAACTGAATCTGGGGAGAATCAAGAAGAGATGCTTAAGTTACACCTTAATGAATGAAGACGACAAGCCTGGGCAACATAGTGAGACCTTGTTCCTACAGAAAAAAAAAAAATTAGTGGGGTATGGTGGAGCCTGAAGCCTATTCAGGAGCCTGAAGCTGGAAGATCATTTGCCAGGTTCCAGGTTACAATGAACTATGAAGGTGCCACTGCATTCCAGCCTGGATGACAGAGCAAGACCTTGTCTCAAAATAAGTAAATGAACTGCAAACCCTTCGCTAGATTAAGAAAAAAAAGATTCAAATAAACTAAAATCAGAAATAAAAGACAGGGCTGGGTGTGGTGGCTCACACCCGTAATCCCAGCACTTTCGGAGGCTGAGGCGGGCAGATCACCTGAGGTCAGGAGTTCTAGACAGCTGGACCAATATGGTGAAACCCCATCTCTACTAAAAATACAAAATTAGCCGGGCATGGTGGTGGCTCATGCCTGTAATCCCAGCTATTCGGGACGTCGAGGCGGGAGAATCGCTTGAACCCGGGAAGCGGAGGTTGCAGTGAGCCGAGATCGCACCACTGCTCTCAGGCCTGGGCGACACAGTGAGATTCCGTCTCAAAACAAACAAACAATAAAGGTGGGGGGGACATCATATTATATAACCAATGCCATGGAAATAAAAAATATTATTAAAACTTTGAACATGGCCAGGCACAGTGGCTCACACCTGAAATCCCAGCACTTTGGGAGGCTGAGGTAGGCAGATCACTTTAGGTAAGGAGTTCAAGACCAGCCTGGCCAACATGGTGAAACTCCGTCTCTACTAAAAACACAAAATTAGCCAGGTGTGGTGGTGCATGCCTGTAATCCCAGCTACTCAGGAGGCTGAGGCAGGAGAATCACTTGAGCCCGAGACACGGAGGTTATAGTGAGCCAAGATCGCGCCATTGCACTCCAGCCTGGGCGACAAGAGCAAAACTCTGTCTCAAAAAAAAAAAAAAAAAAAAAAAAAACAAAAAAAAAAACCAAACACTTTGAACATTATAAAGAAATGGAAAATATGTACAGACCAATAAGTAACTAGTAAGGAGATTTAGTCAGTAATCAAAAACCTCCTACCAAAGAAAAGCCCAGACTGCACTAGAGAAAAGCTAGATGATTACACTAGGGAATTCTACCAAACATTAAAAGAAGAATTAACACTAATCCTAATGAACCTTAATGTAATCAGGTGGAATTTGAGTAGGCTCATCAATGTTAACAAATGCACTACTCTGACGGGAGATGCTGATAATGGCGAGGCTATGGATGTGTGGGTACAGTGTGTATATGAGAAATCTCTGTACCTTCCTCTCAATTTTGCTGTGAGCCTAAAATGGCTCTAAATTAAGTATTAAAAAATAATTAGCATGCATTAGATGTTTGTTTTTAATTTTATAAAAATTTCTGGGCTGGGCGCAGTGGCTCACACCTGTAATCCCAGCACTTTGGGAGGCTGAGGCGGGTGGATCACCTGAGGTCGGGAGTTCGAGACCAGCCTGACCAACATGGAGAAACCCCATCTCTACTAAAAATACAAAATTAGCCAGGCGTGGTTATGCAAGCCTGTAATCCCAGCTACTCAGGAGGCTGAGGCAGAAGAATCGCTTGAACCTGGGAGGCGAAGGTTGCAGTGAGCCAAGACAGCACCATTGCACTCCAGCATGGGCAACAAGAGTGAAACTCCATCTCAACAACAACACAAAAATTTCTGGTTGGGTGAGGTGGCTCACGCCTGTAATCCCAGCACTTTGGGAGGCCAAGGGAGGTGGATCACAAGGTCAAGAGATCGAGACCATCCTGGCCAACATGGTGAAACCCCGTCTCTACTAAAAATACAAAAATTAGCTGGGCGTGGTGGCACACGCCTGTAGTCCCAGCTACCCAGAAGGCTGAGGCAGGAGAATCGCTTGAACCTGGGAAGGAGGCAGAGGTTGCAGTGAGCCAAGATCACGCCACTGCACTCCAGCCTGGCGACAGAGCAAGACTCCATCTCAAAAAAAAAAAAAAAAAAAAATTCTATCTTAAAAAATTGTGTACAAATGCTCAAAAATGGACTGTAGCGGGTTCTGTTCTTGTGGTCGGCGGCTGTGTTGCTCTCTGATAAAGGTATGTGGTTGTTGGCTGCAACCCCTGGGCTGGGATGATTCACGTTCCTGGTGGAGGCAGGGGAGCCCAGCTGGAGCTGTGGCCAGTACAGTAGTAGCAGTTGGACTGATTTGCTGCCATGGGATTCGTAGGCCATTATGTTTTGCAAGCCATGAAGCATATGAAGCCTCAAGTAAAACAAGTTTTTCAAAGTCTACCAAAATCTGCCTTCAGTGGTGGCTATTACAGAGGTGGGTTTGAATTAAAAATGACAAAACAGAAGGCAGCATCAATACCAGGTCTAAGGCCTACTGCCAATAAAGGGAAAGTATGAGATGCTCATTAATGAATGATGCTCTTAAACAATCCAAGTGAAAGAGGATCTCCTTACACAGCAGCCAAAAGAAGAGAAGCTAAAGATTTATTAGAAAGTCGGCCAGGCGTGGTGGCTCACGCCTGTAATCCCAGAATTTTGGGAGGCCGAGGCAAGTGGATCACGAGGTCAGGAGATCGAGACCATCCTGGCTAACACGGTGAAACCCCATCTCTACTAAAAATACAAAAAAAATTAGCCAGGCGTGGTGGCAGGCACCTGTAGTCCCAGCTACTCAGGAGGCTGAGGCAGGAGAATGGCGTGAACCCGGGAGGCGGAGCTTGCAGTGAGCCGAGATCGTGCCACTGCACTCCAGCCTGGGCGACAGAGCGAGACTCTGTCTCAAAAAAAAAAAAAAAAAAAAAGAAAGAAAGTCAAGTTAAAAAGTGAAGTAGGCCAGGCGCAGTGGCTCACGCCTGTAATCCCAGCACTTTAAGAGGCCGAGACAGGTGGATCACCTGAGGTTGGGAGTTCGAGACCAGCCTACCAACATGGAGAAACCCCGTCTCTACTAAAAAGACAAAATTAGCCATGAGTGGTGGTGATCCTAGCTACTCGGGAGGCTGAGGCAGGAGAATCACTTGAACCTGGGAGGCGGAGGTTGCGGTGAGCCAAGATTGCACCACTGCATTCCGGCCCGGGCAACAAGAGTGAAACTCCATCTCAAAAAAAAAAAAGTGAAACAAATCTATGATGAATTTTAAGTTCATATTAGTTTATGTATGAGTAGCAAGTTTTTATAAGAAAATGCCTAAAAGTTAAAATTTTTGAAAATAATTTAGCGCAAGCTAAAAATAAACAAAAAATAAATACAATTGACTGTAGTGATGACTGCATATATTGATGAAAATACTAAAAACCACTGAACTGTACACTTTTATATAAACTATCCCAATAAAGCCATATTTAAAATGCGTGCATATCAATGTACTTGTGTGTATACTCTGATGTGTGCAAGAGAAAAGACATTTGGGAGAAAACATACCAAAATATTAATACCAGCTATCTTTGGAGGGTATGATTTCAGGGTGGAGAGGACCTTTAGCTTCCTACCATTCTGTATTGTTGAATGTTATTTGAATATATCACTTCTGGGACTAAAAGAAGAAAAAGGAAAATAGGTATTATACTATTAGGACATTATTCTCCTCACAGGGATACAGTGAGAATAAAGTAGTTCTTGGAGAGGAAGAAAAGTCTAAAAACAAATACAAGATGTTACCTTTAAGGCATTTCTAGATACAGTTTTTAACTAAAATGTGTAACAGCAACTATTTTGGTCCCTCATTCTGCTGTATGGCCGCATGACTGGCCAAATACGGTACCTTACACATGGACCATGTCTTTGAAAAGAAAGTGCATGCTCCACCACAACAATCCATCTGCTATTCTTCATAAAGGCTGTGACTGGGCCCACCCACTATTGCTCTTACCAATCAAAAGACAGACAGCACTGATGTGGGGCACGTGCCCAGCACAAACTAGCAGCAGATGCAAAACTGTAACCAAGAAATTAAGCTAAAATGCAATCCAAATAAACTGCACACTTAGAAATAGTAAAGTTGGGCCGGGCGCAGTGGCTCACGCCTGCAATCCCAACACTGGGAGGCCGAGGCGGGTGGATCACCTAAGGTCAGGAGTTCAAGACCAGCCTGGCCAACATGGTGAAATCCCCACCTCTACTAAAAATACAAAATTAGCCAGGTGTGGTGGCACATGCCTGTGATCCCAGCTACTTCGGAGGCTGAGGCAGGAGAATCACTTGAACCTGGGAGGCAGAAGTTGCAGTGAGCCAAGACCACACCATTGCATTCCAGCCTGGATAACAAGAACGAAATTCCATCTCCAAAGAAAAAAAGAAAAGAAATAGTAAAGGTGATCAGTTTTATGCATTTTCCTACCACAACGGGAAAAAGTGTATACACATTTTTAAGAATGAAACTTAAATTTTGTTAAAAACTTGAGCTTATTTGTGATATATGTTTAGTTTTCAATCTGGTTCCAGGACAGAGCTCCAGGAATTGTAATTTCCGATGCAGTAAGAGCTATTCTTTTGTTATTCAACCCCCTTTCAATCACACCTGAGTTTATGTTAATGAGGTGACAATGGGAAAGTCCCTAAGGAGTGGGGGGCACTGGTTGGTTGCCAGGAGAACCAACCAAGTGATAATAAAGTTAAAACTTTCAGCCCAACTGCCAGAGAGGAGAAAGGGGATAAAGGTTAAGATGATCTCCAATGGTCAAAGATATAATAAATCATGTCTTCCTAATGAAATATCCAATTAAAAAGAAAAAAAAAGGAAAAACAGGCCGGGCACGGTGGCTCACACCTGTAATCCCAGGACTTTGGGAGGCCTAGGAGGGCAGATCACCTGAGATCGGGAGTTCGAGACCAGCCTGACCAACATGGAGAAACCCCGTCTCTACTAAAAATACAAAATTAGCCAGGCATGGTGGCACATGCCTGTAATCCCAGCTATTCAGGAGGCTGAGGCAGGAGAATCACGTGAACCTGGGAGGCGGAGGTTGCCATGAGCCAAGATTGCACCACTGCACTCCAGCCTGAGCAACAACAGCGAAACTCCATCTCAAAAAAAACAAACAACGACAACAAAAATAAATGGGGTTCTGAGAGCTTTCAGGGTGGTAAACAAATGGAGGTGCTGAGAGGGTACTGCAGCTGGTGGGGAGCATAGATGCTTACTGTCCCCCTCCCCCATACCTTGTCCTGTGCATCTCTTCTAACTGGCTCTTCCTGAGTTGTATCCTTTTCTAATACACTTGTAATCTAGTAAAGAAACTGTTTTCCTGAGTTCTGTGAGCTATTTTAGCAAATAATCAAACCTGAAGAGGTGAGTCAAGGAAGTCTCTGATTGATAGCCTTTTGGTCAGAGGCATATATGATAACCTAGACTTGAGATTGGTGTCTAGAGAGGGGGTGTGCAGGGGAGGAATGATGAGATACTCTTGTGGGACTGAATCTTTAACCTGTGGGGTCTGTACTAAACCCAGATAGACAGTCTCAGAGTTGAACTGAATTGCAGGGTACCAAACTGACGTCAGAGAATTGATAGATATAGGTAAAAAGTCACACATCTGGTGTTAGAAGTGAAGTGTTCTGCAAATGTAGAGAAAAAGGAACTGTTTTTTTCTTCTTTACTAGTCCAGGATACTTCTGTGTATTGCAGACATGATTCACAGCAGGCGCTGGTCAAGTCAGCATAGGTAAAACTTAGAAATAAGGTTACACTCTGATATAACATTAAAGGAAATAATCTCTGGGTGTGGTGGCTCATGTCTGTAATCCCAGCACTTTGGGAGGCCAAGGCGGGCAGATCACCCGAGGTCAGGAATTCAAGACCAGCCTGGCCAACATGGTGAAACCCCATCCACACTAAAAGTACAAAAACTAGGCCAGGCTCACGCCTGTAATCCCAGCACTTTGGGAGGCCGAGGCAGGCAGATCACTTGAGGCCAGGAGTTCAAGACTGGCCTGGACAGCATGGTGAAAACCCCAAAAAATACAAAAGTTAGGCCAGGCGCAGTGGCTTACACCTATAATCCCAGCAATCTGGGAGGTCGAGGTAGGCAGATCACGAGGTCAGGAGTTCAAGATCAGCCTGGCCAACATAGTGAAATCCCATCTCTACTAAAAATACAAAAATTAGCCAGGTGTGGTGGCACGCACCTGTAGTCCCAGCTACTTGGGGGGCTGAGGTGGGAGAATCGCTTAACCTGGGAGGCAGAGGTTACAGTGAGCCAAGACCATGCCACTGCACTCCAGCCTAGGTGACAGAGTGAGACTCCGTCTCAAAAAAAAAACAAAACAAAACACAACACAAAAATTAGTGGAGTGTGATGGCGGGAGAATCACTTGAACCGGGAGGCAGAGGCTGCAATGAGCCAAGATTGTGCCACTGCACTCCAGACTGGGCGACAAAGTCAGACCCTGTCTCAGAAAAAAAAAAAAAAGAATTAGCCAGGTGTAGTGATGTGCATCTGTAGTCCCAGCTACTCAGGAGGCTAAGGCATGAGAATCACTTGAACCCAGGAGAAAGAGGTTGCAGTAAGGTGAGATCGTGCCACTGCACTCCAGCCTGGGCAACAGAGTGAGACTGCTTCAAAAAGAAAAAAAAAAAAGAAAATAATCAACACATAACGTGTAATTCTAACTTTCTGAAACTGTCTCCAAAGCTATAGCTGAGGGGATTTGGGAGCACAAGTTTAATCAAGGTGAAGAGAAAGCAAGGAAAAAACTGGATAATTTTTTATGAGACAGAACTTTGATACCTAACTGACATATCAGAATAGAGAAAGCCAGGAACGTTCTCAGAGTCCCGATCTTTACTTGGCTGTATATTTTCTAGTTCCATTAAACCAGGTCCATTTTTTTCTCAACCCCTTTTAGAAAAGCTCAGACCAACAGTGTTTTCCCCCAAGTCTTCATTTCCTATTTCCTCATTAAAGGACCAGACTAGATATCATACTTCCAAGAAAGCCAAAGTGTATTTATTGCATTGATGAAGACTAATAAATAAAACACTGGATATAAGAAATGTTCTGTTGGCCGGGCACAGTGGCTCACGCCTGTAATCCCAACACTTTGGGAGGTCGAGGCGGGCAGATCACGAGGTCAAGAGATTGAGACCATCCTGGCCAACATGGTGAAACCCCGTCTCTACTAAAAATACAAAAATTAGCTGGGCGTGGTGGTGTGCGCGCCTGTAGTCCCAGCTACTCAGGAGGCTGAGGCAGGAGAATCAGTTGAACCCAGGAGGGAGGCAGAGGTTGCAGTGAGCAGAGGTCATGCCACTGCACTCTAGCCTGGTGATAGAGTGGGACTCCATCTCACAAAAAAAAAAGAAGAGAAGAAAGAAATGTCCTATTGGTACACAGAATATTAATCATTTTTACAGTGAAAGTTTTAAAAATCTTTTCAATTTAAAAACCCCTGACACTCAGTTTTGCTGTCTCTTTTGATTATTCCTCAAAACTATATTTTACTATCTCTTTAAAAGTCACATTAAAATCCAGCTCTAACACAGCTCTTAGTATACTAATTCAGATAGATTTATAGAATTTGGAAGGGATACTATAGCTCTTCTAATCCACTCCTTCAGCTGCTCTAACAAGCAAGGAATCTTTCCCATTAGAGGTGGATGCTGTAAGAGCCTCAGTTAAACCTCATTTACTCCGCTGTATATGCATGTCTTGCCACATGATACAATCCTTGAGAGCACTGGGGACATATCCTGGCCATCTTTCCAGGTCTGTTCTGATGGCCAAGATTTAAGAGAAACCTAGTAAATGCTCACTGAACTGAGCTGGATAAATGGATTCTGCTGTGACTCTTTTTATAAAACAATACTATTTATCTCTCTCCTTTCTGTATTTCCGTTTTACCTTCTCAGCTCAGACTCCCTTACATCCCAGGAGACAGCAGGTTCTATCACCTCAAGGAGAAATGCGAATAATAAAATTGCTACTCACGGGAGGACATCAGGATGGTTACCAATGAGTTTGCTCATCGACACACATAGCCGTTCATGCAGATCATGGTTGATTTGGCCTCCAGCTTTAATGGCTTCGGCATTCCTTTCCAGCAAATCCAAAAGGAGAGGGCGAAGCTGGCGACCAACCAGCACAGTACAGTCCTTATCCAAAAGCAACTGTGCTAAGGTACTCAGGACACACTGGCGATCTTGAGGTGTCCACACCTGAGAAAGGCAAAACAAAACATCTTTCACTTTTTTTTTTTTTTTGAGACACAGTCTCGCTCTGTCGCCCAGGAGCAAGTGCAGTGGTGCAATCTCAGCTCACTGCAAGCTCCACCTCCCGGGTTCATGCCATTCTCCTGCCCGAGCCGCCCAAGTAGCTGGGACTACAGGCGCCCGCCACCATACCCGGCTAATTTTTTATATTTTTAGTAGAGACGGGGTTTCACCATGTTAGCCAGGATGGTCTCGATCTCCTGACCTCGTGATCCGCCCGCCTCAGCCTCCCAAAGTGCTGAGATTACAGGCGTGAGCCACCGCGCCCGGCCTTTTCTTTTCTTTTCTTTTTTTTTTTTTTTTTTTTTTTGGAGACAGAGTCCTGCTCCATCTCCCAGGCTGGAGTGCAGTGGCACGATTTTGGCTCACTGCAACATCCCAGGTTCAAGCGATTCTCATGCCTCAGCCTCCCATGAGTAGCTGGGATTACAGGCACCCACCACCACACCAGGCTAATTTTTGTTTTGATTTGTTTTGTTTTAGTAGAGACAGGGTTTCACCATGTTGGCTAGGCTGGTCTCGAACTCCTGGCCAGAGGTGATCCAACAGCCTCAGCCTCACAAAGTGCTGGGATTACAGGCGTGAGCCACCATGCCTGGCCCAAAATATTTATGTAAATAATATTCATTTGCACTGCTGTAGAAAAGCAGAGACGAGTCCTGGGTTGGAACTAAAATGTCCAATTTCCAGACTTCATAAGTGAGATTCTATTATAAAATATCGTGGAAATTTTTTGCAATGGAGGATCAGAGTTAATTTAATATAAAGGCTGTTACAAATAAGTTTCAGTACACTGGAGTTTGAGGTACAGGGACTAATACCTGGATTCCATTTAAAAGCTACACGACTTATCTGAAAAATAATCTATGTGCTGGGGTTTCAACAATCTCCAGGGAATTCAAAACCCCAAAATTCCCCCAGCTCCTTTAACTCTTGAAGAAAAAAATGAATTCTGCAGTTAGTAGACAAAACTTCCAACTCTTCAGGAAAGGACAGAGGTAAAAAATTAATTCCTGGGAGTGAATGAGGATATCCCTATCAAGCTGATCAAGGCATCAGCCTCTAATAAATAAACAAAAAACAGATCCAAAGTAGACAGCAACACTTTGATACGGAAGATGAAATAAAATACAAAATTCTAGGCCGGGCGCAGTGGCTCACGCCTGTAATCCCAGCACTTTGGGAGGCCGAGGCAGGCGGATCACGAGGTCAGGAGATCGAGACCATCCTGGCTTGTAACATGGTGAAACCCTGTCTCTACTAAAAATACAAAAAAAATTAGCTGGGCGAGGTGGCAGGCGCCTGTAGTCCCAGCTACTCGGGAGGCTGAGGCAGTAGAATGGTGTGAACCCCGGGAGGCGGAGCCTGTAGTGAGCCGAGATCGTGCCACTGCACTCTAGCCTGGGCGACAGCGAGACTCCGTCTCAAAAAAAAAAAAAAAAAAAAAAAAATTCTAGTGCCCGGGTTCAGAATGCAGGTAAGCATACAAAGGAAAACTGAAAACTGTATAAAAGGCATTATATTGCTAGTGTGTATACAGGTCTGCACAACCGTTTCTGCCCAGCAATGTAACATCAGGTTTAAAATGGGGACATGCCCTTTGACCTTGCAAGTCCCATGCTATCAGTTTATCCTAAGAAGTTTCACCCCAGGCCAGGTGTGGTGGCTCATGCTTGTAATCCCACCACTTTGGAAGGCCGAAGCAGACAGATCCCTTAAGCCGACGAGTTCAAGACCAGCCTGGACAACATGGTGAAACCCCATCGCTACAAAAAATAGAAAAATTAGCCAGGCTTGGTGGCATGCGCCTGTAGTCTCAGCTCCTCAGGTGGCTGAAGTGGGAGGATAGCTTCAGCCTGGGAGGTCGAGGTTGCAGTGAGCTGAGATCATGCCACTGCACTCCAGCCTGGGTGACAAACAGTTAAAGCCCTGTCTCCCCCCACAACAAAAAAAGGATGAGGAGGAGGCTCACCCTAGTCACCTATATAAGTGTACCTTGAACACAGCATAAATGTCATACGCAAAATTTAACGAGTTTTGCCAAAATTATCACCCAGAAAGTCACCTTACACCTGAGCTCTTACAAAGTCTTCCAATTACAGAGCATTCTCTCATGAAAACATTTGATTCTGATCAAAGCACTGATTAGGGAAAAATGTTACCTTGAAACAATTTCTATCAGTCTTAGTTCTGTCCTTTATAGGAGGTTAACTGAAGGATTCCATAAAAATGGAGGCAAAGAAATTTAACAGATTTGGTCATGATACATAGGAGCAAAATCTCACATTTTCAACTGCTGCATGTCCGCATAAACAAGCCCTCTAAAGATACCTTTTTTTTTTCTTTTGAGACAAGGTCTTGGTCTGTCGCCCAGACTGAAGTACAGTGGTAAAATCACAGCTCACTGCAGGCGCACCCTCCCAAGCTCAAGCAATCCTCCCAACTGAGTCCCCTAAGTAGCTAGGATTACAGGTGTGTGCCACCACGCCCAGCTGATTATTTTATTTTTGTAGACATGGGGGTCTCACTATGTTGCCCAGGCTGATCTCAAACTCCTGAGCTCAAGCAATCCTCCTGCCTTGGCCTCTCAAAGTGCTGGGATTACAGGTGTGAGCCACTGTGCCCGGCCCCATTTTTTAAATAATAAAGTAAGTTACATTGCAGAGGAAAGAAACATATCCAAAGAAAACTGGTCAGACATGGTGGTACTTTGGGAGGCCAAGGTGAGATGATCACTTGAGGCCAGGAGTTCGAGACCAACCTGGGCAATGTGGTAAGATGCCATCTCTTCAAAAAAATAAAAATAAATTAAAAATTAGCTGGTGTGGCCAGGAGTGGTGGCTCACGCCTATAAACCCAGCACTTTGGGAGGCAGAGGGTGGTGGATCACTTGAGGTCAGGAGTTTGAGACCAGCCTGACCAACATGGTGAAACTTTGTCTCTACTAGAAATACAAAAAATTAGCCAGGTGTGCTGGTGTGTGTCTGTAATCCCAGCTACTTGGGAGGCTGGGGCAGGAAAACGGCTTGAACCCAGGAGGCGGAGGTTGCAGTGAACTGAGAATGCACCACTGCACTCCAGCCCGGGCAACAGATAGAGTGAGACTCCACCTCAATAAAAAAATTTTTAAAAAAAGCTTAATTAAAAAATTTTTTTTTTTTTAATTAGCTGGTGACGGTGTGCATCTACAGTCCCAGCTACTCTGGAGAGTGAGGAGAGGATCACCTCACAGCCTAGGAGTTCGAGGCTGCACTAAGCCATGATCGTGCCCACTGCACTCCAGCCTGGGTAACAGAATGAGACTCTCTTAAAAATAAAATACATAAAATATAAATTTCATTCCCCAATAATCTTAAATATAAAAATATAACTCATTTTTATACATTGACCTGGTATCCTGTGATCTTATGAAATTCTTTATTTTGAAGATTTCTTAAGACTTTTTACATACAAAATCCTGTCTTAAGCAAACATTGTTTTGTTTTTTATTTTATTTTTTTGGAGACAGGGTTTCCCTCTGTCACCCAGGCTGGAGTTCTTTGATATCAGCTCACTGCAGCCTCGACTTCCCAGACTCAAGGGATCCTCCTGCCTCATCCTGCCAAGTAGCTGGGACTACAGGCACACACTACCATGCCTGGCTAATTTCTGTATTTTTACTACAGTCAGGGTTTCAGCACATTGCCCAGGCTGGTCTCGAACTCCTGGGCTCAAGAGATCCACCTACCTAAGCCCCCAAAGTGCTGGGATTACAGGCATGCGCCACCACGCAAGGGGGTTTATGGTTTTTCTCAGCATTTTGAAAGATGTTTCATTGTGTTGTTTCTGTTAAGAAGTCAGCAGTCATTTTTATCTTTGCTCCTCTACAAGTAAAGTGTCTTTTTTTCTGGCAATTTTTAAGATGTTATTTATTACTTGTTTCTAGCAACTTGATCATGATGTGGCTTGGTGTGGTTTTGTGTTTATCAGATTTAAGATTATGAGTTTTTGGGATCTGTGAATTATTTTTCACCAACTTTAGAAATTTTGAGATTATCTTTTTATATTTCTACTGTTTCTCTTCTCTCCCTCCTCCTGTAATTCCAATTACACATACAGTAGACTAGTTGATAATGCCTCACAGATCACTGAAGCATTTTTATTCTGGCTTTTTCCCACCCTGTCTGTTTAAGCCTAGATAATTTCTATTGCCGTATCTTGTAATTCAATGTTCGTTTCTTGTGAACTGTCTAATCTTCAATGAGGCCTATCCAGTAAAATATTCATTGCTAAGATGGTATTTTTTGGTTTCACTTGTTTTTTTTCATAGCTTAAATTTCTCTCATTATGTTTATGTTTCCGAAACTTCAAGTCCCTGCACATATAATTACTATTTTTTTATGTTTTTGAGAGTGACAGGATCTCACTTTGTTGCCCAGGCTCAGACTGATCACAAACTCCTGGCCTCAAGTGGTTCCTCTTGGCCCAGCCTATAATCACTTTTTTCTTTTTTTTTTTCCCGAACATTCATATCATTATATAATCACTTTTTAAAGTCCTTGTTTATTAATTTAAATATCTTTATTATTTTGGGGTCTGTTGCAGTGACTGACTTTTCTCCTGGCAATGAGCCACCATTTTCCTTTTCCTATATCTAGTACTTTTTTAATCGGATGCTGAACGTTGTAGATGTGTCTAGATTTTGCTCTCTTCCTTTGTTCTAGCAGGCAGTTAATCAGCTTGTAGGTCAGCTTGATCCTTTCAAGACTTGTTTTTAAGTTTTGTTAGTATTGGTCTAGAAAGGCCTTTGAGGGCTGATTTAGCCCTAGAGTGTGGCCCTTCTGGGTTCCACACTAATTATGCCAGTATTCAACTTGGTCGTTCCACTCCAACTAGTAGGAGTTGAACATCTCCTACACAGAAAAACTCCAGTAGTTATTCTTTGCATAGCTCACGAAATTTCCCTAAGAAGACACAGCTTTACATTCAGCCAGTACTCACCAGACCCCATATCCCTAGAGCTGTTCCCTCCATTCCAACACCCTTCCCAGCATATTCCAACTACCGCCCCAACTCTGAGCTCTGTCTTCTCAGCTCAGTAGGACCACCACTGCTGAACTTCGTTCTTCCTCTGAGTCAGTCCTATAAGTGATTCCAGGTAGACAGCTGGAATCATTCTAGGGCTCACCTTGTTTCCCATTTTTAGGAATTCCAATCCTATGCTACCTACCTTTCATCCAATGTTTGAACGTTTTTCATATGGATTTTTTCCTCTTTTTCTAGTTGTTTTGGCAACAGAGCTAATCCAGTACCAGTTATTCTATCATGAACAAAAGTATATGTATTTGGCTGGGCACGGTGGCTCATGCCTGTAATCCCAGCACTTTGGGAGGCCGAGGCAGGAGGATCACCTAAGCTCAGGAGTTTGAGACCAGCCTGAGAAACATGCTGAAACCCCATCTCTACTAAAAATACAAAAATTAGCCGGACATGGTGGTGGGAGCCTGTAATCCCAGCTACCAGGGAGGCTGAGGCGGCAGAAGCACTTGAGCCCGGAAGGTTGAGGGTGCAGTGAGCTGAGATCGTGCCCCTGCACTCCAGCCTGGGTGACAGGTGAGACACTGTCTCAAAAAAAAAAAAAAAAAAAAAAAAGAAGTATGTATATTTGACTCTTTTACAGCACTGTTTGCATAGCTTCATATATATTTAAAACTTTTTATTTTATCTTCCCAGATTTATAGAGAAAAGACTATATATACAAGACTGAACATAGTGGTTCACACCTGTAATCTCAGCACTTTGGGAGGCCAAGGCAGGCAGATCACTTGAGCCCAGGAGTTTGAGACCAGCCTGGGCAACATGGCAGAACCCCATCTCTACAAATAATACAAAAGTTAGCCAGGCTTGGCTGGGTGCAGTGGCTCACTCTTGTAATCCCAGAACTTTGGGAGGCCAAGGCGGGTGGATTACTTGAGGTCAGGAATTCAAGATCAGCCTGACCAACATAGCGAAACCCCATCTCTACTAAAGGCACAAAAATTAGCCGGGCATTATGGCATATACCTGTAGTCCCAGCTACTCGGGAGGCTGAGGCAGGAGAATCGCTTGAACCCAGGAAGCAGAGGTTGCAGTAAGCCACGATTCTGCCACTGCACTCAAGCCTGGGTGCCAGAGCAAGACTCCCTCTCAAAATAAATAAATAAAATAAAATAAAATAAAATAAAATAAAATAAAATAAAATAAAATAAAAAATTAGCCAGGCTTGGTGGTGTATGCCTGTAGTCCCTACTACTCATGAGGCTAGAGTTGGGGGAAATCACCTGAGCCTGGAAGGTAGAGGCTGCAGTGAGCCATGATTGTACCACTATACCCCAGCCTAGGCAACAGAGTGAGACTCCGTTTCACTAAAAAAAAAAAAAAAAAAAAAAAAAAAAAAAAATTAAGTTTGGAAGATTATATATCAAAATATTAATATGGGCAGTCCCTGACTGAATGTTTTTCTTACATGTATTAATTTCCTGGAGCTGTCATAACAAAATACCACAAACTGACTTAAAAAAAAACAAGGCCGGGTATAGTGGCTCACGCCTGTAATCCCAGCATTTTGGGAGGCTGAGGTGGGTGGATCACCTGAGGTCAGGAGTTCGAGACCAGCCTGAGCAATACGGTGAAACCCCGTCTCTACTAAAAATACAAAAATTAGCCGGGTATGGTGGCGGGTGCCTGTAGTCCCAGCTACCAGGAAGGCTGAGGCAGGAGAATCGCTTGAACCCGGGAAGCAGAGGGTGCAGTGAACCGAGATCGTGCCACTGTACTCTAGCCTGGGCAACAGAGTGAGACTCTGTCTCAAAAACACAAAACAAAACAAAAAACAAATTAAAAAAACAGAAATGTGTTGTCTCACAATTCTAAAGTTTGGAAGTCCAAGATCAGGGTGTCAGCAAGGCCATATTCCTTTGAAACCTATAGGGGAGAATCCTTCCTTGCCTCTTCCTAGCTTCTGGTTGTCATCATCAATCCCTGCTGTTCCTTGTCTCACAGATTTATCACTCCAATATGTATTTCTGTCATCGCCACATGGCCATCTTCCCTTTATGTCTTTCTCTCCTCATAAGAACAGTCATATTGTGCTGGGTGTGGTGGCTCACGGCTGTAATTCCAGCACTCTCGGAGGCTGAGGTGGACAGATCACTTGAGGTCGGGAGTTAGAGACCAGCCTGGCCAATATAGTGAAACCACATCTCTACTAAAAATACAAAAATTAGCTGGGCATGGTGGCACACACCTGTAATCCCAGCTGCTGAGGCAGGAGAATTGCTTGAACCAAAGAGGCGGAGGTTGCAATGAGCTGAGATTGCACCACTGCACTCAAGCCTGGGCGAAAGAGAAACAGTCATATTGATTAAGGCCCTATCTAATTATCTCATCCTGACTTTATTACATCTGCAAAGACCTCATTTCCAAATAGGGTCACATTCAGGTATTATAGACTAGGACTTCTAAGTATATTTTTGACAGACACAATTTAACCCACAATATGGGTGGTGCTTTCCTGAATTCTCCTAGTATTCTGCATGAATACTACTAGTTAATGAAGTTTTAAAAAATTATAAATGTTTTACTAAAACCCATGAAAGGGTAAATGCCAGGCCTGCAAGAAAAGGGATCAGCTAGGCTAGGATACCTGTAAGTATCTAGCGGGTGGGTGGGGGTTATAGGAAAACTACATAATCAGTTTTCTCCTTCTGTAAGCCCAGGGGTCTTGCTAATCAAAGCATCTTTGACCATGTCAGCTGGCTTGCTATTGTAGGAAATAAAAACAGGACAATGAATGTTAAAGGATTTACTTCTTTTTATTTTTTTTTTTTAAGATAGGGTCTCACTCTGTCGCCAGGCTGGAGTGCAGTGGTACGATGTCGGCTCACTGTGACCTCCGCGTCCCTCTCGGGTTCAGTTCAACCAATTCTCCTGCCACAGCCTCCCAAGTAGCTGGGACTACAGGAGTGTGCCACCACGCCCAGCTAATTTTTGTATTTTTAGTAGAGATGGGGTTTCACCATATTGGCCAGGATGGTCTCAATATCTTGACCTCGTGATCTGCCCACCTCAGCCTCCCAAAGTGCTGGGATTATAGGTGTGAGCCACCGCAACCAGCCAGGATTTACTTCTTAAACCTGTGATTACTCCCATAACATTCTTAGGAAATCCTGCCTTTCTTCTTGGGAGACTGGGACCCACTGGAAAAGGGAAAGGACTGCATTCCTCCTGGCTACACCTTTGTATTTTCTCACTTCTCTTAACATTCTGTGAAGCTTAAATGGGTTTTATTTAGGTAGCTGGGATACAAGCAAGTATGAGGAAAGCTGAAGAATACTGATTACTTAACAAATACAAGAAAAAACTTTTTTTTTTTTTCTGAGATGGAGTCTCGCTCTATTGCCCTGGCTGGAGTGCAGTGCCCTGATCTCGGTTCATGCAACCTCCGCCTTCCGGGTTCAAGCAATTCTCCTGCCTCAGCCTCCCGAGTAGCTGGGATTACAGGCATGCGCCACCACACCCGGCTAATTTTTGTATTTTTAGTAGAGACGGGGTTTCACTATGTTGGCCAGGCTGGTCTCAAACTCCTGACCTCGTGATTCGCCCACCTTGGCCCCCTAAAGTGCTGGGATTACAGGCGTGAGCCACCGCGCCCAGCCAAGAAAAAACATTTTTATTGGCCGGGTGTGGTTACTCACACCTATAATCCCAGCACTTTGGGAGGCCGAGGCAGGTAGATTGTCTGAGCTCAGCCACTGCACCCGGCCAGGAAAAAATATTTTTAAGGTGGCTCAGCTCTTCTCTTCCCACCAAAAATACTAACCAATTCCGTTCCTTTGCTATAACAAAATTCATCAATTTCCCAATAATTAGCCAACAAAAATAGAAAAGGAAAAAAAGTCTTCATATTTGTATGTCTGTATGCTTAACATATTGAGTTTTTACTGTTTTGAGTAATGAAATTACTACACTGTCATATTCAACTGCTAACTGATCAGTTAGCCCTTCTCAAAGCAGAGTTAATTAAAAGGATAAGGCAACTGCTAACTGATCAGTTAGCCCTTCTCAAAGCAGAGTTAATTAAAAGGATAACCTCAGTGTTATTATTTATAATTACATGTATCGGCTGAAATGTGTATTTTCAGCTAAAGAGAAACAATTCCTAAACTACTCTATAAAACCTAAGCAATTAGGCTGGGTGCGGTGGCTCCTACCTGCAATCCCAACACTTTGGTAGGCCAAGGTGGGAGGATAGCTTGAGCCCAAGAGTTCAAGACCAGCCTGGGCAACAAAGTGAGACTCCCCATCTCTACAAAAATTTTTTTTTTTTTTTGAGACGGAGTTTCATTGTTGTTGCCCAGGCTGGAGTGCAATGGCGCGATCTCGGCTCACCACAACCTCTGCCTCCCAGGTTCAAGAGATTCTCCTGCCTCAGCCTCCCCAGTAGCTGGGATTATAGGCATGCGCCACCACGCCCGGCTAATTTCGTATCTTTAGTAGAGAAGGGGTTTCTCCATGTTGGTCAGGCTGGTCTCGAACTCCCAACCACAGGTGATCTGCCCACCTCGGCCTCCCAAAGTGCTGGTACAGGCCTGAGCCATCGTGCCCGGCCACAAAATTTTTTTTAGAAATTAGCCAGGCAAGGCTGGGCGCCGTGGCTCATGCCTGTAATCCCAGCACTTCGGGAGACCGAGGCAGGAGGATCACCTGAGTTCAGGAGTTCAAAAGCAGCCTGGCCAACATGGCAAAACCCCATCTCTACTAAAAATACAAAAAATTAGCTGGGCATGGTGCCAGGTGCCTGTAATCCCAGCTACTTGGGAGGCTGAAACAGGAGAATTGCTTGAACCCAGGAGGCGGAGGTTGAAGTGAGCCAAGATCATGCCATTGCACTCCAGCCTGGGTGACAGAGCAGACTCTGTCTCAAAAAAAAAAAAAAAAACAAAAAAGAAAGAAATTAGCCAGGCATGGTATTGTGCACCTGTTGTCCCAGCTACTCAGAAGGATGAGGTGGGAGGACCATTTGAGCCCAGGAGGTCAAGGCTGAAGTGAGCTATGATCACTGTACGCTAGCCCAGGCAATAAAAGGAGACACTGTTTCGGGCAGGGGAAGCATTAAAGCATCATCACTCTCATCATTTGCTTAAAACACTGAAAGTTAAAGCTATGTTCTGCCAAAACTAAGTAAGTATGCCTGTAATTCCAGCATTTTGGGTGGCCAAGGTGGGAGGACTGCTTGAGCCCAGGAGTTTGAGACCAGCCTAGGCAACACAGCAAGACCTTGTTTCTACCTAAGATTTAAAAAAAAAAAAAAAAAAATTAGCCAGACGCGGTGGCATGCCTATAGTTCCAGCTACTGGAGGGGATGGGGAGGGTCCTAAAGTAAGATGATCAGTTGAACCTAGGATGTCAAGGCTACTGCTCTCCAGATCCTGTCTTAAAAAATAAAAAAGAAAGCATAAACCAAAAATAAAATTCTAAGCCCCCCCAACCAACTGAATGAAGGTGAATCCTTCTCCATTCAGTCAAGTGCATTCTAAAGTAAACCTGAAACACTAGTTCAGGCCATGCTGGGAATGGGTGGTCAGACACGCCTCATTATACTCTCTTCCCTTCAGAATTCTGGCACAGCTAACCAGCATTAACATTAAAACAGAGACCTTAGGACTGACAAAACAGATTACTAGTAGCAATAAGATACAAATATGACAGACAGCAAACCCTGAAAGAAGTATTTCAGGTGTTCTTTAATCCCCCTCCTTTTTTTTTTTTTTTTGGTAGAGACAGAGTCTCTCTGCTATGTTGCCCAAGCTGGTCTCAAACTCCTGGGTCCAAACAATCCTCCTCCCTCAGCCTCCAACAGTGCTGTGATGACAGGCATGAACCACCACATCTGGCCCAAAATATATAGCTTTGACAAATTTTGAAATGGCCCTGCAAAGTTGTCTCTTTAAGTCTTATAAGAAACATTTAACATTTACAGTGCTCGGCTTCAGGCACATGTTGGGGGTGTTGAGGTCTAGTGGGCAGAGTAGACTCTTGGCCAGACAGATGGTTTCTCAGTGGCAGGATGCGAGGGCCTCCATGCACCGGAGATCTCTCCAGCACCAGGAGCAGCCGCTGGACAGCAAGGAGCGGCAGCCTATGGTTAGCCATTGGGAGATCTCCGCCAGGGCCCTGGGTTCTCTGTGCAGACAGTTCCAAAGAAGGCTGCCCCTAAGAGCCGTCAACCTCAACCTCCGGACAGGTACCTCCTAGAAACCCCTAGAAACCAGGGTCAGGGCAGTAAGAGACTCCAGGCTGCAGCTCGCTCAGCTAAGAGCACCCTGGGTGCCATGTCACAGAGAATCCAGGAGTCCTGCCAAAGTAGCACCAAGTGTCTGGTGGAGACCCAGGTGAAGGCCAGGAGGAGGAAGAAAGGGGTACAAAAGGGAGAGCAGTGTCTCCCCAACTCACAGCCTGAGCCAGAAGAGGATTCAGCTGTATGGAGCTGCCCCTGACCACTCAGCTACAGACCCCTGTGCATCACCACCTCTCTACCTGGACAGGCTCACGTGCCTACCCTCTACGGCAGTGGAGGCGGGAGACTGCCTTCCAGAGCCCCTACTCCTTGACAGAGCTCCTCTGCTCTCCCAGCGCATCTGATAGTGACCTAGCACCTATGGGGAGCAGGAATTCGGCATCTCCAGAAGCTGTCCCAAGAGCTGGATGAAGCCATTATGGCGGAAGAGAGTGGTGAAATGACACTCTCATTCATGACTGAGGAAGTGCCCTGCAGGAAACAAGCCCTGTCTGACCACCAAGGCTTCGTACCCCAGAATGTCTGTGCTTCCCCATGAGCTTCCTGGCGGAAGCTCCCAGGAGTCATCAGTACCCCTGGGCCACTGCTAACAAAGACCTGACTAGCAAGGAGCCCAGAGCCCCCCTGCTCCAGCCACATCTGGACCCATCAGTGACTGCCTGCCACAGCCTGAGAGTGTCTTGGGGAGATCTTGCAGAGGTGGGGAGAATTGTTCCTTCTACTCCCCAAGGGGACTCTTGGGTTTAGTAATGCATCGTATACTTGACCTTGAGCCTGGTATTTGCTTCATCTACAATGTGAAGAGCTGGCATCAGATGTTTGAGAGCTCTGAACTCAAACCAGGTGCTTGGTTTTTGGGGAGTCATCCACAGAGTCACTCGCCCACTGTGTTTCCAGTGCCAAGGCCCTTGGGGGCACCACTCTCATCCCTGCTTTCCCTACCAGGGACCTGGAGGAAGGCATAGGAGATAGTTCCAGGCTTAAACCCTGGGCTCACAGGTACCTATTTATATGTTCAAGGCAGAGCACTGTGGGTGTGCCAGGAGGGGTAGCCCTGTTCAAGAGCAATTTCTGCCCTTTGTAAATTATTTAAGAAAACTGCTTTTATTTTATTAGAAAGAAACCAGATAGCATTGCTTTCTTATAATAAAGACTAGATAACACTGCTTTCTCATAATAAAGACTGTTTTGTGGCTGGGCGCAGCGGCTCACACCTGTAATCCCAGGACTTTGGGAGGCCGACGCGGGTGGATCACCTGAGGTCAGGAGTTCGAGACCAGCCTGGCTAACATGGTGAAACCCCGTCTCTACTAAAAATACAAAAATTAGCCAGGCGCAGTGGCAGGTGCCTGTAATCCCGGCTACTCGAGAGGCTGAGGCAGGAGAACTGCTTGAACCCAGGGGGCAGAGGTTGCAGTGAGTTGAGATCGCGCCGCTGCAGTCCAGCCTGGGTGACAGAGCAAGACTCCATCTCCGTCTAGGGGCGGGGGTGAGGAGACTGCATTTGGGGGAAAAAAAAAAATCATTTACAGGCTAGGCTTATAATCCCAGCACTTTGGGAGGCTGAGGTAGGTGGATCACTTGAGCCTAGGAGTTCTAGACCAGCCTGGACAACAAAGCAAGATCCTATCTCTTTAAAAAATAATAAAAATTTTAAAAAAAGAAACATTTGCAATCTGTTCTCTCTGAAACCTGTTACCTGGAGGCTTCATTTGCATAATATGAACCTTGGTCTCCACACCCCTATCTTTTTTTTTTTTTTTTTTTGAGACAGAGTCTCGCTCTGTCACCCACGCTGGAGTGCAGTGGTGCGATCTCAGCTCACTGCAAGTTCCACCTCCCGGGTTCACGCCATTCTCCTGCCTCAGCCACCTGAGTAGCTGGGACTACAGGTGCCCGCCACCATGCCCAGCTAATTTTTCATATTTTTAGTAAAGACAGGGTTTCACCATGTTAGCCAGAATGATGTCGATCTCCTGAGCTTGTGATCCACCCGCCTCAGCCTCCCAAAGTGCTGGGATTACAGGCGCGTGCCACTGTGCCCAGCCTCCACACCCCTATCTTAACCTAGACACTCCATTCTACTGATTCCAGGGATTTAAATGAACTCTCACCCAATTGCCAGTCAGCAAATCTTTGAATCCACCTGTGACTTGGAAGACCGCCCCCCTCACCCTTCGAGTTGTCCCAGCTTTCCAGACCAAATCAATGTACATCTTACATGTACTGAGTGATGGCTTAGGTCTCCCTAAAATGTATAAAACCAAGCTGTAGCCCGACCACCTTGGGCACATTTTCTCAGGATCTCCTGGGGCTGTGTCATGAGCCATGGTCACTCACATTTAGCTCAGAATAAATCTCTTAGAATATTTTAGAGTTTGACACTTTTCATTGACAAAAGTATCACAATTTGGGAGTACCTTAATCTGTTAATACAGTCAATAAACATTTACTGCCTACTGCATATCAGACACTGTATTGGACACTACAGCTACACAATCCCCTTCTCTGGACATACTCTCAATCAACTACTGAGAATCAGTTAGTTGAAACAAAGATTAAGAGGAAGAGGAAAGGGTAAAGTCAGAAAAGTCTTCCTGGGGAAGACCATTTCAAAAGCAGTCTTCCAGAACAAACAAGTTAACTGAGCAGGGCATAGAAGAGAGATGTAGCCTTCTAAGGAAAGGAAATGCAAAGTCAATGAGGCAAGTAACAGCAAGGAATGGCCCAGACAATAACAACAGACATTAACAACGGGAGGTGACTCCAGTCAACAATAGTAGAGGGTAACAACCTGTGGTCATTGCAGGCAGTTTAGTGTTGCTGAAATAGCAAGCCCTGAGCAGAAAGTAAACAACCAGTCTGGGGCAGGGTTTCTTTCTTAATTTTGCACCACTGCCATTTACGACGGATAACTGTTGTAAGGGGTTGTCCCATACATAACAGAATGCTTAGCAGCGTCCCTGGCCTTGATGCACTAGATGCTAGTAGCACCCCCATAATGAATAGTTGTGATAACCATAAAGGTCTCCAGATTTGTCCCTGGGAGCAAAATTGGCCCCACTCCCCAGAACAATTGGGCTTGAGATACATCAAAAAAAATACTTCAGGGCAGGGCGCTGTGGCTCATGCCTGTAATCCCAGCACTTTAGGAGGCCAAGGCGGGTGGATCACCTGAGATCAGGGGTTTGAGACCAGCCTGACCCACACAGTGAAACCCTGTCTCTACTAAAAATACAAAATATTAGCCAGGCATGGTGGCGCACGCCTGTAATCCCAGTTACTCGGGAGGTTGAGACAGAAGAATCGCTTGAACTCGAGAGGCGGAGGTTGCAGTGAGCTGAGAGGGTGGGCCATTGCACTCCAGTCTGGACGACAGAGCGTGCCTCCGTCTCAAAAAAAAAAAAAAAAAAAAAAAAAAATTTAGGCCGGACACGGTGGCTCACTCCTACAATCCCTGCACTTTGGGAGGCCAAGGCGGGATGATCACTTGAGCCCAGGGGTTCCAGACCAGTCGGGGCAACAAAGGGGGACCTTACAACTACAAAAAAAAAATTTTTTTTTTAATTAGCCACACCTGGGACCCAAGTACCTGGGACCACACTCACCTGTCCCGTGGCTCACGCCTGTAATCCCAGCACTTTGGGAGGCTGAGGCGGGTGGATCACGAGGTCAAGAGATCGAGACCATCCTGGCCAACATGGTGAAACCCCGTCTCTACTAAAAATACAAAAAGTAGCTAGGCATGGTGGCGCTCGCCTGTAATCCCAGCTACTGAGAGGGTGAGGCAGGAGAATCGCCTGAACCCGGGAGGCGGAGGGTGCAGTAAGCCGAGATCGCGCCACTGCACTCCAGCCTGGCGACACAGCGAGACTCCGTCTCAAAAAAAAAAAAAAAGTGTCTTCAACTCAGATAGAAGGAGTCAATGAGAAGGTTCTTAAAAGCCCGAAGACCTATTTCCCAGAAAACTCTAATTAACCTTATAATTTGTATAGTTAGTTACAGTGAGTATGAGCTGTCTTGCTCTGTACTTCAGCTGTTGTAAGTGTTTACGAACTGTCTCCAAAAACAGATGCAAATTTCCCTCATGGCAGAGATCGTAACGAATTTATCTATCCACTTTCTCACAGCGCCACACCGTTCCTTACGCACAGCAGGAATGCAATCAGTATTTGTCGATGGTTCCCCAAACTAACAGGAGTGGCTGCACTACGCACACTTAGGTGATACGTACACTTGTCAAAACGGCAGAAACGCAACCTCAATTTCAGAAAAACAAACCACATTCCTTTGGGAAGGCCACCTCTGCCACAAGCAGCCAAAGCGCTTGCATAGGGGTGAGAGGCGATGGGAAGGGTACTGGAAGGCTCCCCCAGATAAAAACAAAAGACTCCTTCCAATCGCCTCAAACACGCTCGGAAACCTCCACGACCTGCGCCAGCCCACAGGAGGGGGCCAGCTTGACCTGAGGCTGCACCACTCCCCACTTAAAGCGGCGAGTATCGGCGGGGGAGCGCAGGAAGCTTACTAGTGGGGCGACCCAGTCGTTCCGGCGCTTTCCCTCTCCCTTCACGTCTTACCTGCTTGGCCAAGAACCTGCCCAACTCACTGCGGCTCTTCTCGTTCTTGGCTGCGATTAACCGCAGCGGCGCGGCTGCCACCTCCAGCAAGAAGTGCTCCATGACCCAGGGCCCTCACCCCGAGCGGCCACCTGCGCTCCCTACTTCGCGGCCAGCGTCCCCAAGCCGCCGAGGTCCCAGTGCCCGAGCAGCCAGCAACTACGCCCGCAGGAAAGGCGTCCTCAGCTCCAGCGCCTACACCGGGAGAGGGGCACCACACGTGGGTGAGCACACGGCGTTTGACGTCATCAGCTCGGGACGGCTACGCTGCGCCCTCCCGGCCTCAGCCCCTCAGCGGCGGAAACGCCAGTCTTCGCTGTCCCGCCTTTTCCGGGAGGGAAATGGAAACAAAAATCTAGTCGGTTTGGATGCAGGAGTGATGGGGACTCGCGAACACAGCACGTGGTGGGACAGAAAGAAGAGTGCGTTAGGCCGGGGAGGAAAGAGGGGGCGT
Organism: Homo sapiens; assembly: GCF_000001405.40. Taxonomy (NCBI): domain Eukaryota; kingdom Metazoa; phylum Chordata; class Mammalia; order Primates; family Hominidae; genus Homo; species Homo sapiens. The sequence goes on from NC_000006.12 coordinate 89,819,999, forward strand.
GTGAGTCTCAGCCCACCGTGCCTTGCTTCTGCCTTAACACACGGAAAGATCAGATGTGAGAGAAAAGCTGATTCTCGGCCGGGCGCGGTGGCGCATGTCTTTATCCCAGCATTTTGGGAGGCCGAGGAGGGCAGATCACTTGAGGTTAGCAGTTCGAGACCAGCCTGGGCAACATGGTGAAACCCCCTTCTCTACTAAAAATACAAAAATTAGCCGGGCGTGGTGGCGCGCGCCTGTAGTCCCAGCTACTCGGGAGGCTGAGGCAGGAGAATCGCTTGAACCCGGGAGACGGAGGTTACAGTAAGCCGAGATCGTGCAGCTGCACTCCAGCCGCGCGACACAGCAGACTTTTACTGTCTCAAAAAAAGAAAGAAAAGCTGATTCTCCCCTTCTTGTTAGCGGTGGCAGTTACCCCCTGTATAGGTAGGGGTCAGCAGTAACCTTAGTTCTTGCCTCCTCAGAAGAAATAATTCCACGAAGGGCATAAGGCAGGATAGACCTAGACAAGTTTCAGAATAGAAGTAAAAGTTTATCAAAAAGCTTTAGAACGGGACGGAAAGAAAAGGAGGAAAGTACAACTTGGAAGACTGCCAAGCAGGCGACTTGAGAAACCAAGTGCGCAGCTTGACCTGTTGACTTGAAGTTTTATATGTTGGCATACTTTGGGGAACTTGCATTGCTTCTCCCCACTCCTGAGATCTTACTGGGAAGCTACTGATCAGTTTCAGGTGTTTTCTATTAGGAGACTGCCTTTCGCTGGCCCCGGTGAACGTTAGAGAAACAGTTAAGAACCGCCTGACCATCGTTTGATTGTCACCCAATAGTCCTGGTATGTGTGGGGTGGGGAGCGCTCTCCTGTTCTGCTCATACCTAACTAGTTAACATTCTGCCCCAGCAATTCCCCTTGTAGGACTCTAGCCTGCGGAAATCCTCACTAAGTGTGACAAAGACACCCCTTGCAGTTTTCTTAATACAGATATTGGAAGAAAATGTTCAATTGGGAATATTAAACTATGGGGTGTAAGTTATAGCATATTCTGGAAGTCATAAAAAATAGTAGAGTCCATAACATTAAAAGTGCACTTGTGGGCTGGGCGCAGTGGCTCAAGGCAAGGCAGGCAGATCACGAGATAAGGAGTTGGAGACCAGTCTGGCCAACATGGTGAAACCCTGTCTCTACTAAAAATACAAAAATTAGGGCTGGGTGCCTTGGCTCACGCCTGTAATCCCAGCACTTTGGGAGGCCGAGGCGGGCAGATCACCTGAGGTCAGCAGTTTGAGACCAGCCTGACCAACATGGTAAAACCCTGTCTCTACTAAAAATACAAAAATTAGCCAGGTGTGGTGGTGCATGCCTGTAATCCCAGCTACTCAGGAGGCTGAAGCAGGAGAATCGCTTGAACTCAGGAGACGGAGGTTGTGGTGAGCCGAGATCGTGGGATTGCACTCCAGCCTAGGCAACAAGAGCGAAACTCCGTCTTTTTTTTTTTTTTTTAAGTGGGGCCAGGCGTGGTGGCTCACGCCTGTAATCCCAGCACTTTGGGAGGCCAAGGCGGGCAGATCACCCGAGGTCGGGAGTTTGAGACCAGTCTGGCCAACATGGTGAAACCTTGTCTCTACTAAAAATACAAAAAGCTGGGCATAGTGGTGGGCGCCTGTAATCCCACCTACTCAGGAGGCTGAGGCAGGAGAATAGCTCGAGCCCGGGAGGCGGAGGTTGCAGTGAGCGGACATCGTGCCAGTGCACTCCAGCCTGGGCGACAAGAGCGAAACTCTGTCTCAAAAAAAAGAAAAAGACAAAAAAAAAAATGTAGTTATGTAGTGATAATGCACCCTGGCAACTATTCTCAGGAATCTGTTGAAAGAGATGCGCCCTGAAAAAGGAGGATAAAACCAAGAAAGAAGACGACACGGGATCCAGGAAATAAGAGATTTAGCACAGAAAGAAAAAGTAAAATAACCCTGTCGATCGTAATCCTAATCCACGGGATTATTTTACTTTTAAGTGTTTAAAGTTAAGGGAAATCCCGGAACTTTCATCTGGGCAGCAGCAGGAAGATGAACAGCTCTAGGGTGATTAAATTAATAGAACAGGTTAGTGGTTGCCTGAGTTTGGGATTAGAAGAGAAGACAATGTAAACAGCCAGGAGGCAAAATTTGGGGGTAATAAAAATCTAAGACTGGGCAGGGCACAGTGGCTCAAGCCTGTAATCTCAGCACTTTGGGAGGCTGAGTCGGGTGGATCACAAGGTCAGGAGTTCAAGACCAGCCTGGCCAAGATGGTGAAACCCCATCTCTACTAAAAATACAAAAATTGGCCGGGCACGGTGGCTCACACCTGTAATCCCAGCACTTTGGCAGGCCAAGGCGGGCAGATCACCTGAGGTCAGGAGTTCGAGACCAGCCTGGCCAACATGGTGAAACCCCATCTCTACTAAAAATACAAAAATTAGCCGGGCGTGGTGGCACGTGCCTGTAGTCCCAGCTATTTGGGAGGCTGAGGCAGGAGAATCACTTGAACCCAGGAGGCAGAGGTTGCGGTGAGCCAAGATCGTGCCACTGCACTCCCACCTGGGCAACAGAGTGAGACTCCGTCTCAAAAACAACAACAACAACAAAAATATATATATATATATAAATTAGCCAGGTGCAGTGGCAAGCGCCTGTAATCCTAGCTACTCGGGAGGCTGAGGCAGAAGAATCGCCTGAACCTGGGAGGTGGAGGTTGCAGTGAGTCGAGATCCCACCATCGCACTCCAGCCTGGGTGACAGAACGAGATTCTGTCTCAAAATAATAATTAAAAAAAATGATGATAAGGAAGGAATAGAGCATATATAGTATAGATGAAATAAGGTTGACAGTGTATTAGTAATTATTGAAACCAGATATTGGGTAATAGGAGTTTATTGTATTCTTCTTTTCTCTTCTTTCTTTTTTTTTTGGGACGGAGTCTCGCTTTGTCACCCAGACTAGAGTGCAGTGACACAATCTCAGCTCACTGCAACCTCCACCTCCTGGGTTCAAGCGATTCTCCTGCCTCAACCTCCCGAGTAGCTGGGAGTACAGGCACGCTCCACCACACACCCGGCTAATTTTTTCTTTTGTATTTTAAGTAGAGACAGGGTTTCACCACGTTGGCCAGGCTTGTCTCGAACTCCTGACCTCAGGTAATCCACCCGCCTCGACCTCCCAAAGTGCTGGGATTACAGAGGTAAGCCACCGCGCCTAGCCTATTGTACTCTTCTTTTACTTTTGTGTATGTTTGAAATTTTGCACTAAAAAAATAGTATCTTTGATCCTTTTATAGTTCATAAGCATGATGATTGGGTTTTTGCACACGTGTAATATGTGCCTCCCTCAAACCATGTTATGACCTCAGCATATTACCTGTCTGATATAAAAATATGTATATATTTTAGAAACAGGGTCTTATTCTCTCACCCAGGCTAGAGTGCACTGGTGCAATCATAGCTCAATGTAACCTTGAACCCCTGGGCCCAAGCAATCTTCCTGAGCAGCTAGGACTACAGGAACCTGCTACCACACCCAAATTTTTTTTTTTTTTTTTTTTTTTTTTTGAGTTAGAGTCTCACTCTGTCACCCAGGCTGGAGTGAAGTGGTATGATCTTGGCTTACTGCAACCTCTCCCTCCTGGATTCAAGCAATTCTCCTGCCTCATCCTCTGTAGTCTCTGGAGTAGCTGGGATTACAGGCGTGCACCACCACACCTGGCTAATTTTTTGTATTTTTTAGTAGAGACAGGGTTTCACCATGTTGGCCAGGCTGGTCTCAAACTCCTGACTTCAAGTAATCCTCCCACCTCGGACTCCCAAAGTGCACGGATTACAGGCATGCACCACCACACCCAGCTCTTCTTCTTTTTTTTTTTTTTTAGTAGACAAGGTCTCAGTATGTTGCCCAGGCTGGTCTCCCGCTCCTGGGCTCAAACAATCCTCCAGCCTTGGCCTCCCAAAGTGCTGGGATTATAGGCATGAGCCACTATGCCTGGTCTTAAATGTGTTAAGTTGTCTTAAGTCTTACGCTACTTTCTCTGCTGGTGGTGCCCACCCAACGGCCATTGGTGACCTCTGAAAATTAATATTTTTGAAAAAAATTATGAGTGTCATGTAAAGAGAACTTGGGTATCAACTTGTAGATGCTACCATTGACCAAAGATGATACAATCTGAGCTTTAATAAAGATAGCAGTTATAATGAATCAAAACCTATTAGTTTAACCCATTAATATAATACTAATAATTTTAAAAATTTGTTGCCTTTGGAGAGTAAGAAGTCAATCTTGAAAGCTGATAAAGGGAGAAATATAAAAATGTATCCTGCCTCTCATATGTGAATTGTACCACTGGGTAACTAAATAGAAGATGATGACAAGTGTCTCTTCCTGAGAATAGTCCACCTAATTTGAAAAAGAATTGCCAGTGTGGTGGCTCACGCCTGTAATCCCAGCACTTTGGGAGGCCGAGGAGGGCAGATCACGAGGTCAGGAGATCTAGACCATCCTGGCTAACACAGTGAAACCCCGTCTCTACTAAAAATACAAAAAATTAGCCGGGCGTGGTGGTGGGCGCCTGTAGTCCCTGCTACTTGGGAGGCTGAGGCAGGAGAATAGCATGAATCTGGGAGGCGGAGCTTGCACTGAGCAGAGATCGTGCCACTGCACTCCAGCCTGGGGAACAAAGCGAGACTGTCTCAAAAAAAAAAAAAAAAAAAAAAGAATTGACAAAATTAGAATACCACTATTTTGCAACTCCCAGTTAATCCATTAATCTTGGCATTAAGTATCAATGGCTGCTAACATAGCAAAAGGGGCAAAAAAAACCAGACTTTAGATAGCTCTTGCTGAAAGAACATAATGCTACCTATAGTCTTACCAAAAGGATCAAACCTCTGATCCAGCTGTCAATTTTTTTTTTTGGGGGGGGTGATGGAGCCTTGCTCTGTCACCTAGCCTGGAAGTACAGTGGCGCAATCTCAGCTCACTGTGACCTCCAACTCCTGGGTTCAAGCGATTCTCCTGCTTCGGCCTCCCAAGTAGCTGGGATTACAGGCTTCTACCACCACACCTGGCTAATTTTTGTATTTTTAGTAGAGACAGGGTTCCACCATGTTGGACCAGGCTGGTCTCAAACTCCTTGCCTCAAGTGATCCGCCAGCCTCAGCCTCCCAAAGTGCTGGGATTACAGGTGTGAGCCACTGTGCCTGGCCCCAGCTGTCGATTTTTTAAAATGAAGATGATAGAATATGTTAAGCTGCACCATGAATTTATAATCAGAAAAACTCAGACTGTGAAAGATTCTACAGATCAAAAACTCAGGTTTTTCAAGACATAAATTTAAGAAAAAAGTATGGGAGGGGAAACTGTGAATTATAAGAAATGGCAAAATGATTTAAATGTTTGTGAACCTCCAAAATTCGTATGTTGAAGTCTTAATACCCCAGTGTGATGGTATTTGGAAGTGAGACCTTTTGGAGGTAATTAGATTTAGATGAGGTTTTGAGGATAGAGTCCTCATAATAGGATTATTGCCCTTATAATGGGAGGGAAAGACTAGAGTCCCTTCTCTCTCTGCCAAGGGAGGATACACTAAGAAGGTGGCCATCTACAAGCCAGGAAGGGAGCCCTCACCAGACAATAAATCTGCTGGCTCCTTGATCTTGGATCTCCCAGCCTCTAGAACTGTAAGAAATTTTTGCTTGTTGATTAAGTTAAAGAGGTTCAGAACGTGCAACCCCGAAACAGACCATTTTGACATACTGATTATTTTGAAGTAAAGAAAAATCAGAACCAGCCAACTCAGTGAAACGTCTTTACCTCCCCAATTGCCTAAAATAAAGTATAAACTTACCCTTTTGCAAAGGAAATTTATACTCACAAAGGAAATTTCTGTTAGTAAAGCTATCTGTACCAGGAAGAGAGCTACTCCAAGACAACTTTTTTCACTTAACAGACTGTTATCTGTGTCAATAAATCCACTGAGAAAGTTTATGTTTTAAGCCTCAGCCTCCCGAGTACCTGGGATTACAGGCATGCGTCACCACACCCGGCAAATTTTGTATTTTTAGTAGAGACAGAGTTTCACCATGTTGTATTTTAGTCTCCACTAAAAATACAAAAATTAGCTGGGCATAGTGGTGCACGCCTGTAATCCTAGCTACTGAAGAGGCTGAGGCATAAGAATTGCTTGAACCTGGGAGGCAGACATTGCAGTGAGCTGAGATCATGCACTCCAGCCTGGGGACAGAGCCAGACTCCAGCTCAAAAAAAATGTTAGTTTTATTCAGTCTATAGTCGTACCGAGGACTATAGACTGAGGTCTACAGCCCAGGAGCTGTCCTTCAGAGTTCTGTCAGACTGCTGCAGCACAGTATTTCAGCCCACTGTTTATATACCTGTGGTGGAGGTTCAGTATGTGCAAAATCACATTAAAGTTTTGGTGCAGGAGTACATCTAGTTATAGATTTCAGAGGCATAATCACTAACCCTATCAGACGTTATCTCATGTGTAGGAAAAGGCACTATATTCCTCCTTTCCTTTCTTTTTTTTTTTTTTTTTGAGACGGAGTCTCGATTTGTTCCCCAGGCTGGAGTGCAGTGGTGCGATCTCGGCTCACTGCAAGCTCCCCTTCCCGGGTTCACGCCATTCTCCTGCCTCAGCCTCCCTAGTAGCTGGGACTACAGGCACCCGCCACCATGCCCAGCTAATTTTTTGTATTTTTTAGTAGAGACGGGGTTTCACCGTGTTAGCCAGGATGGTCTCGATCTCCTGACCTCGTGATCCGCCCTCCTCGGCCTCCCAAAGTGCTGGGATTACAGGCGTGAGCCACTGCGCACGTCCATATTCCTCCTTTAAGCAATATAGTGACTCAGGCAAGAGATGTTGGGGGCTGTGTGCACTATCCTGGTTTGCCTTCAAAGCATCTTTTCAGAGAGCTGCACTTCCTCACAGAGTGAGGGGCTTTGTGAAATTAGATGGCAAGCAGAAATGAGCAAAATGGCTTCTTACCCTTTTTACTTTGTCTCACAATAATTAGAGCACTATGTTTAAATGTCACTTCAAGGAATTATTTTCTCTATGGTTACATTTCTCTCTTTTTACAGTTTAACTTTTTCAAATAATTTTCCATTTTAGGATTTTTTTCTTTCTGATTTAACTCAGTCTTTGAATATGTGAAACAGTTACATGGTTCAAAAGTGAAAGGTTATAAAAATACAAACTCAAAAAGTAATTAATTAATTTAGTTTTTATTTTTCTCACCCTGTCTTATGGTGCTGAAAACTCAACAGTTTAATTGGGGCCAGGCACAGTGGCTCACATCTGTAATTCCAGTACCTTGGGAGGCCCAGGCATGAGGATTTCTTGAGCCCAGGGGTTCAAGGTTACAGTGAACTACGATTGTGCTACTGCACTCCAGCCTGGGTGACAGAGGCAGACTGTGTATCTAACACCCTCCCACACCCAACTTATTTGGGTGAATTATATAGTATGTAAATTATATCCCAGTAAAGCTCTTATTAAAAAAATTAAAGCCGGCCAGACACAGTGGCTCACGCCTGTAATCCCAGCACTTTGGGAGGCCGAGGCGGGCGGAATACCTGAGGTCAGGAGTTTGAGACCAGCCTGGCCAACACGGTGAAACCCCATCTCTACTAAAAATACAAAAAACATAGCCAGGCCTGGTGGCAGGTGCCTGTAATCCCAGCTACTTGGGAGGCTGAGGCAGGAGAATCACTTGAACCTGGGAGGTGGAGGTTGCAGTGAGCCGAGACCGCCCCATTGCACTCCAGCCTGGGCAACAAGAACAAAACTCCAACTCAAAAAAAAAAAAAAGTTAATTAATTAATTAATTAAAAAAAAGCCATGCATATGTGCAAATAAAAATACATAACTTAGGTGGAGTGGCTCATACCTGTAATACCAGCACTTTGGAAGGCAGAGGTCGGAGGATTGCTTGAGGTCAAGAGTTGGAGACGAGCCTGGGCAACAACATGGCGAGACCCTGTCTATATTAAAAAAAAAAAAAAAAAATGAAAGAAAGAAAGGCGAGTGTGGTGTTGTGTGCCTGTGGTCCCAGCTACCTGGGAGGCTGAGGTAGGAGCATTGCTTGAGCCTAGGAGTTTGAGGATGCAGTAAGCTATGATCACACCATTGCACTCCAGCTAGGACAACAGACTGAGACCTTGTCTCTAAAAAAATAATAAAAATAAAGCCAGGCGCGGTGGCTCACGCCTGTAATCCCAGCACTTTGGAAAGCCGAGGCGGGCAGATCACCTGAGGTCAGGAGTTTGAGACCAGCCTGCCCGACATGGCGAAACCCCATCTCTACTAAAAATGCAAAAAACTAGCCAGGCAGGCCCCTGTAATCCCAGCTATTTGGGAGGCTGAGGCAGGAAAATCGCATGAACCCCGGAGGCGGAGGTTGCAGTGAGCTGAGATCACACCACTGCACTCCAGCCTGGGTGACAAGAGTGAAACTCCGTCTCAAAAAAAAAAAAAAAAGAATAAAAATAAAAATAAATTGGTTGATATGGCAGTTAAGACTAAATGGGGTCAGGTGCAGTGACTCACACCTGTAATCCCAGCACTTTGGGAGACTGAGGTGGGAGGATTGTTTGAGCCCAGAAGTTCGTGACCAGCCTGGGCAACATAGCAAGACCCCATCTCTACAAAAATTTTAAAAAATTAGCCAGGGGTGGCCGGGCGTGGGTGGCTCACGCCTTTAATCCCAGCACTTTGGGAGGCCAAGCTGGGCAGATCACCTGAGGACAGGAGTTCAAGACCAGCCTGGTCAACATGGCGAAACCCTGTCTCTACTAAAAATACAAAAATTAGGTTGGCGTGGTAACACATGCCTGCAATCCCAGCTACTCGGGAGACTGAGGCAGGAGAATCACTTGAACCCCGGAGGCGGAGGTTGTAGTGGGTCGAGATCGCGCCATTGCACTCCAGCCTGGGCAACAAGAGTGAAACTCCATCTCAGAAACAAAACGAAACAAAACAGCCAGGGGTGGTGGTCGCTCGCGTCTATGGTCCCAGCTACTCTGGAGGCAGAGGTGGGAGGATCTCTCGAGCCTTGGAGGTGGAGGTTGCAGGGAGCCGAAATCGCTCCACTGCGCTCCAGCCTGAGCGACAAAGCGATACCCTGTCTGAAAGCAAAAAGAAAAAAAAAAGCTAAGTGGACAAACGAGGAAATGGGTAGGGATGAATATAGGCAGACTATAAGTAGCCGAGGAAGGTGGCCTTATTTTCGCACCTATCAATGCTCAGGCTGAGCTCCTGAGGCTAGACCTACCGGCACCCCCCATTCCTACAGGTTCTATAAGGCAAGTCAGGTATTCCACCCTGTAAAAAGCTCTTCTCTCTCCTGCCCCGCTAGACTAGTATCCCCTCCTTAAGGCTCCCAACATCCGAAGCTAAGTTGTTTGTCTGCCTATCATCCAGGAACGCGTCTGAGGGCAGGGAACAAATTTATTCATCGTAATCGAGCCCAGCACTTTGTCTCGCACGCAGCTGACAGCAGAATTTTAAGATAAAGTATTAAATAAATGACAGACCTCTCAAGGCTTCCTGTCTTTCACTAAAAAGCTTCTCTCAGGCCACGCCCCTACCTCCACTCAGGTCAGCCCCTTCCTATTGAAGCCCCGCCCCATCGCCTTCCCCGCCACCTTACACCCCGCCCCTCTCTCTTAAAGCCCTAGGAAGATTACTGGAGTTTGGCGCCAACCGTGTTTTTTTTTTTCCCTTCCAAAGGCGGGAACTAGTTGTGGGCGCTGCGACGTGCTTTGCGTCTGATATGATTGGCCGTAGGCACTCAGTCCCGCCTCCATACCCTGATAGCGCTCTGGTATTGGTGGAGATGCCAGGGAGACCTCGGTGGGCAGAAAGGAACCGGGTTGTCTTGGGCCGGGCAGGGCGGGTAAGTTGTCGTAGGGGCCCGGTCCGTGAGGGACTGCTAAGGAAGAGGCTGCATGGCGCGGTAGTCCCCCGAGTGGAGGTCGGCTGCCCCTGGGAAACCAGAGAGTCGGAGGGAGTCCATCTGGAGCGGCCAAGTAGGTCGGGGAAGGGCCGCGCCTGACGTCTGGCCGCAGGTAGCCACGTTCCCTCCGCCCCCGGTGCAGCTTCAGGGCTTGCACCCTGCGTCCCTCTGTGGTCCTTCGAGAGGGTCTGGGCGGGGACTATGGGTGGGCGCGCCCAGGAATTGTCCCTTCGGCCTCTCGTCCTGCCCCTCCCCCCCACCATCCAGTCTCTCCTTGGAATATACTCTTAAAATCTTTCGGATGGAGTTCTTTGGAGAAATGGGTTTCCTGGAGTGTCAGGTGATCATTGATGTTGATTGTTTCTGAAATGTTTATTTAGGCATCAAACCAACATGCCTAAATAAGTTTTTCATTTCTACAGCGCCTAGATTCATTCCTAGCACATAGTAGGCCCTAACTCAGATGTGAATGTAGGATTCGTAGGAGCTGAGCATTTGTGCTTCAGGCATCAAGTTGTCTTTGACTCTTCGACTCTTCCTTGGTCTTTTTCCATTCTCCACACCTCCAGCAGCAAACCTTTCGCCTCTCCTCAAGGCCTTTCCCCCCCATCTCCCTCAGCGCCTCTTTGACTGGAGGGGGACAGAGGCTTTCATGGCAGGGATTCTCCCATCTCCCTTCCTATCCCCGCTATGCCCTCCAATTATCTTTTCCTGGCGTTCCGTTTTACAAGAGATGGCCTTCTTTCCAAAAACATTTATATTGTATTGAATATTCTTGATTTTGGCCATCTTGCTTTACAGACAGACCTGGGGTCTAATTTCAGCTCTGCCACTTACCAGGTGGTTGCCTTGTGCAAATTTCTTGATCGTCTGTGTTTTCCTCATCTGTAAAATGGGGAAAAGAATAATATGGACCTCATAGAACTCTGGGGAGGATTTAAACTAAGTGAATAATGTATTTAGATCATTTAGGTTAGTGCCTGGAACATAGTAAATGTGCCGTATATGATAGCTTTTGTTAGTATTTGCCCCTTACCTCTTCTTCTGGGGTCTTGCTGTATTAGCCTTTCCCATGAGTGTAAAAATACACTGTCTTCTCTGGCTTTTTCCTGTTTTTCTCTACAAATGCTTGTGTTTTTCTCTAAATTTTATTTTTTGTCTTTTAGCGTCTACATTAAGGACACATTCTCAGTTTCGTAATGATTTTTCTTTTTCTTTTTTCCTTTTTTTTTGAGACTATAGCCCAGGCTGGAGTGCAATGGCAAGATCTCGGCTTACTACAGGTTTGACCTCCTGTGCTCAAGCAATCCTCCCACCTCAGCCTTCCAAGTAGCTGGAACTACAGGTGTGCACCAGCATGCCTGGCTAATTTTTGTATTTTGTAGAGACTGGGTTTTGCCATGTTTCCCAGGCTGGTCTCGAACTCCTAGGCTCAAGTGATCAGACTGCCCTCAGCCTCCCAAAGTACTGGGATTACAAGTGTGAGCCACCCCGCCCAGCCACATTCTCTCAATTTTAAAAAGAAAACTTCCTTCAGACTGCCTATAACGAAAGGCTATGTGATCCTTCTCCTGTCTACTTTGCTTTCACATCTGAATCCATTGGAATTGTCCCAGAAAAGATTATGCATGAGTAAATCTGCTTACAAACTTTTTTTTTTTTTTTTTGAGACGGAGTCTCGCTCTGTCACCCAGGCTGGAGTGCAGTGGCACGATCTCGGCTCACTGCAAGCTCCGCCTCCCGGGTTCATGTCATCCTCTTGCCACAGCCTCCCGAGTAGCTGGGACTACAGGCGCCTGCCACCACGCCTGGCTAATTTTTTGTATTTTTAGTAGAGACGGGTTTCACCCTGTTAGCTAGGATGGTCTAGATCTCCTGACCTTGTGATCCGCCCGCCTCAGCCTCCCAGAGTACTGAGATTACAGGCTTGAGCCACCACGCCCGGCCAAACATTTTTTTTTTAGACAGAGTCTTACTCTGTCACCCAGGCTGGAGTTGCAGTGGCACGATCTCAGATCACTGCAGCCTCCACCTCCCAGGTTCAAGCGATTCTCCTGCCTCGGCCTCCCCAGTAGCTGGGATTACAAGTGTGTGCCACCATGTCAGGCTAATTTTTGTATTTTTAGTATAGATGAGGTTTCACCATGTTGGCCAGGCTGGTTTTGAACTCCTGACTTCAGGTGATCCGCCTGCCTCGGCCTCCCAATACAAACTCTTTTTCAGCATGATAGTTCTCAACTTGGAAAATTTTGCCTCTACACTTTCACAGGTGCATCACTTCTGTCGGTAGCAACTCTCATATATCGAGATCCTCAAATGGGAGAAGGTGAGGAAAAGTGAAAAAGACCCATTTTCCAAGAGATTCTGATACATTTTTCTTCCTCCTCTCCTTCCTCTCCTTCCAGGAGAATCACTGGCCTATATGATTTCAAGAGTGTAATCTCACGTATCACTAAGGTGCTGATGAGTCCCAAATCATAATACCTACCATGCCTTTTCTGTATGACATTTCCAGCTGTTGGACATCTTTTTGTTTTTTGTTTTTTTCTCCCCTAGACGGAGTCTTGCTCTGTTTCCCAGGCTGGAATGCAGTGGCACGATCTCAGCTCACTGCAACCTCTGCCTCCCAGGTTCAAGCGATTCTTCTGGTCTCAGCCTCCGGAGTAGCTGGGATTATAGGCACATGCCACCACGCCCAGCCAATTTTTGTATTTTTAGTAGAGATGGGGTTTCACCATGTTGGCCAGGCTTGTCTCAAACTCCTGAACTCAGGTGATCCACCAGCCTCGGCCTCCCAAAGTGCTGGGATTACAGGCATGAGCCACCACGCCCGGCCTTTTTTTTTTTTCTTTTCTTTTTGAGATGGAGTCTTGCCCTGTCGCCCAGGCTGGAGTGCAATGGCGCGATCTCGGCTCGCTGCAACCTCCGCTTCCCAGGTTCAAGCGATTCTCCTGCCTCAGCCTCCCGAGTGTGGGATTACAGGTGCGCACCACCACGCCCAGCTAATTTTTTTGTATTTTTAGTAGAGACGGGGTTTCACCATGTTGGTCAGGCTGGTCTTGAACTCCTGACCTCGTGATCCACCTGCTTTGGCCTCCCAAAGTGCTGGGATTACAGACATGAGCCACCACCCCCAGCTGCTGTTAGACATCTTTATCTGGATGTCCTACAGATAACTCAACATGACTTCACTGGTTGTCCATTGCAGTTAAAGCATGACTGTCCTCCAAAGCTAGAAACATGAGAATCATCTTTAACAAATTGGGTATTTCTTTAATTCAACAGATATTCTTTTATTACTTGCCATTCTGCTAGGCCTGCTGAGAGCTGGGGATACAGTGAGAGCTGGGGAACAGAACAGGGATGGTCCTAATCTTTATGGAGAACCATTGGGTGGTCCATTGGGTGAGATGGACATTTCTCCAGGAATCCCACAAAAATGGAATCATGAACTTCAAGAAGAGGTCATGTAGGGAAAGGACACAATGGGGTAAGAGTATATAACAGAGGGCCTGACTTAGTGGGAAGAGAGGGTGGACAGGGGAGACTCAAAATGGCTTAAGCAAAATATCAAAGAAGAGCTAAGTGAAAGTAGAATATTGAGGAAAGAATATTCCCTGCAGAAGCCCTGTGTTGTTTTTTTTTTTTTCGATTTATAAATAGTTTATCCTGTTCACATTATGCAGAATTTCAGTGTCGTTAATCCACAATGTTAGTACGGTAACAGAAACATAAAGGAGAAAAAAGGCAGGTGGGGGGAGGTTCATAGTGTGGCCTGACATAGTCTAAGGGTTCTCTCCTGTAGTATGCATCTCCTGCAGGCAAGTATTAATATCACTTCATTGTTTGAAGGACAGTACACTATCCAGGATTCATTTATTGTTCAGGTGTCTTTTCTAAAGTATGAGAAAACAGGAATAAATTCAATAATGAATATCTGCAATTCAAACCAATTTAACTACAGGTCAGTGGTGTCTTTCTTATCTATTATCACAAACATCCCAGTTGCCTCCATCTAAAAATTTCTTTCAAAAGTTAAGACACAATTAATTATATCTTATTAATTCCCTCAAAAGCAAAAAAAAAAAAAAAGTACCATTCAGCATACAAAAGTTACACATTAAAAGTGTATATATAGGGCTGGGTGCGGTAGTGCACGCCTGTGATCCCAGCACTTTGGGAGGCCGAGGCGGGTGGATCATAAGGTCAGGAGTTCAAGACCAGCCTGGCCAAGATGGTGAAACCCTGTCTCTACTAAAAATACAAAAAATTAGCTGGGCGCGGCAGCAGGCCCCTGTAATCCCAGCTACTGAGGAGGCTGAGGCAGGAGAATCGCTTGAACTCGGAGGGCAGAGGTTGCAGTGAGCAGAGATTGTGCCGCTGCCCTCCAGCCTGGGTGACAGAGTGAGACTCTGTCTCAAAAAAAAAAGTGCATATTTCCTTTTTTTTTTGAGATGGAGTCTCTCTTTGTTGCCCAGGCTGGAGTTCAGTGGCATGATCTCGGCTCACTGCAACCTCCTCCTTTCAGGTTCAAGTGATTCTCCTGCCTCACCCTCCCAAGTAGCTGGGATTACAGGTGTGTGCCACCATGTCTGGCCAATTTTTGTATTTTTAGTAGAGATGGCGTTTCACCGTGTTGGCCAGGCTGGTCTCGAACTCCTGAACAAAGTTGATCTGCCCACCTCGGCTTTCCAAAGTGCTGGGATTACAGGCGTGAGCCACTGCGCCTGGCCTCAAAATTTGTTTTTTATCCTGAAATCAGCAGGAAGCACTGAAGGGCTTTTTGGTGGGGTTTTTTTTGTTTTTTGTTTTTTTTCTTTTGAGACGAAGTCTCCTGTCCCCCAGACTGGAGTGCAGTGGCGTGATCTCGGCTAACTGCAGCCTCCGCCTCCCAGCTTCCAGAAATTCTCCTGCCTCAGCCTTCCAGGTAGCTGGAATTATAGGCATGCGCCACCACGGCTGGCTAATTTTCGTATTTTTAGTAGAGATGACGTAGGCTGGTCTCGAACTCCTGACCTCAGGTGATCTCCTGACCTCAGATGATCACCCACCTCAGGTGATCGCCTGCCTCAGCCTCCCAAAGTGCTAGGATTACAGGCGTGAGCCACCACATCCAGCCTAAGCACTGAAGTGTTTAAGCAGAGTTGGGAACACGATCATGTTTGCATTTTTAAAAGACAACTCATGCTGAGGTTTGAAGAACAATTTGAAATGGGGGAAGACTGTCCATTTGAATACACTTTCCATTAAATCTTGTTGACTACCTCTCAGATCTGTTTTTAGTGTTTTGTGGGTTTTTTGGTTTGGTTTTGAGACAGTCTCGCTCTTTGACCCAGGCTGGAGTGCAGCAGTGCAATCACAGCTCACTGCAGCCTCCGGAAGCATGTGCCACCACACCCAGCTAACTTTTCTTTTTTTTGTAGATATGGAGTCTCACTGTGTTGCCCAGGCTGGTCTTGAACTCCTGGGCATAAGAAGTCCTCCTGCCTCAGCCTCCCAGAATGTTGGGATTACAGGCATGAACCACCGTGCCCAGCCAAGATCTGTTTCTTATTTTTATTTCCACTACTAAGAACTTACAGTGACACCTCGTTGTCTTCTGCTTTGTTTTGGTAGCCTTTTCTATCTCCCTTCCCACTCATATTTTCCAGACTCTTGCCAGAGTTAAACATCTAAGATGCAGATTTGATCATTATATTGCCCTACTTTAAAAACCTTCACTGGTTCCCCCATTCCCTTCTGGATGGAATCCAAGTATCTTAATCACATAATACATCCCCTGACCTTTATTTTTTTTTTTTTGAGAGAGTCTCACTGTCACCTAGGCTGGAGTGCAGTGGCACGATCTTGGCTCACTGCAGCCTCGGGGCCTGTGACTTCCTAAACTTTATTCTCACATTCTGATCTTGCCTTCCCATGTTCTATTCTGTAGGTGTTCACACCCATACTTGATTGTGAACTTATAGACAGATGTGGTGGGGAACAGATGTGGGGAGATCGTGTCAAGAAGTGTTCGCCAATGTGAGCCTAATTTAATTGAACCTTGGGATTTTGGAAACCTTGAGATAGTGAATAATGGAGCTAGAATGGTAGGTGTCAGTCTATGTCAGGATAAGGAAGTTTTTTTTTTTTTTTAATGGAGTCTAGCTGTGTGGCACAACCTCGGCTCACTGCAACCTCCCCTTCCTGGGTTCAAGCAATTCTCCTGCCTCAGCCTCCAGCAGTTGGGACTACAGACATGCACCACCATGCCCAGCTAATTTTTTTGTATTTTTAATAGAGGTAGGGTTTCACCATGTTGGCCACGATGGTCTCGATCTCTTGACCTCGTAATCCACCTGCCTTGGCCTCCCAAAGTGCTGGGATTATAGGCATGAGCCACTGCACCCAGTCAGGATAAGGAATTTGTACTTTATAGAAATTGGGAAGTAACGGAAAGTTTTTGAGCAGGATTGCGGTAGAACTAACCCAGTAGTTGTGCGTAGCATGTATTTGGAGTGGGGAAATAATTAGGTAGCTATAGTGGGGTCCTGAAACAAATCGAAATGGCAAGAATGGGAATAAATGGGAGAAATATTTCAGAGGTAGCATCAGTAAATCAGTAGTCTGTTAGGGAATGTTAGTGCTACTCCAAGAAATTAGAGAAATGAGGAGGTGAGCAGATATGGATGGAAAGATGATCTCTTGTTTTGGACTTGGTGAGTTTGTACCTACAGGAATGTGTTTATTAATGTTAGCATTTGTTTGTTTGTCTGTTTTGAGACAAGGTCTCATTCTGTCACTCAGGCTGGAGTGCAGTGACTTGATCTTTGCTCACAGCAATCTCTGCTTCCTGGTTGTGCTTAAGCAATCCTCCCACCTCAGCCTCCTAAGTATGGTTGGGACTATAGGAGTGTGTCACCACGCCTGGCTAATTTTTGTATTTTTTGTAGAGATGGGATTTCGCCATGTTGCCTGGGCTGGTCTCGAACTCCTGGCCTGAAGTGATCCACCCACCTCGGCCTCCCCACAAAGTGCTGGGCCCACAAAGTGCTGGGATTACAGGTGTGAACCACTGAGCCCTGGCACCCAGCCACTAATTTTTTTTTTTTTGAGACAGTCTTGCTCTGTTGCCCAGGCTGGAGTGCAGTGTGACAATCTCGGCTCACTTCAACCTCCGCCTTCCCCACGCTCAAGCAATTCTTGTGCCTGAGCCTCCTAAGTAGCTGAGATTACTGGTGTGCGTCAGCATACCTGGCTAATTTTTTTTATTTTTAGTAGAGACAGGGTTTTACCGTGTTAGCCAGACTGGTCTTGAACTCCTGACTTCAAATCTGCCCGCCTGCCTAGGCTTCCCAAAGTGCTGGGATTTAGGCATGAGCTACCATACTTGGCCACTAATTGTTTTTTTGTTTGTTTGTTTTTGTTTGTTTGAGACAGAGTCTGGCTCTGTCGCCCAGGCTGGAGTGCAGTGGCACAATCTCAGCTCACTGCAACCTCCGCCTCCCAGGTTCATGCCATTCTCCCGCCTCAGCCTCCCAAGTAGCGGGAACTACAGGCGCCCACCACCACACCCGGCTAATTTTGTTTTTGTATTTTTAGTAGAGATGGGGTTTCACCGTGTTAGCCAGGATGGATGGTCTCGATCTCCTGACCTCGTGATCCGCCTGCCTCAGCCTCCCAAAGTGCTGGGATTACAGGCGTAAGCCACCGTGCCCAGCCCACTAATTGGTTTTTTAATGTTAGACATCCTCACATTTTTGGGATAAATCTCACTTGTCTGTAGTGCTTTTTCGTTTAATATCTTGCTGGATTCAGTTGGTTGATTTTTTTTTCTTTGTGACGGAGTCTCGCTCTGTTGCCCAGGCTGGAGAGTGGTGCAATCTTGGCTCGCTGCAACCTCCATCTCCCAGGTTCAAGCTACTCTCCCGCCTCAGCCTCCTGAGTAGCTGGGATAACAGGTGCGTGCTACCATGGCCACCTAATTTTTGTGTTTTTAATAGAGACGGGGTTTCACCATGTTAACCAGGCTGGTCTCGAATTCCTGACGTCAAGCAATCTACCCACCTTGGCCTCCCAAAGTGCTGGGATGACAGGCCGATTTTTTTTTTTAAGGCTATTTCTGTTTATGTTCATAAGAAAGATTGGCTTGTAGTTGTCTGGTCTTGTAGTTTTTTTGTTTTGCCCTATTCTTGACCAGTTTTTTTGTTTGTTTGTTTTTTGTTGTTTTTTGAGACGGAGTCTCACTGTGTCGCCCAGGCTGGAGTGCCGTGGCGCGATCTCGACTCACTGCAACCTCGGCCTCCCAGGTTCATGCCATTCTCCTGCCTCAGCCTCCCGAGTAGCTGGGACTACAGGTGCCTGCCACCACACCCGGCTAATTTTTTTGTATTTTTAATAGAGAAGGGGTTTCACCGTGTTAGCCAGGATGGCCTCGATCTCCTGACATCATGATCCACCCACCTCGGCCTCCCAAAGTGCTGGGATTACAGGCATGAGCCACTGCGCCCGGCCCAACCAGTTTTGAAATTGAGGTTGTATTCGCCTCAAAAAATTATTTGCTTATTCACAAATAGTTTTTTTCTGTTGTCTGGAACAGATTAACTTTTCATTATTATTATTATTATTTTTAGAGACAGAGTCTCATTATGTTGCCCAGGCTGGTCTTGAACTGGGCTCAAATGATCCTCCCGCCTCAACCTCCCAAAGTGCTGGGATTACAAGCACGAGCCACTGTGCCCGGCCTAACTGTTTTAAAATTTGTGGTGTTTGTGCCTTATTTCTTTTTCTTGATTAGTTTTGCCATAGATATGCTTATTTCTCTTTTGACAGAGCCAACATTTATTTTTATTGATCTTTCTAGTGCTTGTTTATTTTTGTTAGTTTTTGCTGGTTATATTTTTATTTATCTGGGTTTACTTTGTTCTTTTTCTGACTTCTTGAGGTGATTGATGGCCTCATTAATATTTTGTCCTTTCTTCCTATACATTTAGTACTGTAACTTTGCCTTTAAAAGTACTATTTTGGTTTTATCCCATGAATTTTCTGTGTTGTATTCATTGTTATTCAGTTCTGTACTTTTTCCCAGTTTCCATTAGTATTTGTTCTTTGACCTATGTTTATTAAGTTCCAATTGAACAGGGAAATTTGAAAGTGCATTGTTAACTTTGAATTTTATTGGGCTAGACGGAAACATTTCTTTGATATTTGTGGAAACTTGCACTGCAGCTTGATACATAGACAATTTTTATAAATGTGCTTAAAAGTAGTGTAAGTTCTTTTAATTGTGGTATGCAGGGTTATAAAATTATCAGATCAAACCTGTCAATTTTCTATTCAGAGCTATATCCTTAAATTTCTTTAACTGCTTGATCATCAGAGAAAAGTATGTTAAAATCTCTATTGTAACAATTTTTTTTTTTTTTGAGACAGAATCGCTGTGTTGCCCAAGCTGGAGTGCAGTGGTGCCATCTCGGCTAACTGCAACCTCTGCCTCCTGGGTTCAAGTGAGTCTCCTGCCTCAGCCTCTGGAATAGCTGGCTTTATTGGCACCCACGACCACGCCCAGCTAATTTTTGTATTTTTAGTAGAGAGGAGGTTTCACTGTGTTGGTCAGGCTGGTCTCGAACTTCTGACCTCAAGCAATCCACCCACCATCCATCCCAAAGTGCTGGGATTACAGGCATAAGCCACTGCGCCCGGCCTATTGTGACTTACTTATCTGTATCGGTCAGGGTCCAGTCAGTAGACAAAAACCACATACTAATTTGAAAGGGAAAGTTTAGTATAAAGAATTATTGGTCGGGTTCCGTGGCTCAGGCCTGTAATCCTAGCACTTTGGGAGGCCAGGGCGGGCGGATCACCTGAGGTCAGAAGTTTAAGATCAGCCTAGCCAACATGGTGAAACCCCGTCTCTACTAAAATACAAAAATTAGCCGGGCATGATGGCGGGTGCCTGTAATCCCAGCTACTCTGTGGAGGCTGAGACGGGAGAATCGCTTGAACCTGGGAGACAGTGTTTGCAGTGAGCCGAGATCGCGCCACTTACTCCAGCCTGGGCGGCTGAGTGAGAGTCCGTCCCAAAAAAAAATTAAAAAAAAAAAAAAAAGGCCAGGCACAGTGGCTCACGTCTGTAATCCCAGCACTTTGGGAGGCCGAGGCGGGCGGATCAGGAGGTCGGGAGATCGAGACCATCCTGGCTAAGGCCGTGAAACCCCATCTGTACTAAAAATATAAAAAATTAGCCGGGCGTGGTGGTGGGCGCCTTTAGTCCCACCTACTCGGGATACTGAGGCAGGAGAATGGCGTGAACCCAGGAGGCGGAGCTTGCAGTGAGCCGAGATTGCGCCACTGCACGCCAGTCTGGGCGACAGAGCGAGACTCCGTCTCAAAAAAAAAAAAAAAAAAAAAGAATTATTGACAGGATTGAAGTAACTAGTAATTGTCAAGTAATAGTTAAAGAATAACTGAAAAATATAGGAATATAAGATATAGGAAGCAGCTATGACCTCTAGGGTTTTGATAGATCATCCAAAGAAGAGCTGTGTTCCTTCACTCTAAGGATGGGATCCAGACCTCATGGAAAGAGCATTGCTGGGGGGTCAACTGGATGGTGGAGACGTTGCTAAGTGTCTTACTCTGTTCTAAATCTGCCAGAGGAGGTGTATGGGGAAGCTCCTGGGTGCTAAAGGATCTATGAGTTGGAGAAGCTGCCCTCTCCATGAACCTAGCAGGAGGAAGCCGTATTCTGCAGGAGCCAATCATAATAGGAGCCTAATGTACAGGAAGTGAGCCTGTGGAAAACCGCCCTGCTGGAACTGAATGCTGGAGACAGCAGGCTCTGTAGGAGCTTTGCTAGCCAGATGCACTGAAACTAGGGAAAGAATCCCCCTTCCTCTTCCAGTGTTCCTCCACCATTCTGCTGATAAGGTTTAACCTTGTGCCAGTTAGCAAAGGAGAAATATCTACAAGGCCTAGCTCCATTATCACAGAAGGATGGATTTGGAATTGAGAGGCATAACTGTCACAGTCCCTTTAACTACTTTTTTCCTTTTCCTACAGCCTAGGAAGCTAAGAACCTTTAACTTTTTCATGTGTACACAGTGAGAAACCACACACATATAACTTCTTTTGATGACTTCTCTATATTACTGTGTATGTTTTCAGAAATTTTGAAGGACTATTAATGCATCATGTGACACAATTAAGAAATGAGCATCCACTTCTTAAATTTATAAATAATCTTTTAAAAAATACCTTTGGTGGTGGGGACCTAGAATTAAGATGTGGAGATAATGATCTGACAAAAAATTTGGAGAAAAATTTAAGACAGATGGGGGCAAAAGATCCATGTTTAGCTGGTCCGAAAGTAGTGTTTTCTCAGTTGGCTGTTCACAATCAGTTACAGATCAAACTTCTTGTTCTACTATTTCCCCCCTTGACTAGTTGTTAAAAAAAAAAGACACCCAGGATTACCAGGTCTCTTAGATTTATATTTATTTCCAGGTTTAACTTACTAGGTCAAGTCTTTTTCTAATTATTATTTTTGAGACACGGTCTGGTCTGTCACTCTGTCGCCCTGGCTGGAGTACAGTGGCATGATCACAGCTCACTGTAGCCTCCACCTCATAGGCTCAATTGACCCTCCCATCTCAGCTACTAAAGTAGATAGTACTATAGGTGTGAACCACCATGCCTCGCTACTTTTTTTTTAAATTTATTTTGTTTAAATAGAGATGGGGTCTCCCTATGTTGCCCAGGCTGGTCTCGAACTCCTGGGCTCAAGTGAACCTACCACCTTGACCTCCCAGAGTGCTGGGATTACAGGTGTGAGGTTTTTTGTTTGTTTTCAAGACAGAGTCTTGCTCAGTCGCCCAGGCTGGCTTGCAGTGGCGCAATCTCAGCTCACTGCAACCTCCACCTCCCGGGTTCAAGTGATTTTCCTGCCTCAGCCTCCCGAGTAGTTGGGATTACACGCACGCCCCACCACTCCTGGCTAATTTTTATATTCTTAGTAGAGACAGGGTTTCACCATGTTGGCCAGGCTGGTCTCAAACTCTTGACCTCATGATCTGCCCACCTCGGCCTCCCAAAGTGCTGGGATTACAGGCATGAGCCACCATGCCCAGCCCGTTTGTTTGTATTTTTTTTTGTCTCGATGTGGTTTTGCCATGTTGCCCAGGCTGGTCTCAAACTCCTAGGATCAAGCAGTCCCTTCCACCTCAGCCTCCCAAAGTGCTGAGATTACAGGTGTGAGTTACCACACCTTTTTTTTTTTTTTAAAGTAATCCCTGCCAGTAGTATAAACTAAAACTGTATGAAATAATAGTGCAGGGAAAGCTTTGATCTGTTTGATCTCTTTAACCAAATCATTAGATTCTCCATTATTCTGAGAGGACACCTCATGACTAATGCTCCCCTCTCCATGTGACCACTTACAGCTACTAATAGTAGATTTCTCATTAGGAAACCTCTGAGTATCTGATTTCACCAGTTGAATTTTGCTTTGCAAAGAGTCAGTTGTGTTATTTACCAAACGTGATCGTGTTATTTGTGCTTTTTGTAATTGTGCAGGCTATTTTATAACAGCTAATCAAATGAACTAATTGAAACAAATGTTAGGTTGAGGAATGTGAGGAATGGAGAAAAAAAATACACCTTGATTTTATTTATCTCTTGTGGTAGAACCATGATCTTTTCTTTGAATATGAATCCAATGATGAGAGTGTTGACGTCTTTCTTGCGTAAACTACACCCGTAAGACATTGCCCATGATTTTCAGTTTTTATTTTGTCCTTGCTTGAGCCCAGGGAGGTTGCAGTGAGCTATGATCATGCCACTGCACTCCAGCCTGGGTGACAGAGGGAGACTCTGTCTTAAAACAAAAACAAAAAAAAAAAAAAAAAACTTACATACTTTTTAATTGATCTGAGTATAGACTAGATTTTCTCCCCTAGTACTTTGGATCATTTTGTCTTCACTTGATTTGACATGCAGAGGTGTGTGTGTGTGTGTGTTTTGTTACCTGTCTTTCCATAGCATTCTGCCTAGTTTTCACTAGAAAATAACTCCCTTTGGTATTGTGATCTTTCATCATACTGTGATTTAGAAAAATAGGAAAATGAGCATAATTGATTTGATAATAAATGCACATTGGTAAGCTTTGAGAAAAACCCAGAATCGTATATAGAAAACCTTCCCCCGAGCTAAGAGGGAGCCAGGAGACCAAAGGATGACTCACAAGTCCAGGTTGGTGAATAGATACATTTACTAGGACTAATAAGTTTATTTATTACAAGGCACTCCTGGATGGCAGCAGGACAGCTGTAGAGATCCATGCTGCCCTTTGTCTGCAAACTATTTTTAAGCTAACTTTCTGGCTCATTGCCTACTGTATTTAAGCCATGAGACTGTTTTTCTTGGTAGGTTCTCAGATACTCCCCGGGATGTTTGGGTTCTCAGGGGTACTTGCTCTTCAGGCTGGCACCATGGCCTTGGCTCACCTCCTGTCCTTCAGGATTCAGGCAGCAGATTAAGCATTGAGATATAAGCATATATCTCAATTGGTGGGAGCAGTAGTATGCAGGTGCAGGCTTGCTAATAATTTCATAGCCCCAAGTGGCCACAGTTCAGTGGCCATAAGCATCATTCATTGGGTTTTACTGGCAGATTAGAGGATGCCAGATAAGTTAGTGAAGAGAGACTTTTTTTTGTGTGTGTGTGTGTATGTGTGAGACAGAGTTTCACTCTTTTTGCCCAGGCTGGAGTGCAGTGGTGTGATCTCGGCTCACTGTAGCCTCCGCCTTCTGGGTTCAAGAGGTTCTCCTGCCTCAGCCGCCCAAGTAGCTGGGATTACAGGCACCTGCCACCACACCCAGCTAATTTTTGTAGTGTTAGTAGAGACGAGGTTTCACCATGTTGGCCAGGCTGATCTCGAGCTCCTGACCTCAAGTAATCCGCCCACCTCGGCCTCCCAAAGTGCTGGGATTACAGGCATGAGCCACTGCGGCCCAGCCTGTTTTTGTTTTTTTACTGTTTTGGATTCTTATGTTGTTTCTAGTCTTACCATAAACAACACTGGTAACAGATTATTAGATGTGAAATTTTTGGGTCAGAGTATTGTACTTAAACATTTCATCAAATTTTTAATCAAATCAAAGCTGTTGCCAAATTGCTTTCATGGAGCTTTTACCAGTGTACACTTGAGAGAGCTATGAGAGTACATCTTTTCCCATACCTTTGTCAACCTAGTGTACTATCAAACTTTTTGTTATTTGCTTGTCTTACTATGTTGTTGGTGAAAACGTGTCAGGAGTCCCCAAAATCACCCCTAAGTTTGATGATTTGCCAGACTTATAGAATTCACTATGTAGTTGTACTTACAGCTATGATTTATTACAATGAAAGGATGCAAAGCACAATCACCAAAGGGAAAAAAGGTCCATGGGGTAAAGTCTAGAGGAAACCAGGTTAAAGTTCCCATGGTTTTGCTCCCAGTGGAGTCATGCACTTATCTGTTTATTCCCCCAGCAACTAGTGATAGCAGGTGTGAAATGCTGTCTACCTGGGAAGCATGTTGGAGACTCAGTGCCTAGGCTCTTTACTGGGGGCTGGTCACATAGGCCACCTCTGCCTGGCATGTACTAAAATTTTAAGACTCCCAGAAGGAAACAGGTGTTTATGATAAACCAAATTGTTTGTATGAACAGTTTAGGCACATTGAGCCACTTTTTATCAGTCTGGAAATTGTGGGAACCCTCCTGAAATTTGAGTTCTTAGACTCCAGCCAAGGGCCTTAGTAAGCAGCCTTTCTAAGGATAAGTAGCCATGCCTGGCTATGCCAACACTTTCCTACACAACATGGCATATCTCATTGTTTTAATTTGTGTTTCCTTAATTATTAAGTCAAACATCTTTTAGTTCCAAAAGCTTTGCTTTTTTTTTTTTTTTTTTTTTTTTTTTGAGATGGAGTCTTGCTCTGTCGCCCAAGCTGGAGTGCAGTGGCGCGATCTCGGCTCACGGCAAGCTCCTCCTCCCAGGTTCACGCCACTCTCCTACCTCAGCCTCCAGAGTAGCTGGGACTACAGGCGCCCGCCACCATGCCTGGCTAATTTTTTGTATTTTTAGTAGAGACGGGGTTTCACCATGTTAGCCAGGGTGGTCTCGATCTCCTGACCTCATGATCTGCCCGCCTCGGCCTCCCGAAGTGCTGGGATTACAGGCGTGAGCCACCGCACCTGGCCTGGTATCAGTATTTCTTGTTAGTATTAATGTGTGTGTGTGTGTGTGTGTGTGTGTGTGTGTGTGTGTGTGTGTGTGTGTTGTGATAGTAGTGATGGTTCTTATTTTAGTACAAAAGTTAATTTGGCCAGGGGCAGTGGCTCATGCTTATAACCCCAGCACTTTGGGAGGCTGAGGCCAGCGGATCACCTGAGGATGGGAGTTCGAGACCAGCCTGACCAACATGGAGAAACCCCATCTCTACTAAAAATACAAAATTAGTTGGGCGTTGTGGTGCGCGCCTGTTATCCCAGCTACTTGGGAGGCTGAGGCAGGATAATCGCTTGAACCCAGGAGGTGGAGGTTGTGGTGAGCCGAGGTTGCACCATTGCACTCTAGCCTGGGCATCAAGAGCGAAACTCCATCTAAAAAAAAAAAGTTAATTTGTATTTTGGTCTGTTTTATAAAATTATCATTTACTCTGTACATAGCTTAATGACAATTTTTTGTTTATTTGTTTTGTTTTTGAGACAGGGTCTCACTCTGTCACCCAGGCTGCAGTGCAGTGGCACTATCGTGGCTTACTGCAACCTCTCCCTGCCAGGCTCAAGCGATCCTCCTGCTTCAGCCACCAAGTAGCTGGGACTACAGGCACAGGCTACTACAGTCGGCTAATTTTTGTATTTTTTGTAGAGATGGGGTTTCACCATGTTGCCCAGGCTGGTCTCAAATTCCTGGGCTCAAGCGATCCACCTGACTTGACCTCCCAAAGTGCTGAGATTGTAGGCATGAGCCACCATGCGTGGCCATATTAACAAGTTTAAAATTTTTGTTTTATAGTTTTGACTTTTTCCTGGAAAATATTAGGCACTTTTTTTGATAACACAAATCTGCTTTTAATAATGTTAGAGAGAAAGGCCAGGCATGGGGGCTTACACCTGTAATTCCAGCACTTTGAGAGGCTGAGGTGGGTGGATTGCTTAAGGCCAGGAGTTCAAGACCAGCCTGGCCAACGTGGCAGACAGGCAAAACCCGGTTTCCACTAAAATTACAAAAATTAGCCAGGCATGGTAGTGCACTCCTGTAATCGCAGCTATGGTACACTCCTGTAATCCCAGCTACTCGGGAGGCTGAGGCACAAGAATCACTTGAACCCAGGAGGCAGAGGTTGCAGTGAGCAGAGATCAAGCCACTGCACTCCAGCCTGGGCGACAGAGTGAGACTTTGTCTCCAAAAACAAAGAATGATAGAGTGAACTTTTTCAATGTGTCCAAATTCGAAAATTGCTTTTTGTTTTGAAGCTAGGTTTATTCTCTGAATTGTGAGGTTTATTTTAACAGTGGAAATTTTAAAATATTTAATACCGTAGGTGGTGACTCTCAAAAGGAAATAGGATCATGGCAGCAGATGATGACAATGGTGATGGAACAAGTTTATTTGATGTCTTTTCTGGTAAGAGCTACATTTAATTGTCTTTCTAATTTCCTTTTTTTTTTTTTATGAGACAGGGTCTCCCCCAGTTGCCCAGGGTGGAGTGCAGTGGCGCCATTAATAGCTCACTATGACTTCAGACTTGGGAGCTCAAGGGATCCTCTCGCCTCAGCCTCCTGAGTAGCTAGGACTACAGGCACATGCCACCACGGCCATCTAATCATTTTATTTTTTGTAGAGAGAAGGTTTCACTGTGTGGTCTAGGCTGGTCTCTAATTCCTGGACTCAAGCGACCCTCCCTTTTTGCCTCCCAAAGTGTTGGGATTACAGGTGTGAGCCACTATGCCTTGCCTAACTTTACTTTTTAAATTACAAAATCATTTACCTATTCTCATTGGAAACACAGTCATTATCAGCCTTTTCCCTCTATACATAAATGAATTAATAAAATAAAATGCCTGGGACATGGGAATGCTTAATAAGTGTGAACTTACTGTATGCTTTCAAGCCTCAGAATGTAGTCAAATTAGTGATTTTACTAATATGAATGATAATGATTTTTATTGTTATACCTAAAAATATATAAGATAGGTTTTTGTTACTCTTGAAGTTAATATTTCTAGTAAATGCAATGATGTTTGTTGTTCAGAAAAAAATTGGGCCAGGTGCAGTGTCTCATTCCTGTAATCCCAATACTTTGGGAAGCCAAGGCGGGCGAATCACGAGGTCAGGAGTTCGACACCAGCCTGACCAACATGGTGAACCCCGTCTCTACTAAAAATGCAAAAATTAGCCGGGCATGGTGGCATGTGCCTGTAATTTCAGCTACTCAAGAGGCTGAGGCAGGAGAATCACTTCAACCCAGGAGGTGGAGGTTGCAGTGAGCTGAGATTGTGCCACTGCACTCTAGCCTAGATGACAGAGCAAGACTGTCTCAAAAAAAAAAAAAAAAATTGATAGTCACAATGGATGATTAGTTTGAAAAAGAGATAACTGTCAATACCTGGTATTAAAATAAGCTCATAAAATAGAATTTCTTTCTTTTTTTTTTTGTTTGAGATTGAGTCTTGCTGTTGTCAGCCTGGGCTGGAGTGCAGTGTCGCAATCTCGGCTCACTGCAACCTCCGTCTCCTGAGTTCCAGCAATTCTCCTGCTTCAGCCTCCTGAGTAGCTGAGATTACAGGTGCCTGCCACCATGTCTGGCTAATTTTTGTATTTTTAGTAGAGACGAGGTTTCACCATGTTGGCCAGGCTCGTCTTGAACTCCTGACCTCAGGTGATCTACCCACCTTGGCCTCCCAAAGTGCTGGAACTACAGGTGTGAGCCACCGTGCCCAGCCCAAAATAGAAATATTTTAAATAATATGCAGAAGGTAAACTTCCAAACACTGACATAACATTATTATCTCTTTCTTTTAATGATAATCATGCTGTGACCTCATTGAATTTGTTGAGATATGGGCATATGTTTATTGACCAGAATAATGATTCCTATGCCATGGAGAGTAAGAAGGACAGTTATAAAACATGTTTAGTAGAATTCCATTTTTGCTTAAAATAATGTTTTAAACAATTCATAGATATGGAAGAGTTCACACCAACTATGGCCATTATAACCATTCTGGGTGGTGTTATTTGGTGTTTATTTTTGCTGATGTAGTTTCAAGTTGTTATTCTGTTATGTAATTCTCTTTGATGTTTTTTCCTTTGAAAAATTTTAAGCCAGGCCGAGTGCGATGGCTCACGCCTGTAATTCTAGCACTTTGGGAGGCTGAGACAGGTGGATCACCTGAGGTCAGGAGTTCAAGACTAGCCTGACCAACATGGTGAAACTCCATCTCTATTAAAAATACAAAAATTAGCGGGGCATGGTGGTGCACGCCTGTAATCCCAGCTACTCAAGAGCCTGAGGCAGGAGAATCGCTTGAACTGGGAGGTGGAGGTTGCAGTGAGCCAAGATCCTGCCATTGCAGTCCAGCCTGGGAGAAGAGCAAAATTCCATCTCAAAGAAAAAAAAAAATTTAAGCCACCAAACTGAAAAATTGGAACTATAATATAATGAACAGCATTATTTGTCACCTAGATTCACAAATGATTAAATTTCATCACGTCTGCAACGATTAAAATTTGAAGGACAAAACTACAATTTAATCTGATTTTCTGGATGCAGCTGTTTTTATTTCTATGTATCACTGTCAAGTTGCTGTCTATACACACACACACACACACACACACACACACACACACACACACACACATTTTTTTTTTTTGAGACAGAGTTTTGCTCTTGTTGCCCAGGCTGGAGTGCAATGGCATGATCTAGGCTCACTGCAACCTCTGCCTCCCAGGTTCAAGGAATTCTACTGTCAGCCTCCTGAGTAGCTGGGATTACAGGAGCGTGCCACCATGCCCGGCTAATTTTTTCGTATTTTTAGTGGAGACGGGGTTTCGCCATATTGGCCAGGCTGGTCTCGAACTCCTGATCTCAGGTGATCCGCCCGCCTTGGTCTCCCAAAGTGCTGGGATTACAGGCGTGAACCACCGCGCCCGGCCAGGTTTGTTTGTTGTTGTTGTTGTTGTTGTTGTTGTTGTTGTTGTTGTTGTTTTGAGTTGGAGTCTCGCTCTGCCGCCCAGGCTGGAGTGCAGTGGCGCAGTCTCGGCTCACTGCAAGCTGTGCCTTCCGGGTTCACGCCATTCTCCTGCCTCAGCCTCCCGAGTAACTGGGACTACAGGCACCCGCCACCACGCCTGGCTAATTTTTTGTATTTTTAGTAGAGACGGGGTTTTACTGTGTTAGCCAGGATGGTCTCGATCTCCTGACCTCGTGGTCTGCCCGCCTCAGCCTCCCAAAGTGCTGGGATTACAGGCATAAACCACCACGCCCAGCCCATATATATATTTTTTAGGCTAATCAAGTGAAGCAGTAGGAAAAGCATGTACATTTTAAAAATAGTCACAGCTACGGTGTACTTTCTGCTTTGTGTCTTGCCTTTTTTTTTTTGAGACGGAGTCTCGCTCTGTCACCCAGGCTGGAGTGCAGCGGTGCTAACTCAGCTTACTGCAACCTCTGCCTCCCGAGTTCAAGTGATTCTCCTACCTCAGCCTCCAGAGTAGCTGAGATTACAGGTGTGCGCCACTATGCCCGGCTAAGTTTTGTATTTTTAGTAGAGACGGCGCTTCACCATGTTGGCCAGGCTGTTCTCAAACTCCTGACCTCAGGTGATCCGCCTGTCTTGGCCTCTCAAAGTGTTGGGATTACAGGCATGAGCCACTGCGTCCAGCCTAGACTCTCTCTTTGTAAACACACACACACACACACACACACACACGTCTAGATGCACACCCATTTTTTTTCCTGACCCATTTGAGAGTAAGTTGTATACATTATGGCCCCTTACCCCTAAGTATTTCAGTATGTATTTCATAAGGAAAAGTTGGTTCTCTTATATAACCACAGTGTAATTTCAGTTTCATTAGATTTAACACTGATAAAATACTTTTGTATTTGATTTGCTATTTTTATTCCAGCGAATGATGTTCTTTATTATTGTAGTTGGATTTAGGTCATTTTAATATTTGACTTCAATTTTTCTCATCAGTTATTTTTTTCTGATTTTCTTTCAAATATTATTTGAGTATATATTTATTTACTTATTTTAAATTTTTAAATTTTTTTTCTCCCTTTAGCACTAGTGCTAACTGCTAGTAATGTTTGAGTGTATTTTTGAAA
The DNA here is from genome assembly GCF_000001405.40 of Homo sapiens. Taxonomy (NCBI): domain Eukaryota; kingdom Metazoa; phylum Chordata; class Mammalia; order Primates; family Hominidae; genus Homo; species Homo sapiens. The sequence goes on from NC_000006.12 coordinate 89,850,354, forward strand.
TGCATTTCATTTATGTATGAGCTTTTTCACTATACCTGTTTGTATTATTTTTAGTATTTGTTTGAGGAAGTGTATACATCTTTAACATTTTGTAGTCTGTTTACTAGTATTGTACCTTTTTACAATATCTTGCATGTATGGTTGCATCTATCTGCTTCTTTGCCTTTCATGTTAGAACCCCACAATAAAATGCTATAGTGTTTACTGGGCCGGGCGTGGTGTCTCACACCTGTAATCCCAGCACTTTGGGAGACCGAGGCGGGTGGATTGCCTGAGCACAGGAGTTCGAGACCAACCTGTGCAACACGGTGAAACCCCGTCTCTACCAAAATACAAAAAATTAGCCAGGTGTGGCGGTGTGTGCCTGTAGTCTCAGCTGCTTGGGAGGCTGAGGCAGGAGAATTGCTTGGACCTGGGAGGCGGAAGGCAGAGGTTGCAGTGAGCCGAGATCGCACCACTGCACTCCATCCTGGGCGACAGAGCGAGACTCTGTCTCACAAAAACCAAAAAAAAAACCCAAAAAAAACAAAAAAACAAAAACAAAACAAAACAAAAAAAATGCTATAGTGTTTACTGTAACAGTTCTATGGATCTTAAATTAAGAAGAAAAATTAGTCTTTTACGATTACTCATTTATTTACCATCTCCAGTCCTAGCATTCTTTGGTATCCCTCTAGTAGCAGTTTCCCCCCATTCTCTATTTGCTTCTGGACTCCACATATACACTATGTGAGGACTTTTGATATTATCATGTAGGTCACTAAGACTCTGTTCTTTTTTAAGAAAGTGCTCTCTCATCTACAGATTGGGTAATTTCTGTTGATCTGTCTTCAAGTTCAGTGGTTCTCCTGTCAAGCACATCCAGTAATTTTTTATATTAGATATTGTAATCTTCAGTTGTAGGTTTTTCATTTGGTTCTTTTTCATTGTTTCTGAGATTTTCTATGTAGTAAGTTTGTGTTTGTCTGTGTGGTTTTTTTGGAGACAAGTTCTTTCTCTGTCAGCCAGGCTGGAGTGTAGTGGCATGAACATGGCTCACTTCAGCCTCGACCTCCTGGGTTCAAGTCATCCTCCTGCCTCAGTCTCCTGAGTAGCTGGGACTACAGGCATCTGCCACCATGCTCAGCTAATTTTCTTTTAATTTTTTTTGTAGAGACAGAGTCTCACCATGTTACCTAGGCTGGTCTCGAACTCATGGGCTCAAGCAGTCCTCTGGCCTTGGCCTCCCAAAGTGCTGGGATTACAGGTGTGACTCACTGCACCTGGCCACCATGTAGTAACTTTGGATTGAATAGTCAACATTGTAAATGAAATGTTAGACACTGGATGCTGTTAACATTCCTCTGAAGAGTTGTTTTTAATTTTAGCAGATATTTAACTTAGCTGAACTTACAATTCGGTCTCTTCTGTAATAGCAACTGAAATCTCTATTTTAGATTTAGCTGGCTTTTTGGAGTTCTACCCTTTTTTGAGGGTCACCCAGAGATTTGGGCAGAATTTAAGTAATGCTCTTTGTGGATTTCTGTAATTCCCCTTTCATGTACTAGTCACTGTTATCATGACAAATTCTTTTCTCCGGTTCTTCAAGCTACTAGGACTGGAGGTTTCTATCTTGAGTTGTCACTGCCCAGTGTAGCTACAACTAGGGCCTGTCTTTATACAAAAAGCAGTAATAAAAGGGGACAGGGAGCTTGGGAGGTGCTATTTTCTTTCAGTTGTCATTACCCTTTTAGTTTTTGCCTGCTTTAGGTTGTTCTCTAGCTCTTTAGATAGCTTCACATATTTTATTTAGTGTCAACAGTAGTTGCCTGCAGGAGGATTGGTTTCATAGAAACTACTCTGCTATAACTGGAATTGGAACTCTTTCAGTAGAATATATATATATGAGACAGGATCTCGCACTGTCACCCAGGCTGGAGTGCAGTGGCATAATCATGGCTCGCTGCAGCCTTGACCTTCTGGGCTCAAGCAGTCCACCTTAGCCTCCCATGTGCCACCACACCTGGCTAATTTTTATTTTTGATATGCTATGTTGTCCAGGCTGGTCTTGATCTCCTGAGCTTAAGCAATCCTCTCTCCTCAGACTCCTAAAGTCGGGGGATTACAGGTGTGAGCCACTGCACCTGGCCTCACTAGTATATTTTTGAAACTGAATTTTTAAAGTCTGTATCTGAGGTAGTCAATAAATAAATCAGTGTGCCAAAATCTTCCTGTTTATAACTATGTGTAGAGACAATGTCTGTCTGTGTCTCTCTCTCCCTGTCTCTCTTTAATTTGAGACATGGTCTCACTCTGAAATCCAGGCTAGAGTGCAGGGGCACGATCTTGGCTCACTGCAACCTCCACCTCCCGGGTTCAAGCAATTGTCGTGCCTCAATCTCCCTAGTAGCTGGGATTACAGGCATGCACCACCACTCCTGGCTAATTTTTGTATTTTTAGTAGAGACAGAGTTTCACCGTGTTGTCCAGGCTGGTCTCCAACTCCTGGGTTGAAAAGTGATCTGCCTACCTCGGCCTCCCAAAGTGCTGGGATTACAGGCGGGAGCGACCATGCCCGGCCTTTTTTTGTATTTTTAGTAGAGATGAGGTTTCGCCCCGTTGCCCAGGCTAGTCTTGAAATCCTGAGCTTAAGCGATCCACCTGCCTCAGCCTCCCTAAGTGCTGAGTTTACAGGCGTGAGCCACCATGCCTGGCTTATCTCTTATTTAAAGCAAAACTGTTAAATCTCATTCTTTTCCTGGTCCTTTAGTGTAGGAATGGAAAAATCTCAGTGCCTAAAGTCATTTTTAACTAATCTTTGCCTTTCTTGCAGCTTCTCCTCTTAAGAACAATGATGAAGGCTCACTGGACATATACGCTGGGTTGGACAGTGCTGTTTCTGGTATGTGAATTCCATAAAAATAGTTTCATTTTCTTGGTCAGTTCATTGTTTTGTGGTTACTAAATCCTGGTATATCATAGCTCCTAAAGAATTTGCTCATTCTTTGTAATTACACTGAGGTAATTCTTTTCTTTCTTTTCCCCCACAGTAACTTCCAGAACCCAATCTTAACCAAAGCTTGATCAGAAAAACAAATTAGCACACAGGTTTTTTATTCATCTCAGTCTCAGATTTAATTGAGCCTTGTGCAAAAACATTTTCTACTATTGAAGTGCAACTAGTGCTGGTGTCTGTTACTACTCACTCATACTCTTTTTTTTTTTTTTTTTTTTTGAGACGGAGTCTCACACTGTCGCCCAGGCTGGAATGCAGTGGCTTGATCTCGGCTCACTGCAACCTCCGCCTCCTGGGTTCAAGTGGTTCTCCTGCCTCAGCCTCCCAAGTAGCTGGGACTACAGGCACGTGCCACCACACCCGGCTAATTTTTTGTATTTTTAGTAGAGACAAGGTTTCACCATGTTAGCCTGGATGGTCTCGATCTCCTGACCTCGTGATCCGCCCACCTCAGCCTCCCAAAGTGCTGGGATTACAGGCATAAGTCACCACACCTGGCCGCACTCATACTCTTGAAGGTTATATGATATTAGAACATTTGAAAAGTGTAAGTTACTATAAATATTTTTAAACGTATCAGTAAGAGTGATATGCTGAGAATCTAATGACCTATTCAAATTAGAAACCTTTTCCATAATCAGATTTCTCAGAGTTTTGAACAGTTATGATCTTCATACCTAATTTGGTTGACACAACCATTTTAGGTAAATTGGTAGTCCATCTGTAAAATCAGTATAAATTTGGAATGTAGGATAAGTGAAATGTAGGATGAAGTATGGGAGATGGAGAAATGTATAATCTTTGAAGTAGATAAAATATCAAAAAGTGTAACAAGGCTGGGCGCGGTAGCTCACGCCTGTAATCCCAGCACTTTGCAAGGCCGAGGCGGGCGGATCCCCTGAGGTCAGGAGTTGGAGACCAGCCTGGCCAACATAGTGAAAACTCGTCTCTACTACAAATACAAAAAAAATTACCTGGGCATGGTGGCACGTGCCTATAGTCCCAGCTACTCAGGGAGGCTGAGGCAGAAGAATCGCTTGAACCCAGGAGGCGGAGGTTGCAGTGAGCCAAGATAGCGCCACTGCGCTCCAGCCTGGGTGACAGAGGGAGACTCCTAAAAAAAAAAGGTGTGACAAATATTTTCACTTTGTGAGGCCAAGGCGGGTGGATTTCTTGAGGTCAGGAGTTCGAGACCAGCCTGGCCAACATGGTGAAACACCATCTCACCATCTCTACTAAAAATACAAAAATTAGTGGGGCGTGGTGGCGTGCACCTGTAATCCCAGCTACTCGGGAGGCTGACGCATGAGAATGGCTTGAACCTGGGAGGGTGAGGCTACAGTGAGCCAAGATTTGCACCACTGCCACTGCACTCTAGCATGGGTGACAGAACGAGACTCAAAAAAACAAAAGAAAAAAGTGTAACAAGTATTTTTATGGAAGGTTTTTTTTGTTTGTTTGTTTTTAGACAGCGCTTCCAAATCCTGTGTACCATCAAGAAATTGTTTGGACTTATATGAAGAGATCCTGACTGAAGAAGGAACTGCAAAGGAGGCAACATATAATGATGTATGGGTTGCCACAATTATTAAGGACAGTTATTTACTGTTTTGTAGCTTCTGAAGAGCAGTCAGCTGCTTAGTTTTGAACAGATATTTTGTTTAGGAACTTAGCTCTTAGACTAACAAATATTTAAGTCAGTTTTTGTCTTCAGACCTGTTTTTTAAAGGAATGTTTTCTGAATACTTGTCTAAATTTAGTTATAATTTTGCTTGACCCAATTTAAGCATCTGAATATAAAACCTCAACAGGCAAACAGTGTTACAACATTTTTTCTTTCATGATATGTACAAAGTTAAATTATATGTTGCATAAAATGTCCTCAGACTTCTATTTCTTTCTACTATATTTGAATTTTAAGGTTTGGATGTTGAATGTGAAACTAAACAAAATAGATTATTTGTAGGCTTAACTTTAAAACTGGTTATCTTTCTGGTAGAAGTAGACCTCATCTGCCTTCTTAGTGAATTGATTTGCAAAATTTAAAATATTTAGAAATGCCAGTTAAGCTAAGAAAATAATTTTGAATGATACTTCAATTAATCCTTTTATATTTTATAGTTGCAAGTAGAATATGGAAAATGTCAACTACAAATGAAAGAGCTGATGAAAAAATTTAAAGAAATACAGACACAGGTAGAGTATAAATGAAAACATAAAAAACAAATTACCAGGCACAGTGACTCACACCAGTAATTTCAGCACTTTGAGAGGCAGAGGTGAGAGGATTGCTTGAGGCCAGGAGTTTGAGCCCAGCCTTAGCAAGGTAGCGAAACCTCATCTCTACAAAAAAATAAAACAATTAGCTGTGTATGGCCCCCTGTAGTCCTAGCTACTTAGGAGGCTGAGGAGGGAGGACTCTTGAACTCAGGAGTTTGAAGTTAAAGTGAGCTGTGATTGTGCCACTGCACTCCAGCCTGGGTGACAGAGCAAGACCCTGTCACTTAAAAAAAGTAAAACAACAAAAAAAAAGTTGTTATAAATAGAAATTAAAATGTTAAAGTGTTGACAGTTTATAAGGAAGCTTTCTTTTAGTATTAAATGAAATAGCAAATGTGGCAAGTATGCATTATTTCCTGAGTTGATGAAATTGAATGAAATAGCAAATGTGGCAAATATGCATTATTTTCCGAGTTGATGAAACTGATAAAGGAAAACGGCTTGATTTATTAAATGACATTGATTATAAAGGGTCTGTTAGACTTAGGCCAATTAATAGTTAATTAATAGAAAATTGTGGAGATGATGACAACTGGTTTAAAAGAATGGTTTTGAGGAGCAAAGATACGGGTTTAAAATGGCTCTTGGGGGACACTGTTGATGCCTTCACAGCTTTTGCCAAAATGACCTATTTTGTGACTGTGCTGCAAAAATCAGGAATGTCATGTCCTGTTCTAGTTTTTACTTTTTGGTAAAATTGTATCTCTTCCTTCTCTTCCCCCTGAAAGAACCAGTGAACTCTCAATTCTTTCTTTGTTTATCTGGGGACTAATACATCTTTTTTTTTTTTCTGATGGAGCCTTGCGCTTCGCCAGGCTGGAGTGCAGTGGCACGATCTCGGCTTACTGCAACCTCCAGCTCACTGCAACCTCCGCCTCTCAGGCTCAAGCGGTTCTCCTGCCTCAGCCTCCCAAGTAGCTGGGATTACAGGCACCCACCATGACACCTGGCTAATTTTTGTATTTTTAGTAGAGACAGGGTTTTGGCCTGTTGGCCAGGCTGGTCTTGAGCTCCTGACTTTAGGTGATCCACCTGCCTCGGCCTCCCAAAGTGCTGGGATTACAGGCGTGAGCCACCATGCCCAGACTGGACTAATACATCTTTGCAAGTTTAACCAAAGCTGTTAAATTATAACCTAATTCTTACCATTTTTATTTTCAATTTTCAAGATCATGACCCAGGCAGAACTTACTTTTTCTGCTGTTCATTGGTTTTTCATTTCAATCTCTGTTTTAAGTAGTTTCACTTTAAGTGGGACTATTTCTGGTGCCAGTTATCTTCTCATAGTCTCAGCTTCCCCACCTGTATAAGGGGGATAAATAGTACTCCTCATAGGGCTTATAAATGTATGATGCCTGCATGTAGTTAACATTCAATAATTATCAGCTAATGTATGTAGTAGTATTAGTAACCCTATAGGTATGTACTTTATTAATATAGTTTGTGGTGTTTTAGAATTTCAGCTTAATAAACGAAAACCAGTCTCTTAAGAAGAATATTTCAGCACTTATCAAAACTGCCAGAGTGGAAATAAACCGCAAGGATGAAGAAATAAGTAATCTTCACCAAAGGTATTACTGAGCGGTGTAGCTGTTATAAATTACGTGGGTATTGATATGTGGAATATTTTTAACTTTTAGAGGAAAGATGAAAATAATGTATTTTTATTTTTTATTTTTTAATTTTTTTTTTTTTTTAGAGACAGGGTCTCATTTTGTCACCCAGGCTGGAATGCAGTGGTGTAATTATAACTCAATGCAGCCTCCACCTCCTGGGCTCAAGAGATCCTCCTTCCTCAGCCTTCCAAGTAGCTGAGATAACAGGTGCACAACACCATGTCTGCCTAATTTTTTTATTTTTTATTTTTGGTGGAGACAGGGTCTCACTATGTAGCCCACACTGGTCTTGAACTCAAGGCCTCAAGTGATCCTCCTGCCTCTGCCTCCTGAAGTGTTGGGATTATAAGGGTGAGCCACCATGCTTGGCCCATATGTGATTATTAATAGAACATTGTGGCCAGGCGCAGTGGCTCGTACCTGTAATCCCAGCACTTTGGGAGGCTGAAGGGGACAGATCACTTGAGCTCAAGAGTTCGAAACCAGCCTGGCCAACAGGGTGAAACCCTGTCTCTACTAAAAATACAAAAATTTGGCTGGGCATGGTGGCTCATGCCTGTAATCCTAGCACTTTGGGAGGCCGAGGCGGGCAGATCACCTGAGGTCAGGAGTTCGAGACCAGCCTGACCAACATGGTGAAACCCCATCTCTACTAAAAAAAAAAAAAAAAAAATACAAAATTAGCTGGACATGGTGGCGCATACCCAGCATCACAGCCACTCGGGAGGCTGAGGCAGGAGAATCTCTTGAACCCAGGAGGCAGAGGTTGCCGAGATTGTGCCATTGCACTCCAGCCTGGGCAACAAGAGTGAAACTCCATCTCAAAAAAAAAAAAAATATTAGCCAGGCATGGTGGTGGGTGCCTGTGGTGGGTGCCTGTAATTCCACCTACTTGGGAGGCTGAGGCAGGAGAATTGCTTGAACCTGGGATGACGCAGAGGTTGCAGTGAGCTGAGATCATACCACTGCATTCCATCCTTGGTGACAGCAAGACTCCATCTCAAAAAAAAAAAAAAAAGGAAGCAAATAAAAATAGAACATTGCCACATATTTATCTGAATATATTTAGTTTCCTAAAACACTGAGTTCTTGCTCTAATACTGTTTGCCCTGATGAGATGATGGTATATATGTCATGGGTTCTTCTAGGTCCCCACTAAATTACTAAAATATCAAGAGGGCATCTGTGCTCATATACCCTATTAATAAACAGCCCTTATACTATCTCTCAATTGTATATTCTTTTCTTTCTCAAGGGGATTTTCTCCATTAATTTCTCTCTTTTATTGGTTGGAGGCAATATTTTGCTCCAGAGAGGTTCATATTTTCATAGCCTAACCTCTGAAAAAGTTGTCTAAACTTGTAAACTTGTTTTCATTTTCTTTCTTTCTGCTAACTCACTTTTTATTTTTTTTAAGATGGAGTCTCACTCTGTCGCCAGGCTGGAGTGCAGTGGCGCGATCTTGGCTCACTGCAACCTCCCCCTCCTGGGTTTAAGCAATTCTCCTGCCTCAGCCTCCTGAGTAGCTGGGACTACAGGCACGCGCCACCATGCCTGGCTAATTTTTGTATTTTTAGTAGAGATGGGGTTTCACCATGTTGGCCAGGGTGGTCTTGATCTCTTGACCTCATGATCCGCCTGCCTCAAGCCTCCCAAAGTGCTGGGATTACAGGCGTGAGCCACTGTGCCCGGCCATTTTTTTTTTTTTTTTTTTTTTTGACAGAGCCTCACTCTGTCGCCCAGGCTGGAGTGCAATGGTGCAATCTCACCTCACCGCAACCTTCGCCTCCCAGGTTCAAGCGATTCTGCCTCCTGAGTAGCTGGGATTACAGGCGCTCGCCACCACACCCGGCTAGTTAAAAAAAAATTTTTTTATTTTTTGAGATGGAGTCTCGCTCTGTTGCCCAGGCTGGAGTGCAGTGGCGTGATCTTGGCTCACTCCAACCTCCGCCTCCTAGGTTCAAGCGTTCTCCTGCCTCAGCCTCCCGAGTAGCTGGGATTACAGGCACCCGCCACCACGCTGGCTAATTTTTGTATTTTTAGTAGAGACGGGGTTTCACCATGTTGGTCAGGCTGGTCTCGAACTGCTGACCTCAGGTGACCCACCTACCTCGGCCTCCCAATGTGCTGGGATCACAGGCATGAGCCACCGCACTCAGCCTACACCCAGCTAATATTTTTGTATTTTTAGTAGACACGGGGTTTCACCATGTTGGTCAGGCTGGTCTTGAACTCCTGACCTCAGGTGAGCCACCCACCTTGGCCTCCCAAAGTGCTGGGATTTCAGGCGTGAGCCACTGTGCCCAGACTTTTTTTTTTTTTTGGCAGAGTCTTGCTCTGTTGCCCAGGCTGGAGTGCAGTGGTGTGATCTCAGCTCATTGCAACCTTTGCCTGCTGGGTTCAAGCGATCCTCCCACCTCAGTCTCCCGAGTAGCTGGGATTACAGGCATGCACCACCTGTAAAAAAAAATTTAAAAAAAAAAAAAGATTTTTTTGTATTTTTAGTAGACGGGGTTTCACCATTTTGGCCAGGCTGGTCTCAAACTCCTGATCTCAAGTGATCTGCCCGCCTGGCCCTCCAAAGTACTGGGATTACAGGTATGAGCCACTGCACCCAGCTTCAAGGGTGTTCCTTTTGTGGTTAGTGCTTTTCGTGTTTACATTTCCCCAATGATCTCAAAGGTATCTACCAACAGTTGGTCGGTTGAGTCAGTATCTATATTAGTTTCCTAGGCTTAGTGTAACAAAACTACCAGAAATGGGTGGCCTAAACAACCAAAATTTGTCTCACAGTCCTGGAGGCTAGAAGTCCAAAATGAAAGTGTCAGCAAAGTTAGTTTCTTTTGAGAGCTCTGAAGGAAGGATCTGATTCAGGCCTCTGTACTCTTAGATGGTTGTCTACTTCCTATGTCTCTTTATATCCTCTTTCTAAATGTATCTCTGTGTCCAAATTTCCCCCTTTTTATAAGAACACCAGTAATATTGCATGCCCACCTTGAGGACATCACTTTAACTTGATTATTTCTGTAAAGACCCTTTAAATAAGGTCATATTCTGAAGAACAATGGGTTAGAACTTCAAATTATGAATTTGGTCAGGAGAGGGGACACAATCCATAACAGGGTTCATATGAGGCTTACATATTGTTTTAGGTTGTGTGTTTTTCTAATCCTCTCTTATAACAATCTGCCTATATTTCTGAGTTTTTTAAGTTTTGGGTTTTTCTACACATTTGCTACTGATTAGAAAAAGATATATGAAATTTCAGAGAAATTATGGAATTTCTGGAAGATGAAGTTATTACCAGAAGCCAATATAGGCCAGGCACAGTGGCTCACGCCTGTAACCCCAGTACTTTGGGAGGCGAAGGCAGGAGAATTGCTTGAGTCCAGGAGTTTGAGACCAGCCTGCGCAGCATAGTGAGATCCCATCTCTACGAAAAATTAAAAATTAGCTGGGCATGGTGGCTTGTACCTGTAGTCCCAGCTACTTGGAAGGTTGAAGTGAGAGGATTGCTTGAGCCTAGGACATCAAGGCTGCAGTGAGCCATGATCATTCCGCTGTACTCAGCCTGGGTGAAAGAGGGAGACCCTGTCTCAAAAAAAAAAAAAAAAAAAAAAAAAGCTAAATTGAGCTATCTACATTTTATTGCTAGGAAACCTACCAGTTTTTTTAAACACTAATATAAAACCTTAAGACTTAGATTTTTGTTTGTTTTAAACAGTAAATATATACCATTCTCCTAGGAAAGAATTACAACTCTTTATTCCTTTTTACTTTGCGTAGTATATAACATCTTAAGATGGCCTTTGGTGCTTTGGCTTGCTGTGGGATTGTATGTGAAACAGAAAACTAGGATAGAGAATTATGTAGAGTTTTACTTTGTTCATGTCTGTTGTTTAGCAAGATTTTACTTTTCCTTGTGTTTCAGTTGAGCTAGAATGAATAAGGCAAGAAAATAATGTCACTTGTTCTAAAAGAAGTGAACTTGTGGTTAGCTGGGGAGTTATGCACTGTAGTGAAGTAAGTCTAAGAGCCATTGGCAAGTATTGGGATAGATCCTCAGGTCCTCAAAACTTATTTGAGCAAGGCACATGAAAGAGAATTTCATGTTTTAAAAACAGGCTAATTTAGTTGGAAGCTGGTAATTTCTTTTTCTTCTTTTTTTTAGGGACAGGGTCTCACTTCGTTCTGTCACCCAGGCTGGAGTGCAATAGCGCAATCATGGCTCATTGCAGCCTCAACCTCCTGGTCTTAAGTGATCCTCCCACCTCAGCCTTCCGAGTAGCTAGGACCACAGGCATGTACCACTATGCCTGGCTAATTAAAACAAAAAATTTTTTTAGAGACAGGATGTCACCATGTTGCCCAGGCTGATCATGAACTCCTGGGCTCAAACAAATGATCCTCCCGCCTTGTCCTCCTCAAGTGCTGATATTAGAGGCATGAGCCACCACATCTGGCCAAAGCTGGTAATTTCTTTCTCAACCAGGAGGTTGAGGCTGAGACAGAGTCTTGCCCTGTCACCCAGGCTGGAATACAGTGGCGCAGTCTCGGCTCACTGCAACCTCCACCTCCCAGGTTCAAGCAATTCTCCTGCTTCAGCTCCCAAGTAGCTGGGATTACAGGTGCCTGCCACCACGCTTGGCTAATTTTTTTGTATTTTTGGTAGAGACGGGGTTTCGCCATGTTGGCCAGGCTGGTCTCAAACTCCTGACCTCAAGTGATCTACCTGCCTCGGCCTCTCAAAGTGCTGGGATTATAGGCATGAGCTACCATGCCTGGCCAAAGCTGGTAATTTCTTAATCATGAATTACTCATGTGAATGAAGTTTGGAATATTGCTAAATATAATTTAACTTTTTTTTTTATTTCATAATAGATTGTCTGAGTTTCCACATTTTCGAAATAATCATAAAACTGCAAGGACATTTGATACAGTTAAAACAAAAGATCTTAAATCTAGATCTCCACATTTGGATGATTGTTCAAAGACTGATCACAGAGCTAAAAGTGATGTTTCTAAAGATGTACATCATAGCACTTCACTGCCAAATCTGGAAAAGGAAGGAAAACCACATTCTGATAAAAGGAGTACTTCACATTTACCTACATCTGTTGAGAAACACTGCACTAATGGTGTTTGGTCACGTTCTCATTATCAGGTTGGCGAGGGTAGCTCAAATGAGGATAGTAGAAGAGGAAGAAAAGATATTAGACATAGCCAGTTTAACAGAGGAACTGAAAGAGTACGAAAAGACTTAAGTACTGGCTGTGGTGATGGTGAACCAAGGATATTGGAGGCTAGTCAAAGGCTACAAGGACATCCTGAGAAATATGGTAAAGGTGAACCAAAGACTGAAAGCAAAAGTTCGAAGTTTAAAAGTAACTCAGATTCTGACTATAAAGGTGAACGCATTAACTCTTCTTGGGAGAAAGAGACCCCTGGAGAAAGGTCACACAGTCGAGTAGACTCTCAAAGTGACAAAAAACTAGAAAGACAAAGTGAAAGATCACAAAATATAAATAGGAAAGAAGTTAAATCACAAGACAAAGAAGAAAGAAAAGTTGATCAAAAACCTAAATCAGTAGTAAAGGACCAAGATCACTGGAGAAGATCTGAACGAGCATCACTTCCTCATTCCAAGAATGAAATAACATTTTCTCATAATTCAAGTAAATACCATCTAGAAGAGAGAAGAGGATGGGAAGATTGTAAAAGAGACAAGAGTGTAAACAGTCATAGTTTTCAAGATGGAAGATGTCCATCTTCTCTTTCAAACAGTAGAACTCACAAAAACATTGACTCTAAGGAAGTTGATGCCATGCATCAGTGGGAAAATACACCTTTAAAAGCAGAAAGACATAGAACTGAAGATAAGAGGAAAAGAGAACAAGAAAGCAAAGAAGAAAATAGGCATATTAGAAATGAAAAAAGAGTACCTACAGAACATTTGCAGAAGACTAATAAGGAAACTAAGAAAACCACTACTGATTTAAAGAAACAGAATGAACCAAAGACTGATAAGGGAGAAGTCCTTGATAATGGTGTTTCTGAAGGAGCAGATAATAAAGAGCTTGCAATGAAAGCTGAGAGTGGTCCAAATGAAACAAAAAACAAGGACCTAAAATTGAGTTTTATGAAAAAATTGAACTTAACTCTTTCTCCTGCTAAAAAGCAACCTGTTTCCCAGGATAATCAGCATAAAATAACTGATATTCCCAAGTCCAGTGGTGTATGTGATTCAGAGTCTTCAATGCAAGTTAAAACAGTGGCATATGTTCCCTCCATAAGTGAACATATCTTGGGGGAAGCAGCTGTCAGTGAACATACCATGGGGGAAACCAAGTCAACGTTATTGGAACCAAAGGTTGCTCTTCTAGCAGTGACTGAACCCAGGATCGGTATCTCAGAAACCAACAAGGAAGACGAAAATAGTTTGTTAGTTAGGTCTGTTGACAATACTATGCATTGTGAAGAGCCCATTTGTGGTACAGAGACTTCCTTCCCATCTCCTATGGAAATACAACAGACAGAATCCTTGTTTCCATCAACAGGAATGAAACAAACCATTAATAATGGAAGGGCAGCAGCTCCTGTGGTAATGGATGTATTACAAACAGATGTGTCTCAAAACTTTGGCTTGGAATTGGATACCAAAAGAAATGATAATTCAGATTATTGTGGTATTTCTGAAGGTATGGAGATGAAGGTGGCACTTTCAACAACAGTGAGTGAAACCACTGAAAGCATTTTGCAGCCTTCAATTGAGGAAGCTGATATTTTGCCAATAATGCTTTCAGAAGATAATAACCCAAAATTTGAGCCTTCTGTTATAGTTACACCACTGGTTGAGAGTAAGTCGTGTCATCTGGAGCCTTGCTTACCTAAAGAGACTCTAGATTCTTCACTTCAGCAGACTGAGTTAATGGACCACAGAATGGCAACTGGTGAAACAAACTCAGTATATCATGATGATGATAACTCGGTTTTGAGCATTGACCTTAATCACCTGAGACCTATTCCAGAAGCCATCAGTCCTCTGAATAGTCCAGTGAGACCTGTAGCAAAAGTTCTTAGAAATGAAAGCCCACCTCAAGTTCCAGTGTATAATAACAGTCATAAAGGTAATAGTTTGTATTATCTTCTATAACTTTGCATTTTATGAGAATGTAAAATACATAAGATGAATTGGTGCTTTTTCTTTTTTGATAACATAAAAAGTAGCATATTACTCAGCCCCTGTTATCTAGAAGTGCACATGGAGGGTTTTTTTGTTTTTTGGTTTTTTTTAGATGAAGTCTCACTCTGTCCCCCAGGCTGGAGTGCAGTGTGCACAATCTTGGCTCACTGCAACCTCTGCCTCCTGAGTTCAAGCAATTCTCCTGCCTCAGCCTCCCAAGTAGCTGGGACTACAGGCGCGTGCCACCACTCCCAGCTAATTTTTGTATTTTTTTTAGTAGAGTCAGGGTTTCACCATATTGGGCAGGCTGGTCTTGAACTCCTGACCTCGTGATCCGCCCGTCTCGGCCTCCCAAAGTGTTGGGACTATAGGCGTGAGCCACTGCACCCAGCCATAGTTGTTTTTTTGTTTCTTTTTTTTTTTTTTTTTTTTGAGAGAGAGTCACTCTGTCGCCAGGCTAGAGTGCAGTGGTGCGATCTCAGCTCACTGCAACCTCCGCCTCCCAGGCCCAAGCGATTCTCCTGCCTCAGCCTCCCAAGTAGCTGGGATTGCAGGCACCTGCCACTATGCTCATTTTTGTGTTAGTAGAGATGGGGTTTCACCATGTTGGTCAGGTTGGTCTGGATCTCTTGACCTCGTGATCAGCCCTCCTCAGCCTCCCAAAGTGCTGGGATTACAGGCGTGAGCCACCACACCTGGCCCCAAGCACTTTTTAAGGTCAATAAAAACCAATGATACAGGCGGGGCATGGTGGCTCACACCTGTAATCCTAGCACTTAGGGAGGCTGAGGCAGGTAGATCATGAAGTCAGGAGTTCGAGACCAGCCTGGCCAGTGTGGTGAAACCCTATCTCTACTAAAAAATACAAAAATTAGCTGGGCGTGGGAGCAGTCGCCTGTAGTCCCAGCTACTCAGGAGGCTGAGGCAGGAGAATTGGCTTGAACCCGGGAGGTAGAGGTTGCAGTGAGCCAAGATTGCGCCACTGCATTCCATCCTGAGTGTCATAGCAAGACTTCGTTCTCAAAAAAAAAATCAATAATACAAGTATTAGGCATTAACATTCTGCTTCAAAAAGAACTAGTAAAACAGTGAATTGCCGGCTGGGCGCAGTGGCTCACGCCTGTAATCCCAGCACTTTGGGAGGCCAAGGCGGGCAGATCACGAGGTCAGGAGATCGAGACCATCCTGGCTAACACGGTGAAACCCCGTCTCTACTAAAAATACAAAAAAATTAGTCAGACGTGGTGGCGGGCACCTGTAGTCTCAGATACTCGCGAGGCTGAGACAGGAGAATGGCATGAACCCACGAGGCGGAGCTTGCAGTGAGCCAAGGTTGCACCACTGCACTCCAGCCTGGGCGACAGAGCGAGACTCCATCTCAAAAAACAAAAAAAACAAACAGTGAATTGCCTCAGTATTTAATTTTTTGTTATATGTAATATTTAATATGGACATGTCAAATAACTAAACTTTAATATACTTTTATCTTCTATAAATGTGTTTAATATATTTTTCTCTTCTACAGATGTGTTTTTACCAAATTCAGCTCATTCTACCTCTAAGAGTCAGTCTGATCTCAATAAGGAAAATCAAAAGCCAATTTACAAATCTGACAAATGTACAGAAGCAGACACATGTAAGAATTCACCATTAGATGAATTAGAAGAAGGAGAAATTAGAAGTGATAGTGAAACATCTAAACCACAAGAAAGTTTTGAAAAAAATTCCAAACGTAGAGTGTCAGCTGATGTGCGGAAGTCAAAGACTATCCCACGACGTGGGAAAAGTACTGTGTGTTTAGATAAAGACAGTAGGAAAACACATGTAAGAATCCATCAGACCAATAACAAATGGAATAAAAGACCTGATAAATCTAGCAGATCTTCAAAAACAGAGAAGAAAGATAAAGTGATGAGCACTTCCAGCTTGGAAAAAATAGTTCCAATTATTGCTGTACCCTCTTCTGAACAAGAGATCATGCACATGTTACGAATGATAAGAAAACATGTAAGAAAAAATTATATGAAATTCAAGGCAAAATTTTCATTAATACAATTTCACAGAATTATTGAGTCAGCAATTTTGAGTTTTACATCTTTAATTAAACATCTCAACTTACACAAAATCTCTAAGTCAGTGACTACCTTACAGAAGAATCTCTGTGATATTATAGAGTCTAAACTTAAGCAAGTTAAAAAGAATGGCATAGTTGATCGTTTATTTGAACAGCAACTACCAGATATGAAAAAAAAATTGTGGAAGTTTGTAGATGACCAACTTGATTATTTGTTTGCAAAGCTTAAGAAAATCTTAGTATGTGATTCCAAAAGCTTTGGAAGAGATAGTGATGAAGGCAAACTTGAAAAAACAAGTAAACAGAATGCACAGTATTCAAATAGTCAGAAAAGGAGTGTGGACAACTCCAACAGAGAATTGCTGAAAGAAAAATTATCAAAATCAGAAGACCCTGTTCATTATAAGTCTTTAGTGGGATGTAAAAAATCTGAGGAAAATTATCAAGACCAAAATAACTCCAGTATTAACACTGTAAAGCATGACATTAAAAAAAATTTTAACATCTGCTTTGATAATATAAAGAACTCTCAATCCGAAGAGCGCTCCTTGGAAGTACACTGTCCAAGCACCCCAAAGTCAGAAAAAAACGAAGGAAGCAGCATAGAGGATGCACAGACATCCCAGCATGCAACTTTGAAGCCAGAACGAAGTTTCGAGATTCTTACCGAACAGCAAGCATCGAGCCTTACTTTTAATTTAGTGAGTGATGCACAAATGGGTGAAATATTTAAAAGTTTGTTGCAAGGTTCTGATCTTTTAGACAGCAGTGTTAACTGTACTGAAAAAAGTGAGTGGGAGTTAAAGACTCCAGAGAAGCAGCTGCTAGAGACTCTTAAGTGCGAGTCTATACCAGCTTGTACAACAGAAGAGCTAGTTTCAGGGGTGGCTTCTCCATGTCCTAAAATGATTAGTGATGATAATTGGTCATTATTATCATCTGAAAAAGGTCCATCTCTGTCTTCAGGGCTTTCATTGCCGGTTCATCCTGATGTGTTGGATGAAAGTTGTATGTTTGAAGTGTCTACTAACCTACCTTTAAGTAAAGATAATGTGTGTAGTGTAGAAAAGAGCAAGCCCTGCGTTTCTTCCATACTTCTTGAAGATCTAGCAGTCTCTTTAACAGTACCATCGCCTCTGAAGTCAGATGGTCATCTCAGTTTTTTAAAGCCTGATATGTCGTCCAGTTCAACTCCTGAAGAAGTCATTAGTGCTCATTTTAGTGAAGATGCCTTACTTGAGGAAGAGGATGCATCTGAGCAAGATATTCATTTAGCTCTGGAGTCTGATAATTCAAGCAGTAAATCAAGTTGTTCTTCTTCCTGGACAAGCCGATCTGTTGCTCCAGGCTTTCAGTACCACCCTAATCTACCTATGCATGCCGTCATAATGGAAAAGTCCAATGATCATTTCATTGTGAAAATACGACGTGCAACACCATCTACCTCTTCTGGCCTTAAACAGAGTATGATGCCTGATGAATTATTGACATCTTTGCCCAGACATGGAAAGGAAGCTGATGAAGGACCAGAGAAAGAATATATTTCATGTCAGAACACAGTTTTTAAATCTGTGGAGGAATTGGAAAACTCCAACAAAAATGTTGATGGCAGCAAGTCAACTCATGAAGAACAGAGCTCTATGATACAAACACAGGTTCCTGATATATATGAATTTCTTAAAGATGCTTCAGATAAGATGGGTCATAGTGATGAAGTGGCTGATGAATGTTTCAAATTGCATCAAGTATGGGAAACAAAAGTGCCTGAAAGCATTGAAGAATTGCCTTCAATGGAAGAAATCTCACACTCTGTTGGGGAACATCTTCCAAACACATACGTAGATCTAACGAAAGATCCAGTCACTGAAACCAAAAACTTGGGGGAATTCATAGAAGTAACAGTTTTACATATTGATCAGTTGGGATGTTCTGGAGGCAATTTAAATCAGAGTGCTCAAATATTAGACAATTCTTTGCAGGCTGATACTGTAGGTGCTTTTATTGATTTGACACAAGATGCTTCAAGTGAGGCTAAAAGTGAAGGTAATCATCCTGCATTAGCTGTGGAAGACTTGGGATGTGGGGTGATACAGGTAGATGAAGATAATTGTAAGGAAGAAAAGGCACAAGTGGCAAACAGGCCTTTAAAATGCATTGTTGAGGAAACCTATATCGACTTGACCACAGAATCTCCCAGTTCATGTGAAGTAAAAAAAGATGAGTTAAAATCAGAGCCAGGATCAAATTGTGATAACTCGGAGTTGCCTGGGACTTTGCATAATTCTCACAAAAAGAGAAGAAACATTTCTGATCTAAATCATCCTCATAAAAAACAAAGAAAGGAAACAGACTTAACTAATAAGGAAAAGACCAAGAAACCTACCCAAGATTCTTGTGAGAATACTGAAGCTCACCAAAAGAAAGCCAGTAAGAAGAAGGCCCCTCCTGTGACTAAAGATCCCTCATCATTAAAGGCAACCCCAGGGATTAAGGATTCATCAGCAGCACTTGCCACTTCTACAAGTCTTTCTGCAAAAAATGTTATTAAAAAGAAGGGAGAAATTATCATTTTATGGACAAGGTAAGAATCTTGTGAGACATTGAAATCACCAGGAAATTTTGCACTCAGAAATCTAATCTGTCTGGCTGGGCGCAGTGGCTCATGCCTGTAATCCCAATACTTTGGGACGCTGAGGCAGGTGGATCACTTGAGCCCAGGAGTTTGGGACCAGCTTGAGCAACATGGCGAAATTCTGTCTCTACAAAAAAATACAAAAATTAGGGCCGGGCGCAGTGGCTCACGCCTGTAATCCCAGCACTTTGGGAGGCTGAAGCGGGCGGATCATGAGGTCAGGAGATTGAGACCATCCTGGCTAACATGGTGAAACCCAATCTCTACCAAAAATACAAAACTTAGCCAGACGTGGTGGCATGCACCTGCAGTTCCAGCTAGTTGGGAGGCTGAGGCAGGAGAATGGCATGAACCCGGGGGGCAGAGCTTGCAGTGAGCCGAGATGGCGCCACTGCATTCTAGCCTGGGCAACAGAGCGAGACTGTCTTAAAAAAAAAAAAGAAAAAAAATACAAAAATTAGCCAGGCGTGGTGGTGCAGGCCTGTGGTCCCAGCTACTTGGGAGGCTGAGGCAGGAGGATCACTTGAGCCTGGGAGGCGAAGGTTGTACTCCAGCCTGGGTGACAGAGCAAAACTCTGTCTCAAAAAAAAAAAAAAAAACCTAAAGTTACCTAGCCAGGCATGGTGGCAGGCACCTGTAGTCCCAGCTACTCAGAAGGCTGAGGCAGGAGAATGGCCGTGAACCTGGGAGGCGGAGCTTGCAGTGAGCTGAGATCACGCCACTGCCCTCCAGCCTGGGTGACAGTGCGAGACTCCCTCTGGAAAAAAAGAAAAGAAAACCTAAAGATATCTAATCTGTCATGTCTTCATAGCTTTATCATCCTAAAATAAGGAAAATGAGGACTTCAAAAGTGGCCAAAGGTAGTTGAAGATACATTCTAGAGTACAGACCTGCTGTACTGTTGTACAATCTAGAACAGTGGCTCTTAACCAGAGGTGTGCAGTAATACCATGGATATAGCTTTTCACTTCGAAAAGCTCTATTGTGAAGTTAAAAAAAGAAAAGTGAAGTGAAAAAAAGTTAAAAAGTGAAGGGAAAAAGTGTGTTTTAACTTCACTGTTTAAATTAAAAACTTACTTCATTTGGAAGGAACTGCTGTAAGCACATCTTAGAAGGAATGACAAGTGATGAAACACAGCAAAAAATCGAGTGTTGGTATAGGTTGGTGCTGCAAAACCACAATTACTTTTGCAGCAACCTAATAGTTTGATTTTTCCTCCAGATTAGAAGTTTACAGTTTTGTAAACCGGTTGTACTTTTGAGGGTTTTTGTTTGTTTGTTTGTTTGTTTGTTTGTTTGAGTTTCACTCTTGTTGCCCAGACTCGAGTGCAATGGTACCATCTTGGCTCACTGCAACCTCTGCCTCCCGGGTTCAAGTGATTCTCCTGCCTCAGCCTCCCGAGTAGCTGGAATTACAAGGGCACACCCAGCTAATTTTGTATTTTTAGTAGAGACAGGGTTTCTCCGTGTTGGTCAGGCTGGATTGTAGGTAGGAAGTACTGGATTACAGGCATGAGATGCTGTGCCTGTACACTTTTGAGTTTTATATGAACTGTTTAAGAAAATCAAGACCCCATTCAGATGTAAAAGTAACCAGTTATGAATCATTGGACTAGAGGTAGATATACTTGACTAGAATGCTGAATGAGAGAAGCTGAGTTTTGTGAAAACTGGTGATCAGTTTTGTTAATTCCACAGTCCTCAAATCCCCATTGCAGGTAACTTTGCAGATGGCAGTATAATATCTCAGCAATTGTATTAATACCCATTTGGTCAGAGTATGTAGAAAAAGCAGAGGTCTGGGAATTAGAAGATAGGATTCTATTTTAGTTCTGGTTCTTCTGCTTATTATGTCTGTGACCATCTTTGGGCCCTAAGTTTTTTAGTGTATACATTAAAGGTAGAATTAAAAAGAAATACTTTAATTTTGTCATTAAGAAAATCAGTAGATTTGTTATAGAATACATATGAACTCAGAACAAAATCATCTAAATCTTATTTCTCAGAGACACCCATTGTCCATATTTTGGTATATACACTTTTCCTTTTTCCTATGGGTTTAAATTTCCCTGGTTGGTGGACTTCAAGGCAGTGGGATTTTTATTACCTTTCTAATACAGTGTACTAAAACTAAATACAATTTTTTCCTCCTCAGAAATGATGACCGGGAAATTTTATTGGAGTGTCAGAAAAGAGGGCCATCATTTAAAACATTTGCATATTTAGCCGCCAAGTTGGATAAAAATCCAAATCAGGTAACTACCCAATTTTTACATCTCTATTGGTTCACAGATGTTGCTACTCTAAATACTTAAGATTTAGGCTAGGTGTGGTAACTCACAGCTATAATCCCAGCACAGCCAAGGTGGGAGGATCCCTTGAAGCCAGGAGTTCGAGACCATCCGGGCAACAAGGTAAGACTTCTGCCTCTACAGAAAAATTTTAAAAAATTAGTGGGTGCTGTCGTGTGCACCTGTGGTCTCAGCTCGGAAGGCTGAGGAGGGAGGATCGCTTGAGCCCAGGAGATCAAGGCCACCCTGGCCAATATAGTGAGACCATGTCTCTACAAAAAACAAAAAAAATAGCAGGACATGGTGACATGCACCTGTAGTCCCAGCTACTCGGGAGGCTGAGGCAAATTGATCACTTGAGCCCAGGAGGTTGAGGCTACAGTGAGCTGTGATCATGCAACTGCACACCAGCTTGAGACAGAGTGAGACCCTGTTTCAGACAAAAGTAAATAAATAAATGTTTAGATTGAATTTTTTTTCTTTTTGAATTAAAGTTAGTTTCATTCAGTCTTTTTTTTTTGGAAACAGAGTCTTGCTTTGTTGACCTTACTGGAGTGCAATGGCGTGATCTTGGCTCACTGCAGCCGCCACCTCCTGGGTTCAAGTGATTCTTGTGCTTAAGCCACCCGAGTATCTGGGATTACAGGTGTGTGCCACCACACCCAGCTAATTTTTTGTATGTTTAGTAGATTACTAGAGAGGCGGAGTTTTGCTGTGTTGGCCAGGCTGGTCTTGAACTCTGGGTCTCATGTGATCTGCTCACCTCGGCCTCCCAAAGTGCTGGGATTACAGGCGTGAAAAAAATGTTTTAAGAGATGGAGTCAGGCCAGGCGCGATGGCTCACGCCTGTAATCCCAGCACTTTGGGAGGCCGAGGAGGGCAGATCACAAGGTCAGGAGATTGAGACCATCCTGGCTAACATGGTGAAACCCCGTCTCTACTAAAAATACAAAAAATTAGCCGGGCACAGTGGCACACCTGTAATCCCAGCACTTTGGGAGGCCGAGGTGGGCAGATCATTTGAGGCCAGGAGTTCTATACCAGCCTGGCCAACATGGTGAAACCCCATCTCTACAAAAAATACAAAAATTAGCTAGGCATGGTGGCACGTGTCTGTAATCCCAGCTACTTGGGAGACTGAGGCATGAGAATCGCTTGAACCTGGGAGGTGGAGGTTGCGGTGAGCCAAGATTGCGCCACTACACTCCAGCCTGAAAGAGTGAGACTCTGCCTCTCAGAAAGAAAAGAAAAAAAAAACAAAAACTTGATTTGGACATAGAGCGCAGTGCTAGTGAAATCTTCAAAATATGTGTAGTAGTTTACTATGATGTTAAATTTCTTTTGTTTGTTCTGAGACGGAGTCTCACTCTGTCGCCCGGGCTGGAGTGCAGCCGCATGATCGCAGCTCACTGCAACTTCTGCCTCTCGGGTTCAAGTGATTATGACGTTAAATTTCTACTTATATAATTCAGAATGTTGCCGGGTGCAGTGGCTCATGCCTGTAATCCGAGCACTTTGGGAGGCTAAGGTGGGCAGGTCACCTGAGTTCAGGAGTTCGAGACCAGCCCAGCCAACATGATGATACTTCATTTCTACCAAAATTACAAAAATTAGCTGGGTATGGTGGAACGTGCCTGTAATCCCAGCTACTTGGGAGCCTGAGGCAGGAGAATCACTTGAACAAAACACAACAGAATACTGTAAGCTTGAATAATGGGGAATTTGGAGAAGAAGCTTATTCTAAAGAACTTTTTTTTAAAAAGCTCTGGGCAAAAGTGGCTTGATTATTTATTAGATTAACTGTGCTTTTTAAGATTTTTGCTGCCTTTAAGAAATTAAATCGTTTCTTTTTTTTACCTTAATGTTATATTAAAGTATGATTTCCGTTCTCTTGTGAAGAGAATGTAAATTCTTTTAAACAGAGATGGGGTTTCGCTGTGTTGCCCAGGCTGGTCTCGAACTCCTGGATTCAAGCGATCCATCTGCCTTGGCCTCCCAAAGTGCTCAGATTACAGGCGTAAGCTACTGCACCTGGCCAAAAATCTAAAACCATTTAATGAATTTGATATTTGAGATTTCTTTGCTTGCAGGATAGCACATATTGTGGGTTATTTCATTCGTAGCTTGCCTCTTAACTGATTTTTTTTCCCCACAAGTACTGTAGTCCTATTAAATTTTTGTCAATATCAAGTATAATGATAGTTACCAAACTGATTGCAAAAGCTAGGTTTTTTTTTAAATTTTGAGACCAATTGGAAGATGAGAAAGCTAGTTTATTAAACACCAATATCGTCTAAATGGAGCTCATTTAAGATAACACATTATGAGATAGTCCTATCAGAAAAATAGAATAATAACTTTAGCATTTTCTTACATTACAGATAAGTTGCTGAATTCCTGGGACTCTTAACTGATATTGCATACTACACAGAAGCTTCAAATTCCTCATGTTTTAAATGAGCACTAGAGGGAGGTTTATCACCTTTTTGGTTACCAGATGATAATCTATATTTGTTATTACTCAGTGACTCTCTAATTTCACATCAGCATGTTCAGCTTGTGCTAGTCATCATTCTGATTTGCTTATCTGTTTTTGGTCAAAATATTTATTTTTAAACATGTTAGAACTTACCAAAATGAAAGCAACAGTGATGTATTGAAATCTTAGTTTTGATATTTTAAAGAAATGACTTTCTAGATTAAAAAAATAGTTTTGTAGCATTTTAAACTTAGTGACTATTTAGTTCAATTGTTCATCCATTTTTTATTTGCTTTTATAATTGCCTCCTTGTTTTGGTATATTGTAAAATAATTTAAATAATGTATTTATAAATATGTATAATTATGATGTAAAATACCGTGTGTATATGTATGTATGTGTGTTTCTGTATATGCACACACATAAACGGCTTTGCCTAGCCAAGGATTTTTTTTATCTGTATAAAACTTTTTGTATAAAGTTTGCTTTCAATAACAGTAATGTATAATAAAACCATGTAAAGTTTTGTTGTATTTTGATTCGAATGTTTCTTTTACTTTTATTGTGTTTAGGTAATAATTTAAAAAATCAAAAGAGGTAAAAGTCCTAGGGGACGTAGGGTGCAATTTTGAAGTGGTTCCTGGTTGGGGTGTGGCTGGCTGAATGGTTCTGAGTAGATTGAGAAAACTGATTGCTGTTGCCTGCCTTCTCACAGCAAGTACTAGAACGGTGAACCATATCTCTGCTGCAGGTGTCCTCACAGATAAAATTAGAGTAGCACAAGAGCTTTTTGGGTGAAGCTTTGGAGAAAACAGGTGTAAGGATTGATTAGCTTGGGCATTACTTCTTCACCCTTCAGCCTTCAGACTCACAGAACTTCTCAGTTAATAATCTAGGCCCTAGACTCTAGGAAGTGCCTCTTCTCATTGCCATTTTTCTCAGGGTGTCCAAAGGAAGAAGCCCTGTCCTAAAAGATTACACATTGAAATAAATAGCAGTGGTTTTGTAGTGCTAGGGCTCTCCAACATGGGGCTTGTCCCCTTCCCTCTCTTTGAACCCTTAATACCAACTAGAGGGTTGGCCATCAGTCCTTCTGCAGTGCATACTCTCACTCAGAAGATCTCATACCACCAGGTAAGTGAGTTCACAAACAATATGATAACCGAAAGATACTACTGGTTCAAAAGAAAACTGGATTACATAAGACTTTCAGAATCTAAAATGAAACTAATAAACATTAAAAGATGTTAGCAACGTGATACAGGAAATAATGAAACATTTAAAGTAAATAACATAATAAATGGAGTAAAAGGATAGAGGCCAGGTGTGGTGGCTCATGCCTGTAATCCCAGCACTTTGGGAGGCCGAGGCAGGTGGATCATGAGGTCAGGAGTTCAAGACCAAGCCTGCAAGATGGTGTAACCCTGTCTCTACTAAAAATACCAAAATTAGCTGGGCATGGTGGTGGGTGCCTGTATTCCTAGCTACCCGGGAGGCTGAGGCAGAGAATTGAACCCGGGAGGTGGAGGTTGCAGTGAGCCAAGATCACACCACTGTGCTCCAGCCTGGGTAACAGAGCGAGACTCAAAAAAAAAAAAGGGTAGATACAGGTGCAGAATAAACTAGTTGGAAAATCAGGCTGAGAAACCACCAGAAGGAAGCAAGAAAAAGAATACAGGAAATATGAAAGCGGATTTAAGCAAGATGGAAGCCAGAAGTAGGTGTGCCAACATTCAGGTAAGAGGCCTAGAAGGAGGAAAAAAATAGAGATTGAAAGGGCCATAGGGTGCCAAATGAGAGACATACTGAAATTGAAGAGTATCAAGGTAACGAGAAAAATCTAAAAGCTTTTAGAGTAAATGTATAAAGGAACAAGAATAAGATTGACTTCAGTCTTCTCAAGTGCAATACTGGGTGCAGGAAAATAATGTCATATTTAAAGTACCGGACTTAAAGTTTTAGTCTATCTAAATTTGTCATTCACATGTGAGGAATTAATAAAAACATTAAGATTTACCAAAGATCTCTATCCAAAGGAAAAGAAGTCACTTTATCAGAAAGACACACACGTTTATTGCAGCACAATTCACAGTTGCAAAGACATAGAATGAACCTAAGTGTCCATAAATTGATGAGTGGATAGAGAATGTGGTATACATATATCATGGAGTGCTACTCAGCTGCACAAAAAGAATAATGTCTTTTGCAGCAACTTGTATTGAACTGGAGGCTGTTCTAAGTGAAGTAACTCAGGAATTGAAAACCAGATAACATTCAGGTGTGGTGGCTCACGCCTGTAATCCCAGCAATTTGGGAGGGTGAGGCGGGCAGATCACCTGAGGTCAGGAGTTTGAGACCAGCCTGGCCAACGTGGCAAAACGCTGTCTCTACTGAAAATACAAAAATTAGCCGGGTGTGGTGGCGGGCGCCTGTCATCCCAGCTACTCAGGTGGCTGAGGCAGGGAGAATTACTTGAACCTGGAAGGCGGAGGTTGCAGTGAGCCAAGACTGTGCCATTGCACTCCAGCCTGGGCAACAAAGCGAGACTCCGTATCAAAAAGCAAACACAAAAAAACCCAGATACCCCTTTCTGCTTCCACTGCCACCATGGCACTCATGAAAAAGCTTGTGGCAAAGCAGGGCAGAAAACAAAAAAGAAGCAGGTTTCTGAAGTTTACTCTTAATTGCACCCACTGTAGAAGATGGAATCATGGATGCTGCTAATTTTGAGCAGTTTTTGCAAGAGGGGATCAAAGTGAATGGAAAAGCTGGGAATCTAGGTGGAGGACCAAGAGCAAGATCACCATGACTTCTGAGGTGACTTTTTCCTAAAGGTATTTGAAATATCTCACAAAAAAATTTTGAAGAAGAATAATCTGTGTGATTGGTTGCACGTAGTTGCTAACAGCGAAGAAAGTTATGAATTACGTTACTTCCAAATTAGCCAGGACAAATAGGAGGAAGATGAGGATTAAAATTCATTTATCTGGAATATTTTGTATGAGTTTGTGAATAAAACTTGGGAACCAGAGGAAAAAAAAACCAGATACCACATGTTCTCGCTTATAAATGGGTATGCAAAGGCATACAGAGTGGTATAACAGAGATTGGAGACTCAGAAGGTGGAACAGGGAAGGGATGAAAAACTACATATTGAATACAATGTTTGCGACTTGGGTGACTGGTGCACTAGAATACTAGACTTCAGCACTGTGCAGTTCATCCATGTAACTGAAAACCACTTGTACCTCTAAAGGTACTGAAAAATTTTTTTAAAAAATGAAAAAAAGATTTGCTGGGCCGTGTGGGGTGGCTCACGCCTGTAATCCCAGTTCTTTGGGAGGCTGAGGTGGGCGGATCACTAGGTCAAGAGATCAAGACCATCCTGGCCGACATGGTGAAACCCCATCTCTACTAAAAATACAAAAATTAGCTGGGTGTGGTGGTGCACGCCTGTAATCCCAGCTACTCAGGAGGCTGAGGCAAGAGAATCACGTGAACCCTGGAGGCAGAGGTTGCGGTGAGCCGAGATAGGGCCACTGCACTCCAGCCTGGTGACAGAGCAAGACTCCGTCTCAAGAAAAAAAAAAAAAAAAGATTTGCCAATGATTCGCATTGAAAATTTTGGAAAAAATACTCAAAAAGTCCAGAAGATACTACAAAATCTGTGGGGATAACAGTGTTCAGATACCTTGGTAAGATGTGTATAGGGGGAGAAAGATTTTTTTAGAAAGCAATAAACCAGAATTATAATTTTAGACAGTATCAACATAATGGCGAGTAGAGGAGATCAAGGAAGTATACAAATGTTACAGTTCTTGCCTTGTTAGGAAGAAGGTATAGACATAAAAATGCCACACTTAAAATTGAGGTATGGCATTCACGTAGAAAAGTGCATGAAAGAAATAGTTTTCACAAAGTAAACACTTGTGTAACAGCACCCAGATCAAGAATTAGAACATTACCAGCCCTCCAGAGTGCCCCCCATTCCTAGTAATAGTCCTTCCTTCTCCCTAGGGACAAACATTATCAGAACACTGTCTCTGATTTATATTATCATAGATTAGTTTTGCTTGTCTTTGAACTTTCAAATGGAATTATAACTGTAGATACTATTTGGCTTATTTCATTAAGCAATATGTGAGGTTCATGCCTGTGTTGAGTATAGCAATACTAAATTCTTTCTCACTACTGTATGTATTTCAATTGAACCACAATTTATCTATCCTACTGTCATAGACATTTGTGTTCTAGTTCAGAACTGTTAGAAATAATGCCATTGGCTGGGCGCAGTGACTCATGCCTGTAATCCCAGCACTTTGGGAGGCCGAGGCGGGCAGATCACGAGGTCAGGAGATCGAGACCATCCTGGCTAACACGGTGAAACCCTGTCTCTACTAAAAATACAAAAACAAAAAATTAGCCGGGTGTGGTGGCAGGCGCCTGTAGTCCCAGCTACTTGGGAGGCTGAGGCAGGTGAATTGCTTGAGATGGACTTTAGCTCTTGTTGCCCAGGCTGGAGTGCAGTGGCGTGATCTTGGCTCACTGCAAACTCCACCTCCCAGGTTCAACAAATTCTCCTGCCTCAGCCTCCCAAGTAGCTGGGATTACAGGCACCCGCCACCATACCTGGCTAATTTTTTTGTATTTTTAGCAGAGACGGGGTTTCTCCATGTTAGCCAGGCTGGTCTCAAACTTCAGACCTCAGGTGATCCTCCCACCTCGGACTCCCAAAGTGCTGGGATTACAGGCAGGCATGAGCCACCACATTCAGACTTTTTTTTGTATTTTTAGTAGAGACAGTGTTTCACCATGTTGGCCAGGCTGGTCTCAAACTCCTGGCCTCAAATGATCCACCCACCTTGGCCTCCCAAAGTGCTGAGATTATAGGCATGAGCCACTATGTCTGGCCTATTTTATTTTATTATTTATTTATTTACTTTTTTTTTTTTTTTTTTTTTGAGACAAGGTCTCACTTTGTTGCCCAGGCTAGAGTGCAATTGTGCAGTCACTGGTCACTGCAGCCTCGACCTCTTGGGTTCAAGTGGTCCTTTCACCTCAGCCTCCCAAGAAGCTGGGACTGCAGGCGCACACCACCATACCCAGCTAATTTTTGTGTATTTTGTAGAGAGAAGGTTTTGCAGTGTTGCTCAGGCTGGTCTTGAACTCCTAAGCTCAAGCAATCCCCCTCCTATCCTCCCAAAGTGTTGGGATTACAGGCGTGAGCCACTGTGCCCAGCCTACCACTTTTTATTTAACCATTCAGTGGACATTTGGGTTGTTTCCACATTTAGGCTACTGTGGAGTATTATGAACACAGCTGTTCATATTTGGGCCCCTGCTTTCTGTTCTGTACTCATTTATTTAATTTTACTTTTTTACCAGCTTCTACATCAAGAACACAAAGCTTGGCAGGGTGCACTGGCTCATGCCTGTAATCCCAGCACTTTGGGAGGCCTAGGCAGGATGATCACTTGAACCCAGGAGTTCAAGACCAGCCTGGGCAACATAGTGGGAATCTGTCTCTTAAAAAAAAAAAAAAAAAAAAAAAAAATTAGCCAGACGTGGTGGTGGCACCGGAGTGTGGTGGCACACTCCTGTGGTCCCAGCTACTCAGGAGGTTGAAGTGGGAGGATTGCTTGGACTTGGGAAGTCAAGGCTCCAGGGAGCCATGATTCTGCCAGTGCACTCCAGCCTGGGAGAGAGTGTGAGACCGTCTTAGAAAAAAAAAGGAAAAAATGTATACTGTTTATCAGCTTACAAAAGTTTCTTTCTAGGCTGGGCGCGATGGCTCACGCCTGTAATCCCAGCACTTTGGGAGGCCAAGGCGGGTGCATCACTTGAGGTCAAGAGTTCGAGACCAGCCTGACCAACATGGTGAAACCCTGTCTCTACTAAAAATACAAAAATTAGCTGGGCGTGGTGGCATACACCTGTAATCCCAGCTCCTTGGGAGGCTGAGGCTGGAGAATCGCTTGAACCTGGGAGGCAGAGGTTGCAATGAGCCAAGATTGTGCCACTGCACTCTAGCCTGGGTGACAGAGTGAGAGATTCCATCTCAAAAAAAAAAAAAAAAAAAAGTACCTCCTTTATTTATTTTCTCCTTTATTAAATGTGGTAAATTAAATCATTAAAAAAATTAAACCTTGCAGTTTCAGAATAAACTTTACTTTTATTTCATTTTTTCTTAAAACTCCTTGTCAACACAATAATAAACCCAACTTTAAAGTAATGTATTATATCCTTTTTAAATATATTGTTGGATTTAGTTTACTATACTGTTTGTTTAGGATATTCTGTTTGTGTGTGTGTGTGTGTGTGTGTGTGAAATTGGCTTACATTTCTTTCTTTCTTTTTTTTTTTTTTTTTGAGATGAAGTCTCACTGTGTCACCCAGGCTGGAGTGCAGCGACGCGATCTTGCTCACTGCTGCAACCTCTGCCCCCTGGGTTCAAGCGATTCTCCTGCCTCAGCCTCCTGAGTAGCTGGGTTTACAGGCACCTGTTACCGCACCCGGCTAATTTTTGTATTTTTTTAGTAGAGACAGGGCTTCACCATCTTGGCGAGGCTAGTCTTGAACTCATGACCTCATGATCCACCCACCTTGGCCTCCCAAAGTGCTGGGATTACAGGTGTGAGCCACTGTGCCTGGCCCATTTTTTTCTTTCTTAATGTCTTGTAAGGTTTTGGTATCCAAGTTATGCTGACTCTGTAAAGTGAATTGGAATGTGTTCCCTCTTTTTAAATTCTTGAAAAGTTACATGATAAGATCAGTGAAAAACGTGAGCATAAGCCCATTGCTGAGCTTATTCTCCTGTGAAATCTGTTTCTTGAACAGAAAATGTGTACAATGCCATAATGGCGAATAAGTATTCCATTAGGCTGTGCTTGGTGGTGCTGACAAAAGCATTAAGGTCAGGGAGGTAAATCCATACTTGGAGAATACGTCTCTCCCAGTGAAAACAAATTACATTCCCCTCCATGGATAGGGTCAGTCTGATGTAAGAAACCTGCTAGTAGGTAGTTGGCTAGTCCATATTGGGACTTAACTTTGACTTTGTTCTTGACATGCTAAGCCTTCCACAATGGAGGCACCCAGGTCAGCTCTGGTGAGTGGAAATCCATGTCGCTGAGCCCATAGCCTTCTTTCTCACCACCATGGTGATTTTGTTTATGGGTCCATTGAGCAAGCACTGGATTTGCAAGGGAAAGACACAGACTGACATCCCCAGAATGTATTATTTTGTTCATTTCACTATTGAGATTCTCTTCTACAGTAGGTGTCTTTGGTGAACACTGACATAAAACACAAATATCTTCACATTTTGTCTCTAATCCTAGAAGTCCCTTCACGATACTTTTTTCTTAGACCTTGTCACATTTTGTTTTTTCCAAGTCTTAAACCATCCAGCCAAACCTTTAACCACTTCCCTTGAATGTACATCCTATGTCTGGCCCTTTCCCACTCCAGTTGAAGAAGACAATCATATATGCTGCTCAAAGTTCTACCTCCCAGGAGAATTTCCCTTCAACATTATCTCCTGGTTGGCATTGTAACATTGCAGCAGTCTATTTCTGGCCTTTGCTGGCACATCAGTCAGAAACATCTGGAAAATAGGCCCAAATATTTTTTCTCCCCCCCAGTTAACCGGTCATAAGGAACTTCATATGAGGCTCTAGGTGTTGACTGAGTGAGAAAAGAAGCAGGTACAGTATTGGGTATCAGAGGAATCTGCTTATGCAACTAATACACCTTCCAGACCTGCTTCAGCCTGATGTTTTATATAACATTTACACTTATTGATGTATTGCTGCTGTGTGTGCCCAACCTTATGGTGGCATGGATCAGATAATACCCAGTTCATTCTGGATATCTCAGGTCACCTGGTCACTTGACGTACCATGGTCAGGCATTCAGTCTCTAACAGGGCATAGCTATGCTCCAGAATGCTGAAGCTCTGCACTGTGATTCTTTTATTAAGGCTTGCTAGAGCCTCCATGTGACATATTGTATTAATCAGTTCTCATGCTGCTGATAAAGATATACCCAAGACTGGGTAATTTATAAAGAAAAAGAGGTTTAGTGGACTCACAGTTCCACATGACTGGGGAGGCCTCACAATCATGGTGGCAGGCCGGAGAGCTTGTGCAGGGGTACTCCCATTTACAACACCATTAGATCTCATGAGACTTATTAACTACCACAAGAACACTATGGGGGGGAAACCATCCCATGATTCGATTATCTCCACACGGCCCCACCCTGGACACCTGGGGATTATTTCAATACAAGGTGAGATTTGGGTGGGGACACAGCCAAACCATATCACATATTTATTAGCTAAAGTTTCTTTGAATTCATCTAATTTGCTGGGATTTTGCACACTCTTGCACTGCAGACTGAACTTACTGCAGAGTTTTTTCTTTCTCTGTTTCCCAGGAAAATCTCACAGCCTTACAGGTTATTCATTTAATGGACCAGAGTAGCATATCAAATGACTTCCATAATTCACAAAGGCTTATCAAGCATTGCACCTTTTTTTTTGTATGGTGTTGGTGGTAGTGGTAGTTATAGTGCAAGGGATAGAAACTACTTTCACTTGGGGAGGACTGGATCTCTAGAAACTTTGCTGAAGTGGCAGGTCCCTTAATTTTTGTGGGGCTTGTATTCTACCCTGTGGCCTGCATTTGTCTTCTTACTAAAAT
Organism: Homo sapiens; assembly: GCF_000001405.40. Taxonomy (NCBI): domain Eukaryota; kingdom Metazoa; phylum Chordata; class Mammalia; order Primates; family Hominidae; genus Homo; species Homo sapiens. The sequence continues at coordinate 89,882,609 of NC_000006.12, forward strand.
ATCGACAGTACTTTTCTCTTGCTCATCAGGTCTAATCAGCATTATGTTATCAATGTAGTGACCCAGTATGATATTCTGGGGGTTATCAAGCTCATCTAGACCTCTGTGGCCTAGATTATGGCAGAGAACAGGAAAATTGATGAAGCCCTTAGGCAAGATGGTGAAAGATGTATTGTTGACCCTGCCAGATAAAAGCAAATTGTTGGAGGTTGGCAGCATACATTCTAACACTCCAGGGCCTTATAAAAATCAAGAAAGTAGCCATTCTCAGATGTCAGGCCTGCTCAGCTCATGGAAGCTTAGAATTAAAAAAATATATATATATGTACATATATATATTTCATAAAAATATATATTCCTATAAACAACATATAGAATTGAGAGTTTTAAATTTATGAGAGTATTCCAAAGTATGTTTTGTTCTGTGATGTCCTTTATTCACTCAGATTTCTTTTTATTCAAATGGAGTTTTGCTCTTGTTGCGCAGGCTGGAGTGTGTGCGATCTGGGCTCACTGCAACCTCCACCTCCCAGGTTCAAGCAATTCTCCTGCCTCAACCTCCCAAGTAGCTGGGATTACAGGCATGTGCCACCACCCCTGGCTAATTTTTTGTAATTTTTAGTAGAGACGGGGGTTCACCATGTTGGTCAGGCTGGTCTCCAACTCCTGACCTCAGGTGATCCACCTGCCTCAGCCTCCCAAATTGCTGGGATTACAGGTGTGAGCTACTGCGCCCAGTCACTAAGAATATTTTTGAAATTTATGTTAATACAGACTCATTCACTTTGTTTTGTTCTGAGACGGAGTCTTACTCTGTCGCCCAGGCTGGAGTGCAGTGGCGCGATCTCCGCTCACTGCAAGCTCTGCCTCCCAGGTTCACGCCATTCTCCTGTCTCAGCCTCCCAAGTAGCTGGGACTACAGGCACCTGCCACCACGCCCAGCTAGTTTTTTTGTATTTTTTAGTAGAGACGGGGTTTCGCTGTTTGCCAGTATGGTCTTGATCTCCCAACCTCGTGATCCGCCCACCTCGGCCTCCCAACGTGTTGGGGTTACAGGGGTGAGCCACGACGCCCGGCATTTTTTTTTTTTTTTTTGAGACGGAGTCTTGATCAGTCGCCCAGCCTGGAGTGCAGTGGCGTGATCTCGGTTCACTGCAAGCTCTGCCTCCCGTGTTCACGCCATTCTCCTGCCTCAGCCTCCCGAGTAGCTGGAACTACAGGCGCCCGCCACCACACCCGGCTAATTTTTTTGTATTATTAGTAAAGACGGGGTTTCACCATGTTAGCTAGGATGGTCTCGATCTCCTGACCTCGTGATCCACCCACCTTGGCCTCCCAAAGTCCTGGGATTACAGGCGTGAGCCACCGCGCCCGGCCCACTTTGTTTTCTTTTTAAGGCAAATGACTTCTGTTAATATTTGCAAATTGATATAGAGAAAAAGCATTTGCCATGTGAATGGCTGCATACTGTGTGACAAGACTAATTCGATTTCTTCCATTAAAGATACCACATCTGGAGCAGTAACTGCAATTGGAGTCAGTGCATGATTAAGGTGATAATTTTCTAAGATCTATTATTCTTTTTCTGTACAAAGGATGAGATAGGTAGTACCATGCAGCACATTTAGTGTCTTTTTTCTTTTTGAGACAGGGTCTCACTCTGTTGCCCAGGCCCCAGGCTGAAGAGCAATGGCATGACCTTGGCTCACTGCAACCTCTGCTTCCCCGGTTCAAGCAGTTTTCGTGTCTCACCCACCCAAGTAGCTGGGATTACAGGCATGCGCCACCATACGTGGCTACGTTTTGTATTTTTAGTAGAGATGGGGTTTCACCATGTTGCCCAGGCTCGTCTGGAACTCCTGGCCTGGAGTGATCCACCCGACTCAGCCTTCCAAAATGCTGGCCCCTTGAAAAGGGCCACTGTGCTCAGCCGCTTTCAAGACTTTAATCTCTGCAATTGCACTAATCTCTGCAATTGCCCTGAGGATGAAGTATTGTTTTTTTGTGGGGGAATTTAAATCTTCCATCCAACTCTTTCCTCTATTATGTCCTATCTCCTCTGTGTTATTTCCTCTCCTCTTCTTTAATTTCTTTTAGGTTGATTATTTTTAATTCAATTTTACCTCTCTTAACTTTATTGTTCTCTGAGAGATTACACATGCATCCTTTACTTATCAATGTTTAAGAGATTACACATGCATCCTTTGCTTATCAATGTTTAATATTCTGACTCTGACAAAATGCATTCAATGTATTACATTCATTACTTTTCAGGTGACTTTTTACCTAATACTATACAAATACAGTTATTAATACATCATATGTTTTTACCTCTAGTTAATTCTGACAGATAATTTGTACTTTGGGCTGATGTGCCAGGCTAGTGGAAGTTTAATGTCACCTGTCTACCTTTCATTATCATCCTTTTTTAAAAACTAAATGACCAAAAATAGAATAGGCAGATGATAACGATGAACTATCAGTAATTTTATGCACTTCTACATTTTATATGGAAAAGAGCAGGCTTAGAAATGTGCCTCAGAGCTGTGATCTGAAACCCTCATTGGGTTCTAGTGATGCCCTTGCGGTCAACACCTCTTAAGATGGCAAGAAGATTATATGCTTGAGATGTGACTAGCGAAAGATGCTGCACACTGAGAGTTTGGAGACCTGGTCTATCAGCATTGGGCAAGTCGTTTGACCTCTCTGGAATTCTCATTCTTTCTCTACAAAAATCAGACCTAGGTTTCTAAGGCTACTACTGGCTTCCAGATTCTCTATTTAGAAAGAAAAATATTTTCTTGAGCCATATGTTTTGACCTAATAGAATATTGCTACAACAAGAATGGTGATGCACACCTGTAGTCCCAGCTACTCAGGAGGTTGAGGTAAGAGGATCACTTGAGCCCAGGAGTTGGAGTCCAGCTTGGGCAACAGAGCAAGACCCTATCTTTAAAATACTAGTACTACTACTACTACTACTACTAATAGAATATCGGCACAGAAATGGACGGCATGCTGTGGCGGGGCTGGTGCAAGATGCCGCTGCGGGTTCAGGTGTTTAATTTGCAGTAGGGGCTGGGCGCGGTGGCTCATACCTGTAATCCCAGCATTTTGGGAGGCTGAGGAGGGCAGATCACTTGAGGCCAGGAGTTGGAGAGCAGCCTGGCCAACATGGTGAAACCCCGTCTCTACTAAAAATACAAAAATTAGCCGGGCATGATGGCGCATGCTTGTAATCCCAGCTACTCAGGAGGCTGAGGCAGGAGAATCGCTTGAACCCAGGAGGCAGAGGTTGCAGTGAGCCGAGATGGCGCCACTGCACCCCAGCCTGAGCGACAGAGGAAGACTCCACCTCATTTAAAAAAAAAATACATACATACACACACACACACACACACACACACACACACACACACACACACACACACACACACACACATTTGCTGTAGGTGTTACCTCCTCCTGCCTGGCATGGCCAGGAACTTAATCTTGAGCTCCAGCCTGTCGTCCTGTACGCTACTCTGAGGAGGCGGCTGTGGAGCCCATGCAAGTCGACAAGGACCTCCCGGAGGACCTGCAGAATGCACCCGACATCAACTACTTGGTGGACGCCACCCTGGAACTGGAGCAGTGCGTTGCCAGTTGCAGCGGCCTGATGTGCACTGAGCGGCTGCAGTTTATTGCTGACTGACTACTGCCCCTTGCTGCGGGTGGATGCCCTGAATATGGCGCTCTCCTTCCTGCAGAGAATCTTTAACGTGGACCTGTACGAAGAGGTCCACCGGAAGCTCTCGAAGAGGTCCACCTGAAGCTCTCGGAGGCCACCAGGAATCTGAGGAACTCACCCGACGCCATCCTTGAGAGTGGCGTGGAGCCCCCGTCCCTGGACACGGCCTGGGTGGAGGCCACTCAGAAAGAGGCCCTGCTTAAGCTGGAGAAGCCGGACGCAGACCTGAAGAACTACAAGCGCAACTCCACCAAGGAGCGCACCAGGCGCGGCCATGATGATTCAGCAATGCCCTCAAGTGTCACTCACGGCCTGAGACTACTGCAGCAGCGCCAAGCACGCCATCAACATGTCCTCAACGTCTTCAAGGTCAGCGTCTACTTGCAAAATTGGCCTTACGTGCTGAGCCGCGTCAGCAAGGCCGAGTCCACCCTGGAGATTGCCTAGCAGCGAGGACAGAGGGGCAGCCAGCCAGGCGCAGGCGGTCCTCACCCAGCTTCAATGCGCTGGAGGCTTGGCAGAGCTGGTCGCGAGGAAGTACAAGCAGGCTGCCAAATGCTTCCTGCTGGCTTCGTTTGATCACTGTGACGTCCCCCAGCTGCTGTCCCCCAGCAACGTGGCCGTCTGTGGGGGCCTATGCGCCTTGGCCACCTTCGACCGGCAGAAGCTGCAGCGCCGCCTCATCTCCAGCAGCTCCTTCAAGTTGTTCTTGGAGCTGGAGCCGCAGGTTGGAGACATCGTCTTCTAATTCCACGAGTCCAAGCGTGCCTCGTGTCTGAAGATGCTGGACGATGCCTCGTGTCTGAAGATGCTGCACCTTTAGCCTTGAGGCCAGGAGTTTGAGACCAGTTGGGTCAACATGGCGAAATCCCGTCTCTACTAAAAAATACAAAAATTAGCTGGGCGTGGTGGTGCCTGCCTGTAATCACAGCTACTCCGGAGGCTCAGGGAAGAGAATTGCCTGAGCGTGAGAGACAGAGTTTGCAGTGAGTCGAGATCGCGCCGCTGCACTCTAGCCTGGGAGAAAAAGAGAGACTCTGTCTACACACACACACACACACACACACACACACACACACACACACAAAGGAGGAGATGTAGGACGACCTGCTCTTGGACATGTGTACCTCCCCCACCCCCACTCCCTCACCGCCCCACCGTCAGGACCCTGTACGCCCAGATTCGCAACTCTGCCCTCAACTCGCACAGGGTGGCCGTGCCCTTAGCCCCGCTGTGGCAGCCCGGGAGGGTGAGCTGACGCAGCAAGTCCGGGAGGGGCTGACGCGCCCGCGTGGACTCGCACAGCAAGATCCTGGACGCCCGGGATGTGGATCAGCGCAAGCACCACCTTCGAGAAGTCTCTGCGGATCGGCAGGGAGTTTCAGCACCGCGCCAAAGGCCGGATGCTGAGGGTAGCTGTGCTGCGCAACCAGATCCACGTGAAATCCCTTCCAGAGAAGGGAGCCCGGGGAGCGACTCCGGCCAACAGCCAGTCCCGGTGGACACCAGCTTCTTAGGGGTCAGCCTCCAGGACGTCTGCACACCCTCCCGCCCCAACGGACCTGTTCACTTCGAGGCAGCTCTGTGCCACCCGCGGCCCAGTGGAGAGCCTGGCTGTGTGCCCTAGCACCCCGTGTGCCCTCGCACCCCATGTGCCCTGTGCTGGGGCCTGGGAGGCAGGCGGCTGCTAGCCATCCTGGAAGGCGGGGCCTGTAGGGCTTGACCGCGTGGGTGTCTGTACCTAGGAAGCAGGCTGTGCAGCGCCTAGGGGGCACCACCTCCTGGAACCCTCCTATTCCAAGGAGGGAGAGGGGAAGGGGAGGGGAGGGGAAGGGAGAAGAGGAGGAAGAGGAAGAGGCAGAATAAGAAGAGGAGGAGGGAGAGAGGAGGAGAGGGAGGTTTATTTTTTTCTTTTTTTTCGAGGCGGAGTCTTGCTCTGTTGCCCAGGTTGGAGTGCAGTGTCGCGATCTGGGCTCACTGCAGCCTCCACCTCCTGGGCTCAAGTGATCCTCCCACCTCAGCCTCCCGAGTAGCTGGAACTGCAGGTGCACAACACCATGCCCAGCGAATTTTTGTGTTGTTTTGCAGAGATGGGGTTTTGCAGTGTTGCTCAGGCTAGTCTCGAGCTCCTGGGCTCAAGTAACCTGCTTGAGGCCTCCCAAAGTGCTGGGATTACAGGAATGAGCCACCACGTACTGGTCTTTTTTCTTTTCTTTCTTTCTTTTTTTTTTTTTTTTTTTTTTTTGAGACAGAGTCTTGCTCTGTCACCAAGGCTGGAACGCGATGGTGCAATCATAGCACTGCAACCTTGAACTCCCGGGTTAAAGTTGTCTTCCCTCCTCAGCCTCCCGAGTAGCTAAGACTACAGGCATGCACCACAATCCTTTGTTAATTTTTTTTTTTTTTTGTAAGGACTGGGGTCTCACTATGTTACTCAGGCTGGTCTCCAACTCCTAGCCTCAAGCAATCCTTCTGCCTTGGCCTCCCAAAGTGCTGATATTATAGGCATGAACCACCACACCCGACCCTAAAAATGTTTATTCTCTTTTTGAGATGTTTCTTCTTTCAGCATGGCATGATTTGCAGTAACACTTTAGGTTTGATTGCCACTCCATTACTATTTGTTCACATTTATGAGGCCACACTCACCCCAGGCAGTTGTTTATGAAATCGGACATGACTCATTGATCTGTGAGCATCGATTCCTAGAACAATCAACAGACTGAAAGAAATGCACCCAAACTTAAATCACTGTATGCATTCACCAACGCAAAAGGAAAATTCTCATTTGTTTCACTTTTCATTTCCAAATATGATATACCAGGAGAGGTCCCAGCTTGGTATCAATTAGAAAAAAATACTGTAAGAAAATTGCAAAGCACCAGAGGACATTTTGAACCTTGGGGGAGGACTAGGTTAGACTCCATTGATCAAAATAACTGTGCTCATTCTGGATTAGGGCCCCACAGCCACCTGATCAGAGCCTTTATATCTGCAACCAGCAGCAATTTTTCCACTAATGAGCCACACACGGTGCAACTTTGAGGTTCTGCGAACCCAATCGTGATTTTTTTGTTCACTCATAAGGTAAGTAGTAAATATGTGGACTCTCTTGTTTATGAGAAATATATAGAAAATCCTTGTGGGTATAGAAAACAAGATCTGAAATAATATGCAGAAAAGGGCCATCAGCATTTTACATAGGATATGCTAAATTTGTATTTGATAATAAAAGAAAATTCAGTAATATTTCTAAGACCCACATTCATTTAATGGTAAAAAGTAGTTATTTTTAGAAAACGGACTAGTTGTCTAAAGGACAAAATGTCTTGTATTCTAGTATGTAAGATTGTATTTTTGTTTTTCGTATAGGCTAAGCTCGGTTTTCCTTTCCTTGCTATTTAAAAATAATAATTTCCACATTTTAAAGAGATAGTGGCAAAAAGAAGTATTATATAGTTTAGTACTGCCAAATAGGAATAAGATTGACATAAGTTAGCTTTCCCACCTCAGGGTTTTTATATAAAATAGAAGCTATAGATTTTTTTTAAGTGCTAAAGGAATCCTTTATTTTTTTTCCGGATCTCTACCTGCAGAGGAAATCCCTTTTTAAAATAAAGAATAATGACCAGAAAGTTTTAAGAGAATAATTATGGGAAAAGACCAAAACTTTAAGACAGGATAGAACTTAGTAAATTATTGCTTTTGGTTAATGAGGTCTGAGTCCTCATTTTAATATCTAATTTTTATTTGCAAGTAATATAAATGACTGCATTCTTAATTTTTGAATCTCAAACAATTCACAAGTATATAGAGTAAATTATAAAAGTCTCATTAATACCTCTTCCAAATTCTGAGAGGTATCTACCACTTTTTCAATTTCATTAAAAAATTATTTATATTTATATACGTACATACAGGTAAAAATGTACATAAACATACACTTTTGATAAAAATCACTTATGCTTTCTTAGAAGTCTTTTTTCCTTTCCTTTCTCTTTTTAGCCTCTCTTTTTTCCACCTTAACTTCCCGTCCACTCTCATCACCTTCAACAGCTCAGGTAACCTATATTAAATTCCTGGTGTGTATCCTTCTGCATTTTTTTCTCCATGCTCAATTAAATCACATACATATATATCTCATATACACATGCATACATATACATGTACATTTATAGAATTTTGTTTTACTGAGTGATTTACAATTCCACACTGAATCTTTGGATTAATTTGGGAAGAATTGACATCTTTACCTATATTGCAATTTTCAATCCCTGAGCATGGTATATCACCATTAAATTAAATTAATTTATATAGTGGTGTGTTTGTGTGTGTGTGTGTGTGTGTGTGTGTGTATTTGGCATTGTCAACTATTCCCCTTCTTGAAACTCTGGCTTTGGGCTTTGGTTTCAGAGACAGCACCCTCATGATTTTCCTCCTCTTTCTCCTTGGCCATTTCTCATATTTATTTGTAGATTCTTTTGTGGGGAAAAGAAAGAGATCAGATTGTTACTGTGTCTGTGTAGAAAGAAATAGACATAAGAGACTCCATTTTGTTCTGTACTAAGAAAAATTCTTCTGCCTTGAGATGCTGTTAATCTGTAACCCTACCCCCAACCCTGTGCTCCCTAAAACATGTGCAGTGTCAACTCAGAGTTAAATGGATTAAGGGCTGTGCAGGGTGTGCTTTGTTAAACAAATGCTTGAAGGCAGCATGCTTGTTAAGAGTCATCACCACTCCCTAATCTTAAGTACCCAGAGACACAAAACACTTCGGAAGGCCTCAAGGACCTCTGCCGAGGAAAGCCAGGTATTGTCCAAGGTTTCTCCCCATGTGATAGTCTGAAATATGGCCTCGTGGGAAGGGAAAGACCTGACCGTCCCCCAGCCCGACACCTGTAAAGGGTCTGTGCTGAGGAGGATTAGTAAAAGAGGAAGGAACGCCTCTTTGCAGTTGAGATAAGAGGAAGGCTTCTGTCTCCTGCTCGTCCCTGGGCAATGGAATGTGTCGGTGTAAAGCCGATTGTATCTACTGAGATAGGGGAAAACCGCCTTAGGGCTGGAGGTGGGACATGCTGGCAGCAATACTGCTCTTTAAGGCATTAAGATGTTTATGTATATGCACATCAAAAGCACAGCACTTTTTTCTTTACCTTGTTTATGATGCAGAGACATTTGTTCACGTGTTTACCTTCTGACCTCCTCTCCACTATTAACCTATTATCCTGCCATGCCCGATAATGATCAATAAATACTAAGGGAACTCAGAGGCCGGTGCTGGCGTGGATCCTCCGTATGCTGAATGCCGGTCCCCTGGGCCCCTTTTTCTTTCTCTATACTTTGTCTCTGTGTCTCTTTCTTTTCCAAGTCTCTCCTTCCACCTAACGAGAAACACCCACAGGTGTGGAGGGGCAACCCACCCCTTCACTCTTTCTTCCTCTATATTAGTCTCAGGGTTCTGTCATTGTCTCACTTTTTCTTTTTGTCTCTGAGGGATCTTCTCTACTTATTCAATGATAATTCATAAATGTTTATCTCCTGTTTGTACCATTTTTGTTGTCGTTGTTCTCTAGACCCAGATACCTTCTGGACAGCTCCACCTTTGCCATTCAGTTTTGCTGGTAGAATCTGTATTTTCTTTTTCTTTTTTTTTTTTTTTTGAGGAAGGGTCTCACTCTGTCACCCAGGCTGGAGTGCAGTAGTGTCATTATGGCTCCCCGCAGCCTCAAATTCCTGGGCTCAAGTGATCCTCCCACATCAGCCTCCCTAGTAGCTAGGACTATAGGCACTCACCATCATGCCTGGCTAACTTTTTACATTTATTTTTTGTAGAGACAGGGGCCTCACTATATTTCCCAGCCTGGTCTGCAACTCCTGGGCTCAAGCAGTCCTCCTGCCTCCACCTCCCAAAATTCTGGGATTACAGGAGTGAGCCACCATGCCCAGCTAGAATCTGGATTTTTTTCTAATTATAATTTCTGGCACTAATGTGCTTAAAAAGCCTTCTACTTCAAGATTACAAAACATATTCTTTTATAATTTATTTTAATACTTTTATGGTTTACTTTTTTACAATTAATATTATGTTCCATCTGGAATCAATTGTTGTGTTTGGAGATAAGTTGGAAAAAAATCTAAGAATTCCAGGTTTTTCTCTCTTTTTCTTTTGGTTGATATTCATTTTTGTATTATCAGTATTGATTCATTTTATAGGTTAGTGGGAGTCCTTAGTGATCAAGTACTGTGAGGTCTGGGACCAAATATATTTTGTTATTGAATTCCTGGCATCTAGCCCAATGCCTAAGCGATAGCAAGGTTTGATTTATTTTATTTTATTTTATTTATTTTTTTGAGGCAGAGTCTTGCTCTATTGCCCAGGCTGGAGTACAGTGGCATGACCTTGGCTCAGTGCAACCTCCGCCTCCCAGGTTCAAGCGATTCTCCTGCTTCAGCCTCCTGAGTAGCTGGGATTATAGGCGCACAGCACCACACCTGGCTAATTTTGGTATTTTTAGTATAGACGGGGTTTCACTATGTTGGCCAGGCTGTGTTCAATCTCCTGACCTCATCATCCGCCCGCCTCAGCCTCCCAAAGTGTTGGGATTACAGGCATGAGCCACTGCGCCCAGCCAATAGCAAGATGTTAGCAAATATTACTGAATGAATGAATTATGGAAGGAGAGAATTGTTTCATTATCTTTTTTTTTTTGAAACAGAGTTTCACTCTTTTGCCCAGGCTGGAGTGAAGTGGCGTGATCTCAGCTCACTGCAATCTCTGCCCCCTGGGTTCAGGTGATTCTCCTGCCTCAGCCTCCTGAGTAGCTGGGATTACAGGCGCGTGCCACCACACCGGCTAGTTTTCCTATTTTTAGTAGAGACGGGATTTCACCATGTTGGCCAGGCTGATCTCGACCTCCTGACCTCAGGTGATCCACCCACCTCAGCCTCCCAAAGTGCTAGGATTACAGGCATGAGCCACCACGTCCAGCCTCATTATCTATTTTAACTTAATAATACTTTCCTATTTTTCCTCTGTATCTTTCTTATCTGGAAGTCTTCCATATCTTAGAAAGCTTTAACCTACTAAGTATTTTAACCTTATTGAACCTTGAAAAACATTAGTTTTTCAGGATAAACCAAGTAACCTGTTCATGTCAGCTATACCTGTATTGTTTCCCAGATCCTAAGCTTGCTAGAGAAGCAGTTTATATTCACTTTTCTTCTAAGTTAGCAAAAATTCCATGAAAACATGATGTTCCAGATGTGGCTTAATGGATGTAATTATGTGTTATTGCTGGTATTGTTTCTGTGTCTGCCTAATCTTTACTGCTACCCTGATATGAGCCAGTTCCTGAGGGTTTGACTGATTTGTATTTTCTTTACCTATACTTTGTCTTGCAGTGAAAGCCCTGGATAATATATCATGAGGATCTACTTTATTTTGCCTATTGATGGTTATTTTGGTGATAGGGTCAAGGAACAGAATTTTAAAGTGAAAAGACAATTCCATTGACTATTATATATTGACGCCTTGTGTGTGCGATGACCAACATGCTTTAGAAAGAGTCTCTATCTGCAAGGGGTGTACCTTTCCAGGAAGGGGAACACAACCATCACAAAACTCATTTAGGCACAGTCCCAGGTGATTAATATTAATAATAGTGTTGTGAGGATTCAGGAAAGGGAAAAATAACTACAACTTGGGATGGGTAGGGAACACTTCCTGAGGAATTGAGACTCCTTTACGATCATGTCAGATGTATGGTAAGTAGCGTATCTCATGTGGATAGAAAAATGAATACAATTGTGCAATTAGAATGAATTGTACAAATATGGAGACCTATTTGTATACTAGAATAACAGGCAGCTTTGTGGGGGAGAGTAAAAGAGAATAGGAAGAAGTAAACTGCTGAAATTGTGAGGGGTATTTAGTGTTTTTTCAAAAATTAATATATTTGGAAATGTCCTATTTTAAGCATGGGCTATAAATATTAGGGCTGGAAGATCCTTCATAATTTTGCTGACATACAAAAGAACCTGCTGTATTTTTGAGCTTGTGTCTATATATTACCACCATGGGTGCTATTAACCTCAGTGTTTTCTGTATATTTCAGACATTAGTCTTTAACCATGGGGGACTGGAACTTATTGGGTGGCATCCTAGAGGAAGTTCACTCCCACTCAACCATAGTGGGGAAAATCTGGCTGACCATCCTCTTCATCTTCCGAATGCTGGTACTTCGTGTGGCTGCTGAGGATGTCTGGGATGATGAACAGTCAGCATTTGCCTGCAACACCCGGCAGCCAGGTTGCAACAATATCTGTTATGATGATGCATTCCCTATCTCTTTGATCAGGTTCTGGGTTTTACAGATCATCTTTGTGTCTTCTCCTTCTTTGGTCTATATGGGCCATGCACTTTATAGGCTCAGGGCCTTTGAGAAAGACAGGCAGAGGAAAAAGTCACACCTTAGAGCCCAGATGGAGAATCCAGATCTTGACTTGGAGGAGCAGCAAAGAATAGATAGGGAACTGAGGAGGTTAGAGGAGCAGAAGAGGATCCATAAAGTCCCTCTGAAAGGATGTCTGCTGCGTACTTATGTCTTACACATCTTGACCAGATCTGTGCTGGAAGTAGGATTCATGATAGGCCAATATATTCTCTATGGGTTTCAAATGCACCCCCTTTACAAATGCACTCAACCTCCTTGCCCCAATGCGGTGGATTGCTTTGTATCCAGGCCCACTGAGAAGACAATTTTCATGCTTTTTATGCACAGCATTGCAGCCATTTCCTTGTTACTCAATATACTGGAAATATTTCATCTAGGCATCAGAAAAATTATGAGGACACTTTATAAGAAATCCAGCAGTGAGGGCATTGAGGATGAAACAGGCCCTCCATTCCATTTGAAGAAATATTCTGTGGCCCAGCAGTGTATGATTTGCTCTTCATTGCCTGAAAGAATCTCTCCACTTCAAGCTAACAATCAACAGCAAGTCATTCGAGTTAATGTGCCAAAGTCTAAAACCATGTGGCAAATCCCACAGCCAAGGCAACTTGAAGTAGACCCTTCCAATGGGAAAAAGGACTGGTCTGAGAAGGATCAGCATAGCGGACAGCTCCATGTTCACAGCCCGTGTCCCTGGGCTGGCAGTGCTGGAAATCAGCACCTGGGACAGCAATCAGACCATTCCTCATTTGGCCTGCAGAATACAATGTCTCAGTCCTGGCTAGGTACAACTACGGCTCCTAGAAACTGTCCATCCTTTGCAGTAGGAACCTGGGAGCAGTCCCAGGACCCAGAACCCTCAGGTGAGCCTCTCACAGATCTTCATAGTCACTGCAGAGACAGTGAAGGCAGCATGAGAGAGAGTGGGGTCTGGATAGACAGATCTCGCCCAGGCAGTCGCAAGGCCAGCTTTCTGTCCAGATTGTTGTCTGAAAAGCGACATCTGCACAGTGACTCAGGAAGCTCTGGTTCTCGGAATAGCTCCTGCTTGGATTTTCCTCACTGGGAAAACAGCCCCTCACCTCTGCCTTCAGTCACTGGGCACAGAACATCAATGGTAAGACAGGCAGCCCTACCGATCATGGAACTATCACAAGAGCTGTTCCATTCTGGATGCTTTCTTTTTCCTTTCTTTCTTCCTGGGGTGTGTATGTATGTTTGTGTTGACAGAGAGGCAGATGGAGGGGGAGATTATTTATGGAGAGATAAAATTATTCATTCGATACATTCAGTTAAATTCAATTCATAAAATAGACTTAGAAAAATCTTATTATATCAATCGCTCTTATAAGTGCTGGGCATGTAAATGGGTAAAATACAGTCTCTGACATCAAAGGACTCAGGATGTAGGAGTAAAATTTAGGCAGGTAAAATGTAAATATATCAAGTGTAAGGCGTCACGTTAGTGGGAATGAGTGAGCAAAGGAGGGAGTGATCATATGGATGGGTCAGGAAAAGTTCATAGTTGAAGTTACCTTGAGCTGAATCTTGAAAGATGTGGCAAGTTTTTCCAAAACCGGAAGGACTGGGGCACATGAAAGAAGCTGTCCTGGTAGAGGGAGCAGTGCAGGTAAAGCCTAAGAGTGAGACATAGCAGTGCTGTCTGAGGAGCTGTGTGTGGCTGGAGCACAGGGTGGTAGGAGGGTGCAGAGGGAGGGAAGGCTGGAGAAGTGGGCATGGAGGCCCTGTAGGGAAGCCATAGAGAACTGACGGAGGATGTGGAGCAGAGGAGGGACTGGATCAGAGTTGCAGTTTAGAAAGTCCTTCTGTCACAGTGTGGAAAACAGTCCAGAGGAGGGATCATTTGTAACTTGAGTTGCCCTCATCTCACTAAAAAAGGAGTGTGTACTTCATTCTTTTAATACTTTTGACATTTCAAAGTCATATACAAATATTTGGTGATATATTTTACAAAGACAAGAATCAATATTGTATGATTTTAATTTTGTTCTCTGAAAAATCACTGTGGGATTAAACATTTCTTACCCATTATAAACATGAAATGGATATTTACTGTGGATTCTTCTCAATTCTGGAACAAAGGACGACACTTGATTACTCACTGCTCCCAATAGTCAACTGTTTCCATTAAAAAGAAAATTCCCCCAAGGTTGGTGGGAGAGCTTCTGAGTTGAGCTCACCTGCTTGTTTCTTCCTTTGTTCCACTTTTTGTGTTGATAATTACTGAATCCCTCTACCCTAGTTTTACATCTCCTGTGGGTTTAGATACTGATGTTACTGTACTACAGACATACCATGAATTCAAATCAACCTACTTGGATTTTTACTAAAATACTTCTCTCAAACTGATATTCATTTCTTGTCAGTGACCAGCCATTTATTTAGGAGACTGTTTAGGATCAATGCATGGGTGCTTAGAAACCTATGCCAAACTAGAGCAGGGTTCTTAACCCTTGCCATACATTACAGTCATCTGGGAGGCTTAAAAGCCATCATGCCCGGGACCCATCCAATTCTAATTAAACCAGAATCTCTGTGGGTGGGATGCATGCATGAATATTTTTCAAACTCCCATGGTGAGTGCAATGTGCAGCCAGGGTTAAGAACCACTGTTTTAGAATAACTTGAGGCCAGGCATGGTGGCTCATGCCTGTAATCCCAGTACTTTGGGAGGTCGAGGCAGGTGAATCACTTGAGCTCAAGACTTCAAGACCAGCCGGGGCAACATGATGAAACCCTGTTTCTCAAAAAAAAAAAAAAAAAAATACAAAGATTAGCCAGGTGTGGTTATGCATGCCTGTAGTCCCAGCTACTTGGGAGGATCACTTGAGCCTGGAAGGTTGAGGCTGCAGTGAGCCATGATCATGCCACTGCACTCCAGCTTGGGCTACAGACTGAGACCCTGTCTCTAAAAAATAAAAATAAATAAATAAAATAGAATTATTTGGCCAGTGGCAGCTACTTCTTTTTTTAAAAATTTCCTTTCTTTCGGACAAGTGTGGTGGCTCACGCCTGTAATCTCAGCACTTTGGGAGGCCGAGGCGGGTGGATCACCTGAGGTCAGGAGTTGGAGACTGGCCTGACTAACGTGGAGAAACCCTGTCTCTACTAAAAATACAAAATTACCCAGGCGTGGTGGTGCATGCCTGTAATCCCAGCTACTGGGGAGACTGAGGCAGGAGAATCGCTTGAACCCAGGAGGCAGTGGTTGCGGTAAGCCGAGATCGCACCATTGCACTCCAGCCTGGGCAATGAGGAAATTCTTTTCTTTTCTTTCCTTTCCTTTCCTTTCCTTTCCTTTCCTTTCCTTTCCTTTCCTTTCCTTTCCTTTCCTTTCCTTTCCTTTCCTTTCCCTTCCCTTCCCTTCCCTTCCTTTCCTTTCCTTTCCTTTCCTTTTCTTTCTTTCTTTCTCTTTCCCTCCCTCCCTTCCCTCGTTCCTTCCTTCCTTCCTTCCTTTCCTTCTTTCCTTCCTTCCTGTTAAGTGCAGTAGTAAGAAGGGGGGAAAGAGTAGAACAAGGAGTTCAATCTGTAACTGACTGTGAACAATCAGTTGGGATAACTCACTGCATTCAGACCATCCACTGCTTCTTATCTGCATTTGCAAAGTCAGCAATACAATTTTCATCATTTTCTTTTTCTTGTACCTTACATGCAAGAGAAGCCTTTTACTGGCAGACTGTTGAGGGAGATATGGCAGTTTTTAGGTGAGATAGATTTTCTTTTTTCTTTTTTTTTTTTTTGAGACAGAGTCTTGCTCTGTCGCCCAGACTGGAGTGCAGTGGCGCGGTCTCGGCTCACTGCAAGCTCTGCCTCCTGGGTTCACGCCATTCTCCTGCCTAAGCCTCCGGAGTAGCTGGGACTACAGGCACCTGCCACCATGCTCCGCTATTTTTTTTGTATTTTTAGTAGAGACGGGGTTTCACCGTGTTAGCCAGTATGGTCTCCATCTGCTGACCTCGTGATCCGCCCGCCTCGGCCTCCCAAAGTGCTGGGATTACAGGCGTGAGCCACCGCACCCAGCCGAGATAGATTTTCTTAATCCTTCAGTTTATCTTTTGGGAGAGGCCAGCCAAGCTCAGAATCCTGGAGTGAAGATGATGAAACTGATGGGCTGTCTCTTTTCTTTTCTGTATGGACTATATTGTATTCATAAATATAAGTAGGAGTAAAAAATAATTTGCACTGAGAAAATGCATCACTAACCTTTTTTTTTTTTTTTTTTTTTTTGAGACACAGTCTCACTCTGTCCTCAGGCTGGAGTGCAGTGGCGTGATCTCAGCTCACTGCAACCTCTGCCTCCTGGGTTCAAGCAAGTCTGCCTCAGCCTTCCAAACAGCTGGGACTACAGGCATGCACCACCACGCCCAGCTAATTTTTGTATTTTTAGTAGAGACAGGGTTTCGCCATATTGGCCAGGATGCTCTCGATCTCTTGACCTTGTGATCCGCCTGCCTTGGCCTCCCAAAGTGCTGGGATTACAGGTGTGAGCCACCGCGCCTGGCCACTAACCTCTTATAAATACAAGACATGAACGTCTAATCAGGCCTGATTTACTCTTTGAATGTTACAGCATTTTGTTTTCTTCCAATTCAACGTTTTCCCCTTTATTTTTCATACCTTAGGAACAATATAAACAAAAACCTCCACAATACACAACATCCAATCCTGTTGTCAAATTAGAGACATAATGGGATTTGACACTCTTATTTCCTGACTTAGATACAAGGACAGGAGAGAAAAGGAAACAGTAGATAACAACAGAGGGAGCCAGGTGGGATGGCACCACTCAAGGCTGCTGAGAGCCATGGAGTCACTGTACAGAGGGTTATCAACTTTATTTTTTAGAGCAGTTCACAGTGAAGTTGAATGGAAAATACAGAGAGTGCTCATATA
The DNA here is from genome assembly GCF_000001405.40 of Homo sapiens. Classification (NCBI taxonomy): domain Eukaryota; kingdom Metazoa; phylum Chordata; class Mammalia; order Primates; family Hominidae; genus Homo; species Homo sapiens. The sequence goes on from NC_000006.12 coordinate 89,899,706, forward strand.
CCCACTGTTCCCCTACATGTGCGAACCTCCCCAACTATTGACATCCTATTATCAGAGTGGTACGTTTGCTACAACTGATGAACCTACACTGACACATCATTATCACCCAAAGCCCATATTTACATTAGGATTCACCCTTGGTGTGGTATATTCTATGGGTCTGGACAAATGTATAATGACATGGATTTACCAGTATAGTATCATACAGAGGAGTTTCACTGTCTTAAAAACCCTCTGTGCTTCCCCTATTCATCCCTTCCTCCCTCAAGCCCTGGCAACCACCGATCTTTTACTGAATCTAACGCCTTGCCTTTTCCAGAATGTCATACAGTTGGATCATACAATATGTAGTTTTTTCACATTGGCCTCTTATGCTTAGTAATATGCATTTAGATTTCCTCCATGTCTTTCCATGGCTTGATAGCTCATTTCTTTTTATCACTGAATAATATTCTTTTATCTGGATGTACCGCAGTTTATTTACCCATTTACCTTCTGAAGGACATCTTGGTTGCTTCCAAGTTTTAGCAAGTATGAATATAGCTGCTATAAACATCCATGTGCAGGTTTTTATATGAATGTAATTTTCAATTAATGCGGGTAAATACCAAAAAGCGTAATTGCTGGATCATATGGTAAGAGTAAGCTTTGTTTCATAAAAAACTGCCAAACTGTCTTCCAAAGTTGCTGTACCATTTTTTTATTCCCACCAGCAATGAATGAGAGTTCCTGTTGTTTCATACTCTTGCTATTGTCATTGTTTTGGATTTTGGCCATTTAATAGGTGTGTAGTGGTATCTTGTTTCAAACTCCTGACCTCAAGTGAACCGCCCACCTTGGCCTCCCAAAGTGCTGGGATTACAGGCGTGAGCCACTGCGCCCAGCTAGTATATTGTTTTAATTTGCAATTCCCTAATGACCTATGTTGTTGAACATATTTCCTATGCTTACTTGCCATCTATATCTTCCTTGGTAAGTTATCTTATTGTTGAGTTTTAAGTATTCTTTGTGTGTGTGTGTATGTGTGTGTGTATATAATATATATATAAATATTATATATATATATATATATATATATAATTTTTTTTTGAGATGGAGTCTCGCTCTGTTGCCCCAGGCTGGAGTGCAATGGCACGATCTTGGCTCACTGCAACCTCCACCTCCCGGGTTCAAGCAATTCTCCTGCCTCAGCTTCCCGAGTAGCTGGGATTACAGGTGCCTGTCACCACGCCGGGCTAATTTTTGTATTTTTAGTAGAGTCAGGATTTCACTATGCTGGCCAGGCTGGTCTCGAAATCCCGACTTCAGGCGATCCACCCGCCTCAAAGTGTTGGGATCACCGGCGTGAGCCACCGAGCCTGACTGGTAATATGTTTTTAATTTCACATTTTACTTATTCATTGCTGGTATATAGGAAAGTCATAGACTTTTGCACATTAGCCTTATATCTTGAAATCCAGGATATAAATACTATAAATACTCCAGGAGTATTTTCTGTCAACTTTTTCTGATTTTTCTTTTCTTTCTTTTTTTCTTTGAGACGGAGTCTCGCTTTGTCACCCAGGCTAGAGTACAGTGGGGCGAGCTCAGCTCACCGCAACCTCTGCCTCCTAGATTCTAAGCGATTCTCCTGCCTCAGCCTCCCAAGTAGCTGGGATTACAGGCACGCGCCACGAGGCCCGGCTAATTTTTGTATTTTTAGTAGAGACAGGGTTTCACCATGTTGTCCAGGCTGGTCTCAAACTCCTGACTTCAGGTGATCCACCCGTCTCGGCCTCCCAAAGTGCTAGGATTACAGGCTTGAGTCACCGCGCCAGTGCAGTTTTTTCAGATTTTTCTGTGTAGACAACCATAATTTCCGGGAACAAAGACAGTCATTTCTTCCTTCCCAATCCATATACCCTTTCTTTACTTTTTTGTCTTATCTCATCTTGTCTTGTCTTAGTGCATTATCTAGGACTTCCAGGACAATTTCGAAAAGCAGTTGTAAGAGGGTATATCCTTCTCTTTGTTCCTGATTATAGAGAGAAAGATTCAAGTTTCTTACCAGTACATATAACGTCAGCTATAGATTTTTTTGTAGAGGTTCCTTATCAAGTTGAGTAAGTTCTCCTTTTAGTTTTCTAAGAGTTTTTAATCACAATGGGTGTTGGATTTTGTGAAATGCTTTTTCTGCATCTACTGATATGGGATGTGATTTTTCTTTGGTAGCCTGTTGATGTGACAGATTACATTAATTGATTTTGATTTTTTTTTTATTTTTGAGACAGAGTCTCACTTTGCCACCCTGGCTGGAGTGCAGAGGTGCAATCTTGGCTCACTGCAATCTCTGCCTCCCAGGCTCAAGTGATTCTCATGCCTCAGCCTCCCAGGTAGCTGGGATTACAGGCATGTGCCCCCATGCCCAGCTAATTTTTGTATTTTTAGTAGAGATGGGGTTTCACCACGCTGGCCAGACTGGTCTCGAATTCTTGGCCTCAAGTGATCCACCCGCCTCTGCCTCCCAAAGTGCTGGGATTACAGGCGTGAGCCACCACACCCAGCCTGATTTTTGAATGTTGAACCAGCATGGCATACCTGGGATAAATCCCACTTGGTCATGGTGTATAATTCTTTATTTTTATTATTTATTTATTTATTTATTTTTTGAAACAGAGTCTCGCCCTGTCACGCCCAGGCTGGAGTGCAGTGGCAGCCATCTCGGCTCACTGCAAGCTCCGCCTCCCGGGTTCACGCCGTTCTCCTGCCTCAGCCTCCCGAGTAGCTGGGACCACAGGTGCCTGCCACCATGCCCGGCTAATTTTTTTGTATTTTTATTAGAGACAGGGTTTCACCATGTTAGCCAGGATGGTCTTGATCTCCTGATCTCGTGATCTGCCCGCCTTGGCCTCCCAAAGTGCAGGATTACAGGCGTGAGCCACCGTGCCTGGCCCTTTATTTTTATTTTTTGGAGACAGGGTCTCACTCTGTTACCCAGGCTGGAGTGCAGTGGCATGATCTCAGGTCACTGCAGCCTCTGCCTCCTGGGCTCAAGTGGTCTTCCCACCTCCGTCTCCTGAGTAGCTGTGGCTACAGGCATACACCATCACACCCAACTAAGTTTTGCATTTTTTGGTAGAGACACGGTTTCATCATGTTCCCCAGGCTGGTCTTGAACTCCTTGGCTCAAGCGATCCACCTGCCTCAGCATCTCAAAGTGCTGGGATTACAGACGTGAGCCACTATACTTGGCCTATAATTCTTTTTATACATTGTTGGATTTGATTTGACAATTTTTTTGAGGATTTTTACATTTATGTTCATGAGAGATATTGGTCTGTAGTTTTCTTTTCTTGCATGTCTTTGGTTTTGGTATTAGGGTAATGCTGGTCTCATAGAATGAGTTAGGAAGTACTCTTTCTGCTTCTATCTTTTGGAAGAGATGGTAGAGAATTGATACAATTTTTTTCATAAGTGTCTGTTAGACTCACCATTGAACACATTTGGATCTAATGTTTTGGAAGGTTGATCATTATTGATTCAGTTTCTTTAATAGATATAAGCCTATTCATATGGTCTATATCTTCTTGTGTGAGTTTTGGCAGATTGTGTCTTTTCTAGGAATTGGTACATTCTAGGTTATCAAATCTGGGGGCATAGAGTTGTCCATAATATTCCTTTATTATTCTTTTAATGTTGGTGGGATCTGTACTGATGTTCTCTCTTTCATTTGTGATATTAGTAACTTGTTTCTTCTCTCTTTTTTTCTTAGTTAACCTGTATATCAGGCTGTTTTTGGATTGCTATAAAGAAATACCTGAGACTGAGTAATTTATAAAGAAAAGAGGTTTAATTGGCTCAGCGTTCTGCAGGCTTTATAGAAAGCATGGTTCTGGCATCTGCTCAGTTGCTAGGGAGGCCTCAGGAAACTTATAATCATGGTGGAAGGGAAGGGGGAGCAGGCATGTCACATGGTGAAAGCAGGAGCGAGGGAGTGAGAGGGGAGGTGCCACACACTTTTAAACAACCAGATCTCATGGGAACCCAGAGTGAGAGCTCACTTATTACTGAGGGGATGGCCCAAGCCATTCATGAGGGATCTGCCCCCATGATCTAAATACCTCCTACCAGGCCCTACCTCCAATACTGGGGATTACAATTTGGGGAGGGACAAATATGCAAATGATATTAGCCTGGCTAGAGACTTACACACTTTATTGATGTTTTCAAAGAGGTAGATTTTGGTTTTGTTGATGTTCCCTATTAATTTCCTATTTCAATTTCATTCATCTCTGCTCTAATTTTCATTATTGCTTTGTTTCTGCTTCCCTTGGATTTAATTATTTTTTTAGTTTCCTAAAAGTAGATAAATGATTTTAGATCTTTCTTCTTTTCTTTTTCTTTTTTTTTGAGACAGAGTTTCGCTTTGTTGCCCAGGCTGGAGTTCAATGGCACGATCTCGGCTCACTGCAGCCTCTGCCTCCTGGGTTCAAGTGATTCTCCTGTCTCAGCCTCCCTAATAGCTAGGATTACAGGTTCTCGCCACCACGCCTAGCTAATTTTTGTATTTTTAGTAGAGACGGCATTTCATCATGTTGGCCAGTCTGGTCTTGAACTCCTGACCTCAGGTGATCCTCCCGCCTCTGCCTCCCAAAGTACTGGGATTACAGGCATGAGCCACCATGCCCAGCCTAGATCTTTCTTCTTTTCTAATTATACATTCAATGCTATAAATTTCTCCCTAAGCACTGCTTTTGCTGTATCTCACACATTTTGATAAGTTGTGTTATCATTTTTGTTTAGTTGAAAATATGTTTTTTTCCAAGATTTCCTCCTTGACCTATGTGTTATTTATAAATGTATAGTTTAATCTCCAAGTATTTTAGAATTTTCCAGCTATCTTTCTTTTTTCTTTTTTTTTTTTTTTTAAGAGACACGGTCTCTCGCTTGTCACCTAGCTCACTGCAGCCTCAAACTTCTGGGCTCAAGTGATCCTCTCACCTCAGCCTCCTCAGTAGCTGGGACTATGGGTGTGCACCATCATGCTTGGCTTATTTTTAAATTTTTTTGTAGAGCTGGGATGTCACTTTGTAGCCTAGGCTGGTATTGAACTCCTGGCTTAAAGCAACCCTCCGGCCTTGGCCTCCCAAAGTGCTGGGATTACAGGTGTGAACCACTGCACCTGGCCCCAGCTATTATTAATTTCTAGTTTAACTCCATTGTGATCTGAAAACAGACATTGTATGATTTCTATTTTTAAAAATTTAAAAGAGAGAAGACCACAACCTAGAATGTGGTCTATCGTGGTAAGTGTTTCATGTGAGCTTGAGAAGAATGTGTATTCTGTTGTTACTAGATGAAGTAGCCAATAGATGTCAATTTTTTTCTTTTTTAATTTTTTTTTTCGAGATGGAGTCTCGCTCTGTCGCCCATGCTGGAGTGCAGTGGCGTGATCTCGGCTCACTGCAAGCTCTGCCTCTCGGGTTCACGCCATTCTCCTGCCTCAGCCTCACGAGTAGCTGGGACTACAGGCACACACTGCCACGCCCGGCTAATTTTTTTGTATTTTTAGTAGAGACGGGGTTTCACCGTGTTAGCCAGGATGGTCTCGGCTTCCTGACCTTGTGATCCGCCCTCCTCAGCCTCCCAAAGTGCTGGGATTACAGGCATGAGCCACCGAGCTCGGCCTTAATTTGTTAATAAATTATTTTACATTTTATAGAGATGTGGTCTCACTATGATGACCAAATTGGTCTTAAACTTTTGGCCTCAAGCAATCCTCCCATCAGCTTTAGATGTCAATTATATCCAGTTAATTGATGGTGCTGTTGAGTTCAACTATGTCCTTTTGGCTTTTCTGTCTGCTGGATCTGTCCATTTCTGATAGAATGAAGCTAGGGTCTCCAACTATAATAGTGGATTCATTTATTTCTCCTTGCAGTTCTAGCAGTTTTTGCCTCACATATTCTGATCTTCTGTTGTTAGGTACATACACATTAAGGATTGTTTTTTCTCAGAATATTCACCCCTTTATCATTTGCATTGTCCCTCTTTATCCCTGATAACTTTCCTGAAGTCTTCTCTGTCTGAAATTAATATAGCTACTCCTGCCTTCTTTTGATTAGTGTGAGCATCATATATCTTTCTTCATTTCTTTACTTTTACTTTATATATACCTTTATATTTAAAGTTGGTTTCTTTTTCTTTCTTTTTTTTTTTGAGACGGAGTCTCGCTCTGTCGCCCAGGCTGGAGTGCAGTGGCGCAACCTCAGCTCACTGCAAGCTCCGCCTCCCGGGCTCACGCCATTCTCCTGCCTCAGCCTCCCGAGTAGCTGGGACTATAGGCGCCCGCCACCGCACCTGGCTAATTTTTTGTATTTTTAGTAGAGACGGGGTTTCACCGGGGTCTCGATCTCCTGACCTCGTGATCCGCCCGTCTCGGCCTCCCAAAGTGCTGGGATTACAGGCGTGAGCCACCGTGCCCGGCCAAAGTTGGTTTTTTACAGATAACATATAATGCATCTTGTTTTTATTTTTATTTTTTTAGAGACAGTGTCTCACTCTGTTGCCTGGCTGGAGTGCAGTGGCATGATCATGGATCACAGCAGTTTTGACCTCCTGGGCTCAAGTGATCCTCCCACCTCAGCCTCTTGAGTAGCTAGGACTACAGGTGCACATTGCCACTCTCAGCTAATTTTTTTTTCTTTCTTTTTTTTTTTTTTGAGACAGAGTCTCACTCTTGTCGCCCAGGCTGGAGTGCAATGGCATGATCTTGACTCACTGCAACCTGTGCCTCCTGGTTCAAGCGATTCTCCTGCCTCAGCCTCCCAAGTAGCTGGGAGTACAGGTGCCACCACACCCGGCTAATTTTTGTATTTTTAGTAGAGATGGGGTTTCACCATGTTGGCCAGACTGGTCTCAAACTCCTGACCTCAGGTGATCCGCCCGCCTCTGCTCCCAAAGTGCTGGGATTACAGGCGTGAGCCACCGCTTCAAGCACAGCTAATTTTTAATTTTTTTTTTTTGTAGAGATGGGTTATCATTATGTTTCCCAGTCTAGTCTTGAACTCTTGGGTTCAAATGATCCTCCTTCCTTGGCCTTCCCAAAGTGCTGGGATTACATGTGTGAGCCATCATGCCCCATCTGTGTCTTGTTTTTTGATCCACTCTGACAATCTCTGTATTTTGTGTATTTAGATGACTGGCATGAAAAGTGATTATTGATATAATGGCATTAATATTTAGTATATTTATTACTATTTTCCATTTGTCGCCCTTGTTCTTTGCTCCTGTTTTTGTCATGCACACCTTTTCTGCCTTTTGTGGTTTTAATTGAGCACTCTATATGATTTCATTTTCTCTCCTTTCCTTTTTTTTTTGCAATGGAGTCTCGCTGTCTCACCCAGGCTGGAGTGCAGGTGCAGTGGTGTAATCTTGGCTCACTACAACCTCCACCTCCCAGTTCAAGTGATTCTCCTGCCTCAGCCTCCCGAGTAACTGGGGTTACAGGCATGCACCACCACGCCTGGCTAATTTTTGTATTTTTAGTAGAGATGGGGTTTCACCATGTTGGCCAGGCTGGTCTCGAACTCCTGACCTCAGGTGATCCACCTGCCTCAGCCTCTCAAAGTGCTGGGATTACAGGCATGAGCCACCATGCCTGGCATCATTTTCTCTCCTTTCTTTCTTTTTTTGTTTTCTTTGAGACAGAGTCTCTCTCTCTTTCCCCCAGGCTGGAGTGCAGTGGCACGATCTCGGCCCACTGCAACCTCCGCCTCCCGGGTTCATGCGATTCTCCTGACTCAGCCTCCTGAGTAGCTGGGATTACAGGCATGCACCACCAAACCCGGCTAATTTTTGTATTTTTAGTAGAGATGGGGTTTCACCATTTTGGTCAGGTTGGTCTTGAACTCCTGACCACGATCATGATCCACCCACCTCAGCCTCCCAAAGGGTTGGGATTACAGGCGTGAGCCACTGAGCCCGGCCTTTCTCTCCTTCCTTAACGTATTAATTATACTTCCTTTAAAACTTTTTTTGGTGGTTGTCCTAGAGTTTGCAATACGCATTTACAACTAATCCAAGTTCGCTTTCAGATAACACTATGCCACTTTATGGTAGTATAACTACCATTTAATAAAAAAATTCCTAATGCCTCCCTCCTGTCCTTATATTATTGCTGTCACTCATTTCATACATACATAAACATATAAACATACATATGTGTGTCAGTACATTATTCTTAAGAATATGAAAGATACAAGTTCTTATTTTACCTTCTCTTATTTCCTATCTAATGTTTTTCCTTTCTTTATGTAGATCTGAGTTTCTGACCTATATCATTTTTTTTCTCTCTGAAGGACTCTTTTTTAACATTTCTTACAAGGCAGGGCTACTGGCCACACATTCCTACAATTCTTATTTGGCCAAGAAAGTCTTTACTTCTCCTTCACTTTTTTTTTGTTTGTTTGTTTTCTGAGACAGAGTCTCGTTCTGTTGCCCAGGCTGGAATGCGGTGGTGTGATCTCGGCTCATTGCAACCTCCACCTCTTGGGTTCAAGCGATTCTCCTGCCTCAGCTTCCCAAGTAGTTGGGATCACAGGTGTGTGCCACCATACCTGGCTAATTTCTGTATTTTTAATAGAGATGGGGTTTCACCAAGTTGGCCAGGTTGGTTTTGAACTCTTGACTTCAAGCGATTCGCCTGCCTTGGCCTCGCAAAGTGCTGGGATTACAGGCCACTGCGCCTGGCCTTCTCCTTCACTTTGAAGGATAATTCTCAGGATAGAGACTTCTAGATTGGTGGTGTGGTGTTTTCCTCTCAATGCTTTAACTATTTCATTCTCCTGTCTTCTTGCTTGTATCGTTTATGAGAAGTTAAATATAGTTCTTATCTTTGCTCCTCTGTAGGGAAAGTGTTTTTTTTCTCTCTGTCTTCTTTCAAGACTTTTTTCCTCTTTGATTTTCTGAAGTTTGAATATGATAAGCCTAGAAGTAGTTTTTTTTTTGGCATATATCCCATTTGGTGTTTTCTGGACTTCCTGGATGTGTGGTTTGGTGTCTGACATCAGATTTGGGAGCTTATTAGTATTATAGCTTCAAATATTTCTTGTCTTCCTTTCTCTGTTTCTTCTCCTTCTGGTTTATATGTGTGTTATACCTGTTGTAATTGTCCCACAGTTCTTGGGTATTCTGTTCTATTTTGTTTTTGTTTGTTTTAGTCTTTTTTAATCTTTGTTTTTCAGTCCTGGAAGTTTCTATTTTTATATCCTCAAGCTCAGAGATTGTTTCCTCGGCCATGTCCAGTCTACTAATGAGCCCATCAAAGGCATTCTTTATTTCTGTTGCAGTGTTTTTGATCTCTAGCACTTTTCTGTGATTCTTTCTTAGGCTTTTCATCTCCTAACTTACATTATCTACCTGTTCTTATATCTTGTCTACTTTTTCCATTAGAGCCCTTAGCATATTAATCATACTTTTAAATTCCTGGTGTGATAATTCCAACATTTGTGCCCTATCTGACTCTGATTCTGATGCTCGTTGGGTCTCTTCAAACTGCGTTTTTTGCCCTTTAGTATGCTTTGTGCTTTTTTGTTGAAATGTGAATATTTTGTAGAGATGAAAAGAATGTGGGGCTGGGTGTGGTGGCTTACACCTGTAATGTCAGCACTTTGGGAGGCCAAGGCAGGTGGATCCCTTGAGCTCAGGAGCTCGAGAGCAGCTTGGGCAACATAGCAAAACCCTGTCTCTCTTTCCTTTTTTTTTTCCCTTGAGACAGGGTCTCACTCTGTCCCCCAGGCTGGAGTGCAGTGACATGGTCATGGCTTACTGCCACCTCGACCTCCCAGGCTCATGCAATTCTCCTACCTCAGCCTCCCAAGTAGTTGGGACTGTGCCACTGCACTCCAGCCTGGGGGACAGAGTGAGACCCTATCTCAAGAAAAAGAAAAGAGAGAAAAGACTCTGGTAAGTAGACCTTTAGTGGTGTGGTGGTCAGTATGGGGGGAGGGGAACATTCTATAGTCCTATGACTGGGTCTTAATCTTTTGCACCCTAGACTTTCTAATTTTGAAGGCAGTGGTTTGTCCAGTAACCTCTCTTCTCTAACAAATCTAAGAAGAATTGCTGATTTTTTAGTTTGTTCAGATTTCTACTTATTGCTAGGGCAGAGTGGTTACTTCTAAGCTCCTTATATTTACAGACTGGAGCCCTCTTTCTTATTTCATTTTTTTTCTTTCTTCTTTGTTCTTTATGTTTCTAGGAATTATAAATAATGCCTTTGACCACAGAGCTTTCCTAATTATGGTCACCTTTTCCCAAGCTTTTTACAGAGATGACAGCCCACTTCACTCCCCAAATGATGGAAACACTTGGGAATTGAGGCCGCAGCTCTCAACTCCACAGACCAGTGGCTGACACATGGTGCTTCTTGTAAACAGATGGATCTTTCATTAGAAATTAGTGTAAGGGGCTAGGTGCGGTGGCTCATGCCTGTAATCCCAGCACTTCGGGAGGCCAAGCTGGGGGATGGCTTGAGGTCAGGAATTCAAGCCCAGCCTTGGCAACACAATGAGATCCTGTCTCTTAAAAAAAAAAAAAAAAAAGGAAAAGAGAAAAAAAGAAATTAGTGTAGCAAACAAAGGATAATAATCCTCTACTTTCAAGTAAAGTAAAATCTCTCTTCCCTTTCAGTTTCCTATTTCAAGGGTGTGTCTGTGTGTATGTTCCGGCAATTTTCTTAACTTTTTTAACTTTGAGAATTCCATCCTAGTGTGTCTAAGCGGGGCCCTCTTTTCATTAACTTTGCTGGGAAGTCAGAACATGCTCTCAGTTTCCAGCTGAGTTCTTTCTTTACAGCAGGAAACTTTTCCCCTCCCATTTCTTTGAATACTGCTTTCCCTATGTCTGTTTTGTTCTCTCCAGAATTCCGATTATTCCCAGGTTATATCCCCCGTGTCTGACCGCCTGCCTCTTTCTTTTCGTCTTTTTATCATTTTGCCCTTGGTCATGTTAATTTTATTTTCTCCGTGTCTTGTCTGCTATTTACAGCCTCCATCATGGTTTCCCACCAGAGCTATTGTGGTTTCTGTCTCCTTGCTACACTTCCTGCTCTCAGATGTCTCCCTCTTTATTAGGATCTTTTCTAGTTTCTAGATCTTTTCCAGCACCCCATGGAATCTTATTGAGAAATTGAATTAAATATTCAGATTTAAAATAATAATAATAATAATAATCCTCTACTTTCAATAAATGAACTGTAAACTACCTGTTATGTTGCATTAGGTTCAAGATGGCAGAATTTCTATTACTCAGCCAGATACATTCTGATTACAGCAGTTGACATTTCAGAGTGAAATGACTCCTGATAGAACCAGTTGTTTGGCCACTTATGCTGTTTCTTACAGAGAATTGTCCTGTGAAAGGAATCCATTGTGTTTTAGAAGGTCAGAAAGCTATCTGATAGAGCCATGATTTTCTTTCCTTTTCTTTCCTCCCTCCCTCCCTCCTTCCCTCCCTTCCTTCCTCCCTCCCTCCTTTTTCTCTCTTTTTCTTTCGTTCTTTCATTCTTTCTCCTTCCTTCCTTCCTTCCTCCCTTCTTTTCCTCTTTCTTTCCTTCCTTCCTTTTTTCTTTCTTTTTTGTAAAGCTCCCAGGTGATTTTTTTTTTTTTTTTTTGAGACGGAGTCTTCACTCTGTCGCCCAGGCTGGAGTGCAGTGGCGCGATCTCAGCTCACTGCAAGCTCTGCCTCCCAGGTTCACGCCATTCTCCGGCCTCAGCCTCCGGAGTAGCTGGGACTACAGGCACCCGCCACCACGCCCGGCTAATTTTTTTTGTATTTTTTAGTAGAGACGGGGTGTCACCGTGTTAGCCAGGATGGGCTCGATCTCCTGAGCTCGTGATCTGCCCACCTCGGCCTCCCAAAGTGCTGGGATTACAGGCGTGAGCCATCACTCCTGGCCTCTCCCAGGTGATTCTAATTTGCAGCCAGAGTTCAGAACTGTGGCTGCAGAGGAAGGAGATTTTGGCATTAGGAAGAAAGTTGCCCTGTGAACTCTTCCAATCTTTTAGGATGTTAGGGAGATGAAGAATGTACTGAGAAGACTTGCTCCTAGAAACATAGAGAAACACTTTCCCCTTCCCAATACCATATAATCTGTAGGACCTAGCCTACAGTTTTAAAAAAGAAACTTGTTTCCTTAATATTTATTTTGTGCAAATAAGTGTTTAAATTGTAAAAATTCAGGCAACATAGAAATATATAGGCCAAAAAGAGAAATTTTCTGTTTTATTTGTCTTCTTACCACCCCCAAATCTGTTCTTTCTTTCTTTCTTAATTAATTTTTTGTTTTTGTTTTTTTTGAGACAGGGTCTTGCTCTGTCGCCCAGGCTCCAGGGCAGTGGCATGATCATGGCTCACTGTAGCTTTGAACTTCTGGGCTCAAGTAATCCACCCACCTCGACCTCCCAAAGTGCTGGTATTACAAGTGTGAGCCTGGCCCGTGAAGTGTTTTTTGAATGCTTACTAGGTACCAGGCACTGGATGCTGGGTGCTGGGATATAACAGCTCACAGGACAACACAGTCCCTTTTCTCACAGTAGAGAAAAATAAACAAATATTTAAAGCAACTTCACATAGTTTTAGGTGCTAGGAGAAAACAACACAGTGATGTGGACAAAGGGACACTGGGAAGTAGATGGTATTACTTTAGATGAGGTTATCAGAGGTGGGCTCTTGAAAAGGTGCTGAAGTCCTGGGTGGATGGGGCCTCTCAGGCAGAGGGACCGGTAAGTGCAAAGGTCCTCGGCTCTCTGGAACTACAGAAGGAGATCACTCTTGTGGCGGTGACCAGGAAGGGGAGGGATAGGGATGAGGTTGGAATGGGCAGGGTCCTGATGTGTAGGCCTTTGAGACCGTGAATAGAAATTTGAGTTGGATAGCACAGGGATAGTCATGGGCTGATACATATGTTATAAAAACCAATCACTCTTTTTGGAGAATCAATTGTAGGGGTAAGAGTAGAATAAGGGAGATCAGGTAGGAGACTGTGCAGTGGTTCAGTGAGCTATGAGGGTGGCTCAGACCAGGGGTACAACTCTTACTGATTTGGAAGAACGACAGTTTTTAAAAGAATTATTGTTTTTCAAATTAAAGTAATACATGCTAATTTAAATAAACTCAAACAATATAAAATAACATAGAGTAAAATGTGAACCTGACCATGGGAAAGTTCGTCTCCTCTTGTTCTCATCTGGACTCAACCTCTACTTTTTTCCCCCAAGGCAGCCTCTGTCCTCTGTGAACACCATAGGGTGTGTCACTGGTACTTTCCTCAGTGCCTTCATAATCAATCCTTGAAGACAAATATATGTCCACGCATATTTATTGTTTGTTATTTTATTTTATTTATTTATTTAGAGACAGAGTCTTGCTCTGTTACCCAGGCTGGAGTGCAGTGGCCCTATCTCGGCTCACTGCAACCTCTGCCTCCAGGTTTCAAGCAATTCTCCTGTCTCAGCCTCCCAGGTAGCTGGGATTACAGGCACCTGCCACCATGCCTGGCTAATTTTTGTATTTTTAGTAGAGATGAGCTTTCACCGTGTTGTCCAGGCTGGTATCGAACTCCTGGCCTCAAGTGATTTGGCCTCCCAAAGTGCTGGGATTACAGGCGTGAGCCACTGCGCCCAGCCTGTTTTTTATTTTTATTAAAAAATATTTTTAAGTGATATGTAATGTTTTACATATTCATGAGGCACATGTGATATTTTGTTGCATCATAGAATGTATAATGATCATTTCAGGGTATTGCGGTATCCATCACCTTGAATAGTTATCATTTCTATGTGTTGGAAACATTTCAAGTTCTCTCTTTTAGCTACTTGGAATTATATAATACATTGTATAGTCACCCTGCTCTGCTATCAGACATTAGAACTTTCTATCTAACTGTATGTGTATACCTGTTGACCAATCTGTCTTCACCCCCCTCCCACCCACATACCCTTTCCAGCCTCTGGTATCTATCATTCCACTCTCTACCTCAATGACATCAACGTTTATAGCTCTTACCTGAGTGAGAACGTGATATTTACCTTTCTGTGCCTGCCTTATTTCACTTAACATAATGACCTCCAGTTCCACCCATGTTTCTGCAAATAACATGATTTTATTCTTTTTTATGGTCAGATAGTATTCCATTGTGTACATATACCACATTTTCTTTATTCATTTGTCTGTTGATGGACACTTGGGTTGATTTCATATTGTGAATAGTGCTGCGATAAACATGGGAGTGCAGGTATCCTTTTGATTTCCTTTGGATAACTATCCAGTAGTGGGGCTGCTGGATCATATGGTAGCTGTGCTTTAAGGTTTTTGAGAAACCTCCATACTGTTTTCCATAGCGGCCATACTAATTTACAATCCTGCCAACGTGTATAAAAGTTCCCTTTTTTCCACATCCTCACCAGCATCTATTTGTTTGTTTTCTGTTTTTTTAATAGTAGCCATTCTAATTGGGGTAAGATGATATCTCATTGTGGTTTTGATTTGCATTTCACTGATGATTAGTGATGGGTTTTTGTTTTGTTTTGTTTTTGCTTTTACAGAAAGTCTTGCTTTGTCATCCAGAGTGCAGTAGTATGATCATACCTCACTATAACCTTGAATTCCTGGGCTCAAGCAACCTTTCCATCTCAGCCTTCTGAGTAGCTGGGATTACAGGGTTGCGCCACAATGCCTGATTAATTTTAATTTATTGTAGAGATGGAGTCTTGCTATGTGACCAGATTGGTCTTGAACTGGTCTCAGGTGATCCTCTTGCCTTAGCCCCCTGAAGTACTAGGATTACAGCAGTGTGCATGGCCCACTGCTCTGATGTTTATTATGTCTTTCCTTCTACTAATTTTGGGTTTCATTTGTTCTTGCTTTTCCAGTTCCTTGAAGTGCATCATTAGGTTATTTAAAACCTTTCTACTTTTTAATGTAAGTGTTTATTGCTATAAACTTCCCTCTTAGCACTGCTTTTGTTGAATTCCAAAGGTTTTGGTATGCTGTGTTTCCATTTTCATTTGTTTCAAAAACTTTTTAATTTTCTCCTTAATTTCTTCCTTGACCCTTTGCTCATTCAGGAGCATTTTGTTTAATTTCCATGTATTTATATAGTTTCCAAAGTTCCTCTTGTTATTGTTAAATAATTTCTATTTTATTCCACTGTGGTCTGAGACGATACTAGATATTTGAAAAATTTGTTGAGACTTACTTTGTGTTCTAAAATATGGTTTATCCTGGAAAATATTCCATGTGCTGATAAGAAAAATGTGTATTCTGTAGCTGGTGGATGAAATGTCTGTTATATAAATGTCTGTGAGGTCCATTTGGTCTAATGTTAAGCTTAAATCCAATGTTTCTTCATTAATTTTCTGTCTAGATTATTTGTCTAATACTGAGAGTGGGGTGTTGAATTCTCCAACTAATACTGTATTGGAGTCTATCTCCCTTTCTTTTAAAATCTAATAATATTTGATTTATGTATTTGGGTGCTCCTGTGTTGGATGCATATATATTTAGAATTGTTACATGCTCTTGCAGTTGATCCCTTTATCATTATATAATGACTTTCTTTGTCTCTTTTTACTGTTTTCACTTAAAATATATTTTATCAGCCATAAACATAGCTACTCCTGCTTACTTTTGGTTTCCATTTACATGGAATATCTTTTTTCCATCCCTCTACTTTCAGTCTATGTGTATCATCTCAACTGTGACATGAGTTTCTTTAGGCAGCATATAGTTGGGTCATGTTTTTAAAATACATTCAGCCATTCTGTATCTTTTAAGTAGAAAGTTTAATCTGTTACACTCAAGGTTATTATTGATATGTGAGGGCTTATTCTTGTCATTTTATTAATTAAGTTCTGGTTGTTTTGTATATCCTTTGTTCCTTTCTTATTGTTTATCATTGTGGTTTGGTGGTATTCTGTAGTGGTAACATTTGAGTCTTTTCTCTTCCTTGTTTGTGTGCTTGCTTGACCAGTGGTATTTACATTTTCATGATTTTCATATTATTCTTTCACTTTTTGGTATGGGACTATCTTAAGCAGTTCTATAGGGAAAGTCTAGGGGTGATGAATTCCCTCAGCTTTTGCTTGTCCAGGAAAGACTTTATTCCTCCTTCATTTATGAAGAATATCTTTGCCAGGTATGGTATCTCTGGTTGACATTTTGTTTTGTTTTGTTTTTGTTTTTGTTTTTGTTCAAGACAAGGTCTGACTCTCTCACCCAGGCTGGAGTGCAGTGGTGCCATCTCGGCCCACTGCAACCGTGGCCTTGCTGGGCCCAAGCCATCCCCCCATCTCAGCCTCTTGAGTAGCTGGGACTACAGGCATGTGCCACCAGGCCTGGCTAATTTTTGCATGTTTTTGTAGAGATGGGGTCTCCCCATGTTGCCCAGGCTGGTCTCAAACTTGTGAACTCAAGTAGTTCACCCACCTTGGCCTCCCAAAGTGCTTGGATTACAGGTGCAAGCCACCGCACTTGGCCTGCTGGCAGTTTTTTTCTTTCAGCACTTTGACTGTATCGTCCTGTTCTCTCCTTGCTTGTAAGGTTTCTGCTGAGAAATCTGCCATTAGTCTGATGGGGGTTCCTTTGTAAGTGCTAGACACTTTTCTCTTGCTGTTTTTAGAATTCTCTCTTTGTCTTTGACTTTTGGCTGTTTGACTATAGTGTGCCATGGAGAACACCTTCTTGAATTGTATCTATTTGGGGATCTCTGGGCTTCCTGAATCTGGATGTTTAAATCTTTTGCTAGATTTGGGAAGTTTTCATGTATTATTTTGTTAAATAGGTTTTCTAATGTTTTCATTACCCCTTCACCTTCTGGGGACATTGAAAATATGAACATTTTGTCACTTTATTGGTGTCCTATATATCACATGGACTTCGCTCATTTTTTAAAAGTATTTTTTCTTTATTTTTGTCTGACTGGGTTATTTCAAAAGACCTGCCTGCAAGTTCTAAGTTTCTTTCTTCTGCTTGATCTAGTCTATTGTTGAAGCTTTTGAATGTATTCTGTGTTTCATTCAATGAGTTCTTCAGTTCAAGAATTTTTGGTTGTTTTTTATGATGTCTATATCTTTAGTAAACTTCTCATTTGTATCTTGCATTCTTTTTCTGATTTCTTTGTATTGTTTTTCAGTATTCTCTTATATTTCACTGAGCTTCTTAATGTCAATATTTTGAATTCTTTTTCTGAGATTTCATAAATTTCTTTTTGATTGGGATTTGTTACTGGAGAATTATTGTGTTCCTTTGGAGGTGTCATATTTGTTTGCTTTTTCGTGTTTCTTGTGTCCTTACATGGGTATCTGTGCATCTGTTGTAAAAGTTGCTTTTTCTAGTCTTTGAATTTGCTTTCATAGGGGAGACTTTTTCCTGAAGATGTATCTGTGGTTGTTTGGGTAGGGCACTTTGATTCTTGGTGCATGCGCTGGAGTAGTCTCTGTATGATTTCTTCGGCTGTAAACAGTGTCAGTGTTGCCTGTGATTTTCTTGGTGGCTCATGGTGTGATTATTAGTGGAGGCTATGTTGAAGTTTGGCTGTGGGCTAGGCCAGTAGGTGGGCTAGGCCAGTAGGTGGGCCAGTCTTTAGGCCCCAGTGGTGACAGCAGTGGGCTGGGCGTGCCTGTTCTTGCACCCCAGCGTTGCTTATGCCGGCACAGGTATTAGTGTGTCCAATCAGGCCAATTCTTGGGCCTCCAGGTGGCTTGCTTGGGTGGCGGGAATAGCAGCAATGGGCTAGGTGGGTGGGCAGGTTCTTGAGCCCCTTAGCAGCAGGCCTGGTGTGGATGATGGCAATTGCAGTGGTGGGATAACTCTTAGGGATCCAAGTGGTCTGCACTGGTGTTGGTGGTGGCTGCAATGGTCTGGGAAGGCCAGTCCCTAGGCCTATAGGTGGTATATGTGGGTGGGTGCCAGCTCTAGTGGTAATGGGAGATTGGGTGGGCCTGACCAGAGACTATGGGAGGAATGCTTAGGTGTCAGTGGTGGTGGACTGGGCTGGGCAACTTCCACACCCTGGGATGGAATACTCAGGTACTGGGCTGAGGGTTAGAGCTGGGCTGGGTAGACCTGCCCTCAGGCCCCCTGGTGATATGTGCAGGTGCTGGCTGTGATAGACAGGGGTGGGGTGATCCCCAGGCTGCCAGTGGAATGCTCAGGTAGGGACAGCAGCAATTGCACTGTGGCCCTGCTACTGGGGAGGCCAGGGTTGCTTTCAGTGAGAGCAGCTGGGGCACCGTAGCAGTTCACAGCGCTGCCATTGCAGGCAGTGGAATTTGTCCTCAGGGCATGTGAAAATGCCTGGCTGCCTCTGTGCTGGGGGTGCAGTTGGGTGGTTGTTGTCAGTGGCTCCTGCCTAGCCCCAGTGTGGAGGGGGCTGGGCTCTTAAAATGGTGCCATGCTGCTGCTGCTTAGGGCTTGGTAGTGTGTGGAACACAGCATGAGCTCCCTCTCTGCAGCAGTGCTGCCGTTCAGTTTCCAGGCAGCTCCCTACCTTAGTCTCAGGGCCCTTGGGGTTGAAGGTTGAGGGGCTCTCCTACAGCTAAGAGTCTGTGGTGGAAATGTAGATTGCTGGGGGTCTCTCACTTACCCTTTCCCCACTTCAAGGGGCCTCTCCAGGATCCCAGCCAATCCTGGATGAGCAGGCTGTTTTGCTTCCCTCTCCTTCCTTGCTTTTGGTGTTTCCCATTCCTCTGTTGAATTCCAGTGCTCTCTCTTAGATGATCTGTTTGAAGTGTGATTATCTACTTGCTATTTTGGTTCCTTTTTATGGAAGAGGCGAGTACCATATGCATGCAGTCAGCCTTCTTGAAGCCCCCCAGCCTATTGTTTGTTTTTTAAAATATAAATGTGACCATACTCTGGAAATGTCTCTGCAGTTTGCTCTTGCTCACTTAATGATCTATCTCAAGCATCTTTGTCAGTCCCTATAGAGTTGCCTTGGTGTTTATCTCAGCTCGTACTTTTCCATGGTATGATGAACCATAGATATCTGATGGCCATTTAGGCTGTTTCTTTTTTTCCTACTACAATGTTGCATTTAATGTTTCCTGCATGTATCTTTGATAGGTACCTAGAAATGGAGTTGTTGGTTTTAATGGACATGCACACTTTTTTGTGTGTGTGTTTTGTGTGTGTGTGTATTTTTGAGACAGAGTCTTACTCTCTCACCCAGGCTGGAGTGCAATGGCACGATCTTGGCTCACTGCAACCTCTGCCTCCTGGGTTGAAGTGATTCTTCTGCCTCAGACTCCTGAGTAGATGGGATTACAGGCATGCACCACCATACCCGGCTGATTTTTGTATTTTCAGTAGAGGTGGGGTTTCTCCATGTTGGCCAGGCTGGTCTCAAACTCCTGACCTCAAGTGATCCCCCCACCTTGGCCTCCCAAAGTGCTTGGATTACAGGCATGAACCATTGTGCCCAGCTCATTTTGGTTTTTTTTTTTTAGAGGCATGGTCTTGCTCTGTCGCCCAAGCTGGAGTGCAGTGGTGCAATCATAGTTCACTGTAGTCTCGACTTCCTGGGCCCAAGCTGTCCTCTCACTTTGGTCTCCCAAAGCACTGGGAATACAGGCATGAGCCACCAGACCTGGCTACATTTCGTTTTGATACATGCTGCCAATTTTTGCTCAGGAAGGGCTATTCCAACTAACCTCTCACCAGCATAGCACCCATTTTCTCATACTCTTGCCAACAGCAGACATTATCTTACTCCCTTCCCCATCTGATGAACTAAAAATATTTCTCTTTGTTTTATTTTACATTTCTGTGATTACTACTAAGGTCGTTCATATGTTTATTGGCTATCTGTATTTCTACCATGAATTGTCATTGTTTATTTTTCTGTTGGGATATTTATTGTTCTTCTGATTTCTAGGAGCTCTTGTATGGTATTATATTAACCTCTTGTCTATATAGACATTGAAAGATCTTTTTTCCCAGTCTGCTTGTCTTTTTTCCCTGTTTATGACATCTTTAAACTTGTAATTTTATATTTAGTATGAAAAATCTCTTTGCCTTCTAGGTTCTTTGTCTCGTTTGGGAAGGTATTTTTCAACTCAACATTATTATTTATTTTACTTTAATTTTTTTAGAGATAGGATCTCACTCTGTCCCCCAGGCTGGAGTGCAGTGGCCTCATTCACTGCAGCTTTGAACTCCAGGGCTCAAACGATCCTCCTGCCTCGGCCTTCCAAAGTTCTGGGATTACAGGCATGAGCCACTGTGCCCAGCCCAACTCAACATTATTAACAAGGATTATGAGGTGGATATTTGGAGGGTGGATTGTTATAATTTATTGAACCTTTTGGCTGAGAAGTTTTACACAATTTAACAATTACCAAAGAATGTGAAGAAGATGAGGAAGGACACCACTTTATTGAGGGCTGGATCATAGTCTGGACACACTGTGGACTTCCTCTCTGTAGCCACGTGCTAATTTCCATTTTACAGATAAGGAAATAGGTGACTTGCGGCCAGGCACGGAGGCTCACGCATGTAATCCCTGCACTTTGGGAGGCCGAAGCGGGCGGATCACGATGTCAACAGATCAAGACCATCCTGGCCAACATGGTGAAACCCCGTCTCTACTAAAAATACAAAACTTAGCTGGGTGTGGTGGTGCGCGCCTGTAGTCCCAGCTACTCCGGAGGTTGAGGCAGGAGAATCACTTGAACCCGGGAGGCGGAGGTTGCAGCGAGCCGAGATCACGCCACTATACTCCAGCCTAGCGACTGAGCGAGACTCCGTCTCAAAAAAAAAAAAAAAAATGGTGACTTGTCCTAAGTCACACAATTAGGTTGTGTGAAACACAGTCCTTGGGACAAAGCAGGGGATGAATTGATATTTATTGGATGAGCAAGTGAGCTGGAATTGGACCCTCAGCGTCTGACTCAACCCAAGCTCCTGTTCCTACACCCATGGCTGCCCCTTGCTCTCCCGGCACATGGCCTCCTGAGTTTAGCATATTTTTAGCATCAGAGATAGACTGTTATAAAATAGACAATTCTGTATTTGAATTAGTTTTCGCTTTCCATATTATGTAAAGTCAAAAAAATCCGGCTAATTTTCAGGGGACTAAGATGAAGCTTAGGAACAAATTGACTTTTTAGTTTTAGGCCTGAATTTTTGCACAAAACAACAAAAACCACAACAGGCAGAGGAGGCAGCAGGAAGGATCCAGAGTTTTCACTGTAATGCTATTGAGCACCACCTCTTACATGGACGTTCACCTGTGGGGAAACACAGGGACAGCTGCCGTCTGCAGCAGCTCTTTGATCCCCAGGATTTTTGACATATATAGAATCCCAGGTGGGTGGGTAGGGCTGACTCTTACAAGTTGTTTGAGTCTGTTTTGTTTTTTGGTTTCCTATCTCTTTCAGAACATGCTTCTAGAACTTTCATCTATTATGAAAAAATAATGCATCAGGAGCAGCTGGTACCTGCAGGAGGAGAGTTGTGCCTTTGTCAGCTCAAACTGCAGGAAGCGCTTTGGGACCCACACCCTCTACAGACACCCACCAGGCGAAGGGCCCTGTTCAGGGTGCTCCCAGCCTGGGCTCACTTCCACAGGAGACCCTTCCCTTATGGGGGCTGGGGACAGGTTCTCACCCTGCCTGGGCACACTGCTTGAGGGAGGTCTGATGCTCGGGCAGGGAGGAGCTGTACACCGTCAGAGGAGATCTAGGGACAAGAGCGGCTCTGCCTCGAGGAGGAGGATTGGTATATGTCACCTCTTCCCCAGTCCCAGCACAGCCTAGTGGGATATTTTGCAAGACAGTACCCCAGCTCTGCAGTGGCAGCAACAGTAGCAGTTGGCCCCTTAAACATGGGTCCAGAGCAGGACTGGAGCTTTGTGCTCAGCCTGAGGTCAGATGTGCTTCCTGTCTATAAAGGAGAGGTTGACAAGAAACTTTTCAGGCTTTTCCTCTCACCAGTTCATTTCTTGAGGATGAACCAGTTGGATTTTTAATTCATCAATGGCATGGAAATAAAATATTGATTAAAACACTGGCAAACACTCGCATGCCTTTTTTGTATCCCTCTGGGATGATTCATGAGTAGTGGTGATGCCATGATTGTGCCCCTGCAGGAGCTTCCTGGGAGTGGTAGAAGCCAGCACCTCTTCCTCACCCTGCCCGCCCTCCGAGTGGTCCTGAGTCATCCGGGAGAGTGCTCTGTGATGTGCACTGACTGGCCAACCCATGAGGCTGCTCCGCGGGTTGCTACTTGGCCGATCTTGGCTCACTGCAACCTCCGCCTCCTGGGTTCAAGCCATTCTCCTGCCTCAGCCTCCCAAGTAGCGGGGATTACAGGTGCCCACCACCAAGCCCGGCTAATTTTTGTGTTTTTGTATTTTTAGCCTTGTGGTAGCGAGGCTGGTCTTGAACTCCTGACCTCGGGTGATCCGCCCATCTCGGCTTCCCAAAGTGCTGGGATTACAGGCGTGAGCCACTGCGCCCAACCCTGAGTTTTTAGAGCCATAAAGGTGGACTCAATTCCCATGGAAAGAGCCTCTTAGCTTCCCCGTCCTCCACCCCATGGCCAGAGTGGCCCCCAACCCTGGCCACACACTTGATAATAAAGGCTTCAGGTTATAAGGAGAATCAATTTGGTTGAAAGTTATAAGGCTCGGCATCATCTATGTCCTATGAGATAAAAGCCACAGGAAATTCAGGCACTGGCCCCTGCCTCTGACCTCATTCCCCGCTTCTCACTTGTAGCCCAGCTGTGGCAGCTCTGCCGCTCCTACCTGCTGTTGCCCACCCAGCAGTCTGCTGCTGGACAGTGTCCACCTATCCTGTGGCTGCCTTTTGGGGACTCATTATTTTTATGGAGGCAGTTCCAACATATCTTCTCGGCCAACCCCATTCACTCACCATGCCTTTCTTTGTGGCAGCCCTGTAATTATAGTAACGGTGGGGGGGTAGATGATAGGGTTTTTGTTTTTGTTTTTGTTTTTTTTAAAAGACAGGTCTCGCTCTGTTGCCCAGGCTAGAGTGCAGTGGTGTGATCTTGGCTCACTGCAACCTCTGCCTCCCGGGTTCAAGCAATTCTCCTACCTCAGCCTTCCCACTAACTGGCACTATAGAGGTGCACCACCACTCCCAGCTAATTAAAAACAATTTTTTTTTTTTGTAAAAATGAGGACTTGCTATGTTGCCCAGGCTAGTCTGGAACTCCTGGCTGCAAGTGATCCTCCTGCCTCAGCGCCCCCATAGCACTTACATAGATTACAGGTGTGAGCTACCATGACCGGCCCCCAAAATGTGCCTTTTTAAGGGGCATACTATATTCCACGTGCTCACATTATCTATACCTTGTACAACTTGTCAAGTTGTTATTGTTCATTTTCATCTTATAGATCAGACAAGGCTCAAAGAGATTTTCTCCACAGTTAAAGATTACACGGCTGAAGTGCCTGCTGGAATTCAAATCCATATCCAGCTGCTCTGAGGCCCACAGTCCTTTCAGAAATCCTTGTTCTCCTTTCTGTAAAAGTCAGCAGCCCCTGGGCAATGATTTATTTGTACATCTCTCTGCCCAACTAGCCTGTGAAAGCTGTAAGGGTAAGGTATTTGACATCTTGGATGCTTAGCATGTAACACAGTGTTGGTTGAATAAATATATATTTATGTATAAACACCAAAGGCAATACCTTACCCATTGCTTCCAATTTTCCAGTCTTTATTTCTTATTCACTTTCTGTCATGTTGTGTCAATAAGTTTGTCAATAGGTTTCAGAGGCCTCTATGGCAACTTTTTTTGTAATTTCAATTTCTTTCACTCTGAAAAGTCTTTACAGGGTTGTCAAAAACACAGCACAAATGGAGGTTTTAAAAAACAAGTTTGAGGCTGGGTGTGGTGGCTCACGCCTGTAATCCCAGAACTTTGGGAGGCCGAGGTGTGGGGATCATGAGGCCAAGAGAGCGAGACCATCCTGGCCAACATGGCGAAACCACGTCTCTACTAAAAATACAAAAATTAGCTGGGTGTGGTGGTGTGCGCCTGTAGTCCCAGCTACTTGGGAGGCTGAGGCAGGACAATCGCATGAACTTGGGAGACGGAAGTTGCAGTGAGCCAAGATTGGACCACTGCACTCCAGCCTGGCAACAGAGCACGTCTCAAAACAACACAACAACAAAAACAAGTTTGAGCTGGGCCTGGTGGCCCACCTGTAGTCCCAGCTACTTGGGAGGCCGAGGTGAGAGGATTCTTGCGGCCAGGAGTTCACAGCTGCGGCGCACTATGATGATGCCTGTGAATAGCCATTGCACTCCAGCCTGGGCAACATAGCAAGGCCTTGTCTCTACAAAGAAGAAAAAACAAAGTCTGAAGGGCCCAGTGTAAAATGTAATGTTTCCAGTGACTGCTAGCATGTCTCTGAAGGTTTCCATTCACTGCTTCGGGATGAAGGGCACTGTCTCAGGGATGCACTTATCTTCAAGAAGAAAGAGTAAGAACTAGCCATGGAGAATCAGCAATGCCTCTTTGTGGCTAAGCAGGCCAGTGGCAGATGTGTGTCAGGATCTGCAGGAACCAGGGACGGGTGTGGAGACAGAAGGCGTCATGCTCTTGAGTGAAATGAAAGACACTTGCGTAATGGGATGTGTGGCTTTCTCCATCTCTTTGGGCCTTGATTTTTTGACACCAGGAAGTATTGTGTTCACTTGTACCACGAAGGCATAGGTGCTCAGTGAGGAGAATTGGAAACCCATTTCTGCTCACGGCACCTTCACCAGCTGCTGTTAAACATTAAGTACAATCTTGCTAATGCATCCCAAGTGGTGGGGCAGAGTTGGGTGAGGTGGTGGGTTGGAGAAGAGTGAAAGACTCTAAAATGATTTCAAAGAACAGCTCAGTTATTTCCAAATACATACAACAAAACTGCTGGCAGGGCCTGGTGTAGAAGGAACCTGTCCTCACTGCCCCAGAGGCAGATACAAATTTCCCATAAGAAGCACATGTAAAGTAGGAAAGAAAATGGCTGCTGTCCACCTGGGGCTGGACAGTGCTTAAAAGCTCTTTTGTAGCCGCGATTCCCAACCTTTTTGGCACCAGGGACTGGTATCGTGGAAGACAAATTTTCCACGGACCAGAGGCAGCGGGGGTGGGGGGATGTTTTCGGGATGACACCGTTCCACCTCAGATCATCAGGCATTAGAGTCTCATAAGGAGCTGCAACCCAGATCCCGCACATGCACCGTTCACAGTAGGGTTCGCGCTCCTATGGGAATCCAGTGCCACCGCTGATGGGGCAGGAGGTGGAGCTCAGGCAGTAATGTTCACTCCCCAGCTGCTCACCTCTTGCTGTGCGGCCTGTTCCTAACAGGTCATGGACCGGAACCAGTCTGCGGCCCAGGGGTCGGGGACGCCTGTTTTGCAGGACGCAACAGCTGGTGAGGTTTATTTTCCTTCAATGCATGACCATTATTTGTATCACAAGAGCAGATGTCAGGGTTGAAGGTGCACATGACCATCAGTTCTAAATTACCAGGTTTTCCCACAGAAAATTTTGGGACTCTGACCCACCTGTTTTTCTCAGAGTGGATTAACTTCACATCTTCAGGCGTAGGTAATCCGCCTCTTGTACCGAAAATGTTATGACTGCGACGTTGTCACAGCAGCACACATTTGCAAAACCCATGACCTGCTCTCAGGAAGCCTTCCTTGACTCCATAGGTGCCCATGGAGACTCGCCCGAGGGAGCAGAACTTGGCAGTTTTTAATTTCCGTTTTCCCATCTGGCGGTCGCATGCACTCCTTGAAGCGTGAATCTCGGCAGCACAGCCCTGCCCTGCCCGGATACCATGCGCATGCACTGGTTACAGCCTCGCTGACAGCTCAGACCCCCCTGCTCTGCTCTAGTGGCTTTCTCTCACCTCCGAGCTCCAGTCCAGTGTTCGCTCATGGTCACTCGACCTGCCCACCATTTGATATCTTGTTTTCTCTTTACATCAAAATCGAAGACATAACTATCAAATACACTTTTAGAATACAACTTTTAAACTGTACAGTCATGCATGGCATAACCATGTTTTGGTCAATGATGGGACGAATATATGACAGCGGTTCCATAAGATTGTAAACCCTATTTTTACTGCAACTTTTCTATGTTAAGATACACAACTACTTACCCTGGTGTTACAATTGCCTACCATATCCAGTACAGTTACATGCTGCACAAGTTTGCAATCTAGGAACATCTAGTCTAGGTGTGTCATAGGCTTTCTCATCTAGGTTGGTGTGGCACACCCTGATGTTCTCACAATAGGAAATTGCGTAAGGATGCATTTCTCACAACGTACCCCCTTCACTAACCAATGCATGACTGTATGGATTCCTCAACCACAATTCTAAACATCTTTCCTTGCAACTCACTGCATCTTGGTGTTGGCTTAATGTTCTTTCTCATTTACTTTCATTTAGTTTTTAAAAAATTCAGCCTATTTTGGATATAATTGCAGATTCACATGCAGTTGCAAGAAATGATACCCATCACCCAGTTTTCTCCCGTGGTAACATTCTGCATAGCGATAGCACAATATCAAAACCGAGAAATTGGGTTTAAAGCCTTTTATCTACTCTCACAGGCACTAGGGATTTTTAAAATTCAGAGTTTAGGAATCACATTAATATTATCCAATTTTAAAGATTCCTAATCAGATTAATCAGGTAGCAAGTAAGGGTCCAAACTAGAGGAAGAGAAATGGCCTCTAGGAAAAAAGATTTCCTGAGGTTTCTCACTCTGTAATTTGGAACATAGGGATCAGAGGCAGAGAAAATCAGTTTACAATGCATAATGATATGTCTTTATTTCATCAACAGAAATGGTGTCTAGACAAAATTCAGTTAACACTAGCAATTCAATTGAGTGAAAACTTTTTTTGCACAATAGTGTATTTACAATGAGTAAATGAAGTTTCAATTCATTAGTTCATAGCAATGCTTTTTTCCCCCAAAAGGTAAAAATTCTTAGTTACAGAGAATAAGCATCAACAGCCTTTCATTTTTTACAATAAAAACCACGAGAAAAACCACAATCACTTAGAAAAAAATAAGGACAAGCCTAAGAACTAGTACAATAAAATGATGCATTGAATTAAATTACATTAATCGCATAGAATCTGTGTAAAAAGTATGTAGAAAAACACCTGATGTAACCTGTTACAGTCGTTGACCAGTTATGAGAGGTACAGAGGGTTATACAGGTAGATATGTGTGAAAACTGTCCGTATTGTTCAACCTGGGGAGGAAGAGAAGAGGGGCTGCAGCCCCTTGCATACACTGAGAAGACCCTGTTTTGAATATGGCCTCTGGAGTTTGTAAGGCATATATTAGAGGTGCACTTGCATCAGACTGGTTCTGGAACAAATTGTCAAATTGTCACAGGCTCTCTTGGCCTCACTAGCAAAGGTGGTGCTTGCCTTGAATGGCTCACTGTGTCTAACAAGCACCTGAAGCTCCCAAATGCATATGGAATCTTCCTGATCACTCACTAGAGGTGCCATGTCTTTATGTCAGAGCGTGAAACGGGCATCCCAGGATTTGCACACACAAAATACATTGTTAGGACTTAAGGGGAGGTCATAGTTCTGCCTCCAAACATGTTTTGGTAGAAGACTGAGCATCCATCTGTAGGAAAACCCCTCTTTGTCCAAGTCCCTTCACTCTTTCGCAACATATGCGTCTGATTATTCCCATGGGAGCACTTGGCACTGAATGTGAGTCTACCTGAAATGAATGGTCTTGGTGCACACTTCTGCTTCTAAGAAGGGCCAGTGTTTTATCTGAGGTCAATAAACTGGAATGAGAATGAAAGTCAGAGCTGTTTATCCATTGCTTGACAGCAAAATGCATACACCGTGTCACAACATTAAATCAAAGCTATGAAAGTTGGCCTCTGCAACCAAGTGGGTATTCTTCACAAAATGGCAGCATCGTTTTCATATTACATTTAAAATGCACTGATATTCATTTGATAGAAATATCATCTCCCAGGGTGGAGTGTAGGAAAATACTATAAACTTTTCTTTGCAAGTAATGTTTTTGCACCGTCAGTTGAATAATTTATGCTCAATCTGCCACAATGAGACTTTTCTATGTACAAATGCTATTTGCACACACTATTTGTGTACAGATATGTTCTGTTCTACAGCATCGGTTTTGGACGCTGGGGTCATGAGATGGCTCAGGCAGTACTATAAACATACACTTTCAACACACAATGCCTCGTGCACACAGATTTCCTGTATGAATACCAACTCCACACAGGGCATTGTATTGTGGACTGACTCACCAGAAATTGCACTTCCAACACAGTCTTCAGTTTGGGGAAGAAACACTAACTCATGATACAACGAACAGCTTTATTCTTAGAAAACAAAAACAAAAACAAAAAACACCTTGTTCTTTAGTCTATTTACAGTCATTTGAGGACCAAACTTGATTCTTGCTCCTTCTGGATCTGAGACTCCTCCTAAACTGTAAGCAATAGTGAAGCAGTTTGAAGTCATTTCTAAGACAGCTCCTAGTTTAAATGGGGCATAATGTAGAGAAGTAGGTAGCCAAATAGGGACTTGAGAAAGCTTTGCAGGCAGCTCTTCCTCATTTTGAGAGGATTATGCTACTCCACAGGATGTCAAGCAGCTTCACGGGACAGGAGTTTTTGGTGTCTTAACAGGCTTATCATTTTCAAACCTTTGTCTGTTCCTTCTTTTTCTTCTTCTTTGATGGCAATCATAAAATATTAAAAGAGAAAATGTGGGTTTAGGCCTCTTGACAACAGCATTAAACTTCACACTGTGCACACTTCACTTTAGCCAGTCCTCTCATGAGTCTTGTCGCTGGTCCTGGCTCCTTTTGAAGGAGTAGTGGCAGTTGGCATACTAATCACTAGACTTTTGTTCCCTTCCTTGGAAAAGCAATGTAAGGATTACATCCCGAATTATAGTGCATCTTAAAAGCAGCAAACCTTTAGAAAGACAGTTAATAAATTACTCGCACAACATTCAGTTGCAGACACACAGAGTCAGGTTTTCCACTGCAGCATCATCTCTGATGCCTGAGTCATTGCTGGGAACTCAGAAGATAAATAGCAGGATGGCCTCGTAACTTTGTCGGTTTTTTTTTTTTTAAAGTTTTTCTAACTGTTTTGTTCCAGAATCAGTATGTAATAAAGTTCGATTTTAATCAAGGCACCCCCAGGTAACGCAGAGAAACAAACACATACAGCAAATCACTCACCTGTCCAAAGCCTGACCAACTTGAAAAGAGGTTGCCTGGATACACAAGCAGGACAAAGGCAGATCCAAGGGGAGGACTGGATTTAGGTGGGATGTTCATTAGTCTCAGGGTCACTCACCTCCACTGGCTCTGCCCCAACAACCATTCCTACCCCAGCCATTTGGAGACCCAAGCAGGCATCCTCCTAAACAGCCCGTGGTTGGAGGGTCTCTTATTTTTGTAAGAAAAGAGCCTTAAGAACAACCAAATGTTACTGTACTGTGCAAACACTCTTCCTTGCTGTTCACTCACTTTTCTTTTTCCTAAAAGGCGTGGGGTTGACAGAGGGATCCCAGGGAAAAGAGACAGGCTAGGTTTTAAAATTCCACTTGAGGCCGTTTGGATTCTGGTCCCCAGCAAGTCCTCCCTTTGAATCAACCCAGAAATAATTTTGACAAGCACATAGTTCTGAATAGGAAAAGACACACACACATCACATGAACAACTGCACGAAGCTAGTCACTGTTCATGGTGGATTATGAATGAAATAACTTGTGAGAAATCTCTATGAAATTGGAAGATGGTTTTTAGAGCAGTGTTTTTAACCAGTTCCCATGGCAGAAGTTAGGTTGGGGGAAGAGGAAGAAAAGCAAGGCAGGGGTGGGTGGGAGGAAGGTGAGGTCTGAGTTAGGGTGGAGAGAAATAAAGAGGCCCCGCCCCTGCTAGAAATGGCTGCCAAACAGGTCTGGGCTACTGAACCACAGAAACCTGAGGAAATGGATGGAATGTGGTCAAGACTACCAGTTGCACATGAGTTGTTACCAGGGTAAACCTCATGCCAAGAAGCTGGGTTGGACCTGGTTATGATATGAGCAGAAAGTGTTCTTTTTTTAAAAGAAGAGGAGAGGTCACTTGGAAAGGCAACAATAGAGTTAAAAAGCAAAATACTGTCAGCTGACTCCACTGTAACACACGCCTGCGAAGTATCACGTGATTCACATTGAGTTTATATTCTCACTGTCACCAGTTTTCCACAAAGGCAAACCTCATGGTGAAGCACAGAACTGTCCTAGTAGGCCAAGAAATTCCAACAACCATAACAAAAACCAGCAGCTCCAACACAGAGCTTTATCAAGATCTGTTTCAGACACACACACACACACACACACACACACACACACACACACACACACACACAAACAAGAAAAAACAAAAACCCAGAGGCAGGTTTTAAAAGTGGAACTGTTTAAAAAGAAAAGCCTTTTTTTTTTTTTTTTTTTTTTTTTTATCCTACTGCATGAACTGACAAATTTCTGGCATTCATACATATTTAAACATTTAGTGCTAATATTTGTACAGAAAAAAGTTAATAATACTAAAACATATGTTACTATGATTTCACTTTTAGCCTACATCATATACTAATTTCCCCTTTTACATGCAGCTTTAATATTGTCCAAACAATGGCACAAATAAAGAAACAAAGTCAACCATCTATTCCCCACTGCCCACCACCCCATCCCCACATCAAACCGTTCAGGACTCTCTTCCCCAGCCGGGCTGGAGTGGCCCTCGGGCTGCTCAGTGAGACCCGGACCCAAGGCCACTGGAGCGAGGGAGCTGATTCCTCCTCCTCTGGGGCACACCTTCCTGTAAACGTGGCTGGGGCCAACACGGCCCCAGAGCCAAGGGAAGCTGCTCTCTCTGGGTTGCAAGCCAACCAGTTTTGCAGCAAGAAGAGAAAATTATCATCAGGTGAGGGTAGGGTATGTGTGT
This sequence comes from Homo sapiens, assembly GCF_000001405.40. Taxonomy (NCBI): domain Eukaryota; kingdom Metazoa; phylum Chordata; class Mammalia; order Primates; family Hominidae; genus Homo; species Homo sapiens. Next base: position 89,930,744 of record NC_000006.12, read on the forward strand.
GATTCGGGAAGGGGACAGGGAGGGTTCCCGGTGATAGCTTGTCCAAAGCCTCAGAATGAAGTCTGCCTTCAGACAAGACACTGGCAGAAAAACCTCAGAAGAAAACTCCAAGCCTTTGGAGAAGGAAAGGAGAAAGAATGTGTCAGCCTGTGTCAGGGATGGATCGCAGATGCCAGGATGCCCTGCTCTCTCCCAATGGGGTGAAGGCAGGACCTTCGGGGCTGTGATTCAAATCCCCTCAGGCCAGATGTCCTGGGAGGCCAAGCCTGGGCAGGAAAGCCAGTGGCTGGTTGGCCCCGTCCTTCAGGGGAGCAGGTCCTACTGCACAACACTTCCAAGAGCAAGCCGAGGCCTCAGGACGTGTTGAAATGAATGGGACTTACTCCCTGGGTGAAAACTTTCTAACTTGATTTCTAGGAGCCAATGCCTGCTGAGTTCTGGTATAAAATCACGGATTCCTGTTTTTCTGATGTACTTTTGAGTGAGATGTCCAAACTCTCTCCCCACTTAGGAATCTGAACATCCAGCATCAACTCTGAACTCTCTATCTGCGTTTAAACTTTGCTTAGGGAAAGGTGGGGAGGAGGTGAAATATAAAAATATTCAAGCAGATTATTGTCTACACATCCTAGGATGAATTCATTATTTGGCAAGATTGTTTTTCCTACATAATTATCACCTGAGTGCTTTTTAATTAGCTAAAATGTTTTACTTTTTTAACTAAAAGCAAAGAATATACAGTATACTTGAGTTATACCGAAGTTACAACTTCATTTAAGAAAATAGGTTTGACCCAAAACTCAGTGCAAGTGGCAAAGTTGACCATTACTGTACAGTATCTGCAAGGAAAACAAAAACAAAAACAAAAACAAACAAAACCCCCCAAACAAACAAAAAACAAACCTACAATGCTCAAATGACACCACTTGGAGGTGCCAAAACCAAACCAAACGAAAAAGAAATCTGAAATAAAACCTTGGGAAAAAGCTTCCAACACTGAATTTTGTCCATAAATAAGTACGAATTGAAAATTGAACTGTGAAGCAAGAAAAATGACCATGTTAACAGTTACCAAACTAGTTCTAGCATCAGAGACAAAAGAAGAGGAATGTTGGAACCTGTTTCTAAATGAGAAATAAGTTTCCAGTTTTAGGATGAGAAAGTTGAGGCATGCAGGACTTTTGCATATGGATATATATATATATATATATATATTTTATATATATATTATATATAATATGTACAGTCTAGCTATAAAACTTTGATGTGTATAGAAGCTGTCTTCAATGAAAAAAATTGAACATTCAGAAGAAATTCCTGAGATAGGGTTTGTGACATGGGCCACTGAGAAAAAAAATCCGTGGTTGGGGCCTAGAGGTGTTGTAGTCTATCCCTGTGAAGACTGAAATTGAGCCACAGACAGACAGTGTCATCACTGCTGTCTTTCCTTGCCTGGGCAAGGGGTAGCACCATTGTGAAGGTAACTATCACTCCTGCTCGAGAAGAGGAGAGGATACTTCGGAACAGTATTGCTGCTAAGACCGCTGTAGTGTGCACCAAATGTGTTCTCGGTTTCTTCGGGACAGCAGATGAACAGTGCCACAGGCTGACTGAAGAACGCCTGGATGGGAGAGGTGTGCGGACTGGGAGGCAGAGCCGAGTCACTAGGTATAATCTTTCCTGGGCTGTTCGTCAGTTGTACACTTATCAGTCATTTCCTGGCAGAAGTCCACGGTCACTGTTTGGCTCCTGGGTTCAAGAGGAGGTCCTCTCTCTGAGAAGGTTCCCGGGTCAGTGCCTTCTAGTCTCCTCCCAGAGGTACAATTCTCGGAGGTGTTGCTGGGTGCCCAGGGGGGTCCGGGGGGAGCCGCGCCTGGCTCCAAGCAGCAGGGCACGTTTTCCCCCACTGCGCATTGGGAGGCCGCAATGTTCTGCTCAGCACCCAAGGGCGCAGGGTTAATACTGGAGGCCGTGGGCAAGTCCATGGGTCTGAGGACAGGGCAATACCGATGCAGGGCCTGGATCTGCTCGGGGCTCTGGATGTCTCGGCAAACTTCCTGGGAAAGGCAGGAGAAGTTGTCCAACAGTTCCCCCATGCATGCTTTCAGTTGATTCCTCTCTGACAACAGTTTCTCTTTCTCACACACCTGGACAGTAGAGAAAAAAAGAGAAGGGTTGATCAAGCCTGAACTGGAGGACAGAAGGCCTCGTTTCAGGTTTTCCAGCCTTTGTTTTGCATCCTCCATTATAATGTAACTCAAGAATGACTAGGTCAGGCTCTAGAAACTTAAAGATACATATTCAGGGGGCCCAGACACAGGCTTCTGCCACACCTTCCATCTGATGCCAACACCTTCCCCAGGACATCTCTTCATCCCTCTCCAAGGCCCGGGCAAACAACCGGCAAAATCGTCACGAATCAGAAAACTTCAGAGTCCATGTTTTGGTTTCCTGGAATTTGGGGTTTGTAGAGAGTTAAATGAAAAACTCTCAGTCCCAATCTTGTGACTGAAAATCTCCCCCAAATGTATCAGGTTGCCATTTTTGAAAGGCAAAAATCTACCATTCCAACCGTATGACATTTCGAAAAAAGCAAAACTATGGAAGCAGTAAAAAGATCTGTGGTTGTTAGGGGTAAAAGGGGTTGAACAGGTGGAGCACAGAGGATTTGGGGGCAGTGAAGCCACTCTGTATGACACTATACTGGTGGATCCATGTCATTATACATTTGTCCAAAACCATAGAACGTGCAACACCGAGAGTGAACTCTAATGCAAACTATGGACTTGGGTGATAATGATGTGTCAGTGTAGGTTCATTGACTAACACATGTACCACTTTGTGGGGGATGCTGACAGTGGGGGAGGCTGTGTGTGTGGGAACAGGACCATATGGAAACTCTCTGTATAGTGTGTTCAGTTTTGCTGTGAACCTAAAACTGCTCCTAAAAAAGTAAGTCAGGCTGGGTGCAGTGGCTCCCACCTATAATCCCAACACTATGGAAGGCCAAGTTGTGCGGATCGCTTGAGCTCAGGAGTTTGAGACCAGCTTGGGGAACATGGCAAAACCCCTTCTCTACAAAAAATACAAAAATTAGCCAGGTGTGGTGGCACACGCCTGTAGTTTCAGCTTCTTGGGAGGCTGAGGTGGGAGGATCACTTGTGCCCGGGTGGTGGAAGCTGCAGTGAGCGAGATGGTGCCACAGCACTCACCCTGGGTGATACAGTGAGACCCTGTCTCCCCGCACCAAAAAAAAGTTTATTAAAAAAAAAGACAAAAAAAAAGTCATCAACAATTTCCTGTCGTTGCCTAACATACGGAGTTTCATATAGAACCCAGTATCAGCAGGCTCTCTGGCCTTGGTAGCAGAGCAGACTGAACAGGAGGGACCCTCCCTAGGACAGCTGGGAAAAGTGCAGTCTGGAGCAGCGATTCTCCCCGACTTGGGAAGGGAGAAGTAAGGATGGAGCCTGAACCCTTGAGTACTAGCCCAAGGTTCTGAGATGTTCTTCTCCTTAAACAAAATCCTACACATGCTCCTGTGTTACTGAAATTCACCATCCCAATAGAGAGGTGACTTCAGCAGCAGACTGGAGACTAATTAAGGTTTTACCATCAACATTTGTGAGAAGGGGGCTGGGCATGGTGGGTCATGCCTGTAATCCCAGCACTTTGCGGCTGAGATGGGCAGATCACTTGAGGTCAGGAGTTCGAGACCAGCCTGGCCAACATGGTGAAACCCTGTCTTTACTAAAAATACAAAAAATTAGCTGGGTGTGTTGGTGCGTGCTTATAATCCCAGCTACTTAGGCGGCTGGGACATGAGAATTGCTTGAATCCGGGAGGTGGAGGTTGCAGTGAGCCGAGATTGCACCACTGCACTCCAGTCTGGGCGACAGAGCGAGACTTTGTCTCAAAAAAAAGAAAAAAAAATTGCGTGAGGGTGAGGGGAGGAGATGGGGTTCCATGAGGCACACACAATGAAGTGGATGAAGAAAAGGGGCATCTGAAGCAGCATGAAGTCAGTTCTCACCAACCCTTTGCAAGCGCAGGCAGGAGAAGAGGACGGGAGAGAAAATGAAGAGGAGAAAGGGAGGAGCAGGCATGCGACACGCACAAGGAACAGGTCTCCGACACGGGAGCTGCATGTGCCGTAACATGAATGCAATCTGGCAGGCGGCGTGGGCATGTGTGTCGGAAAGAGAGATTTACACCGGGAAAGGGCACCTCCTAAAATATTTATAAATTTATCAAGAAAATATGTTTTAAAAATGAAAAATAAACAGATGTACAAGTGCAACTTGAGAGAAATACATTATGCGAGTTTGCAACAGCTGAGTGGCGGGTGTGTGGGAGACGGCGTGGGAGTGGGGAGTGAGTGCAGGGCCTGCTGGGGACCGGGCAGGGCAGGGAGGGACTTGGGGAGAGGTGGAAGCTGCTCCGCCCACCAGCGCCATCCCTGTCAGGACATAGCATCCTCACCACAGGGTGGCAGATAAGAAACAAAACACATCTGGGATGTCTCCTTAGGGAAAAAACTTATATGGGTGGCTGTGCAACCTGGAGCTCTCCCCTTTTAGTACAGAAATCTGCAATGTGAGGGGCAATACTGCTTGGGCGCTGGGAGAGGAACCCCAGGATCATTCTGCCACATTACCCCGGCCAAAGCACGGACCCCTCCAGGCCTACTCATCTGTTAAATGTTCCAGGCCACTTTCTAGGGGGAAGAAAATGAGGTGCCGCGTGTGACAGCAGCAGGGGAAGGCATTGCAAATCATGCCTTGGTTAAAACCATGAAGCTCTCAGTCACAGACGTACACTGATGAATGTGTTCTTATTCGGCACTGAAACACAACGTGTTATTTAAGGGGATGCCAAAAAGTGGTTGGAGAACTAGATGATGCTCTAATTTGGTTTTTTGGTTGAAAAATGCTAGCAAAGCGCTTTAGATATCTGCCTGGTCTGTGGCTTGGAATTTATTTGTTCAGTATCACAAAATTACACTAAGCAGAATGCAAATTACCAAAACCAGGCATTTCTCAAATGTGGGTGACTGAAGTTATTTTACTACCTTAAGAGGAGTGCAGGGCACTATAGACATGTGCCTAGGCCCCTGTAGACTCACACCCAGTGGACTTAACTACCTAAGCCCAGCAGGCTTTCAGAAGACCCACACTCACCAGCAGGAATGTCGTCTCCTTATGTGATTTAAATTAAATTTTGTTGTTTAACGACATTAAACATGTTAAAGCAATATTTGAAAGAAAGAAGAAACTCATAATCCCCTGAACTGAATAGTCACAATGTCCAGCGAATTTTAGGGCAATAGACATTTTCTGGGCGCCAGCAATGGGTCCAACACTGGATATTCAGAGATGATCAAGTCACTGTCCTTGTCCTTGAGGAACTGACAGTTGAGGGCTGGGGAGACAGACAAATGTATAGATAACTCAAGAGTAAGTGATAAGCACTAAGCCAGAGGTCAGATCAGGCTTCCACAGGCAGGTGCCCAGCCTAACTGGGGACTCAGGAAAGGGGCTTCCTAGAGAGGTGATGCATAACCTGACTCATTCATTCATTTAGAGATGGGGTCTTGCTATATTGCCCAGGCTAGTCTCAAACTTGTGGCCTCAAGTGATCCTCCTGCCTCAGCCTCCCAAAGTACTGCGATTACAGGTGTGAGCCATGGTGCCCAGCCATGACCTGACTCTTAAAGAACAAAGGAGATAGAAAAAGTGGAGGAATGTCCAAGGCAGAGAGGAAGTGGCATAGGCACAAGTGCAGAGTTTGATTTTATCAGGGATCAAGTCCTAGGAAGGGAGTGGATGGTGACACTGGAGAGGTAGCTACAGACTGGAACACAAATGGCAGGAGATATCCTACTAAGAAGCTTGGACTTTCTTTGTTGGTGATGGGAGCTGCTAAACACAGACATTTTCCCTGGTGGTGAGTGTCAAAGAAACCCACAAAACAACAACAACAACAATAACAAAAAACCCTGACGTCCAGGGCTATCTTGATAACATATAACATCCTGTGCTTTTCTAACATTTCATCCTTGTGCTTTCGTTCTCATTAGCTGGTGGCTCACCATGAGGCCAGGAGGTGCTGCAAACAGTCTGAGGAGCCACACTTAGATCATGACCATACCATGTGGCCTCCCTCTTCTTCAGCCTGACACAGACATGGCACCTGAGATGAGTTTCTGTTATTTGGTGGCAGAAAGGTGGAGCTGAAGGAGGTTGAGTTGGTTGTCTTCAAAGCTACAGTCAGGAGCCAGAGGTCACCTGGATTTACTTTCTGTAGTTTATGGTTGCTTATCAAGGAGAAGGGGCGGGGGCACATAGCTCTGAGTATGGGGGAGCCTGGGAGACGGGAGTTTGTTTTCTGTGACAAAACACTCTCAGGCACAGGGATGGCGATGACAGCCACCTTGAGGCAGAACTGCAAAAGAAAGGACCCTGGGCCTGCAAAGAATGTCAGGAGATCATCTCCTGAGCAATGGCCCCTCTGCAGGTAGGCGTCCTATCTCTATTCCATTCTCTTCTGCCAGGAGGCAGGAGAAAGCAGTGGTACAAGACACGATTTGGAATCAGACACCTGGGTTTGCATTCAAGTTCTACCAAGTACTGGGAAGTTTTCCAGCCCTTCTGCAGTTCCCTCCTCTGTAAATGGGGATAAAGGAGTGCCTGAGTCATAGCGTTCATGTGAGGATTAAATGGGATCATCCATAAAAACAGTTTAGAAGAATACCTGGACCATAGATGCTCATAATCAACATCAGTTATTTATTCATTTTTTTTTGAGACAGGGTTTCACTCTATCACCCAGGCTGGAATGCAGTGGCGTGATCTCCACTCACTGCAACCTTCACTTCCCCTGCTCAAGTGATTATCCTGCCTCAGCCTCCCGAATAGCTGGGACTACAGGCACGTGCTGCCATGCCCGGCTAATTTTTTGTATCTTTAGTAGAGACAGGGTTTCTCCATGTTGGTCAGGCTGGTTTCAAACTCCTGACCTCAAGTGATCCACCCGCCTTGGCCTTTCAAAGTGCTAGGATTACAGGCGTGAGCCACCACATCTGGCCAACATCAGTTATTTTCACATGTTGGATGGAAAATAAAAAATAACTACCTCTATATGAATAATGACTGAAGGATATAAAATATTGACACACTATTACACACCTGCGCGCATGCATGCGCGTGCAGACACACAAACACACACACACACACGCACAGATGTAAAGCTATTATTTCTGTTGAGAAACTTCTTAAAAAATAAACCCAAACTTCCGCAAAGGGTGACCCTTCTGTCTACTTTTCCAACTTTCATTGCTGTTACTTTACATTAGTCCTGGTCACTTCAGGTTGCTGATCACAATGGATGGGTCAACTCACCAATTTGCGGATTTCACATTCTAAATTCTGAATACAGTCCAGTTTCCTTTTGCGGCAGCGCTGGGCCGCGATGCGGTTCTTGCTGCGCCGTCGGACATCATGAATAAACTCTAACTGTTCTGAGGTTAGCTTGTGCATTTTAATCATCATCTGGAAATCGTTCCTTGGAAGATCTGTGATTTGATCTACAGGAAAAGGAAGTTTTACCTGAAACCAAGAATAACAGAAAATGATTATGGCAGCTGGATTTTAATTCTGGCAGGCGGAACATCAAAAATGATAAAACCTCCTTTTTATGATGACCAAGTAATATGGAAACTACTGAAAGCAAGCAGTGATTACTTATTTCCTGTTTAAAGACAGATAAGATGTAATAATACCTGGATAATCAAACAGAATAAGAACACATATATTGCAATGTTATTGTCTCTGAGATTTTTGAAGCAAATGACATGAACAATATTGGAAAATGTGTCATTTTTCATTGATGTAGCACTTTTGTAAGAAAGATTCTAGTTAGTTGAAATGTACTTCCATAAGACCTACAGCCTAACTCAATAAAATGACAAGTTATAGGGAGATACCACATAAGGACATATCTAAAGCCCCTGAATGAAGAGAGCCCCATGTATCCTGAAAATGCTGGAGACACAAAAAACCCAGTGTGATTCTTAGTTACAATAGCATATGGGAGATAGGAGGAGATAACTTGGATAGGCTTCACTAGCATATAGTAGGAGTCAAAAGAACCGGGCTTTCATCCTTCTCACCAGACATGAGACCTCAGGCTAGCTACTCCACCTCTCTGAGATTCAATTTCCTCATCTGAAAAATAGGGCATTTTAAAAAAGCCGTACAGTGCTATACAAGTGTTGGGCACTTTGGGAATTTATTTTCCAATTTTACAATGAAATGTTGACATTCCTTTATCAAAAGGTGAGATGCATTTTTCCTGCCTTTTGACCAACAGAATGCAGCAGTAGTAATGGTGTATAGTTTCTGAGGCTAGGTCGAAAATTAGCTGCCATGCCTCGAGGACATTCAAGCAGCTCTGTGGAGAGGCCCATGTGGAGAGGGGCTGATGCCTCTAGTCAACAACCAGCATCACCTTGCCAGTCATGTGAACAAGCCACCCTGGAAAGATTCTCTAGCCCCAGTCAAACCTTCAGTTGAGTGTAGCCCCAGCCAACATCTGACTTCACCTTATGAGAGATCTTCAGCCCAAACTGCTCAGATGGGCAACTCCTGAATTCCTGACTCACATTCACATTTCTCATAGAAACTGTAAGAGGTGTTAAGTGATTACTATTGTTTTAGGTCATTAAGTTTTGGGGTGATTTATTATGCAACAATAGACATTGGATGCAGGTACTTGCCAGCAAAATTCCAAATCTTGACAAATTCCAATTCTTGACAAATCAAGGCAAATAAGCATTATCTAAAGCGAGGACAGCAGTCTCCTGAAGGATGGGTTTGTATCCTTACTATGTTGTTAAATGATTGCTTATATTTCTTTTTTTTTTTTTTTTTTTTTTTTTTGAGACAGGGTCTTGCTCTGTTACTCAGGCTGGAGTGGAGTGTTATGATCACAGCTCACTGTAGCCTTAACCTCCTGGGCTCAAGCAATCCTCTTGCCTTGGCCTCCCAAGTAGCTGGGACAACCCTGCCCAGTTAATTAAATTTTTTTTTTTTTTTTTTTTTTGTAGAGATGAGGTCTTGCGCCACAGAGAAGGGGAAAAAAAGAGATGAAGTCTCACAATGTTGCCCAGGCTGGTTTCAAACTCCTGGGCTCAAGTGATTCTCCCTACTCAGCCTCCCAAAGTGTTGGTATTACAGGTGGGAGCCACTATTCCTGGCCTGAAATATTTCTTTTCTTTTTTCTTTTGAGATGGAGTCTCGGTCTGTCACCCAGGCTGGAGTAGAGTGGCACGATTTTGACTCACGGCAAACTCCACCTCCCTGGTTCAAGCGATTCTCCTGCCTCACCTCCTGAGTAGCTGGGATTGCAGGTGTGCACCACCATGCCCAGCTAATTTTTGTATTTTCAGTAGAGATGCGGTTTTGCCATGTTGGCCAGGCTGGTCTTGAACTCCTGGTCTCAAGTGATCCGCCCGCCTTGGCCTCCCAAAATGCTGGGCTTACAGGGGTGAACCATGGTGCCTGGCCTGAAATATTTCTTAAGAATAGCAACCAGTGAAAAAGACTGCATGAAAGAGCCCCAAGTGCGGAAGGTGAGCAGCAAACCACTACTCTATCTCAAGAGCCTCCTTGGCACCCATGAGGTGACACAGGCTTGCACCTTTGAGCAGTTTGTCACTCCCCTTCCCGAGGCTCTTGGGGATTCAGCAGCTTCTGGGTTCAGTCTGGTCCTGCTTCAGAAGCTCCTGGAATAAAAAGGTTGTGTGCTGCCAGGCTAAGAGACAACGTGTGGGTTAGCTCAGATTGCTTCATTCTTGTTTACATTCACGTCTGCTCCGGATGAGCCAGCAGATGGCACTACAAACCTAAACTTCCTTCAAGCACTAGCCCAGCCCTGTCTAATACAAACAATACGAGCTACATTTGTGATTTTAAATTTTCCAGCAGCTACATTAAAAGAAGTAAAAAGAAACAGGTGAAATGAGTTTGAATACTGTATGTTATTTAACCCAATAGATAAAAATACTTCCAACATATAGCTAATATAATTATTAATGAGATAGTTTACAGTTTTTTTTTTTTTTGTGCTAAACTTTCCAAATCCAAAGCACATTTTATCCTTACAGCACATCATAATTCAGACTAGCCACTTTCAGGGGCTCAACAGCCACGTGCAGCATGAGGCAAATGGACTGGACAGTGCCACTCTAGGAGACAGAATAAATGGACTCAATGAATCCCAGCAGCCAGAAAAACATATGGGTCTGGGCTGAACTGATCAAAATGCTCTTGGGTGAAGAAACCAACCCCTCGATAGTGTTCAGATGCTGCAGGGTTAAGTCTGTGTTCTTCAAGGGAGTGAGGATGAAGACATTTGATCCTGAGCCCAGGTTTCTCTTTGGTTACATCATTTGCAGGCAGACACGAGTCCCGGCTGCCGGCATGTGTGGCTAGTCAATTCCCGTGCACAAAGGCAAATGTACAAAATGATCATTTGACTTTTCTGTGGTTGGGTGCAAGCTCTTTGTCAGGTTCCATCACAGCTCCGAGCTTGTGCAGTGTGGCATTTACTGAAGGTTCCCAGCAGGTGATCTGATTCAACTTCTACCTGGTGAGCTCTGTCCCATGACACCTGTAAAATTTTGGTCCAAGAAAGCAAAATCGCAGTAGGGCCCATGACACCACTGTCGGCTTGGCCCTGCTCCGACTGCTAAAGACAGGCAGCCAGGACAAACAGTTCCTTGTTATGGGCTCGGGAAAGGCCTTTGTGCACGGGGCTGTGTTTGCACAGGGCTTCTAATGATATGAAAGAATGTTTGATTTCCCTCTTATACCCGTTGGATAACAAACACACTCAGATCCTGCACGGTGTCTCCGGAACACAGAGGTCTGTCTGTTGGAGATGTGGATGTTCCAACACAGCAGAGGTGGTGGCGCTTTGGGGGCTTGTGGAGTTTTCCCTCTGATGACAACAAAGCCATTCTGCTTCTGCTCTAAATGTGTTTACTTACTCTCAGAAAGAAGATATCCCTATAGTTCAGGCCACAGGGAAAGTCAAAAGGATGTCTATACCAAGAGCTACTGTATTTAAATCATCCAGACAGTGAATATAAAACACTAGGGGAATAGGAGGGAGAGTTGCCAAGAAAAAGAAAAAAATCACCAATGCTAGTTTCAAAGTCCTTGAGACAAAAAGCCATACAACACTTCAGCAGAGCTGCTGCAACACAATCTGCTTTTTAAAGAGGGTCAGAGGAAAAGGTAATGGGTCAACTATAGACTTTCTCCCAGGTGAAAAAAACCCCAACTCACTCTTGTTTCTCTTTACAAGTCTTGGTTCCCCCTCTAGCAAGGGAGGACTTATGTTCACTGACATGCGGGGGTCTCTGAGGTGTTCTCAGACAGGCACCGGGTCGGGGTGGGTGGGAACTTGACCACATCCAAGTTGTTTCTTGAGTAATAAGTTCCAAGCCAAGAACATCTTGTCTGGAAATAAGGAGTAGCCACTGACTGTTTGGTCCCGTGGAGGACATGCCTCTCCCAGGCTCTCGGCACTCAAAACATTCCTCAAATGGGGCTGAGGAGTCAGAGAAGGCCAACAGACCTTGGAAAGCGGAAACACATCAAGAAGGTTGAGGCCCACCTCTTTTCCTTCTAGATAATTATTCTGAGCCAAACAGGCCCAGTTGGGCTTAACATCTTATTAACTGTCCCTCCACACACTTGCTCCTCCAGGATCTCACTTCCCAGCAGTGGCTTGGTTTCCTAAAGAGTCCCAACAGCCAATGTGATGAGGTGAAGAGTCCTGTGGACTGTCGCCATCCCCACTAGTTATACTCAGCCACCCACACACAGCTCCGGACACACAGGCTGCATATAAGGGGAAGGGCACGAGGGATTCATGGGCGCCACTCTTTAGCCAGGGGTCTACCACTTTGGTTCTCAGTGGAGAATCGGAGAATCAGGGCAGCCACTGAGTCAGCAGGCCAAGGGCCAAACAGGGCACCAGAGGCCTGTGCCACAGTTGGCACAATAAGCTGCTGTTGATTTTATTCAGCCCAGCAAAGTGTTGACTCTTCCCCCTCTGGAACACGACAGGAGCAGCAGGACCGAGGTGGGTTTTTAGCACGGTACCTGCCCTGTCCTGCTAAGCACGGCTATAGGAGGGTTAGTTCTTCTGGAGATTCCAGCTTTACACATTTTTTTTCTTTTAAAGACAGGGTCTCGCTCTGTTGCCTAGGCTGGTCTCAAACTCCTGGCCTCAAGCTATCTTCCTTCCTTGGCCTCCCAAACTGTTGGGATTATAGGAGTGAGCCACCACGCCTGGCTAGGCTCCAGCTCCTGAGCAGTCAGTAAAATGGATAGTCCCTGCAGTGTGTCCAGGGATTCTTAGGTCCAGGTGTGACATCTGGACAGTGCATGGAACCTACATATGTCTCCTTGCATGCTGTCTGCACCAACGAGGCAGAGGGGAGGCTGTAGGCTGGGCCCTGGAATGCCGGTGCTTCCTTCTCACCAAACAGAAATCGGCTGCTTTATTTCTCTTCCCTGCCAACAGCCACGACCATTCTTCAGCCTAAACCATCATCCCCTTCCTCCCAGTTAAAAGGAAACATTGAAAAATTATATAAGTATTATATAATTATAGATTATTCTGTAAGTATTATATAAAAATTACATATTATATAAATATAGCTTTCATAAAATATAAGACAAAAGAAGGGAAAAAAAATTCTCATCCCCAAATGATGACTCTCTTGCTCTGGTAGATTTCCCCGTGATCTTTGTTTTCTCTGCATCTTTTTTAGGAGTTGCAATCAAGTGGTGCTGTATCTATCTCACCCAACAAACATTTCGCTTGCCTAGTGTCTCTGCTTTGCTGGGTGAAGTTTACTGGAAAAGCAGGAAAGTAGCTGCAAATTTTGCAGAAAAAGCCAGAAACAAATATTTCCTGTAGAAATCTCAGTGGAAGACTAGTTTGTTAATATTTTTTCCTACTTCATTTCTTGGTTTTATTACCAGATGTTGATTGAAACCCATGGGAGTAGGGTCACATTAGCATGATACCCTGAGACACTGATGGTGTGGTCAGCTCTCCGAAGTCTTTAACGCCTGTACTCTGAGGAGACCCTCAGATCCCAGGGAGCTGTCGAGGGAGGAAGCAATATGCCCATTGGAGATGATTCCAGTGCTGCTGGAACCAGGACAGCCAGCTCAGTGCTGGGCAGATGGCAATGACAAAATCTCCCCTCCCAGGTGAAGAAATGTTTCTCGCGCAATTGTCCTTCCACGCCCTCTTCTCATGGTCCAGTTTCTAGCACAAATATGGGACACCTGGGATTCAGTTGTGATACGTCAATTAATTAGTTGTGTGATCTCAGGCAAGTCTTCATTCTGTCTGTCCCAAAGTTCTTGGAGGATCTAGGAGTCACAGGGCGATAACGCCTGCCCTACTTAGCTTACAGGGTTGCTATGAAGAATACAACTGGATGACAGGTGGAGAAAGTGCCTGGGAAAGTTTCAACTGCCTGATAGATACAAGGTATTATTATTTCTGTTTATTAGCCCTATCTATCTCTGTCACATGGTTTCGTCTTACAGACATGTGCTTTGGAATTCCAGACACTTACAATGTTCTAGACAACATAAAAACACTGTTTTAATTAGAAATATGGCTGATTTCTATGCTGCCCAGCAAGGTTTCTTTTTATTAAGCAGACCAATTACAGACACTTCTAAAAACTTGCCTGATTCACCAAACCACAAAAATGATTGTGAAAATTTTACATACAACATGTGTCTCAAAGTCAGCATTGGGGTGGGAAGAGTTAGAGTCAGATGGCTCTTCTATTCTGTACCATTTCCATGTTTTCTCTGGACTTTATCTCTCTCTTCCCTTCTCTCTCTCTCTCTCCCGCCCCCTGCCTGCCCCCAACACACTCTCTTACTCTCATACACTTTTATCTCTCTCAGTGTAAAACATGTTAATAAAGCAAGTCCAAAAATCCATACTTTTGACTGTGCAAAGAAACTCTCTGTGGTGCTTCTTTACTAAAATCTACAATTAAGTAGAAATGGTCCAGTTACAAAGCTGTCTTACTAAGAGGCTTACTACTTTGGAAAATGACTGTAATTTTCTATAATTTCCAACATCTAAAAACAAACCTATAAACCATAATGAGATAAACCATAACTACTCACACCCACTAGAGGGCACTAACAAAAAAGATGGGCAATAACAAGTGTTGGCGAGGATGCAGAGAAACTGGATCCTTGATACACTGCTGGTGGGAATTTGAAATGGTATAGCCACTTTGGAAACAGTCTAGTAGCTCCTCAAAAGGTTAAATACAAAGTTATATGATTTAGCAGTTCCACTCCTAGGAATATTATGGAAATAACTGAAAACATGTCTTAAAAACAACTTGTACTCAAATGCTCACAGCAGCATTATTTATAATAGCCCCAAAGTGGAAACAACCCACATGGCCCTCAACCAATGAACAACAAAATGTGGTATTAGTCAACAAAATGGATCAACATTATGGAATATTACTCAGGAATTAAAAGCAACAAAGTACTAATACATGACAATATACCTGGTGAGTACATCAATGGCAAGGGTAAACCTTCAAAGCATTATGCTAAAGTGAAAGGAGCTAGACACAGAAGGCCACATCTTGCAAGATTCTATTTATACAAATGCCCCAAACAAGTACATCTACAGAGATAGAAGGTAGATTACTGGTTGCCTGGGGCTGAGGGGAGTGGGCAATGAGGAGTAACTGCTAATAGGTACAGCATTTCCTTTTAGGGTGGTGAAAATGTTTTAGAATTACATAGTGGTGATGGTTGTACAACATTGTGGATATATCAACAACCACTGAATTGTTCATCTTAGTAGGGTGGATTTTATGATATGGGAATTATGTCTTAATTTAAAAAATAAACCTGTGCAAGATAGACATACATAAAATTCAAACATTACAGACATACATAGAAATGAAACTTTCCCTACACTCCTCTCCAACGGTGCTCCCAGTTTTTTCTTATTCTCTATGCTGATTTTATTTATATGGTGTGTATATTTAGGAAACAAACTAGGACCTTGTGCATACTGCTTTGTGATTTTCACTTATGTGACTTGTTCATTTTTTTTTACTGGAAGAGAAAAATTCCCAACCTGACTTCTTAAGGAATATAGCAAATCCAGAAGTCATAAAGAAAAAGACTTATACCTTGACTACATAAAACTAATATTTTTTTATATGGGAAAAGGTACAATAAATAAAGAAGCAGACTAAGGGAATATCTAAGCAACATTTATGAGAAAGGGTTAATATTCCTAATATTAGGGATTAAGATTCCTACATGTTGATTTAAAGTTAAACAATACAAAAGAAAAATAGGCAAAGAGGTAAACCAGCAATTCACAGGAAAGGAAATATAAATGTTCAATACACATAAAACAAGATGTCAGCCTCATTAGTAGTCACCATTTTTTTGCCCATCAAATTGGCAAAAATTAAAAAGACTGGTGACAACTAGTATGGGCAAGAATAGGGGAAATTGGACACTCTAAGTTGCTGATGAATATGTGAATTGCTACAACATTTTGGGTAGGTCATTAGGTAGTATTTAATAAATGGGCACAACCTTTAGCCCATCTTTGAAACTAACCCACAAAAATAAATGCACCACTACTAACAGTAGGGTCACAAAATGTTTATTGCAGCAATGTTTATCAGAGGGAAAAACTGAAAACAACTGAAATGTCTGGTGATAAGTGACAGCTGAATGAACTACGATTTACGAGAACGAGAGATATTGGAGAAACATGTCTTGGCCCTGTGTGATCGACCTACAGCCACGTGCATGGTAGACAGCTACGTGAAAAAAGGAAGCTGCTAACTCTACAACATAATGCCATTAAAATAAAACCCAAACCCATAGAGAGGTGAATATATATTTGTATATTGTTGTAGGCAAAGAGAAAGCCTGTTAAATTTGGTATGTTTGGGGCTGGGTATGCTGTGTTCTAGAATTTAAAAAAGAATGTCATTTTAAAAAGCTGATTATTGATAAAGGATAATACTGCGCTAATTTGATCTTTCTCGAAGCCAGGGAACAGTTAAAAAGGATGGGAGAAGCCAACGACTGTGAGATGGAAGGGCTGCTTAACACGGTATAACTACAACATCTTACAGAATACAAGGTATGTTAACACTTCACTTTTGGTCTAACGTTTTGGCTCCCTACGGGGTGGAGGAAGACAGATTGGGAAAACACACGCGAAGTATTACACTGGCGTCTGGCAAGGGGTGGAAACTCCTGTCTTGATTTCTGACTCTGGTGTCTCCGTGGGGTTCACTTGAAAGAGAAGGCACCTGGATCCCATATGAAAGCAGGGCAGGGCAGAATTAGCCCAATAGATGCTGGCTTCTTCTGGATCAGTTCAGGAAAACAAGTTTTGACTTGTGGAGAAGGATCTGCCTTGAGCACTATTACTGGGGATAATACTTCAACCAGGGTCAAAGTAACTCCCTAAAGCAGGTTATCAACTCCTCGAGCAGCAGTCATGGCAAGTCCCTGAGACAGTTCTTGGAAACCTAACCTCCTCTACTCTAGGAAAACTAAGATGTCAAATTGGGAAAAACCTTAACTTTACTGTAACTGTCCTGTCCAAACTGTACCACTGAGAGGGGCTATGTTTTCCAAAATGGCATAGAGCTTTGGTAAATGTCTCTTCTTTCACTGTTCAGGAATGCAGAAGATGGATTTTTCTTTCTTTTTTTTTTTTTGAGACAGAGTCTCGCTCTGTCACCCAGGCAGGAGTGCAGCGGCGCGATCTCGGCTCACTGCAAGCTCCGCCTCCCGGGCTCACGCCATTCTCCTGCCTCAGCCTCCTGAGTAGCTGGGACTACAGGCGCCCACCACGACGCCCAGCTAATTTTTTTTTTTGTATTTTTTAGTAGAGACGGGGTTTCACCGTGTTAGCCAGGATGGTCTCGATCTCCCGACCTTGTGATTCGCCCGCCTCGGCCTCCCAAAGTGCTGGCATTACAGGTGTGAGCCACCGCGCCCAGCCATGGATTCCTTTTTTAAAGGTAAAAATAAGAGTATTTTTAAAAGTAGCGGTATTTCTCAAGGGGGGAAGGCTAGTCCTGTTCATGACTATTTTACAGGTTGAATGAGTCCTCCTTTTAATTGAGTTAATATTTTTAGTTCTAAAGTAAACAACTGACATGGTCCCAACATACACACAAAAAATGTGTTCTTGCTGTGGCCCCAAGACTTTAAGCTCTCTTTTGGGATATTGGCGGCGAGGGTGGGGGGACACAAAAGAAGATGTATCTGAAACTGACAGTTCTTTGAACATATGCAAATGTCATAAAAACACCACCCTCCCTTGAGCTTAATGGCCAGCCTTTTATTTTTTTTTGAGACAGGGTCTCACTTTGTCACCGAGGCTGGAGTGCAGTGCCACCATCTCAGCTCACTGCAACCTCCTTCTCCTGGGCTCAAGTGATCCTCCCACCTCAGTCCCACAGGTAGCTGGGACTACTGGCACGAGCCACCACGCCTGGCTATTTTTTTATATTTTTGGTAGAGATGGGGTTTCACCATGTTGCCCAGGCTGGTCTTGAAATCCTGAGCTCAAGTGATCCACCCACCTCGGCCTCCCAAAATGCTAGGATTACAGGCCTGAGCCACCATGCCCGGCCCCAGGCTCCTCTTAAAGGAGAGACAAAAAACAAAGACTGCAGGCCTTTGTGCTCTTCTCCCTCCACCAGTCCTTGGTAGGAAGCCATGATGCGGATGAGGTGGACGCAGTGACTTGCCTTCCACATCAGGCACGCTCATTCACGGTTTCAGAACAAAAGGAAAACCTCACAAAAGAGGTCAGAGGGAAAGAATGAGTGAGGAGAGAGAAAACACAGCCTTTCACTATTTTCGGGAAAGCTCAATCTTCCCAATGTCAGGGACACAGATGTGAGCCTGGCTTGGGGCACTGGGCACAACCCACCACCCCAAACCTAAGGGGAGGTGGTATATTCGCATGGGAATAGCTCCCATTCATATTTCCTTTCTAATTTATTTTAAATTAAATCCTTGCAGTGTTTCTCTTTCTCCATGTCTGCTAGGCAGTTAAGAGAGGGGCAGAAACCAGGCTAGCAAGCAAAGAAAGTGACCACAGGGCATTTTTGCAGTTGGCACAGGGGCCTTTGGCATCTATTTTCAAAACACGCCCAAACTAAAACCTCATGTGCTTCTCGCCAATCTTGCAGAGGCTGAATAAACTGCACGTGGCTCTGTGAAAAGCCACCTCATCCCGTATGGCATTTCTGCTTTCTGGCTGGGTTAACATCTCTGCCTTACAGAGGCTGGTAACATCCAGAGAGCACAGATGGGTACCAAGGTTGCCGGCCTCAGGAGGACCATGTTTCATTTCTTCCTGTGTTTTTGGGATACACAGCTCTGAGAAGGGACTTGTCACTGGGTTTGTTCAATCCCGCTCCTGAGGGGGGTCTGAGACACAGGTAGCAGTCTCAAGCTGGTACCTTGTCAATCAGCAAGACAGTGCAGTGAACGCCAGGTCACGACACAGACTCTCTCAGGTCTTTCTAGGGAATGTTCATGTTATTGGGGAGGTGGGTCCTCTGCAGGGGCCTCTTCTTTCCTCTCCTTAGTCTTGTGAGTCTTGCTCACGATGTGGCTGCTGTTGCCCCTGTTCCCCTCTTCCAGCAATGGTAAGACACACATGGAGCCTCTGGACATTTTTCCTAGCAAGTACATTGCTTTCAGGGTGGATGAAACTGCTACTCTACCCCACTACTTCTCAAAATGTCTTCCTAGCATTTGAGGGAGCTTGGGAAATGATCCATTATACATTATGTGTGGCTGACTAGGGTGCTTCTGTGATGACCCCAGGACCGGGATAAACGGTGAGGCTTCCATCACCTTCACTGTGATGGACATGGGATGGCCCTGGGGTCTTCTGTTGACAAGGAAAATCTAAAAGGTGCTGGGAGAGTGTTGATCTATTTGGTTTCAATCAATCAATCTGGAAAGAGATTCTATATCTTCCTTTACGCTGAACGGGTGAAGGGCAAGGATGAGGGTGATGAACATGGCATCCTTTCAAAGCAGGTGTAGGAGGGGGAGAGAGGGAGGAGAAAGAGGGGGGTCTGGAGTGCCTCAGTGTACTTCATGCATTAGACTTCAGTATATTTTTACTCAGCAGCTTGCCTCTGCTTGTCGAGTATTGAGATCCAGATCAAATATCAAGTGCTTTTCTAGGACAGAAGTGGTTAATGTGGAATCACCTTCAGCATCCTGCCTCTGTGGATGGGGAAGGCAGTCTCTCTACTGTCATCTTTAATCTTAGCACGTAAGAACAATGTGGGAGTGGTGGGGGGCAGGGAGTAGTCCAGATAAAGGGCCTAGAGAGTGGGTCACATGCTTGAATTTATGTGGGTTCCCTACCTCCTGGCCCCTGTCCTGCACAGGACACGACTCACTGTCTGCTTCCGAGAACGATCCGGATTCGTCACTGGAGTTGGTTCCATAAGACTGCTCACATTTAATTTGGGGCCGCACTTGGTTGTACATTCCATCTCCCATCAGGCCTGGTTCCTGATGTTCTGTGGCAAGGAATCTGGCTCCCTGGGAACAGGGCGAGGAGGAGAACTCACAGAGAGGGAGGCTGCAGGGTGAGCCCCCGCTCCCGTCCTCCGCGTAGGAATAGGAAGAGCAGGAGCTGGAAGTCCTGGTCCTGGTCTCCAAGGGGGGTGAGCGAGGGCAGACTTTGATTGGTACCGGGCAGCTGGTGTTGGGCCGCATCCTTCCTGGCAAGTGGTCGGCCATCAGCCCACCGTGGGAGTAGGCCTGCGAGCTGGGGAGGGACTGGCCGGCTCCCACCCACAGACCCTTTGGCACCGGCTCAGAGAGGTCTTTGTCCAAACTGCTCACCCCAGAATAAGAATGCACCGAGGTGCTCACTTGGTCACAAGCGCTGGAGGAGAAGATCACGCTCCTCCGGTCCAGCTCTCCCTCCTGTTTACAGAGAGCCTCCAACCCAGGCCCCCTGAGGGGCGACCCCATGGTGAAGTTGGACACCTCCTTCTGGCCCACGTGGGGCTGTCCATAATTCCCTGTGAAAGGGGTGTAGTCAGTTTTAAGGTCACCCTGAGTGATCCCCTTGTCAAAAGGGCAGGCTGGACTCCTGGCAAAGTGCTGCTGAGATGTACTGGGCAGGCCAGACAGCTCCACACTTTTCGTTATGCTGAACAGAGACCTTAAGCAGGAGGGCGAGGCCACGCTCCTGGATCTCTCCAGGCAGGCGGCCCCAGCTGGGGCCGTGGGGGTAGGGGCAGGGCTGGGCTGTTTCCGGTCCATCTCGACATCCCCCGCTCTGTCCTTGGCGTCAGGCTCATCTCCAGACAGGCAGAGCGTGATGCTCTCTTCCTCATTCTCTTCACTGGGCGGCTCACTTTTAATCTGCCCCCTGGCAAGCCCCGGCTTGAGGCTGTTGCTAGAGTTATCTTCCCGGAATGTGCTTGCAAAACCTGAGGTACTGTGTGATGATGCATTATAGACATTCTTGGTACATGCAAGCTGGTATTTCTTGTATCTGGGGTACTGCGTTAACGCGTCCTTTTCTGAGCTCTCCTTGGTGTCTGTGGGCACGTCAGGCTCGGGCAGCAGGGCTTCTTCCTTCTCTGCTACGGGGATGGCGGCGGCCTCAAAGCTGATGGGCTCTGGAAGCATCTGGTCCCTGGGGCAAGCCATCTTGGCCGTCTCTGAATCCATCGTCTCCTCCTCTTCATCCTCCTCCTCTCCTGCAGAGTTCTCGCAGTCCTCGTGTGGGCGCTGGCACGCAGCATCCTTCCGGCACACAAACAGGCCATCCTCACTGTTCAGGAGCTGGGTCTGCAGGAAGCTGAAGCAGGAGTCCTCCAGGTTGTGCATGCGCAGGAACTCAGCACAGCGGATGACCTCGCGGATGTTTTCTCTGCTGAGTAACAGCTTGGCAGTGTAGGCAAACTGTAACAGCGGCCCAAAGCCCCTGGCTGTGACCTGCAAAACAAACAGGGAAATCGCCAACATTACCATCAGCACTGCTATTGTCCCGAATCCCTCAACTGAAGCAAGATAACCAGACAGTGCTAATGTCCCAGAATAAAGACTGCAAAGGGGCAGTTAATCTTGTAGTACTGGGTCAGCAATGATTCTGCTTCCAATAATTAGTGCCTGTCTCGTGCATGCCACTGTTGTACTCCATCACAGCACAGGCAGAATTGAAAATCACCAGGGTCAAGTGGCTAAACAAGATGACAACGGGTTCAGTGTTTACACTAATGAAATATCCTGGCAAAAATGCACGGTGACAATGGGGAGCCTATTAATTTCCCTCCCAATCAGTCCTGTTGAGAGCCATTCTACACGAGGGGGGAGTGTTGTGACACTTCTTGCAGCTTGCTGGAGCCCAAGAGAGCCTTAACGTTTTCTTGTCAACCACAAAAATGGCAATGTGACCCTGCAAAAAACTAACTCCAGGGAGTTGTAAAAATAGGTTTTCCTCACTTACAATGTTAAAAGAGACATTAAAACAACTCCTGTTTTGCTCATCCATCACAGTTTCTACTTGAGACTTTCGGTCATCATGTCTACCTGATCTTATGATGATGATGATCTCATTATCTCACCAGAGATGACAACAATCAAAAGTGGTGTGCTCAAGATGAAATCAACCCCTGGCCCATAATGAATGGGGGTTGCAGAGTTAAACAAACCGGCTCTCATTTAAATGGTTGAAGCTGCTGAGTGGCACAGGGTATGGGCTATTCCTTCCCTAATTATTAGCAGCAGCTTTGCCATGCAGCTGTCTTTTTTTCCTGGTAAATCTTCAGGGGCTAAGCCTACTGTCATTTGCTGCTTATCTGTTATATTTTACAAAGATTGAAAGTGTGCTATTTATGCACAGCTTGCATATGCACACAAACACGTGTGTGCCCACACGCATGCCTGCTCACACACAATGACTTAGACAATTAAGAATATGTTGCCTAAGGCCAATTGTTTTTTCAGATGGAAATGGATTAAACTTGCTGGTGTTCATCAGGGTAAGCTTCCTTACCCTGCACATAAAACCACACATCCTCTAGGTTCTTGCAAGCACTGCTGACCACACAGGAAGGTGACGCATGTCTACAAATCCTGTACAAATCAAATGAAAGCAGCAATCATGGGGTCCTTGCTAGAGGCTATGGTAGCAGTGATACAAAATTTTAGCGGGGGGAGTGAGTGCACAGCAAGGTGAACTGGTAAACTTTGTAGCTGACTTCTGTGTGTATTAAACTCACCGCAGCATACAGAGCCAAAATTCTTGCAAGGACCTGTAATTGATGTTCAAGATTCAACCTGGACATTCACTCCTTTGGGAGTGCTCTCCAGTCCTCTTAGAGAGAATGAATGACATTGTCCTCTCAGCTCTCATAGCCAGATGAGGAGACGTGCTGGATTCTCCAGGGCAGCACTGATTTCATATCATTGCATTCTTTCCAGTAACGGAAATTTCTTAGACATGTAACTGAACGGGATTTTAATTGTTAATCTTTTTAAAGTACTCAAGTAAGATTCCACATTAAATTTTTCTGTCAGATGATGAGTCCAGAGATATTTGGTTAAAAAAACAAAACAAAAAGCCATGACTGCTAGACCCACATTATAAATTCTATATGGGCAATCAGTGCCATCTCCCTTTTATTATACCTAATTGTGCCTGTTTCTACCATAAGACAGCAAGCTCCTTCAGATCAGGAATGGTTTTGTC
The DNA here is from genome assembly GCF_000001405.40 of Homo sapiens. Lineage (NCBI taxonomy): Eukaryota > Metazoa > Chordata > Mammalia > Primates > Hominidae > Homo > Homo sapiens. The sequence continues at coordinate 89,953,619 of NC_000006.12, forward strand.
TGTCTTTGTAACCTTGCATCTAATCTAACCTGGGGTCTCTCACATGGTAAATACTTGTTAAAAGCTTGTATGTTACCAAATATGTCATGAGTCAAACTGTGTCCTAACATACTACTACTGTGTATGCAAGGTGACAACACAGTATGTTTAGAGAGTGTTGTCTCAAGTTACTTTTGGAGCAAGGCATCATGTAAACCAACTAACTGAACCGATCAACTGATCAAAGGCAGGCAGGCAAGGGTCTTTGTTTGCCCCGTGTCACAGTACCAGTATTAAAAAGGAGGTCTGACCGACACTTTTGTATCCTGCTAAGCTGACATGGTAATAGGTTCAGCAAATGTAGTACTGACAATACATCTGTTTTATGTCCTTTTCTTCCAAGAATCTTTAAAAGAAAGTAAAAAAGCAAGGAAATGTGTATTTATAGGTAACTGAAGAAGATGACAAGAATGTCACATGACCTATTCCTTTACTGCCACATGGCTCCACCACAAAGAAAGAAATGGTGAAATCAATGCAGAGTTGACCCCTGCCCTCGTAATGATCCTATGCTCCTCTGTAATGTGCCAGTTGCCAAAAGGGTGGATAAGACACTTCTTGAGTTTTGGCAAAGGTGCTCACTATATGGGAAATGTAGGAAACTAATTTCAATGCTATTTATACTGTTCACACAGTTTTTCTTTTTTTTTTTATTATTATTATGCTTTAAGTTTTAGGGTACATGTGCATAATGTGCAGGTTACATATGTACACATGTGTCATGCTGGTGTGCTGCACCCATTAACTAGTCATTTAGCATTAGGTATATCTCCTAATGCTATCCCTCCCCCCTCCCCCCACCCCACAACAGTCCCCAGAGTGTTCACACAGTTTTTCTCATACTCCCATCCTTATCACCATTTTTTTTTTTTTTGATGCTGTAGGTCTAAGTAAGTCTTACCACTATCTTCCACTGTGGCCTCTTGTAAAGAAAATTTCTAAAGAAGCCAGGGACATCCATGGGGATCTGTAGATCAGGAAGCAGTACTGGGAGTCACCCTCTGCCACATGGCTGCAAGGAGCTGGAGAAAGCATCTCCGCTCAGGGACGAGCTGATGCTTAAATGTATGAATTGGACCAAGGAGGTGAATGAGCAAAGTCTCCACATCACAAATCAATGGCACTCCTTAGATCACTGAGGCTTAGGAAACTTCCTGAGCTTGAAATGATCGTCATATGGTCATGAAAGAGTCATAGATAAAAAATCTGGTTTGTAAACTGTCACTTAAGCCCAAGGGCAGAGGAAATGGTGTCCTCACCATGAAAGTTCAAGAGCTCATAACTAGCTCTTCTCCCATTCTGGTTTCAGTCCTGCTTTGTCATATTTAAGTCTGCAAGATTTTGCTCAGCTTCTGTGTGTGAGGCTTTGTTTGGTGAGCCAGAATGACCATTTACCAAGTATCTCCTAGTGCCCAGCACTGTGCTCTTGTAACACCCTGCAAGGCAGGCATGACTGCCCTTATTCTGTAGATAAGGAAACTATGAAGCAGGGAGGTGAAGGAGTTTATCCATGGTCAGTGCTAGTCAGTGGAGAGCTAGGATTCCAAACCAAGTCCAGTCTGTTTCTTCTTCTGTGCTAGTGGTGTGAGGGAAGGATATGTGTAGGACTCAGGCCTGTGCTCAAGAGATCTAAGATTTAGCTTTGTAGAAGAGGTACAAATGATGAAAAGTTAACTAAGTAACAATGTAAGCAAGTCAACAATGGAAAAGCCATTGCAAGATTATATGAGTAGTTGTCAACTGAGAAATCCAGACAAGTTCAGGATAGGAGACTACTGAGGCTGAGGGGACTAGCAAGGGGGCCCCTTGAACACTTTTATCAGCACGCCTTGAGTGTCTGCTCTAGGTCAAGGGTTGCTTTGATACGATGGCTACTTTCGGAACTGTCACAAGGGTCCCTCCCAGGAACCCATCTCTGGTCTACTTTCGGCAGTGGTAATCGCTCCAGATACACAAAACAGAAAGCAAGTGCCCATCACACCTGCCAGCAAGTGTTACAACAGGCAGAGGCTTTCTAAATACTGGCTTAGCCTCCATCTTGAGAAGGTGGCACTGTCTACCCATTTTTAGGGACCATTTAAATTCATTCATTATACTCAGAAGGCAAATATTCAGGTACCAGTGAAAAGCTGTATGTTCATGAAACTGTGACCACAAGTCTGCATTGTTACTTACTTTTTGTTCTTAACAAATAAGGCTCTAATAATGGGAAAAAATAAGAGGGGGGTGGGAGGTGGAGAATTACACGCAAAACTAACAACTCATAAAATGGTATTTTAAAAAGTAATGATCATAAAGTTAAAATGGAATGAAGTGGCTATAAATAGAAGAATAGTTCCAACTCACTGATGTTAATGGAGTTGCATCCCTCTGCTCTAAGCAGACCCATCTAGACTAAAATCCACTGGTCAGCAGTGGCCTCAAGGTATGAGAAACAAATGCAAAATATGGTGTTAGGGACAACTTGGGATAACAGTCTTGCATTTTGAATGAAAATATTTTGAATGCCTCATTTCGAAGAACATTTTTTCATTGCACTTAAATATGTAACTACCTGGTCTCATACTGTGCAATACTCATTCTGATACAGATGAGATGGGATCACACATTGGGGCCAGAATACAGTGTGCCATGTGGGGGCGAGACCTCGGAGAAGGCAGAAAGTTAACCCTCCAACCTCCCACAGACTGCTTCCTAGGAGGTGATGACCTCAGCTAGCAGTTGGCACATAGTTGGTTCAACCCTGAAAGAAATAAGGCCAGGGTACCGTGTCCGATGGTGCAAGTCAACATGCTGACAATGTGTTGAAATTTGACCCACTGTAACTATGACCCTTAATCCTTCATTACATTGGATTCTAACATATCATCTCTCTGCTGAAAGGAAGATGGGCTGATGAAAACTCAATTTGTAGAGAAAGTTTGGGCACTGTTTGCAAAGCTGGGGAGCTCAGTGTTTTGGGGAGCTCAGTGTTTTGGGGAGCTCAGTGTTTCATGAGACATCCATTTTGCTGCAGGACAGAGTTTATGAGGATACTTACAACAGTTCCATCTCTGGACTATGATAGGGATGAGGCAGTCAGCCTTCAGGCATTTATTGAAAATAGGGTTTGAGGATTTTTGAGACTTGGAACATCATTCTCTATATAAGCTACATGACTAAGGTGTCTCCAGTTGGTTTTGGCAGTATATACACATGGCTGTAGCATTGAGCCCATCTGCAGAAGGCTGATCAGATGAATCCGGAGGACAGGTGACTGCTCCCTGGGAGAGGGCTGGCACGCTTCTCAAGGTCCCTTAATCACAACTTCACAAAAAAGGGAAACTTACATCTTCAGCAACACCATGTACACTTTCCTGATGAAGCTGAATCTCTTACACACTGCAGGAACCAGGAAGATAAAGGTAATGAACCCCTGCCCAAGGGCTTTTTAAAACGCTAGACCACTGACAACCCCTCTGGGTTGTATTTGCACAGCAAGGCACTTGTCAAATGATGAAAGCAATGCTGGTGACAATTAACTCTCCCTTCCCACTCTCTTACTGCACTGCAACCCACTCTGCAGGATGAAAACTGACTTAGTGATCAGGCATCACTCCTCATCTTAATTTTCTATAATTCATATCCACATTATCACATTCTTCTTCCAAAGCAGCATGCTAGACATTTAGAAAGTATTTGTCAAATTAATTCACCTTACTATTTCAACAAAGCTTCTGGTTATTTTAGTATTAATTTTTATTTTATCTATTTTTACAGACAGGGTCTCCCTATGTTGCCCAGGCTTGTCTTGAACTCCTGGGCTCAAGGGATCCTCCTGCCTCAGCCTCCCAAAGTACTAGAATTACAGGTGTAAGCCACCACATCTGGCCTCGTATTAATTTTATTTATTTATTTACTGACAGGGTCTCATACTGGTTGTCCAGGCTGGAGTGCAGTGGCATGATCTTGCCACTTACTGCAGCCTCAACCTTTGGGGCTCAGGTGATTCTCCCAACTCAGCCTCTTGAATAGCTGGGACTATCGGCATATACCACTATGCCCAGCTAATTTTTGTATTTTTAGTAGAGACGGGGTTTCACTATGTTGCCCAGGTGGTCTCAAACTCCTGGACTCAAGCAATCCGTCTATTTTGACCTCCCAAAGTATTGGGATTACAAGTGTTAGCCATTGTGCCTGGGCAATTTTATTATGAATTTTAGATAGAGCTTATTTTGTGTTCTATTCCTAAGGTAATAATATAAAAACTAAATCAACATTGAAATTGATTTATACATATATCATTTCATATGGTGGTTCTTTTAGCTAAAGAAAATCATTATTTGTCTTAGTGAATATGTCTTAAAACATAAACGGAGTGTCTTTTCTCTCCTGTGCAGGTTTGAACTTGGATCTGCAGCCATAATGTAAAAATCCTTCCCCTATTTGTAAGTTTTACTCCTGAGACTCTATCTGATCATTCAGTCACTTATAATTTTTTTGTTTACTAATTTTATTTTATTTTTTAGAGATGAGGTCTCACTATGTTGTCCAGGCTGGCCTCGAACTCCTGGGCTCAAGCCATTTTCCTGCCTCAGCCTCTCAAAGTGCTGGGATTACAGGCATGAGCCACTGTGTCCATCCATACTCATTTTTTCATTCTCCAACGATGTGCTAGGCACTCACTGTGTACTATGCAAGGTCTGGGGACTCCACTTTCTTGGATTCAAGTCTCAGCTCTGCTGTCTACCAGCTGTGTCACTTGGGCTGGTTACTTAACCTTTCTGTGCTTTAGTTTCTCTATGCTTTAGTTTCTACAACTGTAAGACAGGGATACTGACAGTGCCTGCCTTATAGTAAAACCTTTGGAACAGGACCTGGCATTAAGTAACAACCAGTATTATTGCTGTTGCTACAAATATGAATAAAACACCACCTTTTTCTCCAAGGAGCTAACAAGTGACTGGGGAGACAGATGTTCAATATAAATGTTTACAGTGTCACCTGAGTACGTAACAGAGGTATTTGCAGGATGCTGGGAGGACAGGGCTGGAGCAGTAACTGCTAAGGGAATTAGTGTAAGGCTACTTAGAGGAGGTAACACTTGCCAAGTGTTGAGGGCTGAGTTGAAGTTCTTCAGAATAAGTAAAAGAAAGGCATGTCTCACTCCCTCATCATCTTCCGGCTTTTCCTCAAACGCCATTTCCTCACTGAGACCTTTCCTGGTCCTCTATTCACAATTGCCCTCCCCTACCACAAAACCAGAACTGGCTAGATGGTTTGCAGGGCCTAGTGCAAAATGAAAATGTTAGCCTCTTGTTCAGAGATTAAGAATTTCAAGTGACAAGAGAACATTAAACAAAGTGCAGGACCCCTCTGAGCATGGGGCCCTGTGCAATTAGTTGCACAGGTTTTATGCTCATGAAGCTGGCCCTGTCAATAACACATGCATGCACAAGTGCACACACACACACACACACACACACACACACACACACACACACACACACAGTTACCTATTCCCTGCAGTTGAAATGGACTCCCTGATTTGAGGAGGGGGTGATGGCATCCCAGGGTGGAGGTCAAACAGTAGACCACCATTTGACTTCAACTTTGGGCTGAAAAACATGGTCAGCCCACCAAGGTACTTTTTGATTAGTAAAAAAAGGAAAATCATGTAGGCTCAGTGAGCAAAGGCCTGACTCGAATCCCCATGATAGAGAGTCATGACTTGAATCAGTTAACAGACTCAGACTCCCTGCAATTATTCTCAGGAATTCTTGAGGACAGACCCTACCATAACCCACATTTTTGCTATGATTTCTCCTGTCACAGGGTTTTCCGAAATGTACTTGTAGTTTTTTCCTAAATCATGACTCAATACAAACTTTTTAAATTAAAAAACACCTAAAAAAATTATTCAGAAACTGTTGAGGCCAGAACCAAAACTATTATCACTCTCTCTGTGCGTGTGTATCTCTGTAACACTACTTTAATACAACTTAACTACCTTAATACAAACATAACCGGAAAACTGAAATAGTCCTTACCAACTACTAATTTTGACTTCTATTATTTGACTGAATTTTAGTTTGATGTTGTAAACTCATATGTTGGTTATTTACTATTGTCTCTCGGACTCACATCCACTTTTCTCATATTTCCCTCTTGCTGAGGCTGGGAGTTCAAAAACTCTTGTTTCCTAGGCTCTTTTGCTGGTTAACTTATTATCGGACCTGCCAACAGGTGCACAGGTGGGTGAGCTCAGAAGGTGGGAGGCATGAAGACGCTGTGGCTCCTTCTGTCTCTTGCTCTGTTTATCTTTCCTTTCTTGGCGGTGTGTTCTGGAAGTGGCTGCATCCCTGACTCTGTGGTGGAGTGTCCGGAAGGGGCTGTCTGCCCCACAGCTGCAGCTCCCGAGGCACCCGCCCCTCCACCATGCTCACAGGTCCCTTTCATCCCCTCCAGCCCTAGGAGTGGTAGATACTTTCTGCGGTCATTAATCATTAGGTTAGCTCTCCTTCCCTTTTCTGTTCTTCCAGTTTTCCAACACCTGTGTAACCAATTTCCTGTTTTATAGCCCCTCTATTTGAAACACCTGGCATGGTTTCTAGTTCCCTGACTTAACAATCCAATTTACAGACAAGGAGGCCAAGGCCCAGAAAGGTGAAGGGATTTACCCAAAGTCACAGGGCTGCCTGGCCAGGGCTAAACTCATGTCTTCCGACCGCAGAGTTCAACTCTCATGCTCCCTTTCTACCTGTTGCTGTTTCTCTGAAGTGAACTAGGAAAGAAATGCTATTTCATATGGAAACATGTTATTGTAAATTTTATTACTCTCTCTAAAATATTGTTTTATATAGCTCTATCCAAAGAAGTCTGGCCAATTGGATGCAGTACATCTTTTGGTATGCAGAAGGTGAATCTCATAATTGGTTCTATTTTTCCAGTGTCTGCATTCCTCCTGAAGGATGAAGATAACTGCTGTGTCCCTTTCCTGCTCAATGAAACTCTGCAAATCCTACGAAGCCCTTTTACCACATGGGGATTTGGTAAATTATCAGGCCTAGCTAAGTATTGGTCCTTAGAATCTAGAAGACAAAGCAGAAATGCCCTTCTGGCGGGGTGCCACATGGCACCAGAGCTTTGTTCCACAGTGGAATGGCAGTCGGATGAAGCTGATGTCTAGGGGGAGCGTTACGTGTCCCCTCTCTGTGATAGTCGGCTCAGAATGGTTATGGGGCTATATAATGGCTGAAACTGCCCCTTAGGTATTTCTTTGGTTGTTTCAAGGTTGATGGGAACAGGAGAAGGTCCCAAAAGCAAACATTCCATATTGTCTTTCCTGAGAACTGGCGACACCTTGGGTATGTGGAACCTTCGTTTCAACTGGGTGGTTTTGCCCATCTCATCTCACCTCCTTCATATGTGGCGCTCATAATTTTCCCATTCAGGTATAGATGGTTATATTTCCTAGGTTAGTGACAGGCAAAAGTCATATATGATACAGATACAAGGAACTATATTCATATTTACCCTAAAAGCATACGGTGAAAACAGAAAATCTCCCTTCTGAAAGATTATAAAATGAAGTTCACAGAATAATTTTTAAAAATCCAATTTCAATATAAGTGTAGGTCTTAAAATAGATATGAAATAGTAGTAATGTTTCACGTTTTTCAGTGTAAAATAAAAGTGAAAAGCATCCCACTCACTGGTAATGAAGTAGTAAAACCTGCATCAAGGTTTATGGTTTCATTCGAAAAACTGCCTCCAAAAGAAAATTATTTTTAAAAAGAAGATTTAGAAAAAATTACCTAATTTCCATTTTAAATGACCCTCTTCCCATTCCAGAAACCAGTGATTTTCCTAGGCGAGAATTTCTTGACTCAAGGTCTGGTTTCACCCTCTCAACCCCTCTAGTCATTTCAAACCAACTATGAACCACTTGATCTTCAACCAGAAAATACAAAACATTTTTGAAGGCTTCCAGTGATGAGAAGTTTGGCCCCTCATTAGCACCTTCTAATGGTTCTTCATGTTAAGTTTCAGGAATGGAAGTTTTGGCTTAGTCAGTTATGAGTTCTTACACCTTTCTTGTTACTCTCCTCTGAACCACACTGCCTGCGACTACACCCCTGGCAGATATCTGGATTGAATAAATGCTCCAATCATTGGTACAGAGGACACACTATCACCTCTCTCTGTCTATATCCTATTTTCTAGAAATGCTCAGATTTCACTGTCACTTATTATTTACAATTAACATCTCTGAGCTTATTTCCTCCCAGTATCTATTGATAAGCCATGTGTCCATTTTAACCTTGCAAAATCAAATTTTTGACCCAAGAGTGTGTACTTGTCTAGATACTCAGAAATCATTCCTATTATAAAAACTACTATTCAGTCAAATTTTTAAAGATCCACTTTCTTCTCTTTGTTTTGCAAATTACGATGCAATTTCTGATCTCTAGTCTTTTGACACTTTCCTTAGCTCCACAGTCCCTGAAAGATTTTGACCATAGCAAGTTGTATCATAATCATATTATTCCCCCTGCAGTTTGGGGGCTTTACTTCATCCAGTCTGGGAGCTTAGCATTTTCTTTTTGTTCATCTACCTAGGGCTTCCTTTCCCTTTTCCAAGTTTTTTCTCACTTTTCAGTCTTATGGTCATTCATTCAGTCATTCTCCTTGATGCACAATATAAAATTAACTCTGGGCTTTTTGCCATCCTCAGTACTACACAGTCAGCCCCAATGAGCAGCTGTTGGTTCCCTCATCTTTACGCTCCAAAGAGAACCACAAATTCATTTTTGTTTTCTGTGGTCCTCTTCGAAAGGTCTCCACTCATTTTGGGCTTGAGTTTTCTTGAACGCCTTATTTGTGGTTCCATACATGTTCCCATAGTTGTTCGTGTTTTTCCAGTGTTTAAAATAAAACTCTGAATGAAACACAACTGCTGGCACAATTTACCCTCCTTTTTCAAGAAAAGGGTCCTCATGTGAACTTTGTTTTGGACACTTCTAGCCCTCCTGAATCATCTTTCCCCACAGATGCATAATTTCTACCTTTTTCTTGTTAACATAAAAATCTGTTTAAAAATGTCTTGAACCCAAAATTATAAAACTCTAGAAGAAAACATGGGGGAAAAGCTTCATGTCATTGGACTTGGTAATGAGTTCTTGGATATGACACCAAAAGCACAAGAAACAAAAGCAAAAATGAACAAATGGGACTATATCAAACTTAAAATCTGATTCTATCAAAGGATACAATCAAAGTAAAAAGGCAACTCATGGAATGGGAGGGAATATTTGTAAATCATATACCTAGTAAAGGGTTGATATATAAAGAACCCCTATGTAAAGAACTCTCATTTAAAGAACTCCTACAACTCCCAACAGCAAAATATAAAATAACCCAACTAAAAGTAGGCAAAGGACTTGAATAGACGTTTCTCCAAAGACATACAAATAGCCAACAAACATATGAAAAGATGCTCAACGTCACTAATTAACAGAGAAATAAAAATTAAAACTACAATGAGATCTCACCTTACACCCACTGGGATGACTACTACCAAAAAAACAGAGTAACAAGTGTCAGCGAGGCCGTGGAGAAATTGAAATCCTTGTGCACTGTTTTATTTTTTATTTTTCTTGTTTGTTTTTGTTTTTAAGACAGGGTCTCACTCTCACCCAGGCTGGAGGGCAGTGGCATGATCATAGTTCACTGCAGGCTCAACTTCCCAGGCTCAAGTGCTCCTCCCATCTCAGTTTCCCAAGTAGCTGGGACAGGAGGCACATACCGTCATGCCCGGTTAATTTCTTATTTTTGTAGAGACAGAGTCTTGCCATGTTGCCCAGGCTGGTCTTGAACTCCTGGGCTCAAGTGATTCTCCTGCCTCGTTCTCCCAAAGTGCAGGAATGACAGGTGTGAGTCACTGCATTTGGCCCTTGTGCATTGTTGAAGAGATTGCAAAATAGTGCAGCTGCTATGGAAAACAGTATGAAGGTTCCTTAAAAAATTACAAATAGAACTACCATATGATCCAGCAAACCCAGTTTGGGGGATATTTTCAAAAGAATCCAAAGCAGGGTCTTAAAGAGGTGTTTGTACACTCATGTTCACAGCAGCATTATTCACAATAGCCAAGAAGTGAAAGCAACCCAAATTTCCATTCATGAGTGACTGGATCAACAAAATGTGGTAGATACATACAATGGACTCTCAGCCTTAAAAGGAAGAAAATCCTGTCACGTGTTCTAACATGGATGAACCTTGAGGACATTACGCTAAGTGAATTAAACTAATCATAAAAAGAAACTTCTGTGTGATTCCACTTATATGAGGCATTGAAAAGTAGTCACATTCTCACATGGACACAGGAAGGTGAATATCACACTCTGGGGACTGTTGTGGGGTGGGAGGAGTGGGGAGGGATAGCATCGGGAGATATACCTAATGCTAGATGACGAGTTAGTGGGTGCAGCGCACCAGCATGGCACATGCATACATATGTAACTAACCTGCACAATGTGCACACGTACCCTAAAACTTAAAGTATAATTAAAAAAAAAAAAAAAAAGAAAAGTAGTCACATTCATAGAAACAGAAAGTGGAATGGCGTTTATCAGGGGCTGGGGGAAGAAAAAGAGGGGGAGTTGTTTAATGAGTACAGAGTTTTGGATTTTCCAAGATGAAAAAACTTTGGAGATCTGTTTCACAACAATGTGAATACTTAAGAGTATTGAACTTATTTAACACTACTGAACTGTACACATAAACATGTATGGTAAATTTTATGTTATTTTTTTTAAAATCACAATAAAAAAGGTCTTGAAATATTTTGGACCGTACAAAATCTTCTTTGACTTCATGTTCTTTAAGATGATACTGCCGCTTTCTTCTAAAGATCTTCTCATGTGTACTCTTATTAATTCCTTTTAGCCAGATTACGACCCGAATAGCAGTTCTACCTTTGCATCTTCTACTTTCTGGAAGGTGGAATTGCCAATGTGGCAAATCAATAACCACTCAGGTATTCAACTACTGGTCGAGGAGAATTCTGGTAGCTATTTGACCTAATTCTGTACATGGGAATAGGAACATGGAACCTTTAATTGTCCTGACAATAGGACCCATAAACTCCTACAATATCAATTTTGCTCCTCTCTCTTCTAATCTCCTAGTGCTCTTCAGAGGGCCCCTGCCCTATGTTTCTAGATTTGCTTACAGACCTTATTAGATGTAATTCTTTTTTTTTTGAGATGGAGTCTCACTCTGTCACCCAGGCTGCAATGTAGTGGCACAATCTCGGCTAACTGCAGCCTCCGCCTCCAGGTTCAAGCGATTCTCGTGCCTCAACCTCCCAAGTAGCTGGGATTACAGGCGTGTGCCACCACACCTGGCTAATTTTTTTGTATTTTTAGTAGAGAAGGGGTTTCGCCATGTTGGTCAGGCTAGTCTCGAACTCCTGACCTCAAGTAATCCACCCGCCTGGGCCTTCTGAAGTGCTGGGATTACAGGCATAAGCCACAGTGACTGGCCTAGATATACTTTTGGCTCTGCTTGTCTTTCCAGTGGTTACATTTTTATTTTGAATATGGAATTCCTTCCCATAGCCATATTTCACTGTGATGTCCTTCTGCTTACCAGGTTACTTGGGTTCTCTGAGAAATTCTATTTATCACTGTGGCAATAATCTCCAAGTCCATTTTTACATTACTCCTGCTTCAACCATGAATAGACATTGGAGACTGTAACTTCTTGATTTATCCCATGATTTACCAAATATTTTACTTTCCTACCAATATCAAACTTGCTGGGTTCTGACCTAATTGGTATTATGAGTTAAGCAAGATATTCTTCTCTCTTCCTCCCCACTCCATCACTTTCAATTGAAAGCATGTGCCTTGTACACCCTAGAGTCTCAATAACTATTAGTTGAACTAAACCGAGCTAGCCCTAGTACTGCCCACTTGGGCAAGCAATTTGAATCCCTCTTTCACATGACAATCCATCACATATTTGAAGACATCTGTCATACCTGGTTAGGGAATTTTTTCTTCAAGAACTGAAGTCATATTTTCCACCTGAAATCAGAACTGAAGAACTGACAGATCACACGTCTCTTATGGAAAATATTATTTTCTTCTTGCCTCTGGAAGCAAGTAGCTTGACACACCACTAATCCTCCAATAGCCTTGAGAACCCAGGTGCTACCAGGGGAGGCCCACTGGTCTTTAGCAGGGAAAGCAATCTGACCTTGATACCTGCTGTCATTTGTCCCTTTCATTTGCAAAATAGGAATAAATAGGGACAAGCTGAAGACATGTAGGTAGTTAATATACTTGAAAGGCTTTTGAGAGAAAAGTACTAAAAATTCTGAAGATGTATGTATCAGCTTCTCAAGCAGAGCCCTTTCCTTGGCAATAGAAATGGTGTTACTGTGGCTTACAGAAGGAATAAAGCTACAGAGTATGCCTTATCAGCATGGTTGATACAGCAGCAATGATAGTATTTCTACAGTCTTTAGTCTCTTTCATCTAAGTCCTTTACCAACCATCATGTAACAAGCTGAGATATGCTGACTGGGCTACTCAAAGCTGTACAGTAAGCTGGGATAAAAATCATACATGGAAACCAGACTTTTTGCCAAAGGGACGATACACTTCTGATTTCTCCTCCCTTCTTGTGCTTCTGCAATGGGCTCTGCCAATGGAGAACAGTTAATGCTGATGCAATGCAGGCACCATCTGTGCTCTGTGAGGATTTAAACAGCAGCCATTAACACAAAACCCCATATGTGAATTGGACAATGGCTGCCCTGAAGCTACAGGACTCTCAGATAGAACATACCACTCTGTAGCTTTTAGGGATGCAGAAATTGTTATGATCCAACACCCACGCCCCTGAATAAGAGCATGAAGTCAGGTTTGTCAGTCACCCACTTCCCCTCCCTGCTTCTTAACTGAGTTTGAATCTTTTCTATATGTTATTCCTGTCTGTCAAGGGAGGAAATGAAACGGGAGCCGATACCATCTATCAGCACAGCCATGGGTGCCATTTTTACCTGAAGCCATTGGGTTCTTGTCCTGAAGCTTCCCCCAGGACACCAGGGTTCCAGGCATATAAATGACATTGACAGTGACTGGGTGCAAGCCTTTGCTGGGAAGAGCAGTGTGTCCAGGACTTCAGGTTGCTGGGGCATGAAGGCAGGGTCCTATTTATTTTTAATTTTTGTAGAGTTAGGGGTCTCACTCTGTTGCTCAGGCTGGTCATGAACTTCTGGGCTCAAGCAATCCTCCTTCCTTGGCTTTCCAAAGTGCTAGGATTATAGGCCGGTAGGGTCCTATTTTTGACAATGGTGTCATCTCTGGCAGCAGCAGAGATGCTGAGGCAGGGGAGAAAGAAATTTCTAACAATGACTGGTTGGTTGTGTCCAGTTTCTGTGGGGCTGAAACACGCTTTTCACACCAACACAGGGGATGGTAAGAAAAGGAAGTAAGTCACAGGTGCTTCAGAATGGTACCTTGGAGGCTGTTCTGGGCCATCTATTTTGAACATGGCTTGGGACTGTTATGAAAGACCTCATTATTTATAGCTCGTAACTGGGAAAACACCTTTTCTCCTAGAAATAAAGATATCCAAACTTCCTGAAAATGAACCTTTGGTTTTTGACAAATACCAAGTCTCAAGAACACCAGGTGTTCTTTTTCTGGGTGAATCAAACTATTTCTGAGTTTACCTTTAAGGATGTGAGTTAAAACACCTACAGCATCCCGGGTGTTCCAGTATTTGGATGGAATTTTAGTCACCGAGGTTGCAAATCAGAAACCTAAGAAACCTTAAGGAAAAATAAGCCCTCCAGTTTCCTTGCACTATTATAGCAAGAAATGTCTGGTTCATGGCAGGGAGGATTCATAGAGCTCATCCACAGTAGTTTAATGGCACCTTCCCAGAGAAGCGTAGCTTTGAAAACCTCAACTAAGCTAGCAGGTGTCTGGATGGCATCGTCATTTCTTTCTTTAACAAGCGTGGGAGGCCAGGGCTTAAGAATCTCTAGGTAGAGGCACCATTGTGGTAAAAATACAGAGACTCAAAGCAAAAGGGAAAACTAATACTGCTTTTATATCCCACTTCTGTGCTCATGAACTCTCCTCTCTGTTGATGCCATCTCTCCTCTCTCCTGCCCCTCCATGATCTCTCTGGATAGTCAATCAAAGGGAGGCTGGAGAGTCTCTGAGTTAATGCTTCTGACATGGACTATGTTTCAAGCAGCAACTCCCTGGTTTAGAAAGCAAACCTGATTCTCTCCTGCCTGGCCTTCCAAATTTCCCCCAAATCTACTCCCTTTTCAGTCTCATCTCCAGTTATCCTCTTGATCCTGACTCCTAGCCTTTTCTTTGACTTACTAGCATTTGCCCAAGCCATGACCACTGCCTAGATGCACTGCTGACTCTACTTCACCAATTCCAACTGTAAAATTCCAACATATGAAAACTGTGGAGGACAGGGAAGATGGTATCCACCAATGTGGAATGAAAGGGCCAGGGGAAACCCTGGCAAAGGAGGTGGCAATTAAACTGGACCCTCCCTTCTATGACCTGGACAATCAGCACTTGCTTACAGACCATCAGTTTGGGCATTTAATCACAGGAGGGCTGTTTTGCGTTGTTATCTGAATATTCCACTGGACCTGTCTTGATTAGAAATTCCTCAAAGTCAAGGACCAAGTCTTACACTTCTTACATGTCCTCTGCATAAATTCTAATAAAATCTGTTAAAAATCTGCATTGTGATGAAAGTGTATTTTTTTAAGAAGGCAATAACATTACATGTTTAGAAAGAATTAACAAAAGTCCACGTTTTCATGCTAGTTGGATGACAGTATTTAAGAAAAGTTAAATTGATAAAACATCATTAGATCACAGAAAGGCTAAAGCCATAAGTATTTTGTGTACATATGAGGCATTTTGCATAAATGTTACTAAATAATCAATGCAAAAAATTTACTTGAGCATTCACTGTGCTGGATGCTGAAGTGAACTTGAAAGAAGCAAAAAATGTAGTTTTAAAAATCTGTCTTGGGCTGGGCACAGTGGTTCACGCCTATAATCCCAGCACTTTGGGAGGCTGAGGCTGGCCGATCCCTTGAGGTCAGGAATTCCAGACCAGCCTGACCAACATGGTGAAATCCCATCTCTACTAGAAATACAAACATTAGCTGGGTGTGGTGGCGTATGCCTGTAGTCCCAGCTACTTGGGGGGCTGAGGCAGGAAGACTGCTTGAATCTGGGAGGCGGAGGTTGCAGTAAGCTGAGATTGTGCCACTGCACTCCAGCCTGGGTGACAGAATGAGACTCTGTCTCGAAAAATAATAAAAAAAGAATGTGTCTTAAAAATGTAGTCTTTTTTTTTTTTTTTTTTTTTAGGCTGAGTTTCACTCTTGTTGCCCAGGCTGGAGTGCAATGGTGCGATCTTGGCTCACCGCAACCTCCGCCTCCTGGGTTCAAGCGATTCTCCTGCCTCAGCCTCCCGAGTAGCTGGGATTACAGGAATGTGTCACCACGCCCAGCTAATTTTTTTGTATTTTCAGTAGAGATGGGGTTTCTCCATGTTGGTCAGCTGATCTTGAACTCCTGACCTGAGGTGATCCGCCCATCTCGGCCTCCCAAAGTGCTGGGATTACAGGTGTGAGCCACCGTGCCCAGCAAAAATGTAGTCTTAAGAAGGTAAGAATTCCTGGAGGAACTCACAATGTATCACAATCAAATAGGAGAATAATTGATGCTGACCTATCCATTGTTGAGACTCCTGGTGCAGCAGAAGATGAGAGACAAGGGACGGATGTGGGCTGCCACCACTCTACCACTACGCTTGGATGGGAGCAGGTGGGGGACAGAGAGCGCAGCACCAACAGGAGTCAGCCTTTGTCCTTCAAATATTGTGACCCTGACCTTGGCAGCCTCATGCTTTCTAGGAAAGGCTCTGCCATATGCACCTGGGATTAACACCCTTCTCTACCTGAGAAACCAGTGCCCTCCACCCCACCTAAATGAAACTTCAAATGGGGCTCATAAAAGGGAATGACATGACAGGAAGAGAAACGATCTGTTGGGAAGAGGCTGACAGTGCTCGGAAAACCATGGAGCAAAACAGATGGAAGAGGACACATATACCAGTCCTGCTGGAACTGCAGGATGGTGAGAAAAGACTGCAAGCTGGCTTGGAAATGAAGGCTGGGTGAGTTGAGTGAGCAAAACTGGTTCATCCTTAACCTGCTAAGTTAGAGTAAGAGAATTTTAGATGGTGGGGGTTGGGGGATGACTGTCTTTTAGATCAGCTTGGAAAAAATAAAAATCCTCTTCTACACTAAAGTAGGAAAGACCACAGAGTTAGCAAAGAAGGCATTTCAGAAAGTCAAATGGGGAAAAAAGAAGAATGTTAGATAAATAGGTGAAATTATAAAGTGTCTAAAAGCAACTCCAACAGGAGAAAGAAGGTGGGCAGGGTCAGAGTTCGGAGGATGTGAAGGGCAACAGAGGCCCTGTGAAGTACAGGCCACCCTCGTGAGGAGTAAGGACAGTGCTGTCCTGCCACCTCAAGGTAGGGCCTGGCAGTGCCCTGTTCCCAGTTCTGTGCCCCGAAGTGAAGCGCCGCCGACAGGCTTTGATGATC
Organism: Homo sapiens; assembly: GCF_000001405.40. Classification (NCBI taxonomy): domain Eukaryota; kingdom Metazoa; phylum Chordata; class Mammalia; order Primates; family Hominidae; genus Homo; species Homo sapiens. Next base: position 89,970,320 of record NC_000006.12, read on the forward strand.
TTTCCACCTCCTGACTCTTGGCGGGCAGAGCATACAGTCACAGACCAGATATTAGAACACTTTATCTAGCATATGGAAGGAACAGAATGTCAAAGGGGTTTATTACTGTACCTGACCAGATAATCAGGTAATTAGCACTATTAACAGAACAGATTGGACACATTTATACATGCATTTGTATATCTCCGGGGAGGCATAGCTTCAAAAAAACATAATATCAGGTGTTTTTTATTATAATGTTTGTGTGTATGTGTGTTTTTCTAAAGAACATTTTATTTCTCAGAAAGGATACCAGGCATGTTTCTTTTCTGCACCTGTACGGCCCTTTTTCACTTAGTCAAGCTGGACTGCAAACAATGAAGAAGGAAATTTGTTTCTGGCCCCCCCCAGATCTTACAACAAGCACTGCCGAGCTGGCTGGCTTCTTTGTTCATATGCCCAGGCCCCCACCTGGGTGGTGCGCAATTCTAGGAATATGCTCTGGCTGAAAGACAGAAAAGACCAGGAGAGGGAGCACAAGAACACAAGATATTTCTATATCTGGGTCGCAGGGAAAGTCACAGAAAGAGAGCAAGGCAAAGAGAAGCAAATGCCTCAAAAAATATATGCGGGATCTTAACGGTGTATTTTTTAGGTGCAATAAAAAGGGAATTTGGAACTTATGGTTTGTTCATCACATAGAATACATTTTTAGCAAATTATATTTAATGCAGAATAAAGGCTATTTTATTTATTAGTTTGTCCTGAATGATATCATTACTTTATGAACTGCCAAATCTGTCAGCAATTATTAACACTCCACAGCTAGCTGCCTTCCCCTAGGTGTTTCAGTTCACCTTTGCCACACAGTAACATGGGAACAACTGCGTCAGACGACAAGCATGCAGCCCCAGGCACAGATCAGTGAGTTTCAGTGACACTACAGCACTTAGCTGGATTAAGTTTATAGGCTGAGAACAAGGTAATGACACCAGGCATTCTCCTCCACAGGAATTCACAATATGGGATGTCACTGGTGGGCACCTTTTCAATATAAGATACAAATCACCTTATCCCTTTAACGAATGCATACTGACCACTTTGCATGGTTCTATTGTGTCTTAGGTGCTGGGGGCATAAAACAATGAATATGAAGGAAACGGTACTTGGTCTGAGAGGTTCTAGGCTATTGGGACAGAGACAAGTCAACAGGTAATCACAACACAGCCATGATAAGAACTGTCAGTACGGTTCTTACTTACAGGGTGTGTAAGTCCATTTTCATGCTGCTGATAAAGACATACCTGAGACTGGGTAATTTATAAAGAAAAAGAGGTTTAATGGACTCACAGTTCCACATGGCTGGGGAGGCCTCAGTCATGGTGGAAGATGAAGGAAGAGCAAAGGGACATCTTACATGGCCGCTGGCAAAGACAGAATGAGAGCCAAGCGAACAGGGAAACTCCTTATAAAACCATCAGATCTCATGAGACTTATTCACTACCAGGAGAACAGTATGGGGGAAACCGCCCCCGTGATTCAGTTTATCTCCCACCGGGTCCCTCCCACAACACATGGGAATTATGGGAGCTAAAATTCAAGATGAGATGTGGGTGGGGACACAGCCAAACCATGTCACAGGGGAAGTACAGCTGCTGGCGGAAGGGCATCTAACTGAGGAGGTGACAAATGAGCTGCAGCCTGAGGGAGGATTAGTTAGGTTTTGGGTGGGAGCTGGTGTTCCAGATGGAAGAAATGAAATGTGCAAAGACCTAAGAGAGAACATAGCATGCAGTGTGGTGTGGCAGGAGCAGCAGCTGGGGCAAGGGCACAGGTGAAACTGGAGAAGGGAGCAAGGGGACGGGCTGGGAAGGTCCTTCCGTGTCCGCCGCCGAGGCTGGCCCAGGGGCCTCACTGGAGTCTGTTGCGCAGGAGAGTATGAGGGAGACTCCTTTGGCTGCATTTGGGGAACAAGCCAGACGGGCGGCAAGCCAGTCACAGAAGTCCAGGCAAGCACCACTGTGGCCGGGATACAGGCAGTGGTGTTGGGAAGGGAAATATAGACAGATGAGAGAGGCCATTAGGAGGAAGAGTTGGCGAAGTCTGAGAGTATAGGCCAATTCAAGACTGAGAACGACTAAAAAAAGCATCATGTTGCTTCTAACTAACCAAAGCCACAACCTGGATACCCCATTGACGAAAACAAGGTATCTTTGGAAGCTATTTGGGACGCTTTACAGTGTGTAATAGGAATTATGTACAGGTTCCCAGGCAGACCCAAGGCAGTTTAGGTTTCAGAGTCATAAATTTTGGAGGAGGATAGGGCTCAGAATTCTGTAGCCTGGGGCTTTCTTTAAATGGACACCTTTGATGTCAGTCTGTTGTTTCAGTTTCTGCCTAATGTAGGATTTTTAAAAACAGCACACTTTCCCAGTAAGTCATTCTGATCTGGCAATGAGAAAGAGGTGAAAGTTCTCACAGGATGTAAAGGGTCTTTAAAAAAAACGACGGGCTGGGTGCAGTGGCTCAAGCCTGTAATCCCAGCACCTTGGCAGGGTGAGGTGGGCAGATCACGAGGTCAGGAGTTCGAGACCAGCCTGGCTAACATGGTGAAACCCGTCTCTACTAAAAATACAAAAAAATTAGCTGGGCATGGTGGCGGGCACCTGTAATCTCAGCTACTCGGGAGTCTGAGGCAGGAGAATCGCTTGAAACCGGAAGGCAGAGGTTGCAGTGAGCTGAGATTGTGCCACTGCACTCCAGCCTGGGCAACAAGAGCGAAATTCCATTTCAAAACAACAACAACAACAAAAACAAAGATGGCTGGGCGTGTTGGCTTGGGCCTGTAATCCCAACTACTCAGCAGGCTGAGGGAAGGGGATCGTTTGAGCCCAAGAGTTCAGGACCAGCCTGGGCAACACTGAGACCCCATCTCTAAAGAATGAAAATAAAAAAATAAGAAAATATAAAAAATAAAGGTGATTGGAAAATAGATGAGCTAGTATAATGTGAGATGATGCTGCATACAGCCATGGTCAGAAACGGGGAAAAGGCAGGGGAAAGTTGACTTTCCTCCCAGGACCTGTTTGTTGATTTCCATGATAATTGTGGAGCAACCTACCAAACCTACCAGTTCTATGACCAGGGTCTCCACTTGGACCTTTAGAAGCTTCTTCAACACTTGAGTGGACTTCAAACTTCAAAGTGGACTTTGTGATTCCGACCCTCCTGCCTCCCTCTTTTAAGGACCCTTGTAATCATTCAGGACACTCCCCCACCTCAAGACCCTTAACTTAATCTCACCCACAAAGTCCCTTTTGCTATGTCACATGACACACTCACAGGTTTTTGGGGATAAGGACATGGGTATCTTTGGGGGCCAGTATCCTGCCTGCTATACCGGGTTATAAAATCTGCCTAGCTGGTTGCCTAGAGGAGTCTTATTCTCTCGGTGTCTCAAAATAGAGGAGTTCCCTGGCAAAGGTAGGTTCTTATGTAAGTTAAAGTGATGCAGGCATTAATGTCTTCATGTGATCAACTGACGTAAATTGAGGAGAGCCATTAATGGATAAAGTGAAAGAAAAATGATGAAAATTTATTTCAGATTTCAGATTTCAGATATTCTCTCTGTTATCACTTTACATTGCAATTTTTTTTCAGCATCCTATTATTTCTTGTGTAAAGGCAAATTTCTAGTGCTGGGTTCATGGTGACTTCTGTGTGGTACAGAGAAACTTGAACTAGAGCTGGAGATACTCACTGAGTCTCCAAACCTACCGCTGACTGGTTTGTGACCCTGGACCTGTTTCCCACCTGTTAAAAACACAGACATTTGCATCTTTAGTGAGTCTTACTCTTGTCATTGAAGCAAGGAGTTGAGAACTTGGGCTCTGGAGTCAGGCTGCCTGGCCTTAAGTCCTGGCTCCTCTGCTTAGGAGCTAACCTTTTGGCAAGTTAATTAACCTCTCCTGCTCCAGTTTCCTCACCTGCCATATGGAGATAATAATGGTAGCAATCCCATAGCGTCAATGAGTTAAACACGTAAAGTGCACAGGGCAGTGCCTGGCATACCCTGGATGCTCAGTAAAGGTTATTTAAAAAAATCATCATCATCATCACTGTGTTAGACACAAGGGATATGCAAAAGATAAAACAGAGTCCTTTTCTTAGTGCTGGGTCAGATAATTTTTTAAGACTAAGGTTTTACGATTCCCCATATATCACGGGAGAAAAAACGCCCTGATGTCCTCACACGTTCCATGCATCATGCTGTGTTAGCAAGATCTTTTAACATTTCTCCTTGCTGCCAATTAAAGGGCACCAAGTCAAAGTTGATACGTAAAAATTACTGTCCCATTAGCACCTTCTGGCCTCGCTAATAAATCCTAACTTAATTAGGCATATGTATCTTTTTCGTGGGACAAGGGATAGCCAAAACTAGAGGTATATGGGCTCCAGCTTGTTTACAACCGTCCCTTAAAAGAGCTCAATGCATAATTGCATACCCATAAATACAAATGCTATAATTTTCTTGGATCAAAGATCATTTTCAAAAAGTAGACACGTATGTATCTTCATGGTAGCTTTTAAAGCAAGTTCTACAAGGTCTAACAAGTCAGTTTTGAGAGCAGGCCTTCCAATAGCTGTCCTCCACTTGAAATCTGAAGTGCGGAAAGTGGAGTGGATGCATGTTTTACTGAAAGAGTCAGCAACAGAAAATAGAGTACACTCACAGCTGTAGCGAGCCAGGATGAATTTATACAGTGAATTTTAAATCAGACTCAAAATTGGCTTGCACTATCCATTGAAAAAAATCCCATTGATTTTGGGCTTCATGATGATGTTTTCTGGGAGAGGCAGACCTTAGATTGAGAGCCAAGCAAAGCTTCAGATGCAGATTTTTTCTTTTATTTTCCAAGGAATTTGAAGAGGCAGAAATTGCTAATGGAATACAGGGATAAAAATGAATATTGTATTTCTACTTGCTAGCAACTATCTTGGTATGGAACTCGACTGATACTGTTCTGTCCTAGTGGCTGAAGCCTTTCACTTTATTAACTTTTTTAGATAGACTTTAACAATTTCATTTTTTTCTTTGTCTTTTTCCATTTTCTCTCTTCTATTCAAACACTTCTGCAAAATACAGTGTTTCCATTAAAGTCCCTCAGCTTTCTTTTGTTTCTCAGACTCTCACATCTTTGCAATTTTGCTCAAGTTACCTTCATATTCACTTGGCACACAGTAGGTACTCAATAAAGTTGGTTTCTTCCTTCTTCCTCTGCCTGGCCGCTGTCTGGTAATGTACTTCTTCCTTTATTTTTTGGTTTACAAACTACTTGTTAAATAATTGGCTCCAAGAGCCTCCTTCAGAGTTTACATCATTTCTTGGGAAGCTCAGCCCAAACAGAGATAACTCTCCTAAGATATCCTGGAAATAAGGTTGCAGAGAAAAACAAAGTCCCACTTATCAAAATGAAGTGCTTTTGTTCTCGTTTTGGATCTGGTGGCAGAAACGAAATACCATCTTTCAGAGGTCCCAATAAAATATTTGACAAGATATGTGAAATGTTTTTCTTCACTTGGACTGCTTTCTTCATAATACAGTCTATGTGTTTCAGGAGAAAAACAAGGTCAATTCAATTGATCAAACACTGTGTCAGCGACAGACACACATACATATAAATGCTCACATTCTCTCACAGTTATAACAACATGGAATCTAATTTAGAACCACAAGAGCTAGGAAATTAAGAGTTAATACTTAAACCCCATCCTGAATCCATCTTGTCATGCCTGAGTATCACTTCTCCTATAGCAAGCAAGATCGCCCGCTGTTCTGAGGCCACTAGACAGAGAATAAAATCAGCTATAACATTACTGTGTCACAAGGAGGGAATTAGGGATGAGTCTGGAGAACTGGCTTGGGTGCTCTTTGTACGCAAGAGCGTGAAGCCGGATGGGAGAGAAAGAAAGGAAGACAAAAATAAAGCGTAAAAATGCAGGCACATTAGCCGCAGGCAAGCTCCCGCTTGCCTTCTATCCTATTATTACCATCTCACTACTGCCTTAGGGGGCATCTGTAAGGCAGGGGCAAGCTGCTGCTCTCATTACAGTGGGCTACTAGCAGTCTAAACTCCAAAACAAACTTGAAAGATATATGAACCACAATGATCACAGCCGACAATATGCTGTGGCCTTATACTTGCTCCTGCAATTGTGTGTGTGGGCAGGAAAAGGGGGTCTTCTCTTTTACTCAACTCAAATGTCCCTTGCTTTGCTTATTTTAGAAACGGTTTGAATGACTGTTCCTTCAACAGCATTATGGGTCACGTACCCACTAAAACGAAACAATCACACTTTATGTCTCTATCCTGAATCACTGTTTTAATTTTTAACCTAACCTAGCAGGAAATCATGGGTTTAGCCCTGTTTGATCATATAAAATCTCTATTACCAAAGAGAAAAAACTCATGGTACTAGCCCAAAGGCAATAACAGATTTTAGGAGATAATTGTCCAGATACCTCGTTGGCTCTGGAGCAGGTAAAAAAAATCACACATAAAATAGCAAAAAGCAAATTTATTAACTTGCCTGAGCTTTTTGCCTCCCTTATCTACTACTTCACCAGAAAAAGGTCTGCTCGCTATTTACAAATTCACTTTTCTTTAAAGCTTCTTCATATGACTAGGTCCTGCCGATAAGTAATACTCTCAATTTGTCATTTGTCTGTAAACTTTTAATGTTAATACTTTTTCATTTTTGCAATTTGGCAAATTTTATCATGCAGTGAGAAATTATTATCTAGATGCTATCTGCTAGGATATACAATGAACTTTCTCCTTATCCTACTGAAAGTACACCTCTCAAAAAGAATACAAAATAAGAGCCCTTCTTGGATTTATTTGAAAAATGAATACATATATTCATTATTGGGACTTTTCAAATTTATGAAAAAATATATATTTGAACCTAAAGCCATGTACAGAAGGTTAGCTATTATCTTAATCCTAAATTCTGCTATTATATTTGTATCACAGATGTACTGTGCTGATAGAGAAGTCTGAGCTATTGGATTTGCCAGCTTGGATTAATAACTACCCATTTCAAATCATTAATGATGCTGGTTCCAGTTCAGTGATTGAACTGGGTAAAAAAACATTTCATCTTATTCTTTCCTTATGAAAGAGCTGCTGGCTTTGCAATCCATTTCTTTCTGAAGAAAAGTCCTTTTGAAAGGGAGAATACTAAAAACGGTGTAAGAACCACTGGAGAAGAATAGAAATTCATTTTAAAGCAGTGTACCATGTACAAATGCTGTCTTACAAATAGGATTATTTAATTTAAACCTTAGATCTGTCAAGCTCTATTACTTCAAATGGAGCCTATCGCTTCTTGAGTTCATTATATATCGAGATTATATTACAATTTATGTTAGGTTAAGTCATTGCTGAGATACAAGGCGGTTGAAAAAAATTACACAGCAGTGTCAGTAAATAGAGCAAAGTCACTGCAGTGTTCAGAAAGGCAAAAAGTCATCTTGCTAAATGAGGATCCAAGCTGTCCTGTACGAAGACTGTTACTAATAAATAAAAGGCCTCTGGGAAAAGTGCTGAGCGTACGCTGGATCTATTTTCAGCTTGCATCAGCAGCTGCTGCCCCTGGGATCACATCTTTACGCATACTCTACACCATATGTAATCACTCCAGTGCTGCAACCAGTAAGATAATGAAAGAGCATGGCATAAATCTATACTTGAGTGGAATGCTAAATGAGAAAAATAATACAAAAAGGGGGGAAATAAACCGCATTTTCAAGTCATTAGGAAGAAAGACTTTGACATATGAAGTGCTGCAACCATTAATAGCACTTATCATATAGAGTGGAGACAAAGAGACAAATTAATCAAACTGACAGAACTGGGACATTTTATGCTAATACAGGCTCCTGGGTTTTAGTCTGTATTCCTCTGCGTCTGGAAAACTGATACCATTACAGGGCAGGAAATTGCATGAATAACATGCAACAGATCATAAAAATTCACACACCAACTGCAGAAACACTGCCAAAAGCTCTGTAAAAACAAGGATGGAGACCTCAACAGAGAAACTACCAGCAAGTAATGAATGCAAATAAGTCCAGGAATATCTCCCATTCATGCATTGTAATTAACTATAGGCTTCTCGCTCATAATTACAGTGGTGAAACTGAAGCCTAGAGAGCGAACTCTGCAGTTAGCCAGAGAAGGCTGCTCAGGCTCTGATTCAAGGCTGTTTGCCATCAGCTGGGGTGAGTGCCACTCTGACCTAAATTTTCTGACTGGGTTGTGTTGGCTTTAAAAAAAAAAAAAAAAAAAAAAAAGCAAAATAAACAGCAGAACATTAGCTTAAGACTTTAAAGTGGAGGAGGGAGAGAAATAAATTGATAATGCAAAGAAAAGTTGAACAAAATTTTCTATGTATGTTTCTGTGGGTGGTACAAATAAAGAGAATCTGAGACTGAAAACATTTTTATAAAATGCACGCTGTCCCTGACTTATAAACATCCCCTACTTTCTGAATAAGCTGTATGTACTTAAATCCGAATGGCAGGCAAGTCCTCATGAAAGCTCGTGGGAGCAACTACCCTTTGTTCTCCAATTGTGAACTCCGAGGGGGTTGGTGGAGAAAGAGCCGCTAGCTCATTTATACCAATCTATAGAGATAAATTACTGCTGCCTTGTGATCTCTGCCTTTCCCTAAGGAAAGTGTATGTTTCCTTGATACTGGAAGCAGATGGGTTCCTTAGCTGGAACACCAAAGAGATTTTCCCATAAAAAATAACTGTATGGACAGAAGTGTGGATGAAAAAAACGCATCAGAATTTCTTTCTCCAATGATACCATGTTTGCTGGCATTCAAGGCTTCAGGGCTTAGTGATCTGGTTTCAATCCTTCCTCTCATTCTCACCTAATACAAACCACATACTTGCCTGCCTCTAGAACTTTGCTAAATGATCTCTTTCATTTATTTGACAAACATTCACCAAATGGCTATTGTGTTGGCCTGGATATATAGGGTAGATTTGTACACCGAAAACACTCCCCTCCAATTCTTGCACAAAGAACTAACTGTCCAAATGAGAAGACAGATAAGCAATAACTCAATGACAATACAGTGTAACAGCTGCTATGACAAATATGGAGAAGGTACTACAGACATACAGCAGAGGGACACTAAACCCCAAATGGCCATTTCCCATCTACTGAAATTCTACCCACATCTCCCTCTCCACGATGTAGTCCCTCATCTTCTCATTAGAATTACGTGTTCCTGCTCTGTACCTTCATAGCCCTTCACTTATACCTAGACCATAGGATTAATTTCTGTCTCTCATTGATGATAAATATCTGTTCATTGAACAAACCGAAACAAAAAAGAAATGCTATACAGATATGAGTTTGGGAGCTGACTTAGGAAACTAACCATTACTCATAACCTGTTTCTAGGAAAAAATACATTCTGGGTTCAAACTAATTTCTTTACAAACTTTTGAAATGTAATTTATCCAAACTGTTTAATCTTCCTTCCTTAGACACTGGGCTACCGAAAATGTAACCTGCATTTGCATGAACCAAATGCATGAGATAATGGAAATGTTTCAAGTAGTGCAAATATGAACTGAAGATTCTTCTTACAGTCATATAACTTGTGTATTAAAAATATCTGTTTTAGAGGCCAGGCGTGGTGGCTCACACCTTTAATCCCAGCACTTTGGGAGGCTGAGGTAGGCGGATCACCTGAGAGGTCAGGAGTTCAAGACCAGCCTGGCCAACATGGTGAAACCCCATCTCTACAAAAATACAAAAATTAGCTGGGCGTGGTGGTGTGCGCCTGTAATCCCAGCTACTCCGGAGGCTGAAGCAAGAGAATTGCTTGAACCCAGGAGGCAGAGGTTGCAGTGAGCCGAGATCGTGCCACTGCACTCCAGCCTGGGTGACAGAGCAAGACTCTGTCTCAAAAAAAAAAAAAAATCTGTTTTAGGGGACGATCCTCATTTCACATCATCCTTGGTAAAATGAAAACTGAAAAGCACACCTGGACACACACATGAGCATGGGGCTCTGTTTGGCCATGTGCTGCTCTGTACAGAAAAGTGCATTATAAGTAAGTGCCCTAGGTTAATCTATTGTTATGATTATTGCCATTATGATGACAATCATCAAGTGAGGCTGCCCACAGTGGCTGGTCCAGGGACATAGCTAGACCACAAGGGCTAATGTTATGACCTGGTACAGTGCCTCAGTGGCCACCATCTAGAGGGAGGAGAAGGGCTAGGTGTGGTTTTTCTTTACTGTTTTTTGGCCCTGAGGACATTCACCTGAGAAGACTTTGGGTCTATTAATAACCTAACAGTGGATCTGCAGAACCCTGCTGGCCTCCACTGGAAGGTGTTGAGTCTTTTCTGAAGTCCATACACTTCTTATTTCTTAATATCATAGGATTCTGAAATGTATTGGTTTCTTTCTGTTTATCTTGTGTAGTTTTAGCATATTTACCATTTTAACCTTTTGTTCTCATCACAATCAGGTGTCATACTATTGACTGTGTATGGTGTTAATTTTCAGTTTTTTTTTTTTTAACCAGTGAATGGGGTTAGAATGTTCTTCTTCCTTGTGTATTAACCACAAAGAGACGTTTGAATTAAAGTTTAAAGATGACAAATGGTCTAAATTCTGATTAGGCTTAATTAGATATTGGTATTTTGGGAAGAAAAAAAATATAACCCAAATGCAAGATAGACAATAGTTGTTTTAGCTTAAAGATGATAAAAACTAATAGGGTTCATCGTGATTCGCTTTTTTTTTTTTTTTAGACAAACAGTCTCGCTCTGTCGCCCAGGCTGGAGTGCAGTGGCGTGATCTCGGCTCACTGCAAGCTCCGCTTCCTGGGTTCAGGTCATTCTCCTGTCTCAGCCTCCCCAGTAGCCGGGACTACAGGTGCCCGCCACCATGCCTGGCTAATTTTTTTTTTCTTTTTGTATTTTTACTATAGACAGGGTTTCACCGTGTTAGCCAGGATGGTATCGATCTCCTGACCTCGTGATTTGCCCGCCTCGGCCTCCCAAAGTGCTGGGATTACAGGAGTGAGCCACCGCGCCTGGCCGATTCCTGTTTTAAACAGAGTTAAAGAGAGAACACATTCTCAGTGAGAGAAAGTATTGGGGAATATAATGACAAAAACTGCCAATCGATATTCATGTTCCCTGAATTGACAAGCATCTATTTGTCTACAGTTTATGGCTCCTTATTTAAGCATATTAAAACTGAGAAAAAAATAAAAAGATCAGAAAAGAGGTCAAAGTTAAGAAAGTCTTGGAGAAATGGAATTATTAGCGAGAAAATAATTCTAGTGGTAACATTATTTTCAAGTGGATTCTCTTTAAAAATCCTGGGTCTGGGGAACAGCATGAGAAGTTGACACACAGGCAAAGCTTTGAGCCTTTCTTGTAAGGAGTTACCTAGAGGAAGCGTGTGATTTGATACACCTAAATCAATGCAATATATTATTTGACAGAGTTATACGGAGCTCCTGATAACCAACTCTGTGCTATAATTACAGAGACTGAAGAAAGGGATATGGGGGTAGGGCAGGAGGGGAAGTGATGGGTCTGTGAGATGCAGGTTGCTAGAGATTTCTTTCTTTTTTTTTTGGAGACAAGGTCTTATTCTGTCGCCCAGGCTGGAGTGTAGTGGGGAGACCACTGCTCACTGCAGCCTTTACCTCACAGGCTCAAGCAATCCTCCCACCTCAGCCTCCCAAAGTGTTGGGATTACAGGTGTGAGCCACTGTGCCTGGCCAAAAAGATATTTCTTAAGGAAAGGTGACAAGTGCTGCAGGAGAATTTGTAAGTTCAGGGAGGTCAGCTCATAGAGAAAAGAGTCTAAAACAGTGGGCCTGAGGCAGGTGGTAAAATATAGAGCAGGGAAGATGAGAGAAGAGAGTGAAGAGGCTACAGTGGCAAGTGGGAGGTGGTCTTGGGCACGTGGGGGTGGGGTAGAGAGGTCACTACTGCATCTAAAAGGGCAGAGATGGGATGGAAAGACACAAGGAACATCCTGGCAGCACGCATACTGAATCATAACAAGGTACTAGAAAAAGGCTGTGGCATCAGCTTTCTCAGAGGGTTTTTAATATTAAAAGAGATAAAAGTCTGATTTGGATTGTTTAGGTTCTGTTTTGGATGCAGATAGAATTTGATAAGTTATTTTTCTTTTTCTGAAAGGCACATATAAGAATTATATTTTAATATAGCTGTGCTTTTTAGGAGTACGTTCGGATATCACTCCAGCTTGTGTGTACCATAATAAATATCTGAACAATACTTTATGGATTATAAAACACGATTTTCCTATTATTTGTTCCTCCCAACAACTCGGTAAATGAGGTATTATGATTCTTATTCTCATTTTCTAGGCAACGGTGTTTTGGAGAGTATAAGTAACTTAATCAAGGTTACAGAGCCATGGCAAGCAGGGCCGGGTCTTGGGTTCTGAGCCCCTCATTCCAAATTACGCACAATCTCCCCCATATCTCTTCAGCCATTCTAACAAATGTTTTCTTTTCCCCATTCCTGCAGAATGTTTTTCATTTTGATGATTACCCTTAACATGTTTCAAAAAAGCATAGGCATTGGAAGACCCAGAAACAGAGACCAAGAAGGCAGGGACCACAGGACAGACCCTGGCCTTGCCCATCACCCAGTTTCATTGGTTCCCTTTGCCTTGATTTGACCCCACCTGCAGGTGCTGAGAGCTTCAGTTTAAAATCTGGGAATATCCTAAATGTTTATAGGAAATCCCCATCCTCTGCCTCCTTCTTTAAGCAGGTGCCAAAATTCTCCTGAAAGGAGTATATGGATTTGAATAGGACATCATCCTTGCTTCTGTTTTATAGTGCTTCTTTGTATTTATTCATTCCATCATATTTATTGAGTACCTACTATGTGCTCAGCTCTGTGAAAAGGCAGGCATGACACTTGGAACTTGTACTCCAGTCCTGCACTGTCCAATAGGGTTGTCACATGTTGTCTAATTAAAATTAAGTAAAATAGCCAGGCGTGGTGGCTCATGCCTGTAATTACAGCACTCTGGGAGGCAGAGGCAGGCAGATCACCTGAGGTCAGGAGTTCGAGACCAGCCTGGCCAATGTGGTGAAACGCTGTCTCTACTAAAAATACAAAAATTAGCCGGGTGTGGTGGCAGGCATCTGTAGTCCCAGCTACTCGGGAGGCTGAGGCAGGAGAATCACTTGAACCCAGGAGGCAGAGGTTGCGGTGAGCCGAGATCACGCCATTGCACTCCAGCCTGGGTGACAAGAGTGAAACTCCGTCCAAAAAATAAATAAATAAAATAAAAAAGTCAGTTCCTTAGTCACACACGTGGCTACTGGCTACCATATTGGCCAGTGCAGAAGAACATTTCCATCATCACAGAAAAGGCTACTTAGCGGTATTGAAACATGTAAGAGTAATCAAAATGGAAAACATATTCTAGCAGGAGTGGGGAAAAGAAAATGTGTTAGAGCCACTTTGTTAGAATGGTTATACAGTTATAGGGGATAACACACATGCTTATTTCATGGTCTTATTACTCCTTGCTTAGTCCGTTGCAACAACCTGGCTGTTGTCTCTTTCTTCCCCGATCCTTCCTTTGTATAGGTGCCTGACTGACCTTCCTGATGACAGTGACTTTATCTCTTTGCTTCTTGCAGAATAAAACCTAAGCCCTTCAAGCATGGCATTCAAGGCTCGTTTAAATCAGGCTCAATGGACCTGTCCTCTCTCCCACCATGTCCTCTCCATAAACTACAATTTAGTAACAGAAAGCGGGGTTATTAATATCAAGCCCACTGCCCTCCACATCCATTCTGTAGGAGAATATCTACAATTACAAGATGTCCACAAAAGTCAAACAGACAGACCTTTTAAATAACTTCATTGAACTGAAACACAAGAAAAGAGAAAAGGAGGGAAGATATGGTCACAGAGAAACGAGAGGATTATTGTAAATTATCTAAATTAGTCCTAAACAAGTAATGCCACACAAAGCACTAGTAAGCTAGAATGTCATTCTCTACCCTCACCATAAAGAGGGCTACAGAAATAGGTGAGGAGGCTGGACAGATGCTTAGGGAATCCAAGCAGAAGAGCTAGGATATTTTGGAAAAAATATATCAGATAACCAAGAATAGGTGAGTGAAAGAAGCAGACACAAGTGTGTTCATCTACAGGTACTGAACCCTAAAAGCCTATTCCTATATTCTATACACAATTTAGGATAATAGGTGCTCCTGACAAGATGCCACTGTGGTTTTCTTTGAGTAGAGATTATACAAAACAGACAGGGCTGGTGGACTGAAAAAGTACTGAATTATGGTTTGTTTCCCAAACTACAGGTACTTAGGACCCACTGTTAGAATTGTAATATTTTCTCTAATTGCAACTCATTTTCTTCTTTAAATATAGTTTAAAAAGAAACTTGTCCTAAGCAATATCTGCAAAATCTCAAGTTTAACACACGAATCATACTTTCTGCAATACATATTAAGATAAACACAATTATTTTGAAAAAAATTCTCCATATACCACCTGAAGTCATTTCACTTTTAGGTTATGCTGTACATATTCCTATTCTGGGAAACACTGGGAACCCAAACAATTATCCTGGCTGAGTCCTCGGGCAGGAGACATTTGGCCGTGCCTTTCCTATTTTCCAGGGATAGGACTGTGAGTTACTTCCGTGTGGTGGGCGGTGGGTGCTTGCAGGGGTGAAGTACTAACAGGTAGCAAAGTGTTGGAGACACGAAGCATTAATCATCAGTCAACAACAGCAGTGGCAGCACTGCTATCTTTCCTGGGGCTAGTGAGAATTAACGGATTAATGTTTAGGAGAGCACAGAAGTTTCCAAGCATCTACTGTGGTTCTCAATCCTTTGCAGGGAAGTAAACAACTGAGGTGGCCACCTGGGATTCTCATCTGCTGGCGGGGCTGGTGGGAGTCTGGGTTTTGTGGGTGGCCTCAGGGGGCCCTGGCGGCAGCTTCCAGCCTCTGTGGTGACAGGCCATCTCCTCTCTGTCTAGTTCACAACTCCAGATGCTGTGGGGAGGTGGCAGCAGTCCAGTGGGGGCGGGACACTAAGATTCTCACATTAACAATGCACAGACATCCGTCCATCCGGCACTCCTGGGTCATGTCCCTGAGAGTGACACAGGGCTGCCCCTGGGGCAGACACATGAGATCATCTGAACTGGTTAGCTCCAGAGGGCCTCAGCTGGGCAGGGGCTCTGCAGCTTTTGTCAGAGGCTGTTTCCCTGCAAAATGGGGGGAAAATCGGAATACTCAAACAAAGGGGATTTCTGTAACTCTTCTGCCATTTTTCTCTCACCTTTTCTGTGTAGCTGAGCTCTTAGGAAACTGGTGTTAAAGCAGTTCAGTGAGAAGCAAGGCAACTGAAAGCCCCTTCCAACAGCTGCCAATGGTTGTGGACGAGCAGGCAGACACCAGGGCTAGGAGGAAGGGAGCCAACAATCACTCCACAGTGGCATTTTTCAGGACTCAGTCATTTCTGATGCTGGAAAGAAGCTTGAGAAACCAAAGTACAGCTGTGGGAAGACAGTGTGGGGCTGGAGGGATGCGGGTGTGGGCTGCTGCCCACGTGCTCCCTGGCCCTGTTATAGCCGGACTTGTAAGGCTTTCTTAAGCCTTGCATCTGAGAAAGGCAGAGACCAGAGAATGGAAAGACAAAGCTGGGGAGACTGATAGTGGCGGCGGCGAACTGAACTCAGCCCCCTGCCTGTGGAGGGGATGGGCTGTTAGTGCCTGGGCCATGGATGGGGGAGCTCTGTAAGGATGGCTTTTTTCGGTATGTGTGTTAAAGTCTGAGTTTTTTTTTTTTTTTTCCTGTGGGGTTTACAAGCTCATTCCATTGTCCAGAATCCTTGTGGGCATATTTCTCCTAGGGACGCTGGCCCTGGATCGCTGGCCTTGCCTGAAAGAGGCTGCCTCCTACTGCGTTTTTGTTCAACTTGCTTTCTCTGTAATAGAGATTTGCAGCACTGTGGGCTTCAGGGATTCAAAGTTTTTGTTTTTTCCCTAATATCCAGCTTCCATTTCTGGTTTTTAATAATATCCCAATCTTTTCAGCCATTCTCCCAAGAATTGTAGTGAATGATTTTTTTAAAGTTTTCTTTTAATTTTTATAATGAATACACATAATGGAGCATTCTTTTCTCTGACATTTTCCCTGTCACTAAATTTGAATGTTTAGGTGGCACTTAAAAAACCTTTCCACCCGCTCTCTGAATGTTCTGATGCTCTTGGTGAGTAAAACAAAGTCTTTCAACACCACCTCCATCTGAATTGTATACTTGATCTTTCTGAGCTTGGCAAACAAACCATCACCCACTCAGAACCTAGACAGGAAAGTGGCAGATGATTCAAGCTTCATTAGGAACAAGTCATGCCAAAATAACTTCATTTCTGGTTTTGATGGGATTACAGCTCAGAGAATGCAGCAGAAATAGCATCCCAGGATTTCAGTATGTCAGCTGACATCTTTAGGTCACTCTTTGAATGATACGAAAAAATGAGGTCTGGAGACAGTAAAATTGAGCAATGAGTAGCTGCTTGATGGATCAATGTTAACTGCAGCTCAAAGAGAAGTGTCTGGTGATGTGACCCAGCCTTCCGTCGCCTACTCTGTCACACTTAACTTGTCTCTCTGTCTTAGAAAAGATGTGAGTGGCAACTGGTGAGCTACTCCAGGAGATAGAATCAGGATCCCAAATGATGACCCAGGCTGATATTATGTGTTAAATGCAGAAAGATTTAACAAAAATAGATGTCAAATCCTGTATCAGGATTAAAAAAATCAACTTTGTAAGAAGAGGATGGGAGAGTCCTGGCTTAAGGAGTTGGGTCAGTATGGTGACACAGGTGACAGGAAACTTACCCTGATGATCCTGAACTACACTGAAAGATGTGTGATGCAGAAAGCGAGTCACGCCTCTGCTCTGCTCTTTACCACTCAAATCAGATGGAGGCTGTCGAACTTAGTCCTGGCTGTGTGTGAGGGATCACACTGATCACTGAGTCCATGCCCCAGGTGGCATGTGGAATGGCAGAAGTACATTAAACACTGAGAAAGGCAGACTCATGGGCACCCTATAAGAGTTGCCTTCAGAGAGCTAACAGGCTACCATGTAAAGATGAGATTAGATTTGTTCTCTTTCATGCCAGAGGGTGTAAACGGGATCATGAGTGAAATTTTAAGGAAGATAGATTTCTGCCACAAATAAGGAAGAACTTGCTAGTAGTCACGGTTGTATAAAATGGAGGAAGGAGCTCTCTTCAGTGGTGGTGAGCTCCCCATTGTTGCATGTGTTCAAGCAGAGGCTGAAGAGGTACCTATGCCATTATTATAAAAAAAAAATTCCAAATTGGATGGGGCCTGGACTCTAACATGCCTTATTTTTTAACCTCCAATCCTTGATGCTTCTCCCCTTATAGCACAACAGCCCAACACGTGTTATGGTTCTTAGTATTCCCTCAGCATAAAGTTGACCAGGAAGAAAGACAAGGTTGATAGTATTTTCATTTACTCTGGATACCACTAGCAAAACAAAGAGAGCTCTCTTGAACTTCTCCAAGTCTCCTATAAGTCTATGAATGACACCTACTTCGATCTACTTCAGTTTGGAATGCTGGCCTAGTCCAACCAGTTTGCTGAGATCATGAACAATTTGCAGGAAACACAGGGAGCATTGATAGGATGAAATAGAAGGCAGTATTTTAAAAAAATCAAGTCAATAATTTCTTATGTAAGTTTTCAAAGACCATCATTCCTATTCAACACAAATCCATCTGTACTGTTGCAGAAGCTTGAAATTAAATAAATGTTGACCACAGCAGTCTGAATTTCATCACATTTATACAGCATTTTTCCAGGCATGAGTTTCCCTCACTGAAAAATAAGCTTTTTCTACTTAGGCCTATCAGGTGAGCAAGGGTAGTCAGTCACACAGACCCACAGTTTTGTTTGAATGGACAGCAGCCTGCCCCATCTTGTATTTTCTTGGGCTTGACATAATAACTGAGCCATCAAAAAAGTTATAAATATTGTACACACCCTGCCATTCTATACACCCTAAAATGGCAGGAGAAAATAGCTCAAAGCCTTTCCTCCTTAATAGCTCCTTAGACAGGTTTTAGGACAGAACCGGGTAATCTCAGAATCTTTGCTAACAAATGGAAAAGAAAGCAGAAGATCTGACTACAAGTAGAAGAGTTGGAGGACGCAAGACAATGAAATAAGGAGAGGAGGGTGAAGAACATACTCTAAAAGATGGCTGCAAGTACTGGCATTTACTCATGGTCGATATCCAATACATATCTATTATTTATCAAGACTGGGCAAAAATTAGGAAAGAAAATCGTTTCTTATGAGCAACTGGAGGCAAAGGCAAAAAAGAAGTTCATGCAATGATGGGACTGCCTAACTCCTGGAGGTCCCCTGTCTAGAGCTCCTGTTTAGCCATCTGTTTTCTGTGACAATGGTTAGCACCTGACTCTGGGTTAAAATTTTTTGGGTAGTTCCCTCAGGTCTGCAACCTTGATTTAATTACCAAATCTAGGTCGAACTCTAGACACAAATTTGAGGTGAACAATCGAACCAAGGTGTCATGCTGTGCATTGAGCAGTGGAAGGACCTTCTCTTGACCTCTCATGGCCCCTGATCACAGATGGCTGTGCTGGCACAGAGCATGTCCCTCCAGTTCTCCAAGATGGAGCAAGAAAGAAGGCCCTGTATGCTAAGACAATCATACTCTTTTCACAAATATTTCATGTGACCTAGAAATGTACACAGTTTGGTAGTGTTAAATATATTCACACTATTGTAAAACAAATCTCCAGAACCTTTTCATCTTGGAAATCTGAAAATCTATACCCATTAAACAACAACTCTCCTTTTCCACCTCCTCACACCCCCGGTAACCACCACTTGACTTTCTGTTTCTATGAATTTGAGTACTTTAGGTATGTCACATAAATGGAATCATTTAGTAACTTTTTTATGCGGTGGGCTTATTTCTTCAATATAGCTTTGAAAATAAACCCAGGGAGGTGGGAAGGGAGGGCATACAGAGCGAGAGAGAGAGGGCAAATCCACCTCCCTTCTGCTTAGGTGGTGGCCAGAAAGGGAGTATCCTGGGATATCCTCCGGGCGTGGAGCATGTTGGCAGCATGCATTATAGTTGCAGGAGAAGGTCCTCCTGGCAGGTGGGCTCAAGGCTCATCACCTCCATCAAGAAGCATCTACTAAGGGCCCAAGTTGTCCCCATGTCAAATACATTCTCTGAAGTCCATAGAACCTCAGCAATTCTTGAAGAATTCTCATGAAATGCTCTCAGCATCTTCCTGGGGGAGGAGGAATCTGAATAAATAAGGCTGCATTATTTTAAGAGCAGTCTCTGTAGGAATCTTGGAGGGAGAGCAGAAGAGGCAATGGAATGCGAATGAATAGTCTCAAAGCTGCCAGAGCCTGCTCTTGAGGAACGAAATATGCTTAGAATGTGTGTCCCTCATGGACTCATGCGTGGGGCATAGAAGGAAGAGAAATTTGGCTTCAAAACTGAAAGACAGTCTGTGAAATTTAGTCACATGTCAGAGGGATCACTGGCAAAAAATGTCTGGGAACCACTGTTACACTCCAGCTCAACCTTGCGGGGCCACTCCCACAATGCCACCTCATATGTCACTGTGAATAGGGCCACATCTTCACCACATATTCTCCCTTTCCCACCAAAACTTCCATCCAGCACCAAGAACAAGGGAGGCCTCCTACAGCAGCTCCATGTGGGGAGCTATACCCTTAGAGACAGGAGTCGGTGCAAACTGGGAGTTAACATTTTCATTGGAGCTGATTGAGCTCAACTTACCAATAGGTTAATTTGTAAATGAAAAAATTCTATTGAAAGAGTTTTTGTAAGGCAAACTCCTAATTATCCTTGCACAAGTCTGCTGCGAAATTCTCAACAGAACTTTAAGCTTTTGCCTTTTTCATCCACTAGACTCTTTCTTCATGGCTGCTGGTCACCTACTCATCTTGCCATCCACCTACCCAACCCTGTGTCTCCTCTCCCAGACACTTTTCTGCTTCTTCAGGCCAAAATCCATAGTCATACTGGCTTTTTTTTTTCTTTATTTCACATCCCATTTCTAATCAGTTTGCAAGAAAAACTAAAATTGTGAAGGCAACCCATCTACCTTGGCTGGTCTCTCTCCTCCCAATACCCACCCCCACCGACCCCTCCAACCTCTGGTCCATGTTCGTATGTCACCTTCTCACTGAGCCCTGTCCTAACTACTGTATTCAAAATTCCAACTCCTGTCCTCCCTAACTACTCCCCTCCTCCTAGATTTATTTTCTCTTAAGTTGCTGATCACTAACTTAGGTATTCCTGCTTACTGTCTGTCATCCCTAATTGGGATATAAGCTCTGTGAAAGCTCAGAGTTTTGCCTGTTTTGTATCCCTAGTACCCGCAACAGTGCACACAGTAGATGCTCAATGCAAATCTGTTAAATGAATGAACAGCTTCTTCTGGTCATTCAGGTCTCAACACAAAGTTCTTCTCCTTAGGGAAGCCTTCCTTGGCCATCCCATCTAACGTTGCACTTCCCTAAATTACTGTCTATCACATCACTCTGCTTTACTTTGCTTCTAGGACTTACAATAATTTAAACTGTCTTGTTTTCTTATTTGCCCTCCACAATACTTGTAGGCCCATAAGAACTCCAACTTACTCTGTCTTATCCATTGCTATAACCCTAGCACTTAAAACGGCTTAACACAGAGCAGGTACTCAGTAAATACTTCTTCAATGAATGGAGAACCTTCATGACAAAACCAATCAAAATCCATTATTTATTTTCCCCAACTTTCCTGATCTTGAAAATTCTAATCCACAGAAAAGATGGAAGAATCATATATCCACCTACTTTTAGTCTGGATTCAGCTGGGGGTGAATCTGGAATGTCGGGAGGAACTAGACTGTGTTAAATCATTACATTTGCTAAATTTGTGTGCTCTCTTCTCTCAATGTATATCTATACAGTCCTGTTCACGTAAGCGTGCACGCGCATGCACACACACACACACACATGCATATGTTTTCCCAGAACCATTTGGAAGTAAATTGCAGACACCATGACATTTAACCACTAAATACTTCTGCATATATCTCCTGAGAACGAGAACATTCTACATAACCAAAATACCATTTTTCCACCTAAAAAAAGTAATGTTGATACAATATTATAAATTAATATATAGTCTACATTCAGATTCTCCAAAGTGCTCCAAGGATGTCCTTTATAGATTTTTTTTTTTTCAATCTGGGAGCCAATCAAGGATCACTCATTACATTTGGTCTCATTAGTCTCTTTTAATCTAGGGCAATCCCCCCATCATTTTGTCTTTCATGACAGTGATATTTTTGAAAAGTTCAGGCCAGTTGTCTTAAAGAATGTTCCACAGAGGATGTCTAGTCATAGCATTATGTTTAAAAGTTAATCTAATCTATTTGTTCTTTAGTTTATTATTTTAATATACGGTGAGTTCATTTTTGTTTGTTTTAAATTTTTAAGTCTGCTGATTTTCATCTTTGTTGATTAGATTTTAATTTCTTGACTACTTAAAACATTTAATTGGTTCAAAAGTCAATACTGAACAAAAAGATACAGAGTCTCACTCCTATCCCAAACCTTTCACTCTGTTGCCACCTACTTTCTATAGGTAATCTTTTCCACTAGTTTCCTGTTTATCCTTTCTGTTTCTTTTTACAAAGTATGCAAATGTATGCATGAGTATATATTTATAAATCACACATATATATTTATGTGTTACAATTATGTATTATTTTCCCTTCTTTGCACAAAAGGAAGCATACCATATATAGTGTACATATCCCTCTGCAACTTGTTTTTCTGCTTAAAAATATATCTCAGAAATTACTCATATTGGGGCCAGGCGATGTGGCTCATGCCTATAATCCCAGCACTTTGGGAGGCCAAGGCGGGTGGATCCCCTGAGGTCAGGAGTTTGAGACCAGCCTGACCAGCATGGAAAAACCCCATCTCTATTAAAAGTACAAAATTAGCTGGGCGTGGTGGCACATGCCTGTAATCCCAGCTACTTGGGAGGCTGAGGCAGAAGAATATCACCTGAACCCGGGAGGTGGAGGTTGTGGTGAGCTGAGATCGTGCCACTGCACTCCAGCCTGGGCAACAAGAGCAAAACTCTGTCACACAAAAAGAAAAACAATCAAACAAACAAACAAAAAAAAACAAAGAAATTACTCCACATCGGTTCACAGAGAACTTTTTTCTTTCTTATGGCTACACAGTACATGATTGATTGTGTGGCTGTATGTGGATAACTTTGTGCACATGTTGTTTTGTATCTGCACGAATCTACTATTTTTTCATAGGTTGCTATAGAGTTTTTTAGTAGGTTGTTATAAAGTTTACTCTTTAACACATATTGAAGCCCTAATCCCCAGTATGATTCTATTTGGAGGCAGGGCCTTTACAAAGGTAATTAAGGTTAAATGAGGTCACAAGGGTGGGGCCCTAATTGGATAGAAGTGATGTCCTTATAAGAAGGAGAGACACCAGAGCACTGTCCACACACGCACAGAGGAAAGGCTATGTGAGGACACAAGGAGGCGGCTGTCTGTAAGCCCAAAGAGAGGCCTCTAACAGAAACCAACCCTGGTGGCACCTTGATCTTGGACTTCTGGCCTCTAGAACTAAGAGAAAATGAATTTCTGTTGTTTAAGCCACCCAGCCTGTGGTATTTTGCTATGGCAGCCTGAGTGAACTAATAATATACATGTATTAGAAGAGCTAAATGCTGTAGATTCACATGAAAACAAGCTAAGGATTGAGTTAAGAGAAAATCACTTAACTTAATAAAACTTAAAAACTTGTCTCCCAAGATATCACTTGAGAGGCATACCCCTTAAAAGGTAATTTAGGGAGCAACTCTATATGTATCCTCAGTCTGATAAACTGTGATTTAAAAAAAGTGATAAAAAAGTGAAAAAAAGATAAAAGATATTTCTGGAGGCTCCTGAGAAGGAAGCAAGGAAAACCCTGGCAATCCATGGACCACCGAGTAGTTTGCGTGAAGTCATTTTAAACATTAGCGTGAGCCTTACAGGTGCAGATCCATTATAGCATCACCTTCTATTCTGACTCACTCTTCTGAAGTCTCAGTCACACACCAATTAAGTTGTCTTCTTCTACATCTTAGGCATGATGAAGGGAAACCACCTCATTACCACAGGGTCCACAGTAAATGGTTCCCAGACTCCAATTCAAGTGACATGTGGATAGGGAGGAAGGTGGCATGAACTCCAAGGACACCAGGGCCCAGGACTTCCAGGATCTAGGGTGACTTTATGTTTTTTTTTTTTTGAATTTTTTTTCTATATTTCATACTTGAATAAACTGGCTCAGAAGGTAAATGTCTTCTTTTTTATAAAACCCAGTTGAGGATGGAAATGGCCTCTTTTACTATTAGTTTTTAAAATGTCATCATTCATCTGATTAATATGAAAACATGCCCTTATTACTGAACATTGTGATATATCCTTGAAGAAGCAGCTACTTGGAGATATTCCATACTCAACCAGAGCCTAAAGTGTACATTATGCTTATTGAGTGACTTACCAAAGCACACGCTTACAGACATTTATATTTGTTTGAAAATAACCACGAAAGCAGTCTTGTTTTCTTCAACTTCAGTACTTCAGTATGTGTATACCAAGGGAATGGGAAAGGAGAGACACCTTTCCTCACACTCCCTGCTTCCTTCACAGTCATACAAGATTTGATCAGAAGGTAAGAATTTCCTTGTCTGTCAGATACAGTGTCTGACATAGAGTCAGACAGTTGGAAAAACATACGAGTTATTTCCACTGAAAATGACACTAGTCATTTCCAGAGATGTAACTCCAGAAAACATACAGGAATGCAAAGGCATCTGTAGGTTTCAATGGTCGGGGCAAATTTAAATATGGGAAAAGGTCTTCTAACTTTAAATTAGAAGGAAATGGAAGAAATCTAATTGAGTTCCTTTGTTGCTTTTTGGATTTTCATTTAACCAATGAGACTGTGAGTGAAAGCCCATTCAGCCAAAGTTTAGGACTTTGGTTCTTAGAAGAATGAAGAGCCCCGAGTTGGACGGAAGGGACCAGGAAGCATTGGTCCCCTTAGGTCCCACTGGTGGCTTTAGAGAGAAATCCCATGGGGCATGCAGAACCTTTGAAATCACAAGCAAAGCCATACTACAGAGTTTCATTGTTCCAGTACTATGCCCCATCCTTTTCCTGATCTTCCTTCCCTTTCATCCACCTACCCATTCAAATAACCCTTTCTTCATTATAGAAATGTAATAATGTACACTGTAAGAAATTAGAAAATGCACACAAAGAAAAAGAACTCCATTACATTTCTACCATTCACAGGTCACCCTGTTGATATTTTTACTTTGCACACGTTCTCATGGCTCTTCGTATGTACACACCACTTGCACTCACATTTGTATTTTTAACCACAGTGAGATCATACTGGGCATATCGTTCCTCCAACCACTTTTTCTGATCATCACCTTTCATCAACTACTTGGGTCATATTTGAGTTTCTCCAATTTCCCCCACTCCAGAGTCCTTTATAACTGGTTTGTGTAAACCAGTAACCACTCCAGGACCATGAACTACATCTGGTTTTTAAAGCTCTTAAATCTTGTTTAACTTAGCGCAGTCCATTTTTATGTCACTGACTTATTGAAGAAATCAGGCCTGCAAGAAGTTGTCCTGTAGAATTACCCTCACCCTCCCACCCCACCACCATCCCCCGACCCCAGATTTGTCCCTTTGCTTCCTCATGGTGTTGGTAAGCTTGTTCCTCTAATCCTTTATTTTCCTCTCACTGGAAGTTATATCTCAAAGCTTTATAAGGTCAAATCATACCGACTACGCCAGTGGGGATGTGTGACAAAGAGACATCATGGCTGTCAGCGAAGGGTATTGTATTTCATGAATATTTGGATCAGAAGATACCTAACACCTGGCTGACACTCCAGGCTCAGATTGACCCCTGCCCGGGTTACTGTGAAGACAGTCTGATCCTTTAATGCACAGTTCTGACTTATCGCTTGTGACAAGAAAAGAGTGTGTGTGATGTTACTTTGTTTCCGCATGTGTTGTTTTGGTATAATAATAGTGTCCATCAAACATTCACCTTAATGGCTTTGACCCCGAGTGATCACCTGTACCTGAATTTGTTCATGGCATTTAAAACAATACGTGGCACTAGATTACAAACAGCTTTGAGAACAAGTGCTTTGTCCTTTAGAAATTTAGCATCCCCTTGCAGGATCTTGCACTCACCTATGCTAAGTAAGAGTTGATGCTCGCGATATCACTTGGGAGGCATACCCCTTAAAAGGTAATTTAGGGAGCAACTCTATATGTATTCCTCAGTCTGATAAACTGTTGGGGCTTAAATATGTTCCAAATAAATGAAGATAAACTTAACACCAGCAATTCGGAGTAAACCTTGTTCTTAGTGGAGGAACCAGCCATGGAGCCTAAATGTTGGAGCTCAATCTCAGCCCCTGCCCCTTTTTTTTCCTGTTTCTCAAAGGGGTCAGCGATTTCTAGTGTTTCCAGTCATTGCCTATGCTGGTGTTCCTCCTATCTGTCTATACCTTTGGCTCTGTGATCTCAGTGCCTTAGGCACATGTAAAGCACTACGGATACGTATCAAGGCCATCTTGATGGCCTCTTTCACCATCCATGTGCTCCCTACCCAATTTCTTGGTATCTCTGAAAGGCCCCCTCATTCTCCCAGTTCTTTACCCAGGTGTAGACCTTCCTCACCTATGCTAGGCTCAGGCTGTGTCTCCTGACTGTGCTCTCTGTCTGTGGTGGGTTGTTGTTGCCATCCAACATGCATTCCATTGCTAGACAGATATTCCTTAAACTGTTTTTTATTATGTCACTTCTTGGTTCACAATGTTTCATGAATTCCTATTGCTTACCTGGTCAAGTCTAAATTCTTTTGTCTAAATTTTATTCTTCCATAGTAAGGCCCCATGTAGTGAGACCATATTTTGACTTATTTCCCCAAATCTCTCATTTGTGCTGATAAAAGATGCCTCCTCAAAGTCCTGCAAGTGCCTCTTTTTGGGTCTTTGCCACACCAGTGTCCTCTCCTGAAGGGTCTCTCCCCACTTGCTCCCTAGTGAAGTCCTGTCCATCCTGTGGGTGTTGATTTTAGGTGAGATAAACTTCATGAAAGAGATGGAAGAAAAATCCTGTCCTTCCCTCCACCTGAACCTCTGCAGCACAAACAACTGCCAGTACCCTGCCATCTACAATGAATACTCTTGAATCACTCACCTTTGATTTCTATGTTTTTCTTTTGATTCTTCAACTGTATTGTGGGTTCTTTGAAGGAGGTAATCTTGCTTTACATTTCTAAGTTAATCCCCCAAAGAAATGACCTCTGGGGTCTTGTGGTCCATTCCTCTGCTTCTATGAAGTGTTGTACTTAAGGATTTTGTCTTATTAAGCATCTGGTTTAAGCACATGCACACGGGCACACACACACACACACACACACACATGCATGCTCCTCTGAACG
The DNA here is from genome assembly GCF_000001405.40 of Homo sapiens. Lineage (NCBI taxonomy): Eukaryota > Metazoa > Chordata > Mammalia > Primates > Hominidae > Homo > Homo sapiens. The sequence continues at coordinate 89,997,050 of NC_000006.12, forward strand.
TAATTCTGTATTTTTTGGTGCCTCTCTCCCATGTCTAGCATCTTATACTGTTACAAAATCCTCCTTTAATATAGCTGAAATCCCTCCTGTATAGTTGGGATGCTATTTCTTCTTGTCAGTGAATGAGACATCTGGTCAACATCTACTAAAGCAGCCTTAAATAGGAGGAATGGAAAGACTTTGTTAAACAGAACTTTGAAAGGTTACTGCACTTCTCTACATGAACACCTTGTGAATTGAATGCATTTAACTCATCCAAAAAAATCTCCAGTTACGAAAACTGTGCTTCAATTATCTTCCCTTAGTAACTTCAGTTATCTTCCCTGATTTCCCAAACTATGAAGTTCTTACCCTGAATCTGGGTGTTCCACATTTTTAATCTTTCCACCTTCCTATTTGTAGGGTACAATTCAATTCCTGTGCTACTACAGATCCACTTGGCAGATATAAGAAACACAAAGAATACTCCCACATAGACTAAGGCATTCAGTGGGAAACAAACAGTGCACACATCAGAACGCCTCTCATGGTAGTAGAGTGTTCATCTTTATAGAGCAAGACGCTTGAGGGTCCTGTCTGTTAACAGCCATTCTCCTGGCCTTTTTAGTAACTTCCTGTTTTCCTTACACTTCTCTTTTCTTAACTATCATACAAAACAAGAAAAACAGATAAGCAGGGAGGCATCAGAAGGGTTTCTCTGGATAGATCTTCAAAGTGACCCATATAAACCTTCCATTTGACTGGTGCCACTCAACCTGGCTTGATAAACCCAAGGGTGTGGCCACTGCTCATAGACTGCCCTGCCCTACCCAGTTCTGGTTGTTAATGCCACCTCCAGGAATGATGTCATCTATGTAACACTTTTGGGAAGAATAAGCTGTCATTTGGTTTTGCATATAAAGAATACAAAAATTAAAGAAATCAATAGAAAATGATGGCTTAAAAATAATCAGGAAAAAATGAGTAACAATGACATTTAATAGCTGTCCTTTATAAAACAGAAGATAAAATGAAATAGGTATTTCTTCAACAAGCTGGAGGCCTGTAATTGTGACCTTCTGTATCCTTCCTTTGGTTTTCTTCTAAGCCCAGGAATCTTTCATTGGCTAAATCCCAGCATTTTTTTTTTTCCTCCCTTGGCCAACTTTTGGCCTTGCTTGGGAACAGCTGCCAGTATTTCTCTTTGCTGCCAGTCAGTCAAAAATGTGCTCACGTTGGAGGCCTGGCTCCATCCCACCCAGGGTGTGGAATGCATTAACTTTTTCACAAACAGCCTTCGCCAGGCTGCACACGAAAGTCCATCTCAGCAAAGCTCACCGCATTACTAGCTGGCTTGGAGGTGATGCCAATGTCAGTTACAGAGACTGTCAACATATTTTAGGAGTCTATGGCAAAGTGATGAATTTTACTATGTGTACCAAATTAATGGCAAAAAAGAACACTTCCGAGATCCTAGGAAACCAAAAGTGTTATTATTTAATTGCTTCTCCACTCCTCAAAGCAAAACAAGCCAATTCTTTTCTAGCCTGCAATTTGGTTCAGAACCCAAACAAACAAGAAAATAAAAGTATTAACTGATTAGTGCCCACAATTTTATTCTATTTTCTTTGTGCTTTTAAGAACAGCCTTCTTTCTTTTTTCCCTTTTTTTTTTTAACTGACCACCATGCATCACTCCAATGCCTGGGTATGATCCATTTTATTAAAAAATTCCTGAATCAATTTCCTGGCTTACAGCTTATCCAACCAAGATTCCAGGTGTTCTCACCATAAGAAGGGCCTCTTTCAAAAGCTGTCTGCTTTTATAACTGCACACCCACCAGAAATGTCATGAACACCCCAACAATGGAGTTGAAACCTGAAGACATTGGGTGACATTCCAAATTTTTGAATGGAATGCGAATCCATTAAGATTATTAGGTAACTTTATTGATATCCTCAGATTTGTGCCAAATGTTAAAGCTGCCAAAGAAAAGACAGAACAAAAACTGACTCTTGGATTCTAACTCTGAGTATTTTGGTGTGGAAACTGTGTTTTCTTGTAACTCACTTAAAAAACACACCGTGCTTTCACTGTTTAACTGCAATCTCAGTTTTCAGGAAGCAAGAGAAATGAGATACATAATCAATGTTTGCCTTCTATTCAGCTTTCAGCCTAAATGATCCTGCACTTGTATTGGCAAATGAGGACAGGTATTAACAGCGAACAGGAAACCTATTCTAAGAAGGACTGGCTCAAGTGAAGCACCACTGCATCGTGAGTGACTCAACCATCTACTCAAAGAGTGATTACTCTGCAAGGATGAAGCCATGCTAATTGGACAATGGCTTGCTGCCAGTTCGTGCTGGCGTGACCTACAATACCCTTGGCTGACAGCCATGATGTCTCTTTGTCACACCTTTTTTTTTTTTTTTCCAAGGGTGTAGGGTGTAATCTGGATGGGAAGTAGAAATAATTTTGAAAAACTCTCACAAGTGCTATTTAAATTCTTATCATAAATTAAAAAGTTTAATTAAGTACCTTGGTAAAGGCCCGGGTTCTATGATTAACTACGACAAAATAATAGTTATGATGACTGATCAAGTGAGGAACTTTATAGCTCTGAACTTTGTCTTTAAAGCTATTATTAATTTTAATTGAAATAGCTAAGAGACTCCATAATGGGAGAAAGAAAGAAACATGAAGGATATTTTGTTCATATACAGAGGAGTTTAAAAATGAATAGATACGCCGGTAACTATTTTAAAAAAATTGATGCAAACAAGTTTACTTTCAGAGGCCTTGTCATAAATCTATTTCAAAATGTTGATTATTGTGGTCATCCTACATCAGATAGGGATAAATAGACATAGTGAAAAGAAATCTTAAAAACGGCTTTGAAATCAGGTCACTTAAAATGATTTTTAGATATGTCTTAGGTTTTTGTCTACTCAACTCCTACTACTATGCCAAAAGAGGAACACATTTCTGCATAAGTTTCTTTAAATAGGCTTACTGGCCTCAGGATTTAAAAAATGTAAGAGGTTTGGAAACAGCTTATGTGTCTCAGTTTTAAAATTAGCTATTGCTGTGGCTATTTTCACACTAGATTTCCCTCCCTCTGTATCAGCACCACAGCCTCCAGGGCTGGAGTCACAATAGTATTAGCTCCCCTTTCTGTGGCGCTGCCTTACCGCAACTCCATCCGAGACTGAGGACCACATTTCAGGGCTAGCAGTCACCTCTGCGTTACTATAAATAAGTTCTGCCTTTAGGCATTTCAAAATTATCAGTATGATTCTAGGACTTGAAAACTTCTCATTTGCCAGCAAGTAGTTACCTGAAATATTTTGACTTCTTATTTATTTGCTTTTTTTTCATCTGCTGCCAAGTCTTACTAACGCAACTTGGAAAATTGCACCACAGCTTTTAATGAGGATTCTGAGGTAACAGCCATTTCATCAGAGAAGACTGTTCTTTCCTTTTAGGGGAATAATAACACCTACTGTTTCTATAGCACCATCCTTCCAAGAAGTTTAACACATCACATTTCATTTATCTGAACAGCGGCCCTGCAAGTCAAACTGGTAACTAGCATTGTTACTCCTTGTACACTCATATTGAAATTGAGGTCATTAAATGTGAACTAATTTTCTCAAAATCTTAACACCTTCTGACATGGTTAAAGAGCCATGATCCGCCTATGTTCTAGGTGATCAGATAGCCCAGAAGTCTCTTTCCGCTCTTTAGCTGTCATCTCCTGTGAATGCCTGTAAGGAAGGCCCTTTCTGAAAAGTCAGGGAAAAGTCATAAAAGTGGGAGAACTGAGCTTGTGCCTCTTCTGGAGTCCTGTGGTTCTCTCCCTTCCTGGCCAGTTTGCCTCCCATCTTTATGGCTTTTCCCTACCTCTCAATCCAAACATCCCTCCACTCTTCCTGACCAACAGGATTTTTTCTCTCTTCCTCCAACAGGAAGCTAGCCAAGTTCAAGGACTGTAAACCTGTGTGACATAGGCTAGGATCTCAGAGATCATCCAGCCCCAATCCATCATTTTCAGATTAGGATGTGACTTATTGAGTCTGGCCATTTGGTTAGTAGATCCCATCCTCTGTTGCATACTGAAGGCAATTGAACTTCTGTCTCCTGTATCATCAAGTTTTCTCTCTCTTTTGGAACTTTCCCTTCAGCCCAGGTATTAGGACAGGTTAGGCTTTGCTGTGCTAACAGATAAAACACCACATCTTGAGAGATTGTTTGGAGCTTCTAGCAGGCAGCACAGCTATGTATATACTTGTGAATGAAGAACGGTCCTCCTCTATCAGGGAAGGTCGTCCTCTTCAACCAAGCCTGCAGCTTCAGGAGGGACACACGTGGAGCAGTGAGGGAGGGAAACGACACCCACTGAGCCAGCCAGATCAGCCCAATCAACCTGGCGATGTTGGGGTGACAGATGTTGCAGCCAGATTGCCTTCACATCCAGAAACACCAAATCTTGAGTGCTTAATTAACTTAAAAGTTTATTTCTCATCATGTCAGAGTCTGATTTGAGTCAGATGGATTTTGCTGGCTCTCTTCCAACAGTGACTCAGGGACCTAGGCTACAGCTTCATCACTCTAGAGTCCTTTGACACCAGCTAAGTGGATGGGACAAAGCATAAAGAGCTTATACCTACTTTTGACTGCCTTGGAGCAGAGTCCTCACCTCACATTTCATCAGCTAGATCTAGTCATATGGCCTACCTGATTACAAATTTAGTCTTCCTGTGTGTCTAGGAAAGAGGAAAACTGGGTGTGGGTGAGCAATGGTAATCTTCACCACAGAGTACAAACATGTTGGGATTTCTTCCTACTTAAAATAAAAAACCAAATGAAACCTCTTTTGACACCGTTTCCCTCCAGCTACTGATCTACTTCTCTGTTCCCTTTCACTCAAAAAGCCTTATTCTCTCTAGAACACAATCAAATTGGTTTTTGTTTCTACTGCTCCCCCAAAAGTGCTCAACGAAATCACAAATGGCCTCCAAATTGCCGGATGGTCAGTTTTTGGCCTTCATCTTAGCTTACAGTCAGCATCATTTGACCTAGTTGATGGCTCTCTCCTCCTCGAAATGCTTTCTTCACCTGGCTTACCACGCACTATGCTTTGTTGCTTTTCCTCCCACCTCAGGCTTGCTCCTTCTTGGTCTACCTTGCCGGCTCCTCTTCATCTCCCTGACCTGTTAATTCGAGAAAGCTCCAAGGCTCAATCCTGGGACTTCTTTTCCTTTCTATCTCCACTCACTTCCTTGGTGATCGTATGTAGTCCTGTTGCTTTTAGTATTCCCAATATTCTGGTATTACAATTTTTATCTCTAGGATAGACTTCTCCCATGAGTTCTGGCCATGTAAGTCCAACTGCATACTAGACATCTTTACTTAGATGTCAACAGGCATCTCAAACTTAATATATACAAAATAGAAGGCCGGGCATGGTGGCTCACGCCTTAATCCCAGCACTTTGGGAGGCCGAAGCAAGTGGATCACTTGAGGTCAGGAGTTCGAGACCAGCCTGGCCAGCATGGCAAAATCCCGTCTCTACTGAAAATACAAAAATTAGCCAGGCGTGGTGGTGCACACCTGTAATCCCAGCTACTTGGGAGGCTGAGGCAGGAGAATTGCTTGAACCTGGGAGGTGGAGGTGGCAGCGAGCTGAGATTGTGTCACTGGACTCCAGCCTGAGCAACACAGTGAGACTCTGTCTCAAAAATTAAACAAAAAAATAAACAAAACTCCCAATTCTACCCGAGTCCCCAATCCTACTCCTCTCAGTCTTCGCTTCACCCATCTCAGTTAATGCCAACTCCATTCTTCCAATAGTTGAGGCCCTAAGCCTGGATGTTATCTGTGACTCCTCTCTTTCTCTCCCACCTTGTATCCAACATATAAGAAATTCCCATGAGCTCTACCTTCAAAATATCACCAGAATCTGACACCAACCACCATGTCACTGCTATCACCCTGGTGTAGGCCATCAGGTCACACCTGGGTTGCTGTCTTAGCCTCTTGTGTCTTTTCCCTGCTTCTGCCCTGGCCCTCTTTCAATTTATTTTCACGTGGCACTCAAAATGACCTGTGAAACTCTCCAGTGGCCAGCTCGTTCCAAAAAAAGACCAATCGCTCAGTGAGGTGCACAGTCTGGACCATCACCTCTCTGACTCACCTCTCCCCACCCTGCCTTGGCTCACTCTGCTCCTGGGTGGCAAACACGCCCTGCCCACCACAGCCTCCTTGTGATTCCTCCTGTCTGGCTCACCCTTTCCCTAGACATCAGCACAGCCAGCTCCCTCACCTGCTCCAGGTCTCTCTTCAAAAGTCACCCCCTTGAACAGGCTTTTCTTGATCACTCTTCTTAAAATTGTAATACTTGTATCCTAACTCCCTTCTCTGTTTTATTTTCCTCAATGGCATCTAACAAAGTATATTTAACACTGATTAATTTCCTCTTTTTCCTCCTCCTCCCCACTGGAATGTGAGCTAGGTTCGCCTAGCACCTAGAATGATGTCTCCTGGTTACATAGCAGGGTCTTGACAAATATTTGTTGAATGAATAAATAAATGAGTGAGGAAACAGAAGCCCAGAGAGGAAGACTAGTTTGCTGAAGACCTCACATGCAGTGATACCAAGGTGCAGAGTGTGGTTTTCCCAGCCCCTCAAGGCTGATGATCCTAGTTTAAAAAAATCTGCCCATTACTCTTTTTCAGGTAAAGAGTGGTGGTGTCTTCTTCAGAGTTTTGTTTAGGTGAATGGGGTGAGGCCAAAGGGCAGGCTCTGTGCTCTGGGCTAAGTGAGTGTTTTGCCCTTCTCATCCTGGTCATGCCACTTCCCAAAGACTTCACCCCTGTTTCCCACCAAAACTCCACCTTCCCTTGTCCTCACCCTCAGGCTCAGAATGCTGTTGTCACCCTGTGCTGTGGCGTTAACTACTTTCTGTACTATTACATACTGAAAGGGTTGCCCAAAGATAATCATGACTGTCTTATTGCTTCCTTAAGACTGAACCTAAACCATCCCAGAGACATTAACAGCTTTCATATCCTCTAAAAACTTCCAGACAAGAAGATTCCATAATTTCCTTGTTGGCATCTGTGCTTGGCAGTACTGCTGCAGGAATGTTCTTTATTGCAGCCTGTGGTTAAGACTTAACAACAAATGCCTTTTCTTTAGAATCCTTCTGGGTCAGCTTTCTTTCCTGTATAGCACTGAAAAGTGAGATTTGCCCCAAAATGTTGAGTGAGAGAGAGAAAGCAAAAGATAGTGAGCACAAGCGAGCACAAACCTGAAATCTATTTATACCGAGGAAAACATAAGGTCTACCTGCAGGGGCCATACTCACCCCCAGCCTGTAGCTGTTCCCTGCATGAACCCGTCCCCTTCTCTAGAGGGTACAAGGACACAGGAAGCAAGCCAGAGAAAGGTGGTGAGACCTTGGCAGTAACCTTTTAACAGCCACTTTTCCCCTAGCATTCTGTCAAGGAGCCAGGCAGCCACGTAAGAATAGTGTTGATGTGCAAACCCACTGTGGGCTGAGCATCTTCTAAGGAAGCACATCCCCTCCCTGTCCTCTGAACTTGACACGCCATAAGACTGAACTTCATAGTTGTGATGCTACTTCCGTCATGGCTGGCATCCAGCCCGAAATGGCCTCCATGACTATAGCTAAGGAGGTGTCATACTAATGAGCAGTGGAAGAACGGCCCTGCAATGCTTAGCACATCAACTACTTTCTCTTCATCTCTTAGCAAAACATATACTTACTCATTATAAAATTGAATGATCTGCTTTATTATGTAATGAAAGTACTAAGTACAGTGGCTTATCTCCTACTATTTGCTGACACAATTACCTGGGTGTGTTTTTCAGTGGGGAACAAACACTCAAGTCCTAGAAATCCTAGGGATTGCCATTTGTTTTTTTTTAAAAACGCAAGATAATTCAATTATTCCTTGATTTCTAGAAGGAGGCCTCCCTCTATTTTTGTCTGTCTTTCAGTTTAGAGACTATGCTGGGCTCTGTGAGTGGCTCTAATGTGCTGGTAATGGCGTGGCTCATCAGGAATTGGGATTTGGGGGTGGAATTGCACAACTGGACAGTCGCTGGACGGCAGATCTGGGTTTGGCCTAAGGTGGATGGGGAGTTGGGGGGAGGAGTGGCAGTTTGTGTTCGGAAGTTTCAGGCTCCTAGGAGGAACTCTCAGGCCTGGCTGTGCTGGCCCCCTTGAGGAGCACAGCGGTTGGCTGCCAAGGGAGTGTAGATGGGTCAAATGTGACTAAGAGGAGGGCAGGGCCAGAAGTTGATTCAAATTTGGCGATAGGATTATGATGAGGTTTAAAGATTTCCAAGGAGCTAATCTAATGGTTTTTCTTATATCCTATGAACCAAATGCCGATTAGTTCCAGAAAGCTACTTTCTAAGGTAGTATTTAGAATGTCTGCTTATTTACCACTTAATTCAAATTTTATGAAATCACTCACTGAGCTAAGTGTGACAATTACCATTGAGCCTGCAGGGACATTTCAGTGTGCACACAGCAAGTCAGGAAAACAATGCCCAGCACGTGGGTCCACAGGCAGGTGCCCTGAGCAGAGGGGGAGGGCTCTTCAAAGGAGGCCTCAGAAACAATGACAGAGCCTCAAAAGAAAATGCCACTGGGGCTGGCTTGCATGTTCCATCAACAAGATACTTAGAGCTGGATTACTGAAAGTATGAATTTGCGTTTCATAAGAAAAAAAGGATCTAGTTCTACCTGAAGATTTCAGATACGTGAGCAACCAGAATGTTTCAATGGTTTCGAGGATGTAGATGATGCAGGGATGATAATCATTTTACAGGGGGAGGAAGAAAGAAAATCAACACACAGCAAATTCTCACTTAAATGAGAACACACAGCAAATTCTCACTTAAAAGGCCAAATAGATTTTTGTGCGATGTCTATACAGTGTGCCTCTTATTTAAAATGCCTTTTCCAATGCCATGGAAATAAGCAATTATCAGGGATTTGATCTAAAAAGAAACTTTAAGGTTATGTCATATACATTTGTATCCCAGTTTCCTTTACACTTTACTGCCTTGGTATTGTATTTTTGGTAAATAATTCAAGGCAGGAGGATCCCTTGAGCTCAAGAGTTCCAGTCCAACCTGGGCAACAGAGCAAGACTCCACCTTTAAAAAGAGACTTACGTTTGTCAAATGCCTACTAGAGGATAAGGGCTGTGCTGAGAATTTTTGTATTTATCATCTCACCTAGTCCTCATGGCAGGACAGCTAGTTAAGTATGTCCCCAACAGCGCAGTTAAGGAAAGGCCAGCTCAGGATCCCCTGGCTACAGTGCAGCTGCCATTCCTCGGCCTTCCCGTTACTTGGTACCCAGTCCCCACTCCTTATCCCAGCCCCAGTATGTCATTTAGCTGATCTGTCCTTTTGCTTCTAGTGTTGGGATCTCTCTAGCTACCTACTTGCTAGTGGTATGTGGAGTGGTAATGGAGCATTCTATTTTGAGTATGTAACAAGGATACGAATGTGAAAACGCTAGTGCTTATGCAGTCCTTATTTATTTATTTATTTTTTTGAGACACGTTCTCACTCTGTCACCCAGGCTGGAGTGCACTGGTGTGATCATGGCTCACTTGCAGCCTCGATCTCCTGGGCTCAAGCAATCCTCCCTCCTCAGCCTCCTGAGTAGCTGAGACCACAGGTGTGTGCCACCACCTCTAGCTAATTTTTAAATCTTTTGTAGAGATGGGGGTCTCCCTATGTTGCCCAAGACAGTCTTGAACTCCTGAACTCAAGTGGTCTTCCCGCTTTGGCCTCCTGAAGTACCAGGATGACAGGTGTGAGCTGCTGCACCTGGCCCCAGTCCTCATTTTTATCAGCTGGTTGCCTTCCTGCTCAGCAGGGGTAATAGCAGATGTTGCTTAACAAGGGTCTGGGATTTGAAGAAACCTCCACTACCCATATCTTGTTTGTCTATCAAATAGACAAACACAAATAGTGTTTTAAAATTTTAATTATTATTATTATTTTTTTTGAGACAGGGTCTCGCCCTGTCACCCAGGCTGGAGTGCAATGGCGTGATCTCAGCTCACTGCAACCTCCGCCTCCCAGGTTCAAGCCATTCTCCTGCCTCAACCTCCTGAGTAGCTGGGATTATAGGCACACACCACCATGCCTGGCTAATATTTTGTATTTTTGGTAGAGATGGGGTTTCACCATGTTGGGCAGGCTGGCCTCAAACTCCTGACCTCATAATCTGCTCGCCTCGGCCTCCCAAGTTATTATTTTTTTAAAGATGGGGTCTTGCTATGTTGCCCAGGCTTGTCTCGAACTGCTGGGCTCAAGGGATCCTCCTGTGTCAGCCTCCTGAGTAGCTGGGGCTACAGGTGCACTCTACTGCACCTGGCTTCTTGTTTTTTGTTGAATTTAGATGCCTTTTGGTGGAGCAGGTGCTTGCCCCATCACTTCCTACTGTCCTATATACAACCTACTTCACTCATTTATATTATTTGCCAGGCCCCTGAAGGCGTCTGGTTTGTGACTTCTGTGATTTAATACTGGTTGTAACCATCAGCATCATATCTGGGTGATGGGGTCTTTGGTTTCTCCTAAGATCACTGTGAAGAGCTGCTTAGTCAAACACCACACAACTCTAGGGAATCTATTTGCAAAAACTATGGATGTGAGTTGTACTCCTGGGAGTTACAAAGTACAAAGCTTGTGTAACTGTTGGTGGTGGCCCAAGAGATGCACACCGCGCTGGTGGTACACAGGGAATGATTCTGCCCGAACACAAAGTATTATCCTTAGTCCCATAGGAATGACGGAAGTCAGGATGATGAACCAAGAGGTAGTGTATATATGGTTCAAAGGATGACCATTTAATGGTTTGCCATTGTGAAGCCCATCTTTTGGGGTCCTACAACTTAAACCATCCAATTAAATGTCATCTCTGGACAGACCAGGTCCAGCTACTAGTGTTCCCAAAGTGCCAAAATAACCGTATTCACTGATGTGATTAAGAAACCTGAGTGGGCTGTTTTCAACAACGGTGAGAAAAGCAAGTTTACACTTCTTAGAATCTTACTGAATTAATGGTGAAAATTACTAGTTGCTTTTATTTTTCCCCCAAGCAAAGAAGGTGCTGTGAATGCTTTCGATCTTTTACTCTCAAGGGAAATCTAGTGATCCTTACACCATCTGAAAGACAGAAATCATAGCAATGATTCAGATCCCACATCTAGGACTGTGCCAAACTTAGGCTGAACCACTCAAAACCTGAAGGGTAAGTGAACTAGAAACTACAAGTGACTGAGCCACAGGTGAGGTTCAGTTCCCTTCAAGAAAGATATTCACATTCTGTGCCTCTGAGACTTTAAGTGTATCAAATAGAAACTGACTATGCCACAGACCTAACATGTGACTTGGACATCAACTCCTGAGTGGGGACATGGCACCTAGTACATCTTCTAGCTCCTAGTCAGCCAGTTTTCTGTAAGTCAATAAACATTCATTAACAATCACACAAACCAAATTACTGTACCTCCTCAGGCAAGCTGACCACCAAATCATTTTTTGTCTGTCCAACCAGCGCCTGCCAAAAATATTCACTGCATGCGGCCAGCACAGCCCGGTGGGCCCGGAACTCCTTCCTCTCCACGATCAAAGTCACGTCACAGAGAATATCCTTTTTCCGCTGGTCATTGAGGCCCAGGAGGATGTTGGTGCAGTGGACTGTGGACTCATACACATACATGGGGGAGTCAGGCTTCTCATCCACAGACATGCCGTTCACACCCTGAAAGAAAGAAAGAAACAAAGAAAGAAAGAAAGAAAGGCTGAGTCACCACAGCTGTAGGATCAGAGAGAGGAGGTGAGAAAGAACATCATGGTTCCTGTGTCCCACTGCCATGAGCATGGCAGGAAGGAGGGGAATTACCAATCAGCATATTTGTGCTTACTCTGTACAATGAGCTCAGGAAACATATCTGTAAAGTCAAGTTCCACAGCTGACTTTTATGCTTCCTACTTACCGCATTCTTTTACCCCATGGTAACAAAGCCAGATCTTTTAATAGAACATTTAAAACATTTAAAACACATTGGTATTTTAAAACTTGGTGGTTCTGATTTTGTTAGTAGGCTGAAAAAGAAATTTCACATGTAAATAGCCTCTATGCAAGGACTAACTTAGATTTGTGTGAAGAGGAAATGAATCATTTTGAAGTATTTGTAATGTTGTCTTGATGAAGTATATGTAAGTTCCTAAGGTGAAATTTGGCTGAGATGCCAAGTAGAGTAAACATCAAATCACAATACATATTTAACAAGTGAACCAAACTGTCTGCACACTGAAGACTCAGTAGAGTCAGCTATTGCATCTGCCCTCTGCCACTTCAAGGCAAAGCACAATTGCCATAATGCAATAGTTGCTCAGCTCTTAGAAAGATGTGGAATTGTGCTGTCGTTATCCCAGCTGAATTGATGTACATCCCCTTTAAGGAAACACAATATATCACAATAGCAGTCATGAAAAAAGATGCATTCAACAGTCAAGATTACTTTTACAAAAGGTTCTTTGCTTTAAAAAATATCCATTGAAATATTTCTTTTTCTTTTTTTTGAGAGGGAGTTTTGTTCTTGTCGCCCAGGCTGAAGTGCAATGGTGCGATTCTCAGCTCACTGCAACCTCCACCTCCTGGGTTCAAGTGATTCTCCTGCCTCCGCTTCCCAAGTAGCTGGGATTACAGGCATGTGCCACCGTGCCTAACTAATTTTTGTATTTTTAGTACAGACGGGATTTCACCATCTTGGCCAGGCTGGTTTTGAACTCCTGACCTCAGGTGATCCACCCGCCTCGGCCTCCCAAAGTGCTGGGATTACAGGCGTGAGCCACTGTGCCTGGCCCCGCTGAGGTATTTTAAAATACAGTATCTGTAATTAATTTATATAGTTACATAGTTTTTCTGTAATGTTTGCTAGAGTAGTAAGAATTCCAGTAGCGAGTCCTACTTTCTTTTTGGCTTTCTTATTTTTTTAAAACAGCTTTAACATACAATAAACTGTACATATTTATAGTGAGCAATTTGATGTTTTGATTGTGTATGTAACTGTGAAACCATCATCACAATAAAGATAGTAAACAAATCCATCATCACCAAAAGTCTCCTTAAGGCCCTTGTAATAATTTTTCCCTTGTACCTCTCTGTACCCCACCGCTACAACGACTGATCAGCTTTCTGACATTCTATATTAGCTTGCATTTTCTAGAGTTTCATATAAATGGAATCATAAACTACATATTCTTTTATATCTGGCTTCTTCTATTCAGCATAATTATTTCACCATTCATCCATGTTGCTGCATATATCAAGTTTGTTCCTTTATTACTTAGCATCCTATTGTATAAATATAGCGTAACTTTTTTTTTATCCATTCATCTATTAGTGGATATTTGGGTTGTTTCCAGTATTTATTTACAAATAAAGCTGCTGTGAACATTCACATACAATTCTTTGGATGGACATATGCTTTCACTTCTCTTGGGTAAATACCTGTGAGTAGAATGTATTATATGGTATGTGTAAGCATAACTTTTAAAGAGTCTGCCACTGTTTTCTAAAGTGGCTGTAACATTTTACATTTCCACCAGCAGTGTATGAGTTCCAGTTCCTTCACATCCTTGCCAACATTTGGTATGGTCACTCTTTCTAGTTTTGGACATTGTAATAGGTCTATCATATTTCTTTTTGGGTTTAATTTGCTTTCTCTAATGCCTGAAGTTGTTGAGAATCTTCCATGTGTTTATTTGACCTCTGTATATTTTCTTTGAAGAAATGTCTATTTAGATTCTTTGCCCATTTTTAATTGGGTTGTTTTCTTATTTTTCAGTTTTAAGAGTTCTTCATATATTCTGAATAAAAGTCCTTTATCAGATACATGACTTGTAAAAATTTTTTCCCAGTCTGTAGCTTGTCTTTTGATTCTCTTAAAAGTGTCTTTCAAGGAACAGAAAGTCTTTATTTGATGAAGCCAAAAAACCATCTTGGTGTCACATCTAAAAAACTAAACCAAGGTCATAAAGATTTTCTCTTGTTTTCTGCTAGAAGTGTTATTTTTTTAGCCCTTACATTTAGGTCTATGGCCCATTTTGAGTTAATTTTTGTGTAGGTAACAGGTATGGATTGAGGTTCTTTTTTTCCTTTTGCATAGGAATATCCAATCATTCCCGCAGCATTGTTAAAAATACTCTTTTCTCTCCTGAATTACCTTTGTATTTTTACTGAAAATCAGTTGTTTTTACATGTATGAATCTATTTATGGACTCTGTCTTTTACTATTTTTATGTTTGTCTACTTTTGTTTTTTTTGGAGACAAACCTTGCTTATTTGTACTTTTACTGAAAATCAGTTGTTTTTACATTTATGAATCTATTTATGGACTCTGTCTTTTACTATTTTTATGTTTGTCTACTTTTGTTTTGTTTTGTTTTGGAGACAGGGTATCACTTTGGAGTGCAGTGGCATGGCCATAGCTCACAGCAGTAGCTGGCACTACAGGTGTGCATCACCGTATCTGGCTAATTTAAAAATATTTTTTGTATTCCTGTAATCCCAGCACTTTGGGAGGCTGAGGCAGGCAGGTTACGAGGTCAGGAGTTCGAGACCAGCCTGGCCAACACAGCGAAACTGCGTCTTTACTAAAAATACAAAAATTAGCTGGGTGTGGTGGTACGTGCCTGTAATCCCAGCTACTTGGGAGGCGGAGACAGGAGAATCGCTTGAACCCAGAAGGCGGAGGTTGCAGTGGCCGAGATCACACCACTGCACTCCAGCCTGGGTGACACAGCAAGACTCTGTCTCAAAAAAAAAAATATGTGTGTGTGTGTGTGTGTGTGTGTGTGTGTGTGTGTGTGTGTATGAGTGATGAGGTCTCGCCATATTGCCCAGGCTAGTCTCAAACTCCTGGCGTCAAGTGATCCTCCTACCTCAGCCTCCTAAAGTGCTGGGATTACAGATGTGAGCCACTGTACCCAGCCTCTATATCTACTTTTATGTTACTATCATAGTGTCTTGATTTGCTCTTTTTCAAAGTTAGTTTGATCCTTTGCATTTCCATATACATTTTATAATCAGCTTGCCAATTTCTACAAAATAGTCTGCTGGAATTTTCACTGAGATTGTACTGAATCTACTGATGAATTTAGGAAGAACTGCCATCTTAACAATAATGAATCTTCTGACCCATGAACACAGTCTCTTTATTTAGATCATCTTGAATTTTTCTCAGCAGCCGGGCATGGTGGCTTACGCCTGTAATCACAAGACTTTGGGAGGCTGAGGCAGGTGGATAACTTGAGGTAAGGAGTGTGAGACCAGCCTGGCCAACATGCTGAAACCCCATCTCTACTAAAAACGCAAAAATTAGCCAGGCATGGTAGCGTGTGCCTGTAATCCCAGCTACTTGGGAGGCTGAGGCAGGAGATTGTGTGAACCCAGCAGGAAGAGGTTGCAGTGAGCTGAGATTGCGCCACTGCACTCTAGCCTGGGCGACAGAGCAAGACTCCACCTCAAAAAAAAAAAAAAGAAAATTTTTTTCTCAGCAATATTTTAATTGAAAATTTTTTTTGGAGACAGTCTCACTCTGTCACCCAGATGGAGTGCAGTGGTGCGATCTTGGCTCACTGCAACCTCCACCTCCTGGGTTCAAGTGATTCTCCTGCCTCAGCCTCCGGAGTAGCTGGAATTAAAGAGGCATGTGCCACCGTGCTTGGTCAATTTTTGTATTTTTAGTAGAGACGGGTTTTGCCAGGTTGGCCAGACTGGTCTCGAACTCTTGGTCTCTCCTCGGCCTCCCAAAGTGCTGGGATTACAGGTGTGAACCACCACACTGGGCCCTCAGCAACGTTTTATGGTAGTATATAGGTCTTTTATACCTCTTTTGTCAGATTTATACCTAAGTATGAATATTTTTGATGCCATTGTAAATGGCAGTCTTTTAATTTCAATTTCTAATTTTTCACTGCTAGTATATACATACAAATAATTTTTGTATTTTGATCTTGTATCTGGAAACCTTGCTTATTAGTTCTCATAGCCTGTTTTTTCTTGGTAGATTCCACGGTATTTTCTACATAGAAGATTATGTTGTCTGTGAATAAAGATCTCTTACTTTTTTTCCAATTTGGATAATTTTAATGTCTTTTTCTTACCTTACTGCATTGTCTAGAAGCTCTAGTTCAATGCTGAATAGAGGTGATGAGACTAAATATCCTTGCTTTCCTGATGTTAGGAAGAAAGTATTCAACCATTCACCATTTTGTATGACGTTAGCTATAGATGCTTCATAGGTGCTCCTTTTGAGCTGAGGAAGTTTTATTTCTTTCTCTCCCTCTCTCCTCCCCTTCCTTCCCTCCCCTCCCCTCCCCTTGTTTTCCCTTTCTTTTTCTTTTTCTTTTTTTTTTTTTTGAGATGGAGTCTCGCTCTGTCGCCCAGGCTGGAGTGCAGTGGCGCGATCTCGGCTCACTGCAAGCTCTGCCTCCTGGGTTCACGCCATTCTCCTGCCTCAGCCTCCCAAGTAGCTGGGACTACAGGTGCCCGCCACCATGCCAGGCTAATTTTTTTTGTATTTTTAGTAGAGACAGGGTTTCACCATGTTAGCCAGGATGGTCTTGATCTCCTGACTTTGTGATCCCCCCGCCTTGGCCTCTGAAAGTGCTGGGATTATAGGTGTGAGTCACTGTGCCCGGCCTCTTTTTCTATCTTTCTTTCTTTTTCTTCAGTGGCACTCATGGCTCACTGCAACCTTGAATTCCTGGGCTCAAGCAATCTCCTGCCTCTGCCTCCTGAGTAGCTAGGACTACAGGTGTGCACCACCATACCTGGCTAATTATTTCTTATTTTTTTTTGTAGAGATGAGGCCTTGCTATGTTGCCCAGGCTGCTCTTGAATTCCTGGCCTCAAGCAATCCTCGTACCTTGGTCTCTCAAAGTGTTGGGATTACAGGTGTAAGCCACTGTGCCCAGCCCTGTGTTTGCCTTCTTATACATTGTTGGATTCAATTTGCTAACATTTTGTTAATAATTTTTCATCTATGTTCAATACGGAGATTTGTCTGTAGTTTTCTTACATAGTTTTTCTGGCCTGGTTTTAGCATCAGGGTAATGATGATCTCATAAAATGAGCTGGGAAGTATTTCTTCTTCTTTAATTTTCTAAAAGCTTTTTTTTTTTTTTCTTTTTGTAGAATTGGTTTTATTTCTTCCTTAAATGTTTGGTAGAATGTACCTGTGAAGACTTCTGAGCTGGGATAGTCTTTAACTATAAATTCATTTTTTTAAATTGTCAAATTTATTGGCATAAAATTGTGTGTGTGTGTGTGTGTGTATATATATATATATATATATATATATATTTTTTTTTTTTTTTTTTTTTTTTTAGACAGATTCTTGCTCTGTTGCCAGGTTGGAGTGCAGTGGTGCAATCTTGGCTCACTGCAAACTCCACCTCCTGGATTCACAAGTGATTCTCCTGCCTCAGCCTCCCGAGTAGCTGGGACTACAGGTGTGCGCTACCATGCCCAGCTAATTTTTGTATTTTTAGTAGAGACGGGTTTCACCACGTTGGCCAGGATGGTCTCAATCTCTTGACCTCATGATCCACCCGCCTTGGCCTCGCAAAGTCTTGGGATTACAGGCGTCAGCTACCGCCCCTGGCCTTTTTATTTTTTTTATTTTTTAAAGAGACAGTGTCTCACTTTGTTGCCCTGGCTGGAGTGCAGTGGCGTGATCATAGCTAACTGCAACCTCAAACTCCTGGGGCTCATGTGACCTTCCTGTCTCAGGCTCCTGAGTAACTAGGACTATAGGCCGTGCCACCATGTTCAGCTATTTTTTTTTTTTTTTTGTAAGAGATGGAGTCTTACTATGATACCCAGGCTGGTCTTCAACTCTTGGTGTCAAGTGATTCTCCTGCTTTGGCCCCCACAAAGCACTGGGATTACAGGCGTGAGCCACCACACCCAGCCCATATATAGTTTTTAAAAATATTCCTTCTAATATGGGTTGAATCTGTACTGATGCCACCTCTCATATTACTGATACTGAAAATTTGTGTCTTCTCTTTCTGATCAGTCTGGCTAGAGGCTTAACCATTTTACTGACATTCTCAAATAACTAGTTTTTGGTTAGTTTTTTTAAATTATTCTATTTTCTAGTTTGCTGATCTCTATTCTCATTGTTATATCCTTTATTTTGCTTACTTTGGGTTTAATTGGGTCTTTTTTTCTTTTCCAGTTTCCTAAGGTGGTAGTTGAGCCCACTAATCTGAGATCTTTTTTGTCTTTTCTAACACAGGCTTTAATGCTATAAATTTCACTCTGTTTTAGCAGTATCTTGCAAATTTTGAAATGTTTAATTTTTACTCAATTCTTAATGCTTTAAAATTTCCCTTTTGATTTATTCCTTAATGCACAAATGATTTACACACGTGTTTTTTGGCTTCCAAATATTTGGGGGAGTTTTTAGTTATCTTTTTGTTAATCCTCTCTGATTTAATTCCATTGTGGTCACAGAACAAACTTCATATGACTTTAATCCTTTTAAATTTATGGAGACTTGTTTTGGGTCCCAGAATGTGACCCACCTTGGTAAATACTACATAAGCACTTGAAATGTATATTCTGTTGTTGGCTGGAATGTCCTGTAAATATCAATTAGGTTAAGTTGTATGATGAGTGTTGTTCAAGTCTTCTAATATCTTTTCTGATCTTTTGTCTATAGGTTCCGTCATGTATTGAGAAGGAGTACTAAAACTTTCCGGCTACAATTGTAGGCTTGTCTGTCAGTTATTGTAATTCTATTAGTTTCTGCCTCATGCAGTTTGAAATCCTATTAGATGCATATATATTTAGGGTTTTTATTTTTTCTTGTAGTATTTATTCCTTTATCACTATGAAGTCACCTTTTAATTCCTGGAAATATTCTTTGCTCTGAAATCTACTTTGTCTCATATTAACATGGTCACTCCATCTTTTGTTTGGTGTTAGCACAGTATATCTTTTTCTACTCTTATTCTTTTAACCTTTTTGTGTTTTTATATTTAAAATGTGATTCTTGTAAGTAACATATAATTGGGTCTTGCTTTTTAAAAAAATCTAATCTGAAAACGTCTGAGTTTTAATTCTGGTGTTTAAAACATGTATGTTTAATGTGACAATTGATTTGGCTAGGTTTAGATCTGCCATTTTGCTACTTGTTTTCTATTTGTTCTTTATTCTCTTTTCCTTCATCTTCTGACTCTCTGTGTTAACTATTTTTTTATGATTCAATTTCATTTCAATTATTGGCATGTTGTTTTGTTATTTCATTGGTTGTTTTAGGATTTATAATATGCTTCTTTAAGTTATCACAATCTGCCTTCCAGTGATATCATAATATGCTTCTTTAAGTTATCACAATCTACCTTCCAGTGATATCATACCATGTCGTGTAAAGCACAGTAGTATGCTTCCATTTCTCCCTTCCTGGCCATTGTATTATACATTTTACTTGTTACTTGTTAAAACCCCTGTACTATATTGTCATTACTTTTGTTTAGTCAATTACCTTTTAAAAAGATATAAATAATGAGGTAACATTACTTGCAGTGCAGGTATACTAGTGATAAATTATTTCAACTTTTCTCTGTAAAAGCCTGCTGCCTTCATTTTTGAAAGTTATCTTTGAAGGGTATAGATTCCAGGTTGACAGGTGTTTTTTTTTTTTCTTTTCAGTACTTTGAAAATTGTCATTCCACTGTCTTTTCACCTGCATTGTTTCCAGTGAAAAATCTGTCATCCTCATCTTTGTTCCTCTGTATGTAATGTCTTTTCTTCTCCTCTGTTGCCTTTAGGACTTTTTCTTGATCACTTGTTTTGAGCAATTTGATTATGATGTGCCTTTGTGTAGTTTTCCTCATGTTTCTTGAGCTTCTTGGATACGTGGATAGTTTTAACCAAATTTGGAAAAATTTTGGCCATCATTTTTTCAAATATTTTTGCCACAATTTTTTTGTCTTCTCCCCTCTTCTCCCTTGGGGAGTTACATATAATATTAGACCATCTGCATTTGTCCCGTCGCTCACAAATGCCCATTTTTTTTTTCTTTTGGTACTTTAAAGAAATCTCTTACATTTTACATTGGATAGTTTCTTTTCTTTTCTTTTTTTTGAGGTGGAGTTCAGTGGTGTGACTTTGGCTCACTGCAACCACTGTCTCCTGGGTTCGAGTGATTCTCCTGCTTCAGCCTCCCAAGTAGCAGGGATTACAGGTGTGTGCCACCATACCCAGCTAATTTTTTTGTATTTTTAGTATAGACAGGGTTTCACCATGTTGGCCAAGCTGGTCTTGAACTCCTGACCTCAAATAATCTGCGCACCTCGGCCTCCCAAAATGCTGGGATCACAGGCTTGAGTCATCATGCCTAGCCACATTGGTTATTTTCTATTGCTAACCCTTCGAGTTCACTAATCTCTTCTTCTGCAAGGTCTAATCTGCCATCAATCTTTTCCAGCATAATTTTCATCTCAGACACTGTGGTCCTTATCTCTAAAAGTCCCCTTTGGTCTTTTATAAAAAATCTTCCATGTCTCTACTTAAGATGTTCAATCTTTCTTCTAACTTTTTGAACACTTGGAATATAGTTATAATAACTACTGCAATGTCCTTGTCTGTTAATTCTAACATCTTCTGGTTCAGTTTTTATTGTTATTTATCTTCATTGTGAGTTATATTTCCTTGCTTCTTTGCATAACTGAACATTTTTGATTGGATGCCAGACAGTGTAAAATTTACCTTGTTAAATGCTGGATATTTTTGTGTTCCCATAAATAATCTTGAGCTTTGTTCTAAGACACAGTTGAGTTACCTGGAAGCAGTTTGATCCTTTCAGGTTTTGCTTTTGAGATTTGTTAGATAGGAAAAGCAGCATTTAGTCTAGGGTTCATTACTCCCTACTACTGATTCAAGACACTTCTGAGTACTCTATCTAATGACCCCTGATATATGTGTTTTCTAGTCTGGCTGGTAGGAAATGATGTTATTCCCAGTTCTCTGAGTTCCCTTTGTTTTGGGTGGCTGTCTCTCCATCCTTGGGTAGTTTTCTTACCTGCATCTGCTGATCAGTACTCTGCAGAATATTAAAGGGAAACTCTCTGAAGATCTCTGGAGTTCTCTCTCTGCAGCTCTCTCTTCTCTGCTACCTTGCTTTCTGAACTCTATTATCATCTTTCCAGACTCTTAGTGCTGTCTCTTCAACTGAAGAGTCAGCCAGCTCTTCCTTGGTTCTTCCTTCCTGTGCCATGGCCTAGAAACTCTCAAAGCAGTATGCTGAGTTCAGTTTGTTTTCCTTTCCTGGGGATTACTATCTTTTGGTTCCTGATGTCCCATGTCTTAAAAATCATTATTTCATATATTTTATCTGTTTCTATAGTTGTTTTAGGAGAAAGGGTAAATCTAGAACCTATTACTCCATCTTGGCTGAAAGTAAAAGCCATAGGTTTATTTTTTATGCTACAGCTACTCCAAACACTTTATAAACAATAACTTATCACAATGCAAACCACATAGTATAAACTTTGCTCTGCTATATATAATGGTTTGTAATACCCAATTACAAAGATGCCTCTGTGAAGAATTATTAGTTCTTTGGTATTCCAATAAAAGATAAAATATTTGTGAGGTTTGTTATCTGGAATCATTTTTTAAATGGAATTAGAATAGCATTCTAAATAACACAATTCAGTTATAATGACCCTAAGCCACGGGGTAAGATCGAGTTCACCTGGCTTCTGTCAATGACTAGGAAATTGCTGCTAAATTCTTTATTATCTAGTAAGAAGACAAATATTTTCTATTCTGGCTTCTTATTAGTCCTTCATTTTCGTGGAATGTTTTCAGGATTTTCTTATCTCCCATATAGGGTCTCAATTCTGATTTGTTTTCTCCATTCTTAGTTTTCAAATTATTATTCTTTCTCCTACCACACTGAGTCTCCTCAATTAGTCTATAGAAATTATTGAGTTAAAAATCATAATAGCTTGCATGTATAAGGAAACACTCAAAACTTGGTGGAGCATTTAATGTTCTAGGTCACGGATGGTGTGTTCAATTCATAAAAAGTAGGAGATTTATAAGGGACATCTCATTTTTCCAGTTCATTTATGGGTAATACATATTAATGTGCCTACACCAAGATAGAAGCTTGTGTTGAAAGAAACAAAGCCATAAATTCTTTAATGAAACATGAAATGAAAGAAAATAAAAAGAGAAATGAAAGTGAAGTGCAGTGGAAACAGGAGTGGACCAGGCATGTTTGGGGCTTTTGGTTTAGCTCCAGCATTGACCAACTTTGTGGATCTGGACAAACTGCCTAACTGTTTAGGGGCCTGCTTCCATGTTTGTAAAATGAAAAGCATGAACTAGAAGACCAATAGTGTTCTTCCAGATCTACAATTCTATGAGTCTATAAAAGAAATATACCTGATTGATCACAAAGAGCGGGATACTGTCTTTTTTAACTGAGAGAAGCTAGTTTTCTTTGACCTTCTAAAGACCATTTTGTGCCGTTATATTGTTGTTGATGTTGCATGGCTTAACAAAACTGCCCCTGCAGAGCTGGTTACAGGGAATGGGGTGGACAACAAATATACAAGGAAACCACAGCCTTCTGGGAGAGTAGAAACTAGGACCCAAACCCCTGCTCTTTCTGGGCTCTAAGATGGTTGAAGTTCTCAAGAGTAGACTCCATATTCTGCTAACAGGGCAGGTTTAGAAAAACAAAGATACAGCAACATAAGCATCCCAAGTTGATGAAATAGGCTGTGACAGTCACATAAACATGGGCATCTGCTTTTTGGGCTAAACTTACTTGAGAGCTTTGGAAAACACTGAAAAAGTATTAGTTTTGTTCATCAAATGGTATAATCTAAAATATATCACTTTCGTGGAGCTGTTGTTAGACTAACCTGACTGAAGATTTTCTTGAATATATTACATTATTTCTGGATAATAATTCTTTATGCCATGTCAGTATTACTTTCTTCCCCTTGGCCTTTACCTACCCCTCCTTGTTGGTTCCTCTTCAAACATAATGGAACATACCTTTCTGCTTTCTTTAAAAATCAGTCAGCCCTTCTCAACCTCCAATTATCATGGGTGCATTGCTATGGGTTGAATGTTTGTCCCCTATGAAAATCATGTTGAAACTTAATCCCCAATGTGGCAGCATTAAGACATAGGGCCTTCAAGAGATGATTGGGACATGAAGGCCCTGCCCTCATGGATTAATGAATTAATGGGTTATTGAAGGAGTGCATTAGTTATCATGAGAGTGGGTTTGTTACAAAAGTCACTTTGGCCCTCTCTCATGAGCTCCCTCACCATGTGATGCCCTGTGCCACCTTGGGATTCTGCAGACAGTCCTCATCAGCAAGAAGGCCCTCACCAGATGCGGCCCCTAGACCTCGAACTTGCCAGCCTCTAGAACTGTAAGAAATAATTTTCTTTATACATTACTCAGTCTTAGGTATTCAGTTAGAGTATCAGAAAACAGGCTAAGACAGGTGCTCTTCTATGAACTCCCTCCAATTTGTCTGCTTTTGACTGGCCAATGCCAAACTGAATTCTGCTTCTCCTGTTTCCACTAGGTTTTCTTTTTTCACTTGCCTTGCTAATATTAAACAACATTCCCCTCCGCCCCCCACTCCTCCATGCAGCAAATCCTGAAATCTGCAGCAGGACCCATGGGATCTAAGAATGAAATGGTTTATAGTGAGTAACAGAACCCAGAATAGCATGGAGGAGTATGACAGCCAGTCTTTAAGCATTAGACAACGTGTTAAAGTATGTAGACATTAGCTGAAATCAGATTGTAAGGAAGCTTTCCAAAGGTTCTGATTTGGGTTTTGGCTGGATCTCATTCTTCCTTTTGCAGGCCAAAAAACCCAGCTGCACATGTACATACACATATACCCCAATCATCTCATCATATGGTTCAGCAGTAAAAGTAAATCACTATTATTTTATCATAGTATATTCATCCCCTTAAGAAGCTACACAGACCACAACTCTTATTACTCGAAGGTATAGTATTAATGAATACAGACTTACTCATTAACTCACTCATTGACTCTTCATTCATTATCGGGTCATATTCAGAAATGAAAATGTCTAATAGTTCTGCAGGTAAAAGTATAAAGCAAAAAAGTAAAAAAAAAAAAAAAAAACCAACAAAAAAATCACAGTGGGATCTGAAAAGCTGCAATTCACAAAAAAGTAGAATGTTAAGATTTTCAGACAACCTGTCATGTCTAGAGTGCTTCAGATGAAAAGAAATGAATATGCCTTGCAGGTAATGAAAAAGACCAAATTATAAACCATTTCACTTGAAATTCAAACTACATTTCTCCCAGAAACAGTGCATTAAGTAAATACTTCTGTGAATCAAACACTAAATTATTTAGTAATTGCTGAGTAAATTCCTGCTCTTATAAAACATGCTTTTAAAAAAAGTTATTTACTGTAAAACTGTAAGGGTTAGTTCTTATAAAAGAAAGTTTTCAAGTCTATAGACATTTTAGAGTGCACAGTGCTATAAAAATTACTTACTTATTACTTTTGGATTGGAAACACTTTCTAATGCATCAAGACTAAAACTTCTTACTTTAAGTGAAAAGCAATCCAATTTCAGTATTTTCTAATGGAAAACTGCAGTGCTTGTCACTTAATGTCCCTAATGCCTTAGATAGCTAAAGTAAGGGCCCTGACTGACATGGAGCAGCTAAAACGTTTTGTGTTCCTTATTTACTCAAACACTCCATCTGCCTGCATCCTAGTTAGTGCCAAGGGAACTGAAATTTAAGGCTGTTGTTAGGAGGAAGCACTTGCAATTGTATCATCAAATCCTTAATAGCTCTGAATGGTTCTCGTAATTCAGTATAAACTTCTATTTTCCTTGACCTTCTAGGGGAAAGTTCAATGTTCAAAAACTGACAATGGTTTTTACTGCACTGCTGAAAAATATACCAAAAACTTTAAAAAGGAACAGTTGTAACAAGTCCCAATTTTTTTTGCTAATTTTTGTTATTATTGCTGCTTGTTTATTCTTTCAAATAGGCCAAAATAAAAAATAACCCAAATTTCCAAAATATCTGGTAATAAACTTGTGGCAACTACTAGCACTTTTCCTATATTTAAATGTAATCGACATCGGTCAGGCGCGGTGGCTCATGCCTGTAATCCCAGCACTTTGAGAGGCCGAGGTGGGCAGATTGCTTGAGGCCAGGAGTTGGAGACCAGCCTGGTCAACATGGTGAAACCCTGTCTCTACTAAAAATACAAAAATTAGCTGGGTATATTAGTGCATGCCTGTAATCCCAGCTACTCAGGAGGCTGAGGCACAAGAATTGCTTGAACCCAGGAGGCAAAGGTTGCAGTGAGCCAAGATCGTGCCACTGCACTCCAGCCTGGGCGACAGAGCAAGACTCCGTTTCAAAAATGAATGAACGAATGAACGAATTTAACCAAAATGGAGAGTCACAGTCTGATACGGAAACTGAGGTGGAAGAAATATTAGAATGTTGGTAGCAGACTGTATGTATTGGTCCAAAGGTAATAAAGAATTAAAGATATATAGCCACTAACCTAGAAACAATAAGAAAGTTTGACAATATCAAGTGCATTGATGGTCAGATCAACTTCTTTGGAAAACAGTTTGGCATTATCTAGCAAAGTTGAAGATATGCATAGATTATGACCGAATAATTCCATGCCTAGGTTATACCCTAGAGATACTCCTGGATATCTGTAACAGAAACTCTGTATAAAGAGTGTTCACAGAATTGTTCAGAATAACTCCCAACTGGAAACAACATCATGTCTATCCGTAGCAGAATGCAGAAATACACTGAGATATATTTATATATTCATATAACGGAACAAAGCAAATTAGAGCCACATGCAGCAACGTGGAGGAGTTGCACAAACCTAATGCTGAATACTGAGCTACAGAAACAAGACACAGGATAATAACATACAATCTGGTTTCATGTATGTCAAATTCAAAAATGGATAAAAAACATCTAGGGATATATACTGTTATGGAGTGATATGGTTTGGATCTGTGTCCCTGTCCAAATCTCATGTTCAATTGTAATCCCCGATGCTGGAGGTGGGGCCTGGTGGGAGGTGACTGGATCATAGGGGAGGTTTCTCGTGGTTTAACACCATCCCCCTTGGAGCTGTTGCCTCAATAGTGAGTTATCATAAGACGTAGTTGTTTAAAAAGTGTGTGGCACTTTCCCCCTCCTCTCTTCCCTCCTCCTGCTCTGGCCACATGAAGACGCCTGCTCCAGCTTTGCCTTCCACTGTGATTGTAAGTTTCCTGAGGCCTCCCCACAAGCAGATACCACCATGCTTCCTGTACAGCCTGCAGAACCATGAACCAATTAAACCTCTTTTCTTTATAAATTACTCAGTCTCAGGTATTTCTTTATAGCAGTGTGAGAACTAACACATGGAGTAAATGTGTCCTCTCAAAATTCGTATGTGGAAATCCTAATCCCCAGTATAATGGTATTTGGAGGTGGGGCCTTTGGGAGTGATTGGGTTATAAGGGTAGAGCCCTCACGAATGGGATTAATGTCCTTATAAGAGAACCCCTCTTACTCTCTTTCTGCCATGTGAGGACACAAGAAGATGGCTGTCTGCAAACCTGGAAGACAGCCCTTACCAAGAACTGGACAATGCTGGCATCCTGATCTTAGACTTCTAACTTCCGGAACTGTGAGAAATAAATGTTTGTTGTTTGAGCCACCCAGCCTATGGTACTTTGTTATGGCAGCCTGAATTAAGACATATACAAAGGTGGCAAAACTATAAAGAAAAGACTCAGAATAGAGGCTCCATTTAGAGCGAGGCAGTGTTCACCAGAAAGGGACACCGTGGGGTTTCAGGGGTGCTGTTGCATGCTCTATTTCTTGACATGAGTGACAGGTAAACATATTCCCACTTTAAGTTATACATTTGTTTTATGCACTTTTCTACATCTACTATATATATATATATCCCAGCTCCCCCAAATTAAAGACTGTAGGAGAATGTTAACAACTCAAGTATTGAGCACCTCCTTTAGGTTCTGTGACTTAATCACAAAGGTCCTAGGGTGCGCTTTGGGCTTCAAATGAAAAAAAACACACCCACACCTTAAATCCTACAACTTATGGTCAGGAAGGTCCTTAAAGGCAATCAAATCTAACCAATTCCAAGTTGTACGTTTTCAGTAATAATCTACAAAAATGGGCCAAATACAGGGATGAGGCCTTTTGGGAGATGGTAAGAAATCTGAGCCCAGGCCTTTGCTTTGCAGTAAAACTTTTTTCAGAGATCTCGTGTTTTGTCTTCTCTCTTGTTAAAACCAAATCACTTCATGCACTTCTATTTCCTTATCTATGCAAGGAGGAAATAAACTAGGTGACTTTTTAGTTCTAGTTTCTATGGTTCTATGAAAGTATAGGAACTTTAGGAAAATCCTGAAACATGAGCTTTTCTAACTGTGGTTCCTGAGAAGACTTTTTAAGGAAGCTAGAGATGCTCAAAAGAACACAACTGGCTGGAAGGGAAAAATGCCATCACATAACTTTTGAGAGAGATGAAGAAGAGGGGAAGACCCATCCAATAACAGTGTGAACTTTCCCCCTTATAAACAGAGTCAACCCAAAGGATGAATCAAAGGTCAACTTTCACACATTAATGGAACACAGTGCCCATCAGTACTGAGCAATAGTTCGGCATTCTCTTTCCATGGCCAAAACAGTGCTCTGGTGTGCAGGTCAGCGTCTCCCTCAAAAGCCGTCTTAGGTATGTGGCTCTGGAATTAAGCGGGGTGTCCATCCTCTCCTCTTGTCTCCACCCAGCGATGTCAGATGAGACTACCCCGTTTAGCGGGCCAGAGAGAAGGCTACAACTGGGATTTAACAATAGCATGGTGCATAAACTGTCATCTCAAAAAGGAGATGAAATCAGCGGGTGAAAGGGAGCCCATGTCAGGCCATCCAAGGGGCATGATTACTGTTAGTGGTGGTTGGTGGTGGTGGGGCAGTGGGTGTGTGGACCAGGGAGAAAATGTGCAATTTAGCCATGGGCAGATTTGGATATGCAGCTTTGTGATCATCGCACTGGTCTTTTTTATATGTTGATGCTTGCTTTTGCTTCTTTTGTGTAACCCCCCAGTTAAGAGTAAAGCCAAAGCCTCCATCTATTCTTCTGGGATAGGTCATTTTCTACTCTTGGCAAGCCTTCTTTTCTATATTGTCACTTCCAGTTTGTCTCTGGTATTACTTCTTTGTGTCTATGTTCTCCATTTATATTCACTTCTCATACATTAATCTCTGCTTCCTATTAGCATGTGCTTCATGCCTATTAGGAGTTAGAGGACAGAGAAAAGTCATTTCTTTTCTGCATTTCTCTTTATCAGGGCATCTGTGTGAAATATTCTCTCCCAGTGTCCCCTTCCCTCCCCTTGTAGCCAGAGAAATATTACCCTAGAGCTTCACGCTGCTAATGTGAGAAGAAATTGTGAACAGTGATTAGGAGGCTAAATGAGGGTGGTGGAACCTATTTACTTCATTAAAGTTCCTTCAGGGAAAATACGAGGATGGGAAACTGAGAGATAAGGGTTAATACTAAAAGAATAACAGATCCATTTGACTCAGAGCAATCTTCAGTCTGCCTGGATTCTATCAGACACCCTTCTCCATGGGGAAATCATTACAGAGAAATGACATGCAAAGTGCGCCATAAAGCATCTGAGTCAAACCAGAGGGAGGATGACTCAACGGATCATTTTACATTTTAATAGAAGGCACTGCAGATTTGTACCTAGTGCACAGTTCAACACAGGGCTCATAACTCCTCCCCAAAACTTCTTCATCGGGTGGGAGGGGAGTTCCCAGAACCTGACAGAAATTATTCTGTCTTAGAAAAAAACCAAGTCAAAACTCACAACAGAGAATCAAGACTAAGAAAAGACAACAGATAGTCAAATGCCGAAAAGAGGGGAGACTGCAAGTCTAATTTCAACTTTAGCATTTCTGTCAAACCTAAGACACAGCCTGAAAATTGAGCTCAGTAATTAGTGGACTTCAGATGTCATAAAGGAGTGGGGAAGATGGAAGGAGGAATGGAGGGAGAGAGAGGAAAGAGGAGAACGCTATCAAAGTGCTATAATTAAATAATTGTGTTTCTTAAATTAGTTTTGCAAGATTTTCCAATGATAATTACTGTCAGAAGTTTGCCCACCAGGTCAGTGACAATGCTGGGCTTGAGTTTCCATGTGAAGTCAAGAAGCAATATATTAGTCATGCCATTGTTCCTAGTATGTTTCCCAGGCCAGGTATTGCTTATAGATGCTAATATGTATAACCTGCCAAAGTTAGATTCATCTGACCAGGGATTATGATGTTAAGAGACTGGATTGTCAAACCTAACTCCTTCTTGGAATGGGGGTGGGGGTTACCTCCAGACACACTTTTGTCTGCCTATACATAAAGAATATCTATAGTTTCACAGCTGTTCATCCGCCTGATCTCTACTGTTGCCTGCCCCAGCTCCTAAGAGGGCACGCGGTTTACAGGTAGGAAAGGAAACAGAAGTGAATACTGAGGCTTGGCAGAAATACAGCTTTCACAGAAAAGATTCTTAATAAAAGGAAACTTGCTCCTTTCATGCATGGGGGTCTTTTGGACAAAATGATTCTGTTCTGAAACATCATCTCTGCAGGGATGCAGGCTAGAACGAATGAAGTTTAGATTGCAAGTTGGTTCACCCGGTAACTAAGAAAATCGAAATTCAAGACCAAAGGCAGGCAGCATCTAATGGGGTGAAAGTCATCTAGCTTGAGGGTCATTCAGGTAGTGTTTTGAGAAAGGTTTGATTTCCACTGGAGCCTAGGCACACCTGAAACCCACTCCTGTTTTTCCATTTAAAAATGATGAAAACCATGAGGCTAAGACCACTGGTTGGCAGTCTGTTAAGTCCCATATCAAGTAACAAAAGCATCTGGACCACCTGTCACCAAGCAGGAGGTCAAATGGAACTGGAATGTTAACACGCAGGTCAAATGCCCTTCAGAGAACACGGGGAAAAGGCAGTGAAAAGGAATGGGAGAAAAAGAATGTGCTTGGAGCTTTCCAAGTCCCTGTCCTGTCCTTGGCAGCTTCTCAGAATGACGATTATTGTGACCAAAAGGTAGTGACACACATGCTACATGACACTTAGTATACTGTTTAAGATACAGACGGTCTTATATGCCTATACCACTGCCACTCACACACGATTTCACCTCACAGAATATGCTTCAGATAAAGCCAAGTATATTAAGGAAGAGATTTTTTTTTAATTCACTCATTATAAAAAGTCAGAATTGTACTGCCATGGGGGCAGACAATACCCCCTCTCCAAACGGTAAGGAATGGGTGCCACAAGGGCTCATTGGCCAGGTGGTACCGGAGAGACACAGTGTTTCGCACTTTCTTGACTCTAAAATGCACCTATTTTCCATTTCTCCTTCCATCCTTAGATAGAGGGGCTCCATTTGAATCCCTGCTCTCCTGCTTCCTAGCTGCATGGCTTTGGCTTTGGGGCCATTGTTAGACTGTGTAATCCTTGGTCTTTCTATGTACAAAATACTTATGTGAGGATTAAACGAGATGAAGCAATAAAGTATTTAGGATGGTCCTTGTTTTACAGTAAACACAAATAAAAGCTATTCTTATGAAAAGAAAGTTAATTTCTTTGCACATTATATACACTTGTAATTCTACATATGCTGAAAATTTCTTATATTGAGGCAAATCTGGACTGCATGAAGAATAATGTATATTTTTGTTTGCCAGATTCTCTTGCTTAAACCTGGGGAAGGGCCAATTTGCTTAATTTCCATCCAAGACCTGCAAGAGAATGATGGGATAGGTGTGCATTCTGGTACTTGCTGGCAACTTCGGCCATGACACTATGTAGACTTCCTTCTGCAACATCCCTTGATGACTGTGAAGGTCAAATAAGGCAACAGATCTGAGACCTCCCTGAGAAGTGCAGAGTACTCTGCTCGCATCAGGAATTATCCTCACCACTATTTGACTAATCCTACACATAATTATATAAAGAATGTCTGCTCTTATGGGCACTTAGCCCTGATATAGTTCACTCTCATGCCAAAAGAAGGCATCTGGCAGATGGGGGACTTGTATTGATTCTCATCTGATAACATTTCCTAAAAGATTCCATTCCTTCAGATTTGTTAAAAGTGCGTGCTTTGGATACTCTATCCTCCCATTACGGGCTTTTCCTATTTTCTCTCTCTGCTACCTTTTGCATGTATGTTCTGCCCAAATCAGAATCCTCTTTCATCATGAGGGGCAGGATCCTGCAGTGGTGACAGGTCAGGCTCTGGGGCCAGCCTGCCTGCATCTGAACCATGACCACAATGCTACCTCAGACAAACCACGTGAGCTCTCTGTAAAGATTTCTCATCTGTAATCCAGTGGTCACAAGGCGTAAGCAACTTAAAACACAAACGTGGGAAACAGAATGACTCCTGGAGAATAGTAAGCACCCATTAGATACTGCATACAAAGATGGTCTACAGAGGCAAGGTAGTGCAGTGGTTGTGGATGGAGGCTCTGGTGCCAGCCTACCTGGCTTTGAATTCTGACTCTGTCATTCACTAGCTGCAAAACCTTGCACAAGACACTTAACTTTTCCGTGCCTCAGTTTCCTGATCTGTACTAAAAGTACCTGATAAAGGGCACCTATCTCATAGAACTGTGAGGATTAAAATATTTTACGTGTTTGTTTGTTCATTAATTCACCAATTTAACATATAGTAACTGGTCCATCAAATTAGCTCCTCTTTTCCAACCATGCCAATTTTCCCCATTCACGTTTCATTTCCAGTTTGACAATGGCTTGCCTTTTCTTCACGTAAGTATTTCCTGCTTTTGGCCCTGCCCACCTAACACCCAGACTCTCCCGGCCTGCTTCCTATCTCTGGAAATAACAATAGTTCTCTAACTGCATAGATTTAGGGTAACCACAGCAGGTTCAGCGATCTGCATTTTAACCCCATGACAGCTGATTTCAAACAACCCTACAAACTAAGACTCCCCGCCCTGCCATTCCAAGAACGAGGGGACTTGGGCAATTTATTTAAGTCCTTAGAGTCTCCTTATGTGTGAAATGAAGATAAAGACTGTCTCCCGAGAGACTGTTAGGAGATGTAAATGTGATGGCTCAATCCCTGGCCTCCTCAGGTCTCTGTGCAGACATCACATTCTCAGTGAGGCCTCCCTAACCACCCTGCTCCGTTTAAACCACAACCCCAGCCTCCCACCTCACTCTCCATCCTCCCTCCCTGTTTATGTTTCTTTATAACGTTTTCACATCTCACACACACTATATTTTACTCATATTTTGTTAATGACCTATTTTTCTATTGAGGGCAGGAATTTTTACCTGTTTTGCTCACCATTGAAGCCGCAGAACTTCAAAGTGCTACACTCAATACATACTTAATAAGAAAGTGACTAAAAAAGACTTTTCCTAATCCCAACAGGTCCATATGTCACTTCTGTTTCTGCTGAGGTCTCCTTCCAGCCTGTTTCTTCACACATATCCCTACGCTCTCCAGAGCTGCTTGTCTTTTCTGGGCCTCAAGGTCGCCTTGCCTATCCATTTATCCACAGAAAACTTACTCCATTCTAAGCAATGCGACCGTTAGAGAAAACTAATGATATAACCTCCAAGACACACAGCCAAGATAATGGGATGGTACAAAAGCAAAAGAAAGGCTTAGATTGACACAGTGAAGGAAAAGCTCCCATTTGCAGAGATGCTGAGTAGAAGGTCTTGAGTGTGCTTTATTTCTGAAGCTCTCTGTGCTCAAATACTCACAAATCCAGAAACACATTGCCCATTGGCTCTATACAATGTGGATCCTTGCAGAGTAGAATTAGGCTGTTCTCTCCTGGTAAAAGCTTGTGTGCTCTTGCTTCTAAGAGATGGCTCTGATCCCACCCCCTTATGTCCACGGCCTATCTCAAACTGCCAAACAGAGGACCAATTATGCCCTTCCTTTCCGCAGCCCTCAGGAAAACAGCCAGCACACAGGACCCTCAATGGCACCCTCAGGATGATGCTTTCAGAATGTGACAGCGACCACAGCCCAGGCCTCTGCTGCCCTGGGAGTAGACGTGGCTCTGGAAGGCCTGGGTTTGAGAGAAGATGGTAGGAGGAAGGTTTCTGATTTTCGAATGAAAATCAGACCAGCAGGGTTTTTTGAAAAGATCAACAACATTGATAGACCGCTAGCAAGACTAATCAAGAAGAAAAGAGAGAAGAATCAAATAGACGCAATAAAAAATGACAAAGGGGATATCACCACCGATGCCACAGAAATACAAACTACCATCAGAGAATACGATAAACACCTCTACGCAAATAAACTAGAAAATCTAGAAGAAATGGATAAATTCCTTGACACATACACCCTCCCAAGACTAAACCAGGAACAAGTTGAATCTCTGAATAGACCAATAACAGGTTCTGAAATTGAGGCAATAATTAATAGCTTACCAACCAAAAAAAGTCCAGGACCAGATGGATTCACAGCCGAATTCTACCAGAGGTACAAGGAGGGGCTGGTACCATTCCTTCTGAAACTATTCCAATCAATAGAAAAAGAGGGAATCCTCCCTGACTCATTTTATGAGGCCAGCATCATCCTGATACCAAAGCCTGGCAGAGACACAACAAAAAAAGAGAATTTTAGACCAATATCCTTGATGAACATTGATGCAAAAATCCTCAAGAAAATACTGGCAAAACAAATCCAGCAGCACATCAAAAAGCTTATCCACCATGATCAAGTGGGCTTCATCCCTGGGATGCAAGGCTGGTTCAACATACGCAAATCAATAAACATAATCCAACATATAAACAGAACCAATGACAAAAACCACATGATTATCTCAATAGATGCAGAAAAGGCCTTTGACAAAATTCAACAACCTTCATGCTAAAAATTCTCAATAAATTAGGTATTGATGGGACATATCTCAAAATAATAAGAGCTATCTATGACAAACCCACAGCCAATATCATACTGAATGGGCAAAAACTGGAAGCATTCCCTTTGAAAATTGGCACAAGACAGGGATGCCCTCTCTCACCACTCCTATTCAACATAGTGTTGGAAGTTCTGGCCAGGGCAACCAGGCAGGAGAAGGAAATAAAGGGTATTCAATTAGGAAAAGAGGAAGTCAAATTGTCCCTCTTTGCAGATGACATGATTGTATATCTAGAAAACCCCATCTTCTCAGCCCAAAATCTCCTTAAGCTGATAGGCAACTTCAGCAAAGTCTCAGGATACAAAATCAATGTGCAAAAATCATGAGCATTCTTATACACCAATAACAGACAAACAGAGAGCCAAATCATGAGTGAACTCCCATTCACAATTGCTTCAAAGAGAATAAAATACTTAGGAATCCAACATACAAGGGATGTGAAGGACCTCTTCAAGGAGAACTACAAGCCACTGCTCAATGAAATAAAAGAGGATATAAACAAATGGAAGAACATTCCATGCTCATGGGTAGGAAGAATCAATATCATGAAAATGGCCATACTGCCCAAAGTAATTTATAGATTCAGTGCCATCCCCATCAAGCTACCAATGACTTTCTTCACAGAATTGGAAAAAACTACTTTAAAGTTCATACGGAAACAAAAAAAGAGCCCGCATTGCCAAGTCAATCCTAAGCCAAAAGAACAAAGCTGGAGGCATCATGCTACCTGACTTCAAACTATACTACAAGGCTACAGTAACCAAAACAGCATGGTACTGGTACCAAGACAGACATATAGACCAATGGAACAGAACAGAGTCCTCAGAAATAATGCCGCATATCTACAACCATCTGATCTTTGACAAACCTGACAAAAACAAGCAATGGGGAAAGGATTCCCTATTTAATAAATGGTGCTGGGAAAACTGGTTAGCCATATGTAGAAAGCTGAAACTGGATCCCTTCCTTACACCTTATACAAAAATTAATTCAAGATGGATTAAAGACTTAAATGTTAGACCTAAAACCATAAAAACCCTAAAAGAAAACCTAGGCAATACCATTCAGGACATAGGCATGGGCAAGTACTTCATGTCTAAAACACCAAAAGCAATGGCAACAAAAGCCAAAATTGACAAACGGGATCTAATTAAACTAAAGAGCTTCTGCACAGCAAAAGAAACTACCATCAGAGTGAACAGGCAACCTACAGAATTGGAGGAAATTTTTGTAATCTACTCATCTGACAAAAGGCTAATATCCAGAATCTATAATGAACTCCAACAAATTTACAAGAAAAAAACAAACAACCCCATCAAAAAGTGGGTGAAGGATATGAACAGACACTTCTCAAAAGAAGACATTTATGCAGCCAAAAGACACATGAAAAAATGCTCATCATCACTGGCCATCAGAGAAATGCAAATCAAAACCACAATGAGATACCATCTCACATTGGTTAGAATGGCCATCATTAAAAAGTCAGGAAACAACAGGTGCTGGAGAGGATGTGGAGAAACAGGAACACTTTTACACTGTTGGTGGGACTGTAAACTAGTTCAATCATTGTGGAAGTCAGTGTGGCGATTCCTCAGGGATCCAGAACTAGAAATACTATTTGACCCAGCAATTCCATTACTGGGTATATACCCGAAGGATTATAAATCATGCTGCTATTAAGACACATGCACATGTATGTTTATTGGGGCACTATTCACAATAGCAAAGACTTGGAACCAACCCAAATGTCCAACAATGATAGACTGGATTAAGAAAATGTGGTACATATACACCATGGAATACTATGCAGCCATAAAAAATGATGAGTTCATGTCCTTTGTAGGGACATGGATGAAGCTGGAAACCATCATTCTCAGCAAACTATCGCAAGGACAAAAAACCAAACGCTGCATGTTCTCACTCATAGGTGCGAATTGAACAATGAGAACATATGGACACAGGAAGGGGAACATCACACACTGGGGCCTGTTTTGGGGAGGAGGGAGGGGGGAGGAATAGCATTTTGAGATATACCTAATGTTAAATGACGTGTTACTGGATGCAGCACACCAACATGGCACATGTATACATATGTAACTAACCTGCACGTTGTGCACATGTACCCTGAAACTTAAATAAAAAAAAAAAAAAAAAAAGAAAATCAGACCAGCAGGAAGGCCACAGAGCAACTTTTCCTCACGCACAGGAATGTGCTTTAGTTCTACTCACAGTGGTCTGATGACAAAGTCCTCTTTAATAACTTATAATTTGGAATTGTAAGACATTGGACCCAACACAACCAATGTAAAAACAAACCACTCATGATCTTCCTGGGAAAATGGAGGTGCATTTATATAGGAACAGTCTTCTGTGGATGGTTTTCTGAGCAGCTTAGCAAAGAATTGATTAAATAACAGCATATGCGTTGTTAAATTCCCTATTACAATGCTTTCAAAATTCTTTGAAAGAAAAAGATGCTCACCTGTTAAAAAAAAACGTAAGTTTCTAAAGGAGACACTTGAAAACCAGAAAGGAGCATCACCTTCTTAAAAAAAAATCAAAATGGCACAGCAGAAGTTCACATAAAATGCCCGACAATGTTTCTTTTCAATAGAACTCAAGCTGACTAAAAGACATGCTTGGATTCAGAGCTTTTACTGGTTACCTAGGTTGCAAATGATACCAAAAGAGACACTAGGAATTCTTAGTTAGAATGCCAGTCAAGGAAAAGTTCATAATCCTTTCAGATTTTAAATCCTGTGTGTCTGTGAGGAGGATAACCATTTAGTATTTTAGACAACTGGAAAAGAAGATTAGACCACACTGTGTCTATAAAGTTGTGCTACACCCTGGGTTACCCTCATCAAAGGCTGAAGGAAATGGCTGTTATTCTCTTTTTGAAACTGTAGTTATATGGTGACTGCTGGTTATTTAGTTAGAATGGAAAACTGATACACAGAGAAGCATACCAACCGTATCTAATGTATTAGCCTGATATTAACAACTAGCATCTGATTACTTACAATTGACCGTATTTGAAATCTATTAAAATCTCTTAATTATTCTTATATGCCCATAGTCACTGCTTTCTCTTAAGGCAACATGAAATGCTTAATGATTAATATAACAATTTCAAAAGCTTTATTGTACAGACTGGACTAGACTCTGTAGTCTTCACAGAGTGATCATTACTTAATGAACTCAGCACACTGTACATTTTCCAGCCACCTGAAACTCCCAAGTATTGTGTGAGTTTTTGGCCAATTAATTATCAATTACAACATCATAAAACATTAGCACAAAAATAGGAATAATGAAATTTAATTATACATTATTCTTCTGAGTTGCTGAAAATAATATACAAGACTGATTCTGATTAATAATTCATTCAGCAATAAAGTATCAGGAAAGATAATTATGCAGTGCCACAATTCTCACACTGATTTCTATAATTACAGATTACAACAGTGTTAGCAATTTAAAAGGTTAGAGAGCTGTGGTAATTTGCTATGTCATCCTCAGCTATATTAATGTCTCTCTTTGAGCACCAAAGATAACTGAAAATATAATAATGGACCAAATCAGATGGCTTGCCCATGCTCTCCTCACCTAAAACATCTCCAATCTGAGAACATTAGTAAAGTCCTTGATAATTAGCCTCTTATATTATTTAACTAGTCCTACTACACACATTTGGTTTACAGCTAATCAAAGAAAGACAATATGTAGGAATACATGCCAAAATATGCAAACATAGAAACATAACCTATAGAAAAGTTACAGGGATACAATCACATTTGGTATGTGACATATCTGACCATGAATACACATATATGTATACCTGTATAATTACCCCTTAGATAATTAAACACCAAGTCAAGGGACACACATAATGTAAATCTCTGTCTCTGGCAACACAGTTGAGTAAATAGCACATGAAAAAATACAAAGTTTATCTAACTACCCTCTCTGGGTTGTTAACATATTATGACACACCAAACTACTCTTGCCTTTAAGTTCTATTACATCCTGAGAATGAAAATACACTCAGCTGCTAGAAATACTCACTCTGCTCTGCTTGCATTCCATGGGAAAAAACCTAGCTAGAAATTTATGGCCTCTTCCCATAACCAGTATTTAAATGAGAATTTTCACCTGGGGATGAGCCCAAGTGAACTAAACATACAGTTCCACAGATATAAAAATCACTTTCTCCTCTGCTCTTTCTTCTCGCTATTTTTAGAGAGGAGATTTGTAAGACATCTTGGCTTTACTCTCTTGAATGCCTTAAGTATCTGACTAACTTCATGTTCAACTAATATGGAGAAACAGATGGAAAATTCACCGGGACTAAAATCTTAGGCATTATTTAAATGAGTTCCTTGCAGAGTCTTTTGTGTGTCTTGTTGGGACCGGGGGTTCCTCATTCTGGAGTATGCCAGGGTTTGAATTCAAGATTTCATTACAGCTGGCCCCAACAAGATGATAAAGGAAGACAGGGTGAAAAAACAGTTTCATTTCAGTGGTAGAAAGAACTTGTAGATCATCTGATTGAATATGCTCTTTTAAAAATTATAGACGTTTAGGCTCAAAGATATTAAACAATTTACTCAAGGTCGCAGAACCATTTAGTAACAATAACAGAAGAAAAACTCAAGCATGTCTGAATCCCAGGTTTCCACTATATTTTATTAAAGAAAATACCCAAGGAGAAGGGGCATGATGAGCAGCATATGGAGACAATTTTTGTTCTAAAATTAAGCCCATTTACTTACATTTCATTTCTACGAAGGGGTTATGTGTAAGATTGGGGGTGGGTAGAGGAAGAACCATTCTAAGAGAACACCATAGAACTGTAGCTCTTCATGTATTTCCTTAAGTGAAAATAAAATGGGTTTCCTTTGAGTCACAAAAATAATTCTAAAACAGGGCATTGCTTCTCATCAGCTTTTTTTTTCTGGGCTACATGCAGGCAGTTGGCACAAGATCATATGGTAGGACACCACACTAGATATAAATTCCCTTCACCTTTTTTCACCTACTTCCTTTTATTCCCAGCAGGGCAGTAAAACAGGCTCCCTGCATATCCCTGCAAATTTGCTCTTGGATTCAGAAGTAGACCCCTAGCAGGTGATATTGTTCCCTTGTTAAAGTAGCAGACATTCAAGCTTGTAACAGGGGATAAAAATGGCAAGTGGACTTTGGTCCCACATTTGCAAGGTCCTGTATCATTTTGTACTTTGAATTTTTTCTAACATATTATGAACAATTTCAAATTTACAGAAACATTTAAAGAATTTTACAGTGAACACCTACATACCCATCACTTAGATTCCACGATTAACATTTTATTATGCTTATTTCATTACACATCCATCCATCTATATCCATCAGATTTTTTTCAAAGCATATCAAAGTAAACTGCAGAAATCAGCACACTTTCCCCTAAACATTTCAGCAGGATATTACTTGCTAGAGTTTAAGATTAGTTTATAGTTTTTTTCTTTTGAGGCAAAATTTACATACAATGAAATGTACAAATCTTAAGTGTGTATTCATTGAGTTTTGACAAATACATATACCCATGTAAACCAAATCTTATCAATCTATAGACTATAACCATCACCCCAGAAAGATCCCTTATACTCCATCCCAGTCATTCCCCTCCTCCAAAGGCAATCAGTGCTCCAGTTTGTCTAACAGACTAATTGTCTGCCCTAAAACAGTTGAATTTTGAAACTTTAAGTAGCTAAGTGTTCTGTTTTTCTTCTTTCAGTCAACACAAACTGAGCACCTAAAACGAGACACACACTTAAAGCCAGTAACAACAAAATAATTATTCCATTAAATTAGGAAAATACCTTCCATGGTGGTGAGAACCATGGGATTCATTATACTTCAAGGGCAATTTAGATGCACAACCAAAAGGGAAGACACATACCACACCCTGCGGCTGTTACTCATTTGGAAACTTGCTGACTCTTCAATAGTAAATTAAAATCCATACCCATGCCCAGTGAAAAATGGGGCTATGCAGGATCCTTGGATTAAGTGTGAAAAATGAGGAGGCTTTTTAAAAAAGCCCATCTTCAAACCAATATCATCGCTTTATGATGAAGATGAACTGTTATAACATGCCAAGCCTGTAACCTACAAAGACACAGCCCCGAGTTTTACACAACTATAAAATCATGAAGGAGGCTAGTAAAGGAGCCAAAAGGCTCTTCATTTATTTTCTTTAAACTTAACTACAGTAGTCAGTGTGGATTAGGCCCTCATTTTCCAGCAGCTGAATTATTGTCAAGGTGCTAACACTCTTGGTGGAAACAGCATTGGATTACCTACCTCTTTCTGCAAGAGCTCAACAGCACGCTTCACATATCAGTCACTAAAACTGCATTAAAAGGCTCTCCTACAGCAACTCTGATACTCTTTTAAAAGTTCATTAACCCCTGTTGTGGATTGAATCACAATATTCTCCCTCCCTCCAAAAGAAATGTTGAAGCCCTAACCTCCTGTAGCTCAGAATGTGGCCTTATTTGGAAATAATATCATTGCAGATGTAATTAGTTAAGATGGGGTCATACTGGAGTAGGGTAGGCCTCTCATCCAATATCATGGGTGTCCTTTTAAAATGAACTCCATATGGAGACAGAGACACAGGGAGAACAACACCATGTGAAGATGGAGGCAGAGGTGAGAGTGATGTGGCTACAAGCCAAGGAATGCCAAAGATGAATGGTCAGCACCAGAAGCTAGGAAGAAGGAAGGAAGAGTTCTTCCCTATAGGTTTCAGAGGGAGCATGACCCTGCCAACATCCTGATTTTGGACTTCTAACCTCTAGAACTGTGAGGCAATACATTTCTGTTGTAAGGCATCCAGTTTGTGGTACTTTGTTATGGAAGCCTTAGGAAACTAGAACAACCTTAAAGAAGATTTTCCCCTTTTTGGTAA
This sequence comes from Homo sapiens, assembly GCF_000001405.40. Lineage (NCBI taxonomy): Eukaryota > Metazoa > Chordata > Mammalia > Primates > Hominidae > Homo > Homo sapiens. The sequence continues at coordinate 90,038,170 of NC_000006.12, forward strand.
TTGTTTTAAACAAAAGTGTAATTTACATGCAGAAAAGTATACCAACCATAAGGGCACAATCAATGATTTTCTTTCAAGTAGACGCATTCATGTAACCACCACCCAAATGAAGACTATTATCAGCACCCCAGAATTCTCCTTCATGCCCCATCCCAGTTGTTATTTCCACCAACAGAACTGCTAATTCTAACTTCCTTCACCTTAGTTTTCTCTTTTTGAACTTTAAAGAAATAATATATAATTTTTTGTGTGTCTGGCTTCTTGTGCTCAACATTATGTTTGTGAGGTTCATCCATGTTGTTGTGTATAAGAGTGGTTTCTTCTAAAGATGGTTTGAAAAATATCATTAAGTTTTTCTTTTGTTTTGCTTTGGTTGGTTCAAATTTCCTAAAATGAATAAAATGGTAAATACTGAAATTCTCCAAAAATCTCCCAATCCCAGCTTCCCAGCCATCCAGTTCCATTTTCTAGAGGCCACGAGTGTCTCTTGTGTATCCTTCCAGAGAGAACTGATGCCTATTTAAGCAAAGATATATATATTTATAGATAGATCTTTGTCCTTTTTTTTACACAGAAGTTTACATATGGCCCGGGCATGGTGGCTCACACTTGTAATCCCAGCACTTTGGGAGGCTGAGGTGGGTGGATCATGAGGTCAGGAGTTCAAGACCAGCCTGGCCGACATGGTGAAACCCTGTCTCTCTACTAAAAATACAAAAAATTAGCTGGGTGTGGTGGTGGACACTTGTAATCCCAGCTACTCAGGAGGCTGAGGCAAGAGAATCACTTGAACCCAGGAGGGAGAGGTTGCAGTGAGCTGAGATTGCACCACTGCACCCCAGCCTGGGAAACAAGAGTGAAACTCCGTCTCCAAAAAAAAAAAAAAAAGTTTACATACTAAGCCATGATCTGCACCCTGCTTTCACTTAAAAATATAGTTTCTTCATTCTTGTTTTATGGTTTCATAATACTTGACTAGAAGGTCATAGTACAATTTATATAACCAATTCTCTATTGGCAGCTATCCGGGTTGTAGTCAGTATGTGTTATTATAAACAAGGTTGTAACGTGTAATCTTGTAATTTTGTACACATATCCATACATTCTCCTAAATGTGAAATTACTGGATCAAAGGATATAAACTTTGTAGTTTTGATACTGCCAAATTGTCCTCCATTGGGACAGTACCAATTTATACTCCTGCCAGCAATGTACAAGAGTACTTTTTTTTTTGAGATGGAGTCTCACTGTGTCGCCCAGGCTGGAATGCAGAGGCGCGATCTTGGCTCAGTGCAATGTCCGCGTCCCAGGTTCAAGCGATTCTCCAGCCTCAGCCTCCTGAGTAGTCGGGACCACAGGTGCGTGCTACCACGGCCGGCTAATTTTTTGTATTTTCAGTAGAGACGGGGTTTCATCGTGTTAGCCAGGATGGTCTCTATCTCCTGACCTCGTGATCTGCTCGCCTCGGCCTCCCAAAATGCTGGGATTACAGGCATAAGCCACTGCGCCTGGCCAAGAGTACTTCTTTATCCATAGTCTTGCTAATAGATTATATTACCAAACTTAAAAACAAAACAAAACAAAAAACCCCTGCCTGTTTGGCAAGTAAAAAACAGCGTTTAATTATAGTTTTAATTTGCATTAATTTTTAATAAATGACACTGATATATTTCATGTTTATGAACAGCTATTTATATTTCCACATCTGTAAATTGTTAATAGTCTTACTATTCTTTTAATTTTTTTCCCCTATTGCATTGTTGGTCTTTTTCTGCCTTGGAGAAGCTCTTTAAATATTAGGGAAATCAGTTCTATCTCTAGATGAGTTGCAAAAATATTTTTCCTTCTTTGTCACTTTTTTTTTTTTTTGGCCGTGGTTTATGGTGGTATTTGCTGCTCAGAAATTTTTGATTTTTGTGTCATTGAATTCATTTTATGACTTTCCCTTTGTGGTTTCTGGATTTTTGTCATACTTTGAAAGGCCTTCCCAACTTATAAACAATTTTCTCCTGAATCCTTTTAGAACTTTTACGGTTAAATTTTTTTCCCAAGTAAGTTTTGGAACCATTTAGGATTTATCTTGGTGTAAATATGAACCACCAAACTTTCTTTTTCCCAGAAGGCTATTTAATTGTCCCAGCACCATTTATTGAACATCCTTTTTTATCACACTGATTTGAGATGCTTCCTTAATGTAAACTAAAATTTCAAATGTATTTGAGATTATTTCTGGACTCTATAAGGTGCCACTGACTTGCCCATTAATGCCAATTCAAATATATGAGTACGTTTGTAGTATATTTTAATATCTAAAGAGCAATTTTCTCTCTTTTTATTCTTGGCTATTTTTGATTTTTTTTTTTTACATGAACTTCAGCATCAGCTTGTTTGGTTACAAAATATTCTGTTGGTATTTTTACTGCATTCACATTAAATTTGTGATGTTGAGGTTTTCTGTCCAAGGACATGGATTGTCTTTCCATTTATTCACATCTTTGTTTTTTCTCTTCATCTCAGGAGGATTTTAAAACAGTTTCATTTATTTACAAGAATAAAGATTTACATCTTAAGGAGTTCTTGAGTTCAATTCCTATATTTATACACATTACATATATATATATACACATGTGTATATATTTTATTTGAACTTTTCTTTTTTGCTATTGTAAATAGGATATTAACTTCCATTATATCTTCTAATCAGCTGTTGATCACATATATGAAGAATGTTTAGTTTTACATAATCCATTAGTACATAATGGGTTGTTATTGTTACCACCATCTTCCAGCTGATTCACAGAAGAAAGCATACTATCCAAGTGTGCAATCATATCATCTGCAAATAACAAACATTAGTTTAACCTCGTCCTTTTGACTTTTTACACTTCTACTTTCTTTCTCTTGTACTGCACAGGCTAAGTACGTTCAGAACAATGTTAAAGAAATAACAATGGGCGCCCTTGTCTTCATTGTTTCTGACATGGCTTCTGGTGTTTCCCTATTACTGGGTATATTCCTTTGGGCATACACCCAGTAATGGGACTGCTGGGCCAAATGGTAGCTAATTTGACTCTGCAATCCCATAAACACTACATCTACTAAAGCGTGATGCTAATTTTATAATAAATAATATATATAATAATAATTTTATGTTAAGGAGGTATCCATCACTTCTGATTTTATAAAGTGGTTTTTAATGAAAATAGATGTTGAATTACATCAATGCCTTTGCAGCATCTATGAACATGATCAAATAAGTGTTCCTTAAAGATCTATTAATATGATAAATTATATTAAAAGATTTTTCCAATATTTATCACTCCTGGAATGAACCTCATTTGGTTATGGTACACTGTTCTTTCAAAATGGTGCTAGGCTCTGTTTGCTAATATTTTATTTAGAATTTTACAATTGTGTTCTTCTATGGTGGTTGGTCTGATGGATTATCCTGCTCTTTAGAAGTCAGTGACTAAATTATATTTTCTTAGACAATTATGGATTTTTAAATTTATCTGTAAAAAGTTGAGTAAAACAGGCTTTATGATTCCTTTGTAATCTTTTATTTACCTTATTTTTATTATTTCCTCTATTTTATTAATCAAGTCAGCTAAAGTTTCCTTGATTGTGTTGAGGTTTTCAAACAACATGCTTTTGCATTTATTAATTCTTCAATTTTTCAGTTTTTGAATTCAGGATTTTTTGATATACTTTTATTTCCTTCCTGCTATATTTTAAGTTTGTTTTATTATTCTTTTCTAACGTTTTGAGTTAGACACTTAATTCATTTATTTCTATTTTTCTTATTTGCCAAAATAAATATTTTAGGCCACGGCTTCTCTTCTGACCACTGCTTTAAGCTGCAGCTCCTGGATTCTGCTAAAAACACACTGACACACTGACACAGATACTTACCTAAACATTGCATATAAATAAACTATGGGAAACTGATCATTTAAAAAGATGTTAGAAAAGACCACTAAAGGAACCCAGCAGTAAGTCTGTTGTAGGGTGAAGAATAATTCTTTTTATTTTTATTTTTTTGAGACAGGGTCTTGCTCTGTCACCCAGGCTGGAGTGCAGTGGCGCAATCATGGGTCACTGCAACCTCCGCCTTTTGGGCTCAAGCAGTTCTCCCTCCTCAGCTTCCCGAATAGCTGGGACTATGGGTACGGGACACTGCACTCAGCTAGTTTTTTGTATTTTTTTTTTTTGGTAGAGACAGGGTTTGGCCATGTTGCCCAGGCTGGTATTGACTGAACTCCTGGGCTCATCCACTCACCTCGGCCTCCCAAAGTGCTGGAATTACAGGCACGACCACTGTGCCCAGCCAAGAATAATCCTTTTGCTGCCATTCATGGTGTATTGACCAGGTGCACCAGGCACAGTGTGGGCTACTGTGAGAATAAACATGAAGGGGTCTCTGTCTTTCCATCAGTAAGGAAACCACACATGAGCACATAAAAACACATACTCACATATACAATATCACAGAAACATAAGGACAAGTCATACAAACCATAAAGAGATACAAACTTTCACATAAAATAATTTCCCTTCTTCTGCTCAAAACATACATACCTATAATCTTTAATAGGCATTCATTTAATTTATACTGACCTAAGTTGCTCTTCCAACTTAAAAGCAGTTCACAATAACAATATTTGTTTTTGCATAGAATATGGGTCAGAAGAGATGTAGAAAGGCTTGTTGGGTAGCTCTTGTAACAGTCTAGGTGAGTGATGATGATGGCTTGGACTAGTGAGGAAGCATAAGAGTGGCAACCACGGCCTGATTTGGCATGAATTTCAAAGGTACAGAGAGGTACAGTTGATAGGATTTGCTAATGGACTGGATGTGGGGTGAGAGAGAATGAAAAGAGTTAAGGGTAACTTTGAGAATTTCAGCTTCTGCAATTACATGAATGAGGGTGTCATTTACTGTAAGGGAAAACTCCAGGGGAGGATCATGTTTGGGGGCTGGGGTTGAAATAAATTGTTGCTTCCTGGTAGTTCATCTATCCAAGCTCACTGTTATGGTTTGAATGTGTCCCCCAAAAGTTCATGTGTTGGCAACTTAATCCTTGCGACAGCAGTGTTGAGAGGTGGGACCTTTAGGAGGTGATTGGGTCATGAGGGTTCTGTCTTCATTAATGGATTAATGAGGGAGTGAGTCTGTTATAACAGGAGTGGGTCTTTATAAAAGCCATTTTGGCCATGTCTCATAACCTCCCTCACCATGTGATGCCAGCCTCCAGAACTGGAAGAAAATACCTTACCTTTCCTTTTCCTCTTCCCCCTTTCCTTTCCTTTCTTCCCTTCCTCTCTCCCTCCCTCCCTTCCTCCCTCCCTTCCTCTCTCTCCTCCCTCACTCCCTTTCTTTCTTTTCAAATTACTCAGTTTCAGATATTAACTTACAGCAACAGAAAACAAACTAAGACACTCATCTCATTCACCTCTCCCATAAGTTGGTTATATTCAAGTGTCACTGACCTTTGTCCTATCACAGCTCCATGCTGTTGCATGTTCCGTTTCCACCCAAAGTGTCCTGCCTACTCTTCTCTGTCTGGCAAACACCTGCTCATCCTTCAAGAATAATCTCAAATGTCAGCTCCTTTGGTTACCTTTCTGACTCCTGCAGGCACAGTTGGGAGATTCATGCTGGAGCTTTCCAGCCTCCCAGCCATCTCAGTCTCACAAAATTGCTTATGTGTCTGTCTCTGTCACCTGGTTAAGTTCCCCAAGGACAGAAGTCATGCTTTTTTCTTCTTTTTTCCCTGGAGCACAATGCCTGAAACAAAGATGGCTACTCAATAAGTGTTTTCATTCATTCCATCAATATTGATGGAGTGTCTACCATGTATAACACATGATGCCATGTACTGTTCTAGGTACCTGAGGATATAGCAATGAACAAAGCAAAGTTGTGCTTGTCATGGAGCCTTCATTCCATTGGAGAAAAGGGCAATATACACACAAACGAATGAATCTACAATAATGTGCTGTAGAGGAAAAAAATAAGGCAGGGCAAGAGCAGTGAAGGATGTGGGCGGTGAGGTCCTGTTTTAAATACTGCAGTCGTGGAAGATCTCATTTAGGCAGATTCTAAATGAAGTGAGGGAGTAAACCATGCAGATATCTGGGAAAAGAGCCTTCCTGGCAGAAATAAACAGCTGGTTCAATGGCCCTACAGCAGGAGTAGGCTTGATGCTCTGATGACTCAAAAGGCCAGAGTGCATGGAGGATAGTGGCCAGCGAAAGCTGCAGAGGTAGTCAGGAAGTGAAGGGCATGCAGTTCGAGGTAGGAGTTTGGGTTTTACTCTAAGTGTTATGAGAAGCCAGAGTAGGCAAGTGATAGGATCTGATTTACACTTTAAAAGATTCCTTTGGCTTCCATATGGAAAATGGGTTGCTGTAGGGTCAGACTGGAAGCAAGAAAGCATGTTAGGAGGCTCCTGCAGCAGTCCTGGTAAGCATGATGATGGACTGAACTATGGAAGGAGCAGAAAAGTGGTGACAAAGTGCCTGGATTTGACAGGTGGAGCTGACGGGATTTGCTAGTGGATTGGATGTGGGGTGAGAGAACGGAAAGAGTTAACGATGGCACCAAGGATTTCAGCTTAAGTGACCAGATGAATGGGGGTGTCATTTATTGAAAGAGGAAACCCCAGAGGAGGATCAGGTATGGGGGATGAGGGCAGAACAAGTGTTGGTTTTGGATATGACAACTTTGAGGAGTTGATTAGACAGCCCTGTGGAGGTAAGCAACTGAACACAGCCTGATTCTAGAGAGATAAATTTGGGAGCCATTAGTATGCAGATGGTATTTAAAAGCCACAAGACTGGATGAGATCACCAGGGAGTAAGCTTATGTGGGCTGAATGAATGAATAAGCAAGTTTATGCTCAGGAAGGAAACTGTTATCAGGTTGATAACATCTGACTCTACAGAGACTGGACAAATAGATAATAAACACAGGGATGAAAGGGCACAGAATTAATTTTTTTCCATGTCTAGATGGCTAATCCAGACTTTTCCCTTACATGCGCAGAAAAGCCTGCATCCTAAATTATTGAGGACAAAGCAGACCGCATGACTCTGTGGAGCAGTTTCCACTGCTTGGCTTGTGTGCAAGGTGTGTCAGCCTACTTCAGGCGTCTTGGTAACTAAGCACTTTTCTGGGTGAGCATCTTATCACAGCATGTTGTGCAGGCTGGAACCCATGAGAGTGAGTCCTTCAGGAAAGAAACGACATCAACAGATGTACACAACACGTTTCAAATTAATAAAGGTGGGGGGAAGATCACAAATACAACATCTGTAACACTGTACGTGCAACTTGTCATCTCTATTGAAGAAACAGGCAGGTAAGCTTCCACAACTAAGATAAAATAATCTTTGCCGTAAGTCCGAGATAAGTTGCATTGAATTTGGGGTAGTTAAGCTGTATTTCTCAAAAGTCAAAACCAAGTCAGTGGGTTCACCAAATTCTTTTGGTTACTTCAAATATCATATTACCAATACCAAAAACTTCTCAGGCCCACAGGACTCTCATCCCATGTAAAAACACTAAAAGGATGGTGATGCAAGAGGTATCCCACTGTGAAAAATTCCTTTTGCATACTTTCTAAAATTAATATTTCTTTCCAAGTACACAGGGTTTTGTCTGCCACTTATTTTGCTTTTTAATCATGAGGCACTAAAAGTTGGCACATTTTTAAAGGTGCCAGCTTCCATGGACTTTTAAAATTTCCATTCATTCCCATAGTCTTACAGGCTTCTCTCCCCTAAAAACCATGAGGACTCTGTTCATATCTGCTCCCCTGCTCCACTATGATCAAAGATATTCCTCTGTATCTCTGTGTAATACTCAAAACAGGAAATAAAGACCCCAAAATGAAGCCTCAGTATCTCATGTCTTCCCCAGTGTCCCATCCACGTCTGAAAGAGTGAAAGCTCTGTTTTAGAATGACTGCTGGCTGCCAATGAGAGCTCTGGATACGTTGACATGGATGAACGAAAACACACTCAAAAAAGAGCAAAATTGTGTGGAAACTTGGAAACATGGAAAGATTCAGTCATTTAAGCATCTAAGAAACATTTAGTATGTGTCTACCACATGCCAGCCACTTTGCTAAGTGCTGGGTCACAAACACAAGCCTCTGGAGCTCATAATATAGTGGCTAACGAGACAAATGCCATCAAGGACAGATGAGACTCTTCCCAGCAATGGCAATGCCTAAACTGAATTCTGAAGGACAAAACAGAAATTATCTAAGGGAAGGCACAGAGGGAGAATCAGTTAATATTTGTGGATCCCTAACTGCATTCTCCCTTGTAAGCCTGGTACTAGGTATACAAAGATGAATATGGTACACCTCCTCCCCAAAAGAAGACAAAAGACATAGTAGCTATTTTGAAATTTCAAAGGAGCTAGCCAGAAGCAGCATCCGATTTTTCTGGGTGAACCTGTGGGTGATATCAATATGGAAGGTACTAAGGCAGGAGCACACTGGAGAGTTGATTCCATGGGCTCTTTCAGATGTTTTTTCCACAGACCTATAGAGACGCTTTTGTAAACAAGTTCAAGTTTACGAGCATTCAAAAATGAATGCATCAGAGCTACTAGAATTTGGTGACTTTTTTTTTTTTAACACTGTAATTACAAGAATAAAGGGAAGGATGAAGCTAAACCATATTCTTATGCCCAAGCAACTCATTAACAGAGGCCAAGCCCAGGCCAATTGCCCATGTAATTTCTTTCTTTCTTTCTTTCTTTTTTTGAGACAGAGATTCACTACTGTCACCCAGGCTGGAGTGCAATGGCATGATCTTGGCTCACTGCAACCTCTGCCTCCGGGTTCAAGCGATTCTCCTGCCTCAGCCTCCTGAGTAGCTGGGATTACAGGCATCTGCCATTACGCAGGCTAATTTTTGTATTTTTAGGGGTTTCACCATGTTGGCCAGGCTGGTCTCGAACTCCTGACTTCAGGTGATCTGCCCGCCTTGGCCTCCCAAAGTGCTGGGATTACAGGCGTGAGCCACTGTGCCTGTCCTGCCCATGTTATTTCTACAAACCTTTATCCTCTTGGTGCTTTCAGGAAGTTATCAGGGATGGGGGGCAGAGGTGGCAGGGGCCTATAATGTAACTGTTCTGTGCTGTACAGCCAGGTTCCTTTCCGGTTGCTGGTGAGAATCCAATGTCAGCTAGAGTTATACTGGCACGTCCATGGTCCTGGAAAGGCCTTGGAAAGGCTGAGGCAGGCAAATGCTTCTCCACAGATGCCCTACCCCACCTCGTTCATTCTCTTGGATGTCAGTGCTCTTCTGCTAACAGAACCTATACTTCATGCCCCATTTCCCCGAATCACTTCTTTCCTCTACTCATACAGTATCCTTGATGAAGCTGAGCACCTTCGAGTGTCCGCAGTTTTTGAAAGCCGTGGCTGTCTTATAATAACCCATCCTGACGTTCCTAGGAGTATTTATATTCTGAGGGTGAGTTAAGTTAGTGGATAATTGTGGTAAAGAAAGGCCTTGTCAGTGCCTCCTGTAGAGTCACACCATCAAACCCTGGGGTATGCTGGGGCCTGAGTTCTCTCCAGCAAACCCCAAAACCAGAACTTGGGTTGGCACTCCACTTTATTTTCCAAGTTATGGATCTCAGGGCTGGCAAACACAATCCTAGACAATTGATTCTCAAAGGTCTCAAATCATCTGGTGTCTAAAGGGCTAATCTAGGGGCTCCCCTGAAAGTCTCTTGGTAAATCTCTCCTTAAAGATTTCAAATAAAACCTGAAGCAAACAGAGCACCTGTCTAGATGATAAGAGGCCTGATTCATATTCCATTCTATTGCTGACTTGTGACACCTAGAAATTCAGTCGTAGCTTTTCTGTGGCATATTCTATGAAGTGAGGGTATAATAACCGAGATTAGTTTCAGGTCTAGGTCTTTCTATTTTTTTTTTATTTATATATTTAGAGACAGGTTCTCACTCTGTTGCACAGACTGGTGTGCAGTGGTGTGATCATAGCTCACTGCAGCCTTGAATTCCTGGGCTCAAGGAATCCTCTTGCCTCAGCCACCTGAGTTGCTAGAACTACAGGTGTGCATAACCATGTGCAGCTAATTTTTGTGTTTTTCGTAGAGACAGGGTCTCACTATATTGCCCAGGCTGGTCTTGAACTCCTGGCCTCAAGCAATCCTCCTGCCTTGGTATCCCTTGGGCCTAAGCCTTCATGCTGCCATGGCATGTCATCAGACATGGTATTTCACGCTTGTTTCAACCAGGAACCAGGGCAAAGGAAAGGTCTTTGGTGTCAATGCAATACAAAACTTTATGTTAATTTGCCATTGTGGCAGTTCCTAGGAAAGATCCTAAGAACTTCTGGGCAAAAGGCTGAAGAAATATAATGGTTTCTTGGGAATTGAGGGTTGAGGTAAACATTTCTAAAATGTGCAAAAAAGTTAATTTTGAAAATCTGCTGCTCATTTGTTATAACTTCAGAGTTTCAATTTTAATTATTTTAAAAATTCCCTCTAACAAGCACACTTTCTGAATGACTACTGCCTCATCATTTGGCAGCCAACTCTTGAAACCTTGGCACTCTGAGCAATAATTATGAGTATGTCTTAATGTGTATCCATTGAGTTACTGCTTGCCTGGGAAGAAGCTGAAGGATGTAAGTTAAATTTTTGGCTCTAACACTCACTAGCTCTTTAGATTTGTAACAGCTCTTGTTGACCTTCAGATACTTTTTCTGTAAAAAGGGGTAAACAGAACCCAACTTGCAGGGTTCTAGTGAGGATTGTGTTAATGTAAGCAAAATGGGGAACTCAAAAGTTCCTTTTGTTGTTATACAGAGAATCCAGAGTAAGCAAAAAATAGCTAGTTGCAGCTATGAGGCCATCTGATGAGAAATGATGAAAAACCAACTCCATATGCACCATCTCAATCTGATCCAATCATTCCATAAACTTTTATTGAGTGCTCAGATGCCAAGTTATTATTTTAAGTTTTGTAGACAGTTACTATATTGAACAGGACAGACAAAGTCCCTACATTCTTAGGTCTTATATTCTAGCTGGGAAAAACAGACAATAAATGTATGTAAGTAAACAATAAACTACTAAGTAGTGATAAGTGTTATAAAAACAAAATAGGGTGCTATGATAGGAAGTCACTGGGTGACTACGGATGACAGACCTCTCTGAGGTCATGACATTTAAACTGAGATCTCAATGACGCGAAGAAGAGAGCCACAGGAGGGTCTCTGGCAATGAATCTCTGTGTGGTCTGTGGAACCCCTGGGAATCCCGAGACCCTTTCAGAATGCCAGTGAAGTCAATTTTATTTTCATGGTCATACTAAGATGCTGTATGTCTTTTTCACAGTGTTGACATGAGCACTGCTGGTGCAAACGTAATGGTGGGTAAAACTGCTGGCATCTCAGCATGAAACAAAGCAGTGGCACCAAACTATCAGTTCTTCACTACCATATACTCACCATAGAACAGGGTGACAGTTTCACTTATAAAGGGACTTGATCAAGCAGTAAAAATTATTATTTGTACTAAATCTCAACACATAACATTTTAACACTCTGTGTGACAAAATGAGATGTGCTCATAAAGTACTTTTGCTGCAAACCAAAGTAAGATTGTCATCCCAAGGAAAAGCATTTGTGGGATTCAGCGGCAAGCTGCACAAGTAACTGTTTTCAGAGAACACCATTTTTACTTGAAAGAATGACTGACAAACTAAGGTTACTCAGACTTGGGCATTTGGGAGACATTTTCTTGAAATTGAACAAGGTGAGTGAGCTGTCACTTCAAGGAAAACAACTGACAGTATTTGTTGCCACTGATAAAATCTAAGCTTTCAAATAAAAACGTGATTTTTGGAAAATGTGTATTTCCTACTGTAAGCTTGGCAGCTTCCCCAAATTTGAGAGGCTTTTCTGTTAAGAATGATAATAACATTAATAGGTGATTTTTTTTGAACATTAAAATAGTGTCATCATTTTGAAGATCTGTGTAAGCTGATAAAGCAACATGTTCCAATCATACAAAATCATACTTGGTAAAAGATTTGATGTGCAAGGCAGAGTAATGAATTTTAATATAATGGAGTTTGAAAAGTTCATTGATATGGCTTTAGATTCCATATTGCAACTAACTTTTAAGAAGTTACCACTTGTCAAATTTTAACGTAATATCGAAGAAGAACACCCACAATATTTGAAAAACCTATTAACTCTATCCTTGTCCAAATACACATCTGTGAGGCTGAATTTTTTCATATAATGAAACAAAAATGACATATCACAAGATTGAACACTAAAAGAGATATTAGAATCTAAATGTCTTCTAGTATGCTGGACATTAAAGGTATTGGGGAAAATACAAAACAATGCAATTCTTTTCACTTTTATCTTGAAAAATATAGTTTTTTCATAAAGATATGTTATTCATGTTAACATGTAGTGAGCTTATTACTGTGATTTTAAAATTAACTAATAGATACTTTAAATGTTCAGTTTTAATTTCTAATAAGGTAAATATAGATAAAACCCAAATAAACGAAAGCTCTTTGGGGTTCTCGGTAATTTTTTTTTTTTTGAGATGGAATCTTGCTCTGTCGCCCAGCCTGGAGTGCAATGGCGCGATCTCGGTTCACTGCAACCTCCATCTCCTGGGTTCAAGCGATTCTCTCCTGCTTCAGCCTCCCAAGTAGTTGGGATTACAGGTGCCTACTACCATGCCCAGCTAATTTTTGTAGTTTTAGTAGAGATGGGGTTTCACCATGTTGGCCAGGCTGGTCTTGAACTCCTGACCTCAGGTGATCCATCCACCTCAGCCTCCCAAAGTGCTGGGATTACAGGCTTTTACAGGCTGGTAATTTTTAAGAGTATAAAGGGATTCTGAAACCAAAATTTTGAGAACAATTGACCTGAGCATATTAAACAATACAATTTTAGTTTATTTAGGTCTTGCATAAGTTCTGTTAGATTTGTTCTGAGGTACTTAAATTTTTGTTATTATCATTAATAACTTTTTAAACATTACTTTTCTGTGTTACTGGTATATAAGGCAATTAATTTTTATTGATATATATTGTATATTGATCTTATATCCAGTCACTGTGCTAAACTTTCTCACTGGACTTACTCTTTTACATCAGTCTTACTGTTAGTACAGGACTGGCAAATTATGATCCTGTAGACTAGATACAGTCTACCATGTTTTTAAAACAACAATTTATAGGAACAGAGCTCTATCCACCCATTTACGTATTATCTATAGCTGCTTTTGCACTACAGTGGCAGAGTTGAGTAGTAGTGAGAGAGACTATGGCCCACAAAGTCAAAAATATTTACTATATGCCTTTTTACAAAAAAAGTTTACCAAACCCTGTATTATGAACTCCATTCACAGAACCAACTTTTGGCTCTGTTGATACCCTACATAGTATTTACAATTTCAATTTAATTAATTCTGTTCTCATCTTTATTCATCCTTCCTTTCTCATTCGTCTTTTTTTTTACCTTCTCAAAGTTAGCTTCTTAATTTTCACTTTTTCCTTTTCTAGTAACAAACCTGCACGTTCAGCACATGTATCCCAGAACTTAAAATAAAAAATAAAAATAAGAAAAACACTTGAGACTATAAATTTTCCTCCAAGTACAACTTTTACTGTATCCCACAAGTTGATATATCATATTTTCATTATCATTCAATTCTAAGTATTTTAAATTTTCCATTATTACATCTTTGATCAATGAATTATTTTAAAATGTTAAAAAATTTCCACATATAAGGGGAATTTTGGGGAGTTTATGTTTTAGTTACCGAATTCTAATTAAATTGTATTATGATCAGATAATGTGGTCATTATACTGATTCTTGGAAATCTGTTGAGACTTGTTTTAGGGGCATAGTATGAGGGCAAGTTTTGTAATTCTTCCATATGAAGAACACATATATTCTATTTGTTTGATGCAAGATTCTATGAATCAAACTATTCAGTTGTACTGCTTCAATGTTATATTTCTTTACTAATTATTTGTTATGTGCTTGACCAAGCAATATCTTGGAGAAACATGAAATTTCTCTATAGTTTTATTAGTTTTTGTTTTACATGTTTTGATGCAATATAGAAATGTTATACCTTTCCAGTGAATTAAAACCTTATCAATAGGTAGTGCTCTCTCTATCCTGATTTTTTTTTGCCTTAAAGTCTTTTATCTATCTATCTATCTATTTATTTTTGAGACAGGGTCTTTCTCTGTTACCCAGGCTGGAGTTCAGTGGCATGATCTTGGCTCACTGCAACCTCCGTCTCCTGGGTTCAAGCGATTCTCATGCCTCAGCCTCCCGAGCAGTTGGGATTACAGGTGCAGGCCAGCATGCCTGGCTAATTTTTCATATTTTTAGTAGAGACAGGGTTTCGCCATGTTGGCCAGGCTGGTCTTGAACTCCTGGCCTCAAGTGATCTGCCTGCCTCAGTCTCCCAAAGTGCTGGGGTTACAGGCATGAGCCACCACACCCAGCCCTTAAAGTCTATTTTGACTGATATCAACAAAGCTACATAGCTCCTTTTTGATTGGTATTTGCTCGAATACGAATTGTTAAATGTGTATTTCTCTAAACACTGTATAGCTGAATTGGTATTATATTTTTTAAAAAATCTTAATGTTTACTCTATTTTTTAGCCAGAAAGTTTAGGCAATTTACATATATTGTGATTGCTGATATATCTGCATTTGTTTTTATAATATTATTTTCTATTTGTCCTACTTTCCTATGCTTTATGTATTTTTTCTTTCTTTTTTGATTTTTAAAAATCAGGCTTAGAAGTTATACACTAGTTCTTTTCTTTTAGCAGTTACCCTTGAAATCCAAAGTTAGTAGTTTAACCCCTTCAGAACAACAAAAGGAACTTATAATGCAAACTCTGATTATCTCCTTCCTCATATATAGGGAGTTTTACACAGTATTTTAAACCAGCAATATTTGTTTAGATTTGCCTACATGTTTACCAATTTCTTTGCTTACAATTTCTATTTTTCAGACCTTTTGCTATCTCTTTTCTTCTTTCTGAAGTATACGCTTTTTTTTTCTTTTATTTAGAGACAGGGTTGTACTTTGTCATCCAAGCTGGAGTACAGTGGTGTGATCAAGGCTCACTGCAGTCTTCAACTCCTGTGCTCTAGTGATTCTCCCGCCTCAGCCTCCTGAGTAGCTAGGACTACAGGTATACACCACCCATTTGGCTAATTTATTTATTTATTTTTGTAGAGCTAGGGTCTCACTGTATTGTGCAGACTGGTCTTGAACTGGCCTCAAGCAATCTTCCTGGCTTGACCTCCCAAAATGCTGGGATTACAGGTGTGTGTCACCATACCCAGCCTGAAGTATATTCTTTCAAGTTCCTTCAGTGTAAGTCTGCTGGTGGTAAACTCCCTTAGGTTTTGTACGTCTGAAGAAAATACTTCACTCTCATTTTGAAGGTTATTTTTGCTGAAAACACAATTTTAAGTCGAAAATCATTTTCTCTCAGAACTTTGAAAATATTTCATCATCTCCTGGATTTAGTCATTGCTGTTGAGAAGTCTGCTGTCAGTCTAAGTATTGTTCCTCTGTGGATGTGGTCTGTTTTCCCTATGGCTCCTTTTAAGAGAGCTGTCTTCAGTGATTCACAGTTTTACTACGGTATAAAAAGTTGTGAAGGCCTTTTTATTTGTCTGTTTAGATACACTGCTTCCTATATCTCTGGATCAGTATTTCTCATTGAAAAATTCTGGAATGCCGGTGGGGAGGAGCCAAGATGGCCGAATAGGAACAGCTCCGGTCTACAGCTCCCAGCGTGAGCGATGCAGAAGATGGGTGATTTCTGCATTTCCAACTGAGGTACCGGGTTCATCTCACTGGGGAGTGCCAGATAGTAGGTGCAGGACAGTGGGTGCAGCGCACCGTGCACGAGCCAAAGCAGGGGGAGGCATCGCCTCACTCGGGAAGTGCAAGGGGTCAGGGAATTCCCTTTTGTAGTCAAAGAAAGCGGTGACAGACGGCACCTGGAAAATCAGGTCACTTCCACCCTAATACTGCGCTTTTCAAATGGGCTTAAAAAATGGCACACCAGGAGATTATATCCCGCACGTGGCTCAGAGGGTCCTACGCCCATGGAGTCTCACTCACCGCTAGCACAGCAGTCTGAGATCAAACTGCAAGGCGGCAGCGAGGCTGGGGGAGGGGCGCCCACCACTGCCAAGTTAGTTGTTTGATTAGGTAAACAAAGCGGCAGGGAAGCTCGAACTGGGTGGAGCCCACCACAGCTCAAGGAGGCCTGCCTGCCTCTGTAGGCTCCACCTCTGGGGGCAGGGCACAGACAAACAAAAAGACAGCAGTAACCTCTGCAGACTTAAATGTCCCTCTCTGACAGCTTTGAAGAGAGTAGTGGTTCTCCCAGCACACAGCTTGAGATCTGAGAACGGGCATACTGCCTCCTTAAGTGGGTCCCTGACCCCCGAGGAGCCTAACTGGGAGGCACCCCCCAGTAGAGGCGGGCTGACACCTCACACAGCCGGGTACTCCTCTGAGACAAAACTTCCAGAGGAACCATCAGGCAGCAGCATCTGTGGTTCACCAATATCTGCTGTTCTGCAGCCACCGCTGCTGATACCCAGGCAAACAAGGTCTGGAGTGGACCTCTAGCAAACTCCAACAGACCTGCAGCTGAGGGTCCTGTCTGTTAGAAGGAAAACTAACAAACGGAAAGGACATCCACACCAAAAACCCATCTGTAAGTCACCATCATTAAAGACCAAAGGTAGATAAAACCACAAAGATGTGAAAAAAACAGAGCAGAAAAACTGGAAACTCTAAAAATCAGAGTGCCTCTCCTCCTTCAAAGGAACACAGCTCCTCACCAGCAATGGAACAAAGCTGGATGGAGAATGACTTTGCTGAGTTGAGAGAAGAAGGCTTCAGATGATCAAACTACTCTGAGCTACAGGAGGAGCTTTGAACCAATGGCAAAGAAGTTAAAAGCTTTGAAAAAAAATTAGACGAACGGATAACTAGAATAATCAATGCAGAGAAGTCCGTAAAGGACCCGATGGAGCTGAAAACCAAGGCACGAGAGCTACATGTCGAATGCAGAAGCCTCAGTAGCCGATTCGATCAACTGGAAGAAAGGGTATCAGTGATGGAAGACAAAATGAATGAAATGAAGCAAGAAGAGAAGTTCAGAGAAAAAAGAATAAAAAGAAACGAACAAAGCCTTCAAGAAATATGGGACTATGTGAAAAGACCAAATGTACATCTGACTGGTATACCTGAAAGTGACGGGGAGAATGGAACCAAGTTGGAAAACACTCTGCAGGATATTATCCAGGAGAACTTCCCCAATGTAGCAAGGCAGGCCAACATTCAGATTCAGGAAATACAGAGAACGCCACAAAGATACTCCTCGAGAAGAGCAACTCCAAGACACGTAATTGTCAAGATTCACCAAAGTTGAAATGAAGGAAAAAATGTTAAGGGCAGCCAGAGAGAAAGGTCAGGTTACCCACAAAGGGAAGCCCAACAGACTAACAGCTGATCTCTCGGCAGAAACTCTACAAGCCAGAAGAGTGGGGACCAATATTCAACATTCTTAAAGAAAGAATTTTCAACCCAGAATCTCATATCCAGCCAAACTAAGCTTCATAAGTGAAGGAGAAATAAAATACTTTACAGACAAGCAAATGCTGAGAGATTTTGTCACCACCAGGCCTGCCCTAAAAGAGCTCCTGCAGGAAGCACTAAACATGGAAAGGAACAACTGGTACCAGCCACTGCAAAAACATACCAAATTGTAAAGACCATCAAGGCTAGGAAGAAACTGCATCAACTAACCAGCAAAAGAACCAGCTAACATCATAATGACAGGATCAAATTCACACATAACAATATTAACTTTAAATGTAAATGGGCTAAATGCTCCAATTAAAAGACACAGACTGGCAAATTGGATAAAGAGTCAAGACCTATCAGTGTGCTGTATTCAGGAAACCCATCTCACGTGCAGAGACACACATAGGCTCCAAATAAAGGGATGGAGGAAGATCTACCAAGCAAATGGAAAACAAAAAAAGGCAGGGGTTGCAATCCTAGTCTCTGATAAAACAGACTTTAAACAAACAAAGATCAAAAGAGACAAAGAAGGCCATTACATAATGGTAAAGGGATCAATTCAACAAGAAGAGCTAACTATCCTAAATATATATGCACCCAATACAGCAGCACCCAGATTCATAAAGCAAGTCCTGAGTGACCTACAAAGAGACTTAGACTCCCACACAATAATAATGGGAGACTTTAACATCCCACTGTCAACATCAGACAGATCAACGAGACAGAAAGTTAACAAGGATACCCAGGAATTGAACTCAGCTCTGCACCAAGCGGACCTAATAGACATCTACAGAACTCTCCACCCCAAATCAACAGAATATACATTCTTTTCAGCACCACACCACACCTACTCCAAAATTGACCACATAGTTGGAAGTAAAGCACTCCTCAGCAAATGTAGAAGAACAGAAATTATAACAAACTGTCTCTCAGACCACAGTGCAATCAAACTAGAAATCAGGATTAAGAAACTCACTCAAAACTGCTCAACTACATGGAAACTGAACAACCTGCTCCTGAATGACTACTGGGTAAATAATGAAATGAAGGCAGAAATAAAGATGTTCTTTGAAATCAACGAGGACAAAGACACAACATACCAGAATCGCTGGGACACATTCAAAGCAGTGTGTAGAGGGAAATTTATAGCACTAAATGCCCACAAGAGAAAGCAGGAGAGATCTAAAATTGACACCCTAACGTCACAATTAAAAGAACTAGAAAAGCAAGAGCAAACACATTCAAAAGCTAGCAGAAGGCAAGAAATAACCGAGATCAGAGCAGAACTGAAGGAAATAGAGACACAAAAAACCCTTCAAAAAATGAATGAATCCAGGAGCTGGTTTTTTGAAAAGATCAACAACATTGATAGACTGCTAGCAAGACTAATCAAGAAGAAAAGAGAGAAGAATCAAATAGACGCAATAAAAAATCATAAAGGGGATATCACCACCAATCCCACAGAAATACAAACTACCATCAGAGAATATGATAAACACCTCTACGCAAATAAACTAGAAAATCTAGAAGAAACGGATAAATTCCTCGACACATACATCCTCCCAAGACTAAACCAGGAACAAGTTGAATCTCTGAATAGACCAATAACAGGAGCTGAAATTGAGGCAATAATCAATAGCTTACGAACCAAAAAAAGTCCAGGAACCAGGTGGATTCACAGCCGAATTCTACCAGAGGTACAAAGAGGAGCTGGTACCATTCCTTCTGAAACTATTCCAATCAACAGAAAAAGAGGGAATCCTCCCTAACTCATTTTATGAGGCCAGCATCATCCTGACACCAAAGCCTGGCAGAGACACAACAAAAAAAGAGAATTTTAGACCAATATCCTTGATGAACATTGATGCAAAAATCCTCAAGAAAATACTGGCAAACTGAATCCAGCAGCACATCAAAAAGCTTATCCACCATGATCAAGTGGGCTTCATCCCTGGGATGCAAGGCTGGTTCAACATACACAAATCAGTAAACGTAATCCAACATATAAACAGAACCAAAGACAAAAATCACGATTATCTCAATAGATGCAGAAAAGGCCTTTGACAAAATTCAACAATGCTTCATGCTAAAAACTCTCAATAAATTAGGGATTGATGGGACGTATCTCAAAATAATAAGAGCTATCTATGACAAACCCACAGCCAATATCATACTGAATGGGCAAAAACTGGAAGCATTCCCTTTGAAAACTGGCACAAGACAGGGATGCCCGTTCTCACCACTCCTATTCAACATAGTGTTGGAAGTTCTGGCCAGGGCAATTAGGCAGGAGAAGGAAATAAAGGGTATTCAATTAGGAAAAGAGGAAGTCAAATTGTCCCTCTTTGCAGATGACATGACTGTATATCTAGAAAACCCCACTGTCTCAGCACAAAATCTCCTTAAGCTGATAAGCAACTTCAGCAAAGTCTCAGGATACAAAATCAATGTACAAAATCCACAAGCATTCTTATACACCAATAACAGACAAACAGAGAGCCAAATCATGAGTGAACTCCCATTCACAATTGCTTCAAAGAGAATAAAATACCTGGGAATCCAACTTACAAGGGATATGAAGGAGCTCTTCAAGGAGAACTACAAACCACTGCTCAGTGAAATAAAAGAGGATATAAACAAATGGAAGAACATTCCATGCTCATGGGTAGGAAGAATCAATATTGTGAAAATGGCCATACTGCCCAAGGTAATTTATAGATTCAATGCCATCCCCATCAAGCTACCAATGACTTTCTTCACAGAACTGGAAAAAACTACTTTCAAGTTCATATGGAACCAAAAAAGAGCCCGCATCGCCAAGTCAATCCTAAGCCAAAAGAACAAAGCTGGAGGCATCACACTAGCTGACTTCAAACTATACTACAAGGCTACAGTAACCAAAACAGCATGGTACTGGTACCAAGACAGACATATAGATCAATGGAACAGAACAGAGTCCTCAGAAATAATGCCGCATATCTACAACTATCTGATCTTTGACAAACCTGACAAAAACAAGAAATGGGGAAAGGATTCCCTATTTAATAAATGGTGCTGGGAAAACTGGTTAGCCATATGTAGAAAGCTGAAACTGGATCCCTTCCTTACACCTTATACAAAAATTAATTCAAGATGGATTAAAGACTTAAATGTTAGACCTAAAACCATAAAAACCCTAGAAGAAAACTTAGGCATTACCATTCAGGACACAGGCATGGGCAAGGACTTCATGTCTGAAACACCAAAAGCAATGGCAACAAAAGACAAAATTGACAAATGGGATCTAATTAAACTAAAGAGCTTCTGCACAGCAAAAGAAACTACCATCAGAGTGAACAGGCAACCTACAGAACGGGAGAAAAGTTTTGCAAGCTACTCATCTGACAAAGGGCTAATATCCAGAATCTACAATGAACTCCAACAAATTTACAAGAAAAAAACAAACAACCCCATCAACAAGTGGGCAAAGGATATGAACAGACACTTCTCAAAAGAAGACATTTATGCAGCCAAAAGACACACGAAAAAATGCTCATCATCACTGGCCATCAGAGGAATACAAATCAAAACCACAAGGAGATACCATCTCAAACCAGTTAGAATGGCGATCATTAAAAAGTCAGGAAACAACAGGTGCTGGAGAGGATGTGGAGAAATAGGAACACTTTTACACTGTTGGTAGGACTGTAAACTAGTTCAACCATTGTGGAAGTCAGTGTGGTGATTCCTCAGGGATCTAGGACTAGAAATACCATTTGACCCAGCCATCCCATTACTGGGTATATACCCAAAGGATTATAAATCATGCTGCTATAAAGACACATGCACACGTATGTTTATTGCAGCACTATTCACAATAGCAAAGACTTGGTACCAACCCAAATGTCCAACAATGATAGACTGGATTAAGAAAATGTGGCACATATACACCATGGAATACTATGCAGCCATAAAAAATGATGAGTTCATGTCCTTTGTAGGGACATGGATCAAGTTGGAAACCATTATTCTCAGCAAACTATCACAAGGACAAAAAACCAAACACCGCATGTTCTCACTCATAGGTGGGAATGGAACAATGAGAACACATGGACACAGGAAGGGGAACAACACACACCAGGGACTGTTGTGGGGTGGGGGGAGGGGGGAGGGATAGCATTAGGAGATATACCTAATGCTAAATGACGAGTTAATGGGTGCAGCACACCAACATGGCACATGTATACGTATGTAACGAAGCTGCACGTCGTGCACATGTACCCTAAAACTTAAAGTATAATAACAGTAAAAAAAAAAACAAAGAAAACAAACAAACAAAAAACACAAAAGATAAAACTCTTCACTTAAAAAAAAAGAAAAATTCTGAGCCACAATCTCTTTAAACATTGTCTCATCTCCATTCTGCATATTTTTGTTGCCTTTCACGCTCTAAATAGGCTTTAGTTAGGCTTGCTTATTCTGCCCTCCAAACTTATTAACCTCTCTTCCTTATAGTTCCATCTCTTTGTCTGTGCTCCATTGCATGAAACTATTTTAGTTTTATTTTCCAGTTCATTAATTAGTCCATTACAAAAAAGCTTATCCACTAAATTTTTTGATAATTTTTTTTTATTACTGAAGGTTTTCTTTAGCTCTTTTTCAGAAGTGCCTGGTGATTGTGAGAGACCATTGTTGTTCACCATTCACCATTTTTGTAGTCTATATTTAAGTTAATTTTTCTTTATATAAGGTAGTCTAGTTTCTTCTTATCTGATACTTCAAACATCTAAAGCCCTTGGTGGGGAAGGAGTAATTAATATATTAACGCTAGTTTTGCTGATTTTCACTCACGGTGGTTTGTTTCCTTGTTTGATAATCTTTTTTGAAAGCTCAAGATCCCAATCTGTGAAAAAAAACTAGAAGCCTAAATTACATTTGCTTTATCTGGAATTTAGTGGTACTACCAACCTGGGCTATTTTATCTCCCTTCTAGAATCCCAGGCTTAAACTGGGAGTTGCAGTACGGTCCCCATTTGCACCCCCACATGACCGTCACACACAAACACAAGGGATGGCCAATTCTGCCTTTTCTGGCTTGTTTACTGTTGACATATATGCACTTAGCTACTTGTATTTTTTTTCTTAGATATTTTCATTACTTCCTAGGAGTTCTAAAATGCAACAGAGATATCCTTTGGAGTACAAAGTCTGTTATACTGGCAGAAGAAGAGGTCCTCTTTAAAAGTTTTTAGAAAGTAGGAGAGTGACATCTGATTGTTGCTTTTGAAGAGCTTTTTCTAGATTCTCTGTAAGAATGAACTGCAGGGAGGCAGGAATGAAAGCAGAGCCAGGTAGGAGGCTAATGTAGTAGTTCAGGTGAGAAATTGAAGCAACATGTCTGAGAGAAGTAGCAGAGGAGACAGAAAGAGGTGAAATGACTCGATATCTGATTGGGCATAAAACAGGAGGAGCTTTTGATAGTTTGGATGTGGAAGGTGAGGTACAGGATCCCTGGTTGATGGCTGGTGGTGTCATTTCATTTATTGAGATAAGAATAATTGGGAGATGGACAGTTTCCAGTGTTTGTGTAGGTTAGGGCGTGGGTAGAAATTAAGAGTTCTGTTTTGAATATGTTAAGTTTGAAATGATTATCAAACATCCAAGTGGACATGTCAAGTACCCTGTTGGGTATCTAAGTCTGATATTTAGGGGAGAGAGCTGGGCTGAAGATATAAATTGGGGAGTTGCTGCCATAAAGGTTTGGGAGCAGAGGAGATAACAAGTGAGAGTGCAGAGAGAAAACATAGGGACAGACTGAGCCTCAGGGCACACCAATTCAGAAACTAACAGAGGAGGAGACAGCAGTGGTGATTGAGAAGGAAAAAAAAATCCACGAGAGGAGCTGTCATGGAGGCTCAGAGAAAAGTGGGTTCCAGGAAGAAGGGAGTGATTGACTGTGCTGGAAGCTATTGAGAAGCTGAGGAAGATGCGGCAACAAGGTGGTCATTGGTAGCTTTGATCTGAACAGTTCTGGTGAAGCAGTGGTGTCAGAGACTTTAATGGAGTGTGTCAAGGATAACAGGAGATGAGTCTAGATAATACCTATAGACAAGAAGTTCGAAGTGTTTTGTGTGAAAGGGAGCAGTAAAGTGGAGTAGAAGCTAAAGGAGAATGTGACACAAGAAGTTTTTTCCTGGGGCAGTATTAAAGATTTTATATGCCAATGGGAAAGATTTAGTACAAAGGGAGAAACTGATCATGCAGGAAAGAAAGGGAATATTTTCAGGGAAAATACTCTTCAAAGATTAAGCACCCACAAGTCTTTAAGAGGTGACGTGGAACATGTGTGTGGCGTGAGCCATCATATGACCTACAAGACAGAAGGGCTAGGACACCTATATTACATAAGGACTTGGGAGCTGAGTAATCTTTATTTGCCAAGTTCTCATGAGGTCTACTCCACCCTAGCTTCAAATTTACCCATGTCACAACGGCTAGTGGTAGAAGCTAAAGAATATATCTGATAATTATGATCTGAAAGTTGTTTGGGTAGTTATAAAAGTAGGTGATTAACTCAATATACAGCTAAAGAGGTCTTAGAGGACTTCTAGTTTGGTCTCGTATCCACTTTAGGCAACTGAATCCTAAAGGTCTTAGAATGGACACCTCACTATCCCTTGGGAATTACTTCTAGGATGCTGTCACAATGCCACGTATTTAGCACAAATAGCAATTTCCTCTTGTTTTGTGATTAATGGTCATAGGATACAGCTGAACTGTAATTTTCTTCACCCAAAGACCTTTATGTATTTGAAATTAGAAATTAACTTTACTTTTTCTTCTCTAAGCCAAACAACCTCTTTCTCTTGATTTTCCTTTACAGATCTTATCTTGTATCATTTGGCTAATCTTGCCTCTTTCCCTTCTCTCCAACTGTTTTTTTTTTTTCCCTAAAGTGTAGTGACCAGCAATTGACAAACTACTCAAACAAAGTCTGAATAATCCTGAGAGCAGTGTGGGTATTTCAACACGTCTCCTTTAGACAGATGAAAGGCTGACCTGGCTCTGCCAAGACTTGAACACATTCCAGTTCCTGCTGATCTGAGAAGTCTCTTCCACTTGCGTTTTTCTTCTTTTACCTGGCAATTTGAATAAAATGAAAATACAACCAGATGTATAGGGAAAAGAGTTTTTAGTGTACCTATTCTTTAAAATCAGCTTGAGCTTTATGTAAAAGTCAAAATGTGCACATACCAATTCCTTCTAAAATGTAACAAATATCTGAATATACCAATAAAATGTTTTGTCTCTCAACTGCATATTCCACAAAGTATTTCTTAAAATCCAAAAGCAAGTATTCAGATGAGGTAATTAATTAAGTGAAGTGTTGGGTTTGGAAAGCCTTCTACTATTTTGAGGCTAATGATGGTTGAGAAACTCCTATGGGGGTGTGTGTGTGACAGAGATTCTGCCTGCTAATTACTTCCCAAGAAAAATCTAAGCATCCAACAATCATTCTAATTTTTCCTAAGAAGCATGAAATATCACATCACATTACATTATGTTATGCCAAGTAACAGGATGTTCTTGGGGTAAACATGACAAAACAATACAGCTGGAAAAAACAAATTGAAAGGCCAAATGATGTGCATATAATTTTGGGTAGGTAGTGCTATAAAAAGAAAGAAAAAGGTGCACACTGATAATAAGACTTAGAGGTGACTTACAGGTTTTGATACCCACAGGTGATTTTAGGAAGGCAGCT
Source organism: Homo sapiens (assembly GCF_000001405.40). Classification (NCBI taxonomy): domain Eukaryota; kingdom Metazoa; phylum Chordata; class Mammalia; order Primates; family Hominidae; genus Homo; species Homo sapiens. The sequence goes on from NC_000006.12 coordinate 90,063,590, forward strand.
TTGTTTTAACCATAAGATTAATGCCATAAGCTTTGGCTCTTTTACTTATATTTGTTTCACTCTGAACAAGCATTGGAGCCCTTTTGAACTTCAATTTTTTCCTCTGTAAAATGGGAATACTACTACCCACCCTACCTCTTTCATATGGCTGTTGTGAGATTCTAATGCCTGGCATATTTAGGTGTTTTATAAATGTCTAATTGGATACCGATAGATATCTGAACTGGATTTAATATTCTGTATGTCACAGATTCCAGTCTGTACATTTTTTCATCTAATGATATTTCAGAAATAAGGATATATCTTATAGTTGGTGGCTTATATTTTAATTAACTCTTTCTTTCTTGGTGGTACATAATATATTTAAACCAATGGCCTCTTAGAAATATGGCAAATGAAAGAGTTGGGAAATGGCAAAAGTGCTATGCAAATATCAGTTATTTATTCATAAAACGAAATTTTACCAAAAGTCTCCCTTATGCAAGGCATTCAGAAGAAAATGAAAATGAATAAGATTGGGTCCTTAATCTCCAGAAGAGTGCAATGCACGAAGTGGATGACTCAGGATAACTCAAATGCTAAACAGAATGTGATATGTGCCATTTGAGTAGCATTCACAACTTGGCACCTTGTGAATGCAGAAGAGGAAATAACTTTCAGTAGGGTCAACCAAGGAAGCAGCATGGAGGGGGTGGCACCTGGCCTGGCCTTGACAGATGCGTAGTATCTCAACAGGCACATATGGGAAGGGGAGATACCCTACGCAGAAAGGACAAGTGAGGCATGGACATAGGATGCACAGCAAATATTCTGAGGAATATGGTCCAGACAAGAAGCGGTCCAGACAAGAAGGAGCATGGGGACCATGATGGGCTGCTTGCTCTAGGATATTAGAGATCTGGGCTCAATTTGGTGAATGGGTTAGGCTCCTGAGCAAGGAGCAGCCTGATGAAAGTGGGGCATTAGGAGCCTGTACAGGGGGACCAGTTAAGAAGAGGCTGGAAGCAGGGGCATCCTAAAGCAGGCCTTGTGCAGGCTTGAAAAGTCCAGCTAATAAGTGGGTAGTAGGGGTAGACAGGAAATAACAAATGGATGGTAGAGCCATAGTTAAACGCTAAAGATCCTTAATGAGAATCCTAGAGAGAAAGCCCATTCCACAAATGGATAGAAAGGATGCACTGAATTGATGTTTGACTGTGTGCTCCTTGAGGATGGGAACTGCATGCTTTGTACATCATTGTATCCCAGCACCTGGTACATGGTACTTACACAATAACTATTTAATATACTCCCTTCCTCCAAAAATTCCATTTATATTTTTAATTCAATTCAGCAAGCATGTACCTATCACGTGCTTGATGCTGGACACTGGGGTCGGGAAGAATGGGCTGATGTGGTGGACTGTTTTTCAAATGGCTGCAAGAATTCCTTCCTTACAGAGTCTTGGGTGGTCCCTCCAAAGCTGACTCGGGGCTTAGCCATAGGACTTGCTTTTACCAAAGGCATAACAGAAAACGTAAGGTAAGCAGAAACTTGGAGAAAAAAAAAAAAGCCTATACATTGATAAACTAACGAGTTCCAGTCTGGACAGGTTGAATATGAAATCCTTGAGGCATGTCCAGCAGGCAGTTTGGTGTAAAGCAGTAGGTCCTGCTGCCACCCCACCCCCTGCCGCCCCCACTTTTTTTTTTTTTTTTTTTTTTTTTTTTTACCCCTGAGGGCATCATATAAAGAATTCCAGGCTAGCCTCCTGGAGGATGAGAGAACATGTGGAACAGAGATGAGTCATCCCAGGGGAGGCCTCCCCAGACCAACCATCCTAGAATGGGGGGTAACAACCTTTTTCTTAAAGGACCAGCAGGAAATACTTTAGGCCTGTGGGCCATATGATCATCTCCATTCCAAATACTCAGCTCTGCTGTTGTAGTGCAGAAGCAGCCATAGACGATATGGGAGTGGCTGTGTTCCAATAAAACCCTATTTATAAAAACAGGTGGCAGGCCTGTGGGCTATGGTTCGCCTACCTCTATCCCAGATTATTCAGCCCCAGTCGAGCCAGTCCAAACTAGAAGAACTGCCCAGCCAACTCACAGAATCGTGAGAAATAGTAAATGCTTGTTGTTTTAAGCCACTAAATTTGGAAGTGTTGTTACACAGCTAATGCTAACTGATGAAAATGGTATAAAACACATAAAGCATACACCCTGTTTCAAGGCACTTAAAATCCACCTGTGGAAGCACGACACGTGTGGGAAACATTTAAATAACCATAGAAGGCAGTATGTGACTAAATGTCAAAATGAATGATGCAGGAGAATTAGAATTATAAGGATTTATAAAAGGGAAAAATCAGTTTGGACACACAAAAAACTTGGGCAGCATTTCATAAAGAATGGGTAGAATATGACAGTTCCCTAAAGATTCCTGTTTCCTTTTCACTGCCCTTCTTTATGCTGCCTACTTTTATGTCTATGTACCCCAGCAGACTGGGAGCCTCCTGAGGGAAGGTCTTATTTTCTATTTTCTAGGTTCCCAGAGTCCAGTGCAGTGCTTGGTTCACAGCCAGGCTCAGTATGTACTTACTGAAGAAACCAATAAGTCCACAGGTGGAGAGGAGAAAGAGCATCTATGTGGAAAAACCAAACCTCATGATCAAAGAACACTGCACAGGAATTCACGTGGTGCATTCAAGAGAGGTGACCAGTGGCTCAGGGAGAAGAATGAGATTGGGGTAAGTAGAAGCTATAGCTGGCCATGTGACTCTGGGTCATGGGGTGGGGGTGATGAGGCAAAATGAAGGACACTGACTTTCAGGGATTTGAAGCTATATGTTACTGGAATATGTGACCTAGCTGACATTTATGAAGATAAGTTTGGTGGCAGACGGTAGGGTGGATTCCAGGCAAGGAGAATAGTTAGGACAATTTACTAATCCAGGAACGAGGGAGCAACTAGCCTGGGAGATGGTGGGAATATCAAGGTGTCAGCTCCTGATAAACACCAAATAGAGCTGATCATGTGCTTCAGCATAAACTACAAAAGAAAAGAGAGACATCTCAGGCATTCCTTCATGCCACCTTTACTGAGTACAAGGTATTATTAAGTCATGTGTTCTGAGCCCATGAAGACACTAAGTAGATCTATGTTACATTTGGAACCAAGATACATAAGGTCAAGGCCACCACTATACTCATGGAGAAGCACAAGACAACCAGGAATTGTGAGTGAGGCAACTGCTAGAATGGGCAGGGCACAAGGTTTGCAGTGACACACACAGCCTTAGAGCCGGGCTCCATTCTTATTAGCTGTGCGATGTTGGACAGACCATGAACACCACTGATGATGGTATTCATCTTGCAGGCTGGTTGAGAATTATAGAAAGGATGGGTGACGTGCATAGCACAGTCCCTGAATAGAGCAGGCACTCGTATGATTCACAATTACAATAAAAGCAACATGTAATAGGGAACACATGAATGGTATAATCTGAGTGCTGTAATAGGGCAGAGAAAGAAAAATCACTTTTGGCTGGGACAGTCACTTTGGATTTGAGAGTGAGAATAGCATGTGGTCTGGTGGCAAAAAATGAGGACGATTTTGACAAGTAGGGGAAGGGGAAGGTCGTTCCAGGAAAAGAAAACGTTCTGTGGAAGGGAACAGAGATAAAAGACGGAGCCCCTCTTGTGGAGTGTGGTGGAATTTAGTTTGGCTGTTGCAAGGTGGAAGGTGAGGCTGGGAAGCAGGTTAGGGTCAGACAGCAGAGTGGCTTGAATGCCAGGAAGGGGAGCTGGGATGTTACGCAGTAAGTAGTGAGGTGCTGCTGAAGGATCCTGAGTGGGCCAGTGACACGATCAAACCCCAGGTGGCACTGTGAGTGGTGTGGAGGCAGGAGACACTCATGCAAGGAGGGCAGGAACAAGGTGAGGCATGCCCCTTCCAGGGATTGGCCACAGCAACGGCAGGAGAGGGCATGTGAGAGAGGATGCAGAGGACGAGCTGGCCACATTGGGAAACAGTGAAGGTCGGGAAGGAGAGGGTGGAGGTGAAGTTCACTATGAAATGAGAACATAGACTGACTGGTTGACTCATTGGTTCATTCAGTTAAGCTGCCATTGAGCTTTGTTTGTTATGTGCTCAACACTTCTAAATGGTGGTAATCGGCTGTGCACAAGACATGGTTGCTTCTCCCCAGGCCAGGGAGTGTCACCAAACACACACGTTCTTTCTAAAAGACTATGCATGCAGTGTGGTCACAGTGTATTTATCATTGTAGCTAGTCCCCAGAGTATACCACAGGACTTGACATATACTAGATGCTCAATGTTTATTAAACTCATTCATTCACTCAACAAATATTTATTAAGCACCCATTCCATGTTGGGCATAGTTCTAGGCAATGGGGATATATCAGTGAATATAACAAATATTTCTGAGGTTCCTTGAGATCTCTGTGCATTCAGTTTACACCCAAAGCATAAACAAAATCACTGCACTTATTCTAATTATGTTGTAGAATTGAAGTCAGCATTTCTTTGTATTTTTTCCTCCAGAGTTAAAAGATACTTATTGTGAAAGTATCAAACATCCCATTATGGAATTAAGTTCAGAGCTTTTAAAAAATTGTGGTATTGATTTTGAGATTGAAATTAAACATGACATGGTACAGAATATATTCACTCAAGCAACCATTTAGGAAGACCTAATTTGTAAGCTCATCTCAGGCACCACTGAGTACAGTAGTGATGAATCAGAAAATCCCTGTCCTCAAAGGTCTTTATATTTTACAATAAAAGTCCTTACATAGTTAGCACCTTGGTTTTCAAAGTGCTTTTGCATATGTCTCTTCTCATGTGAATGTCAGGACAATGCGGGGGTGTACACAAGGCAAGCATTTCTCTTCCTGTACCTCCCATGGAGACGCTGAGGCCCAGGGCTGCTGGTGAGTCATAAGCTGACCCAAGAGTCAAGAGCCATGCTCTTTCCAGTAGTCAGTGGCTCCCAGAGAAACACCATGCTCCATAAAAGGTGGGGAGAAACAGGTTGTTGTTGTTTTTTTTTTTTGTTTTCTTGGAAGGGAAGAAATTCAGTTTTCTGACCTAAAAATTAGAAATGACTGGAGCGGTAAAGTTATTCTGCTAAGTAAAAAGCAACATAGCTGAGTGGGAGAAAAACCAGAAGAAATTCAACATGTTCTAAGGGATGCACCTGGAGAGTGTGTGGCTTCTGTTCTGACTTTTATATGGACAAGGATAATTAGCATCGTTTTCCTGTAAACTGTATTCAAATTTCCACATGCAGCAATGCTCCCCTGGATTCGCGCCGTAATCATTACATCACACTTACAGCATGTACCAGTTTACACCCCGGCACTAAGTAAAATACAATTTCCTTTCTTCCTTTGATTATTTTGCCTTCCTTCCTTCTTTGCTTCCCTCTGTCTTTCTGCTTTTACTGTTACTCCCACATTTACTGAACTAGATCTCATAAGGATTCCTGGGCATCCACAGATGAATGAGCCACAGTTCCTGATGCTTGAGTAGCAGACTAGGATGGGAGGAAGCCTGAAGACGGGATCCTATCATTCACTTCAGTATCTGCCCCACAGTCCGCTGCTGGGTCTGAGACAAGGACTTGGTTCCTGAACACTGAGTGGATGGATGGAAGGATGGATGAGATGCCTGTATCCGGATGGCAGTGTTCCAATTTCTGACTCAGTAAAACAGTTGAAATTTATCCTCCCCTTCCCGTTGCTTTTTCTGTTTCAGCAACCCCCTTTCAATGAGAGAGGATGTGAACAAGAGAATCAAATTGGCATTCTGAAGCTCTTTATTTAAAGGCACGTATTTAGCAATTTGCTATGTCTGAGTTAATATATGGGTTAAGTTCCCTGTGAATGACACTCTCCTAACTTTAGCAACGTCATAAAGACAATCAGTTGCTGTGTGTCTGGCAAGTTAATGACTACAAGCCCAAGGGATGCAAGAATGGGAAAATGTTAACGTAGAAAAAAAGACTTTAAGCAAATTCAGAGGAAAATGGAAAAGGACTCACCACTCCCTCCCCAAAATGCTACACATAACATCTTGTTTTGAACAAGGAAGTTATGGAGAATATTATTCTAAACTTTGTATTCATTAGAACAATCCTTTACAGAATGCAGACAAGAAGGCGATTAGGGAAATTAGTAGGAGATAAAGAAGAAAAGAGTTTTAGGAAAAGATGGAAGCAGAGGAGGAAGGAAGAAGAAAAAGCAGAGAAGAAGACTCCATGCTAAGGTGACAGGGAAGCAGGAGAGGAATGTGAGCATGAGGTCAGGTCTGGGGGCAGGTAAAAGAGAACCTTCGGAGAACTTGACTGGCAGAGGTGGGTGAGAAAGGACACTCCTCTCCTGTCTTCCTCAGCTCCAGAGGGTGGAATGAGGCTGACAACACGATCATTGTGGCAGTTACTCTGCTGGGGGCTTTTATATATAACATTTTATTTAATCATCCAGTTCAAAGCCACCTGCAAGGAAGGAAATTATGTCCATTGTACTGGTGACAAAACTGAGTTTAGAGGTTGTTGGTCAAGGAGCAGGGGTTCTGGACAAGCACCCACCTACGGACAGCACACTGCCATCCACAAAGGACTCCTTCATCTTCCTTAAACCTCAGGCAATTCTGTGAAGTGAACAATATCATTTCCATTTTGCATGGCAAGAAATGCAGGCTTTGAGGGAGCCACTCGCACAGCTAGCAAGAGACCAGGAAGCACATGGACTGGGACTTGATCCAGTGCTCCTTCTGTTTCACTAAACAGCCTCCTTGAGGAAGTAGCTGGTTCCCTTCTTTTCACCCCATCCTCAGCTTTATCCTGTAGCCTGTGGCCAGATGAGTGCTGAGTACCAGGCCAAGCAGACACAGCATGGCGGTTGGGGTTGATGTCCCACGGTCCTCCTGACTGTAATTCTGCATGGAGTGAGGACTCTGATTCTTTAAAATCTTAGGGCTATCTGGTTCGTGCTCCCACACAGTGCAGCAGTCTTGTCTACAGCAGCCCCCAAACATAGCCTAAAAAGACAATGACTCTCATTCCAGTAGCAGAGGTTCACTGTTACTAAATGAAGCCACAGGTTCCACTGTGGGCTAGCTGTATCTGGAAGAAAATTCTTGTTTTGAGCCCAAATCTCTTTCTCTATAATTTCTTTTAGTTCTGCTTTTGCTAGAATAACAAATGTCTTTCAGATATCTAAATGCAGCTTTTGTGTCTCCCCTTGTTTTTCTCTTCTCCAGGCTAACCTTTCTCTGTTCCTTCAACCACTGGTTACAAGACAGTCTCTGACACCCTCTCCATTCCTCATGCTGTGTTCATAAAGCACTCAAGTTTGTTTGTTTTCCTTTTCTTTCCTTTGTTTTTTGTTTGTTTTTTTGGGGGGAAGTCAGAGTCTTGCTCTGTCACCCATGCTGCAGTGCAATGACATGATCATAGCTCACTGCAGCCTCCAACTCCTGGTCTCAAGCAATCCCACCGTCTTGGCTGCCCAAAGCATTGGAATTACAGGCAAGAGCCACCACGTCCAGTTTATGTTCCTTTTCAAATGTACTGGTATAATACTCCTAATGTGATCTAAGTACTGCAGAGTCTAATGAAATCATGACTCTTCCTTCTGTGGGCATGAGACCTCTTTTGTCACAGTTAGGATAATGTTAACTTTTTCAGCAGCCACTTTGTGGAGGAGAAAGCTAAGTCACCAAGCTCTTGCAGTACAGCATAATAAGTTCTGCGAAGGAGGCAGCCAGTGGGCTATGGCATCACAGAGGAGGGACAGCAAATTTTGCCAGAAAGGAACAAAGAAGCCTTCTTGGAGATGACACTTGAAGAACAACTCAAAGTGAGAGTAAACCAGGTGGAGAGAGTGGAAGGTCTTTCCAGGCAGATGGAAAAGATTTTACAAAGATGAGCTGGTGTGAGAGAACATGGCAGTACAGCCTTTTCTTCCCCATTGCTTCTCTTTTCAATTCCTTTCTTCAGCCTTTCTCTGACTTAGCTTCACTTTCGGATGTTCTTTTCAGTTAAGGCTTGGGAAGACCCTTGCATAACACAGGGGTTGGGGCGCCGATCCCCGACGCAGTCGAAAATCTACATATCACTTCTGACTCTTCCAAAACTTAATAGCCGGCTGTTGGCTGAAAGCCTCACTGATAACATAAATAGTCCATTAACACATATTTTGTATGTTATATGTATTATATACCTGCAATAAAGTGAGCTGGAAAAAACAAAATGTTATTAAGAAAATCATAAGAGAAAATACATTTCCTAAGTGAGAGTGGATCATCATAAAGGGCTTCATCCTCACGGTATTCACATTGAGCAGACTGAGGAGGAGGAAGAAGAGGGATTGGTCTTGCTGTCTCAGGGGTGGCAGAGGCAGAAGGGGTGGAGGAGGTGGAAGGGAGGCAGAAGAGGCAGGTACACTCAGTGTAACTTCTATCGAGAAAAAAATCCACGTATATGTGGACCCACGCACTTCAAACCTGTGTTGTTTAAGGGTTAATTGTACTATGTTCTCCTGTTTTAAGAAGTATCTGTTGCATGGAGTTGAAAGTTCTTCAACTTGTTTACTGTATTAAGTGAGCATCAAATAGCCAAAGCACTGGCAATGTTACTATAATAAGTAGTTTTGGAGGTTGTGCCTCTACTTGAGTGAACTGTTTGATTAGGTTAGAAAAGCAAATGGTACCCTAAGTATCAAAAGGCAGCCAAAGGTCACTCAGGGCCACAGGCTGGACCACAGTGCTCCAGGGTCTTTGCCCCATTATGAGCTGATCTGTTTTTCCCTTCAATGCCTCCAGCCAGCAGTGTTGAAATGAGATATTTTAGGATTTCCAAACTATTTCTAAGGCTGTTAGTCACAAACTCTTATCAAGGCAGTTTTCTCAGGTTGGTTAGCAGACAGGCTCAGAGCCTCACCTTTGCAGGTCAAAGCTCGAGAAACCCTCCACATGATAATTCACGCATCTGTTATTTTTTTACCTGTCCCTTCTCTGCCTTTAGCTTCTCAGTCATCCAACCCCGCCTCTGTGAAAAGTGCACAATGACTCAAGGCTTTTCTTAGGCCTCTGACAGGTGAACAAAGAAAAACACCTTTCACAAATCCATTCTATCAAGGGATAGAAGAAGAGAGAACAGAGCCTTCAGTAAAGAACCCTAAACATCCCACCAGAAAGTCCCAAACAACCCTGAAAAGTGAGAATAAAACTACCAAAAGCTGACAGAGGGTAACAAGCATTATTTCCAACCCACACTTGTCCTTCTAAAAAAAACCAACCCGCTACTGAAAAAACCCCTGAAATGTATGAAATCTAACATCGTTAACATATTTCCTGTCCTCACATAGCTTATAAAAATGTTTCTGAGCTTTTCCCTGGCTCATTTACAACGATGAGAAGGAGCAAAAAGGAAATGCAACAGATGGTACTGAGGGAGGAGGTACTACCATCCTCGCTCACAGTCATCCATCTTCGCAGTAAGTTATCCCCGCTTGGGCGAGGTTTCAAACGTTTTTCAGATGTACCAATGGCGTATTCTTGCTCGAGAACAATGAAGATGAGGCTCCTTTAAAAAGCTTCAGGTTAGAAGGCATGTTTACTACTGTCTATTTTTGTTGTTTCTAAAAGAGATCACCTCAGCTTTCCCTCTGAACCTCCCCAAACTGACTCTGCGAGAATCTAATCTGGTACTGATTTAGAGCTGACAGGTGGTACATGCATAATTAAAGATGACCTAACACAGAATGCTCTCATTCCTGGCATATTATCAGACACTTAAGGAAAGCAATTATCAGTAGGCAATCTTTTCTGTCAACAGAGATCGAGATGAAACATTTCTTCAATTAAGAGAATTCTGCAAGGATGCTGTACATATCCATCTGCAAATACTTGAAAACCTTTAGAGGTTAATACTAAGTCAGCTCAATGAAACACCTTTGGCCAGTTAACACATGCTCTCCTCTCCTCCCACTTTTCCTGGGAGGTCACATTTCAAACATCAAAATCGGAACAATTTTAAGGTGCTGCCAGACACCCTGACATGAGCGGACAAGGAAATCTCTGCATTTTTCTGCCTTGCTGAGGTCTGAAAATATAACAAGTTTTCCTTAAAGGTTCAAAGCAAAAAAGGATAGGGTTCACATTAAAGCAAATTCAATTAAAATTTCCCTTCAGAGCAGGATTATTCCCTCTCCATGCTCCACCCATGTCAGAAGTATTTAGAGAATTATTATCAAGCCTTAAAACTTCGTCTTGAATCTAAGTGATTTAAAGGATTTTTTTCTTTCATTTTGAAGAAATCAATATTACTCAAAGAAAAAAGGGACTTGACAAAAACGGAGGAATTTCCCATTTCAGGTGAAGGAGGGAAGAGGTGCCGCATTTCCTGATAGAATACTGTGCTTTTTATAAATTATAGTGCATGCACTTTGTATAAATGAATGCATTTAAGCTTTCCTTAGAACAGAAATTGCTTTAATGTTATAGTGAGACAAGTGATTTTCTTTTCTTTTTTAAAAGGGTAGTTTATAAGTTAATGGTTTTTTGAAGCCCATGTAAAAACTGCCTTCCACAAGACAGAGAACTTCACAATGTTTGTGGTGCATATTTTGCCACATTTCACAAGAGGTCTTATTGTTTAAATTCTTATAGCCTTATGTCATATGTGAACAAATGACTTTATTGTTCATTTGAACATGTCTTTATAGGATCTCTGGTGGTAGAGCTAGTGTTGTTGTTTGCATTTTTCCCCTCAACAAGCCAGAACAAAAGTCTCTTTTACTGAAGCGCTGGGAACTCAGGGACGATGGCAGTGTGGCAGCAGTTGTCAGTTGGAAACACCATAATGATAATGTAAGTGAAGTGCTCACATTAAGGGGTTGACTTCTGACAAGTCAAGGTCTACAGAAAAGTTTCCGCTACAGCAGACATTATGGTAATGCAAAAACAGAAGTACTTAATAGAATAATTAAGAATCATCCAGTACACTATTACTGCAGTAGGGCTCAATTCCTTTCGAGATATGCTTTCCTTGGAAGAGACTCCATTCAGAATATTAGGGGAAAAATATCAGTAGCCTTTGGGGAGAACATAATCAGATGGGAGGTGGAAGCGATGGCGGGATCATTAATGGGAGATTCAGTAGGACTCAAAGCTCAAGTTCATTATATTCCTTAGAACTAAGAATAGCTTCTGAATGAGTACTCACAATTCTCCACAGACCTATTTCTCCTAAGGAGCTCCCCCTTTCTCCCTTTCCAATTTTAATCTAAGAAAAAGAATAGAATACAGACAGACATGGGTAGGTAAGCAGGAACAAAGGAACCTCTACAGAATGGAAGAGAATCTAAGCTAGTTCCGTTTTAGATGTTGTTAAATCCCTTTGACCAGGATTCAATTTAGAACAACTCAAAAGATACAGTTTGACAGCATGCTGCATCAAGAGGACAGGAGAAAGAAAGAAGTCACAGGTGTAATGTTGTGGCAAACAACAAAATGTTATTTCCCAGTGCATGTCATGGACGAAAAGAACATATAAGATATAAGGCACATACTACCATTAAAGTAAACAGAATACAAAAAGGAAAGATTTTAGTGAGTTTATGTAGGGAGAGACCCTCATTTCTCACACAACTCAGAGTCCCTGACTTTTGTAGGACTTCAGTGAATAAAGCAAAGTCTGTAAGCACAGCCTTTCTATGCTGAGGATGATATATGGCACAAAAACATTTTACATGATGCCTTTTACACTTAGATATTATTTTAGAATCATAAACTAAAAGCGTTTTTAAGGTGGAGGTACCCGGCATAAAATAGATGTATCTTCTTTTTAACCAAGGCTTCTCCTGTCCACACTCAAACCTGGCTTTCCAAGTGTGTTGGCTTTACTATTTTATGATTGGATGAATAAAATAAGACTGTTAACTATGGCTACAAAATAAATTACGATACCCTGACCCCAACAGAGTATTATTTTGGAAAGAAAAAAAGTCAAATCCAAGATATTATTATCGTAACTGCAATCTACTTGTGACCCTGTTTCAGAAAACCTGCCATTTGGAAGCCTTATGGAGACATTTTTCAGAATCTTATGTATTCTCTCTGTTAACTGATCAGAGATACTTCTCAGGTTTCTTTCACCAAGGACAAAATATGACATATACTTAAGAAAGGATGGATATTGTTTCAGGATCTCTATCCATTCAGGAGAAGACACTTGCTTTTTAGTTAAAAAATGACTGTGACTAATTCCAGAGCACCTGGTATTGGCTTTTTCAAGAATGAGCATTTGAAGTCAAACTGGAAAATGGTGACTGGCACATCTGCAATGATCTAGATGATGGTAAGAGACGATCCAGAGATGGTAAGAGACAGATAAACCCAAAAAGGCTGGCCTCACTTTGCTGCAGAGGGATAAAAGAAAATAGAAGAAGCGAAAAAAATGATTTTTCTCTACAAGTCCCACTCTAGGAATCACCTTTGTTAACTTTGAGTTCTTTCACAAAATGAAATGTTATGTGACAATACAATCTGTTTCCCTTAGGGATGGAAGGTGATGAGGGGAGACCAGTGATAGGTGAGATTTAAAGACACGTAAAGGAAGGGTGGAAAAGAAATGCATTATGTTACCGAGCGAATGAGGATTAAATCTTCATAATGCATGTCAGATTCTCACAAAAAGAAAATAAAACAAGGGCAAGCTTTTACTGAACACCTAATATCACCCAGCTGTGAATAAAAGAAAAAGAATCTCACTCTGACCAATTCATACAAATTGACTAATACTTATTCCCTTATGGTCCATGGTAACCCATACTCCAAGCACACATGATGTTCTTTCACATGTACACATTTGTAACTTTCTGTAAACTAATTAGCGAAGGAGAATACAAAATAGGCAGGTATAATGGAAACTAGTGAATTCCATCCCTGAAGCTAGTTGTACTGTAATATCTTCTGCATGGTGCCAACAGCCCCCTTTCCCTTTGCTTGTTCCGACACAATGCCTTCAGGTCTGTCTAAGTAATGTAATTTACTAGAGTGGAATTCCCTCGGTACCCTGTGCAGTACTTGGTGACAGTATCATTTATACTCCACCGTGTCGTGGCCTGACACTGATCCATCCGCCTTCATCCCTCATTCAGAGGAGAGCATGCAATTTCACCTTCCTCCGTGCCCTTCTCTGGTGTGCACGTACACATTCACTCCACTCAGCCCTAATTACAAACCTGGGTTAAAATACTCTCATTAGATTTATATTTCACACTCCAAATGTCAATCTTGTTGAAAATTCCCGTTTTCCGGAGGATTCATCCATTAGCAATAAACTTTAAAGCATTCTGTGACTGAGTGCATTAAACCAGCAATGCGGACATGCACTTAAAATACATCATTAGAGAAAATCTCCATTGCAAATACTTTACACTATTCAACCAAAGGAATAATGAGCCCCGCCTGGCCAGTACCCTCAAACTGCACATGAAGGATAAGTTAAAACTGGCAGTTTTGCAGGAAGGAGCACACAGTGTATCCACAGGATGCATTTCAGAATCTGTCATTCCTTATGAAAGCGTGGGAGGGAATCACAGCCAGAGTCTAATTTATCACCTTCTCTCACCTATTATTTTTACAGAAACTTCGGTCTATGGCAAAGGGCAAGAGGGACGGCGAAGATAATGGGGAATATATGAGTGTGTACAGGGAACAGAAGCTGTATCTGCAATGCCAGGAACTTTGAAAGTCACCTAGAATGATTTGCTCGGCCTGAAAAGCATTCTTCCATTTCGTTAACAGAGAAAAGTGGAGAAAGCAGCATTGTCTGGAGACACTGGAGAAGCGGGTATCATTTTAATACAAGACAGATTTCCCTGGCAGAGTTGACCTGAGAAATGTCTTTATTCCAGACTGATGGTTCCTAACACAAAAACCAAAAATCTGATGAGAATACTAATATATAAATTATAAGTCACAAGTTGTATCTGGGACAGGGATGGTAGGACAGACTAAGAAAAGGAAAATTTGAAGAGGATTGAAAAACAACCCAGCAAAATACAACAATTAAGAAAACTAAGCCACCACTGTTTTATATCTGTCCTGTATTTTAATTCCTTAGCTTATAGGTTTAATTCATCACTTCTTGTCAGGTCTCAGGTGAGGCAAAGTTAAGATACAGTCATAACTTCTCTTTAACTTTGATAAATGAAGAAACAGCATTCTAGGAAAGTCCTGGAGGAGGTTAAAGGGAGACTGATTTGAAGTCTCAGCATCTAATCCTGAAGGCTAACAAAAAAGTTATGTCCACAATTATGACTTTGTACTGTGAAATACACAATACACTTTATAATGCAAAACTTTGGTGGGTGGAAAAGGACTCTAGAAGGACAGGTATACATTGTATTAAACAGAAAATAACTTGCAAAGCATAAAAAATAAAAATAAAAGCAACAGCAATTGTTTTCTACCTGTCAGCATCTGGTCAATCTGTCAGATTGTTCAGTAACCAGAATTATAACAGATGCAATATTTTCTGTGGGGAATTACACCACCATGGAAGCTATTGCTCCTGAAGTTTTGCCCATTTCCACCTGAAATATTTTTTTAGCCTTACTTGATTACAACATTAGCACTCTCTTTCATAACGTACACCAGCAGGTACTACAATTAACATGCACAGATGTTAGAACTGAACATCCATGTTTAAATAAAAAACAGGGAGAAGGTAAAAATTACTGAATATGCTCAACACAGCACTAATCTTAAAAGGAAAGAGAGGCTTACATTGTGCTAACTTAACAGCAAAATAAAAAAAACAACAATCCCCCAGTTGGCATTAGTAACCTAAGAAGAAGCAAACCACTCTATAAATGCCTGTATTCTTCTGAAACACTGAACCAGAGGCTGATCTTTTGTCCATTTAATTCCAAAATTTGTACTCCAAGAATAGAGGAGAACTCCCAAATGCTCTCAAATTCTCCAACACATTTTATGATGCAACTGCACAAATGACGATAACACCAACATCATTTTGTGGAGTGCTGGCTTTGTGCTTTATGTACGTCATCTCACTGAATCCCCACAACCACCCTCTCATTCAGGCAGGCAGTACTACTTCTGTTCCCATTTTCAAATAAAGACACCCAGGCCTAGGAGAGGTTAACAGATCAAGGTCAACAAGTAGCTAAGCTAAGATTTGATCCGGAGTCTTTTTTTCCTCCTAAAGCTCTCAACTCATTGTAACCACTGTGCCACACTGTCTGCCACAGTTGGGGATGCCAAAGAAAAATGTGATTTGCAGTCTTCATTTTTCAGAATCTTCTGGAACTGCCCTCTTGACTCATCCATTTTACAAAGCTCATCAGACTGAAAGGCTCAGAACACTTGCAGACATTCTCATTCTTTGGAAATGCCACAACCACTCAGTCAGTGGAATGGGACAGCACCATCAATGGGATTGCGAAGGCACAAATTTCCCTGTGAATGCTGGCGCCGCCTCTCTTTGGTGTTTCTTCTAGCCACAAACGGACACGTTATCACTTACTGTGGTTGCATTCGACTCAGCAGCCAGATGCAGGGGAGTTTTTACTTGGTTAACTGTCCCTCCAACATCTGTGTCTACAGAAGATACTACAGGGCAGGCGTGTGCTCATCCTTGTCCCTTCTCCCTCCTCCAACCAAACACACAAAAAGTTTTCCAATCTCTAGGGCAACACCATTAAGATATCCTTTCCTTGCTGTGCTATGAGTTTACAAGAAATAACTTTCTAACAATAAGCCAAGAAGATGGATGTTGTAAAACTGCATTTCAAATAAGGCAATTCCTTTTTAAAAAAGATTCAAGGGTTTCACGCTTCTTTCTTCCTTCCATCAACACAATTTGTTTATGTATGAGTTGGATCTTTCTTCCTTCGGAAGAGAAAAGTGCTGATAAACTATCATGTGTAGACACACAACGCAAAAACTTGGTTGCCTTTTGCTATTTAAACAGAGACAAATTATTTCCCAATATACCACTTACCAGACAGATGCAAAGATGTGGGCAAACCAGTCATCAGAATTAACAGAGTGATTTTGCTTGCACTACATATTCTGATTTGTATGACTCTTATTTTTAGCCATGCACAAAGGGCAATAAATGGAAAATCTTATTCTAACCGCTACTTTTTCTGGGCCACCCACACTGCCCCACCTACCACACAACTTCAAAATGTAAAAAAACCCAGACCAGGGTTTGTCCTAACAAGGGATGCAAAGTGGCTAAAATGTGTGACATTTTTTCCAGTTAGTGTTTGTACTTTCATTTTTTTTTTTTTTCTGTCTCAGGACTTTCAGGGAAAACAATGTTGACTTACCAATGGGCATTTTCAAAGACTCTAAGTTGGTATGTCAGTCAGTGTACAGACAACGTGATCCGCAAGGCACGGGCACCACCCTGCCGTGAACCACATCTCAGCCAATCTTCCGCAAAGAAATGTACCCAAAAACTTTTCTGTAAATTCAGGAAGGTGATCCACACCTTCCACATTTTGTTTTGAAACAATGATGGTATTTTAAAAGTTCTTCAAATTAACAAAAGTGATATCAGAAATATAAACATTTCTAAAACAGAGCGGGCTGTGAGGAGTGATTTTGCCAAACTTAAGTCAGTAGCACTTGACTTATATCTGCTTTTAGTCTGCGGTGGCACCACGCTTACCAAGGCACAGTATCCCCTTGCTATCCCTTTCCTTCTGTGCATTTTTTCTTTCTGTATGCCTTAACCACACTTCTCCACCTGATAACCTGAAGCTTATCAAGCATTAATTCACACATGGTTATCACTGTGGATTGAAGCATCTGATATTTAGAGATAACCATCTTGACGGCAAATAATAAAAACAAAATTGATGAAGAGGATATTTGCCAGGGGCACAGAGAAGATAGAGATGAGAGTCTATTTTTGATTACTATCTTTCCAGACTTTTAATAAAAAGTTATTACAGTCCCAGGATACCAATTAAAATGCTTGTTCCTCTGAGCCCTCTGCAAACCACAACAGCAAACATATGCAGGTAACAATTAATATTTAAAAGTCTAGTTCAACAAAATCATCAGAATCATTAGGAAACAAAAGGCGTCAACCCTGAGAAAGGCATCTTTACCTGTGTGCCTGCTCATTATCCAGAAACTAGAGGAAATGTTCTTTCATCGTCTGGTAGTTAGCACATGCCCTGCAGAGCTAACACCGTCTTCATGCGCGGTACTCGAGCAGCTCTGATGAGATGTCTCAGAAAATCTTTTTTGGGTGATAGTCCACTATCGCCAGAACTTCTGACTTGTGTTGTAAAAACACAGGCAATTAAGTATTACACAAAGTGGGTCATACGCCACTGAGACAACCACACCGCCCCCAAATCAGACTCCAAATGACTGTGCTGTGACAAGGTAGGAGGGGTCTGAACGCAGCGAAAGCAAAACTTTTATGTGGTGAGGAGCATTTTAGTTTTCACTGGTTTAGGTTAGAGAAAGTTAATCTCAATGTCAACTACAAAGCCAACAAACTTTTAGTGTGTTCTTGAATTTATATGACAAATGCTGGCTGTTCATCTAATGGGAAATTCAGATCCAATGTCATAAACAGTCTGAGGGACAGTCTCAGGCTTAAATGACATGCCCATCACTAAACAAGTGAGCACTGTGACTCAGTGAAGGAAGGCGGCCAAATCGAAACTAAAGATAAAGAACCAAATTCTCATTATCCACATTAGCATCTCCTTCTCCAAAGGAGGATCAAAGTACTGTATACCACTTCCCCACACCCGTAACCAACCAGGGCATTCAACACAATCGCAGATGCTACCCAAACACCCTTCAATTGCTGTAGGAAAAAGGTCAAATGTAGTTACCTGAATTGAGCACATTCATTCATCTGTCACTGAAGAGCCACAGAAATATTAATCCAATATACACTGAGTTCCTATTACATACAAGGACACAGAGGACATGAAGGGATGCTCTCAAAGTCACTGCTTTCAAGGAACTTAAGAATCCTTTACACGGGATGATAAAACCTAGATATAACCAATGTCAAAGACAGACTTTTTCTTTTTTTTTTAAACAAACAAAATCCCTTCTAGCAGCTAGCTGCTTACTAAATACTTCCTATTCTACGGACATAAAGTTTGTGGATTACAATTCTACATTTCTCAGATGAATCTTCTAACAATTCCTTAAATTTTACCTTGGTTTTCTTTCAGTGCTCAAAGCCCTTCCTAACCTTGGCCAAGTGTTAGGATTCATCCTAACCTGAAGGCCTAGTACTCTCCAAAGGGAAGCACAGAGATACCAGCACAACTCAAGGAGCTATAAAATCACACCACAGCAATCGGAAGAGATGCATCTTTAAAGGGGGATAAAGGATGCAAAGTTAAAGGAAAACTCTGTTCACAGCACAAGAAGGCATATATTTGAATGAAATTTTGTTACCAAAATTATAAAATCAGAATTTGATTGGAGTTCATATTGTTTGGATTGTGAATGCGGAATGGGAAGATCTGGCTAACTCAACCTTTCCCATTTCTGCCAAATTGCCTTATAGTACAGTGATTACTAATTTCTAAATAATCAGAACACAATCAGTTGACCTAACACCAAAGCCATCTTGTACATAACTGAATCTTCCTTTATGATTCCAGAGGCCCACTAGGATCTTACAGGGCCACTCACTATCATTTTGACTGACAGAAGGTAGAAATGAAAATACTGGTTGACAGGAATTTCCACCTGATAAAGATACTAGTGAGTCCACACAGCTATCTGTTCTTATAAGAGCTGATTAATATAATTAGAAGGAAGAAAAAAAAAGTAACAAGGAGATCACTGTCCTATAAGATGACACTTAAAGGCATCATTCCTAAGTGCCACCAGCTTGTAGGATGTAATCAGTCTAGAGCACTGCTTGTAAATTTGGAATTAGTTAATTAGTTTCTTGAAAAAAGTCTGGAAAAATACATAAAAGTATGAGTTAACAGGTAGGTTATATTTGGGCAGCCAGATTATAGGTAATTTATCTCTACCTTTATTCAATTTTCTGCTATTTTATAAATTATGTAGAATACATGTATCACTTTGATAATAAGGAAAACAAAGCTACTTCTGTTCAGATAAAAGGAAACAATTATTTTCTGATTGTGGTTCTGTCTAGAAATCAAGAACACTTCATCAATAAGTTTCTGACACTTTCTGTCAAGAAATCAAGGACCCAGCATACTAATCTGAACTGAACTGATGACAAGTAAGGCACAGAATACAGGAAAAACATGCTAGAAATAACAGATTATAGCTTCTAATTAAGCACCGCAAGGACTCTAAAAATCTTGCTATCCTGCAAAGCTTTGTAAATACTGTTCTGGGGCAGAAGAGCAGAAGTGCTTTTCCTCCTCATGACGCACAGTCTGTGCAACTTCCAGCTGCCACAAGGCTGCAGGCACACACTCTTACAAGATCTAGCTAATGGGACATCCTTGGAAAAACATGCTGCAATGCCCTGGGTTAAATCTGGGCTCACAGAGAGGCATCATTTCACTAGTGACAGGTGCATCCAAAAAAGAGCACACAAACCATTTCTTAAAAATCAACAGATTGGAAACTATTAGAATAAATTGATAAACAATTTGTACTACAACTGATGTCACTGGGCAGGCAGCTTTATAATAAAACATAGATTATTTGGAGACTCACGACTCAGAGAATTATCTTTTGAAATTTTTGATTTATATATTAATGTTTACAACCATGCTGGTAACATCACTCCTCTCTGTACCATTAGCAGAGAATGAAAATTAATTTTGATGATCTCTTGAGCAGAACATAATCTGAATCTGAAATGGAATATTACAAATAATCATATCATAGGTTCTTTTTATTTTTTAAAAAGAAACAGAATTGGCTTCAAAAGTATGCCGTTGGTTCCCAATGACTATAGGAGCTAAATACATAGGTTCATAAAATGATTTCATATATTAGTTTTAAAACCAGTAATATCACAACTTTTAGAGTGCTTAACATAAACAGAACATTCAACATTTAACCTCTGGCACTGGAAAGGTGGTAAAAGCCAAAACTTGCAGTTTCTCGAGAAGGATAAAAATGAATGGTATATTGTTCTGTCCTCAGTCAAAATTTTTAGATTATTATTAAAGCATGGAAATAGGTATACTAAAACCTCAGTTAATTAGACTATTTGAGGACAAGAATATTTTTTATTATTTTGATTTTCTGGTTAATTGACAACTACAAAATGCTTTTTGTTGAAGTTTTTCCAAAGCAGTTTCTTTTCCTCTTTATAAAACATCTAACCATTCTCAATGATTCAGCAGGTCAATGTCATCAGCTACAAGTATCCTCCAGGGTTTACACCCCACCTTTACTCAAAACCAAAGCTATCTTGTTTTCTTCATCGCTGAAAAAGGGAAGTGTGGTGTGTGCGGTAGGGTGGGGTGTGTGGGAGGGAAGGGGAGGGGGTGGGGAAGTATGAAGGTTAGCTAATTCAGGGTTCTGGCTAGTTGGGTTCCAGGTAGCAAAACCGTCAGTAAACACAAATTCAATGTCTGGAACCAGGCACATCTGATTCCTGCGAATGATGAGACAAGGACACAAGGAGATCCCACTAGGGTCTGTCTTTGTTGGTCTTCTCTACTTTATGTCATTTTGTCTCGGTGACTGCTGGTTTGATGCTCTTCTCTGTGGAAAATGTGTCAGTGTGTCTATCTAAAAATTCTGGTCTATGAACTCATGGGGGGGGAATTTATTTTGATTAGATTCCATATCCATGCCCTTTCAACTCAAGCTTAGGGTGGATGTCAAAGATGAATAAGCCCTTACTTTCCTCTCCCTTAGACTTGCTGACCTGAATTTTCTCCTCTACAAAAATCTTTAATTCCAGTTTTTTTTTTTTTTTGGTATCTCAGCGGCTCCCCATAGCAACTGACTCAGAAACCTCTTTTCCTTTGCCCTGTTTTCCAATACCTAAGTGAAAATCATGAAGAGTTTCTTTCTAAGCAGGTTTGGAAAGTCTGGCGTGAGAATGAGTGGACTAATTTATATATATTGTACTTTAACAAATTCATTTTACCTCTTTTCAGTTACACCTTTTCCTTAAGCAAAATTATATATAATGGTTCTGCTATAGGGCCTCTGTAACAGACTATATATATACTGGTATCTTAAGGAGATAGTAGGATAATTTAGGATAGCAGTTTGTGAACTTTTTGAAACCATGGATCCTTATAGATGACTCTTCAGGAATTCTAACCCCTGGTCAGCCCTAGGGGTAGAGGGTAAAGGTAGTGAAGACGACCTGAATAAAGTATGGCTACTGGGCCCCATAAAACTGTTGATTGTTCTTCAAAGCCAAATTTCTAGAAATGTAGAATAAAACACAAAAGCCAAAAAAAGTAGGGTACAATGGACTAACCTAGTGAGTTCCATCCTGTGTGTTCCTCACAGGACTACCGGCCACTCACTAACCTGTCTGTGACTTACGGGTACAATAATACCCATAAGTACAGAGATTTGGTGATGGGGGATAAATCTTGCTTCACTTGGAGAATGTAAAACAGGCATCATAATAATCATAGGCCCTACAGCGGGAGAACTATCTGCTGTGGATTTCCTCTCACAGCTTTCATTTTCTACTGCGCTGGAATCTACGGGAAGTCTGCATTCCCTGGTTCCTGCCTCCATGTCCACCTCCGCTGATTAAGACCTTTCAGAAGCCACAGTGAGGCACACAGCTCTGGGACTCTCTCTGTGCTCTGTGCATGGACTGGTTTACAAACACCCATCTGGAGGAACTGGAGCAGCCCCACTGCTGGAGCATGGGTGGCTCACGCTTTCCTTCGCCCCAGTGAAGCAGGTCTTCTAGATGTGTAAATGGCATTTTAGTAGAGACCACAGTTGTTTAAGGCAAATTCCCTTGATGGCTTCTGACAACTGTGTCTTTACTCTGATAGGAAACTCATTCCTGGGACTGAAGTATATACCATTCAGTGGATCCCTTACCTTTGTTGGCTTCTAAAGGCTGCCCAAAGGGTAACAGGAATGAGGGAGGTGTGAGAGACATAATGATCTGTTCTTCCTGCACCCTCACAAACTGCAGCATCCCTATCAAGCACTAGCTAGTGATTCTGCACAGCACTCTTAGGAGGAAAGCTTTAAAAAATTATGTAAAATATATACAACATAAAATTTACCATTTTACCCATTTTAAGTGTGCATTTCGGTGGCATTAAATACATTCACATTGTTGTGCAACTGTCATCATCATTCATCTCCGGAACTCTCCAATCTTCCCAAACTGATACTTAATATCCATTGAACAACAACTTTCAATTTTTCCATCCTCCCATCCCCTGGCAACCACCATTCTACTTTCTGACTCTGTAAATCTGACAGTTCTAGGTATCTCATATAAATGAGATATTTAATATTTGCCTTTTTGTGTCTGGATTATTTCACTTAGCATCTTCAGGGTTCCTCCATGTCGTTAGCATGTGTCAGAATTTCATCTTTTTAAAGGCTGAATAATATTCCATTGTATGTATTAATATACACCACATTTTGTTTATCCATTCACCTGTAGATGGACACCTGGGTTGCATCCACCTCTGGCTACTGTGAATAATGCTGCTATGAACATGGTTGTACACACATCTATCTGCTCAATTCCCTACTTTCACTTTTTTTGGTATATACCCAGAAGTGGAATTGCTGGATCACTTGGTAATCCTGTTTAATTTTTTTTGAGGAACTGTCGTACTGTTTAGTATTTAATTTTTTAAATATATGCACTTTATCATAAAGAGCAGTTTTAGGTTCACAGTAAAACTGACCAGAAAGTACAGAAGTTTCCCACATGCCCCCTGTCGCCCTCTGCCCCACAAGATTCAGTTTTATAGGCACCCTACTCACTCGGTGACTGAACGCTCGTCCAAAGACATGGGGAGTGATCCAGGCAGGTCCTGCCAGATCCAGCAGGAGCCTGAAGCCATGATTCACCTAAGGAGTCATGACAACTTCTTTCCTTCCTGACCTGTAGACAGGAAACTGACTGACAGCAAAGGTCATCCCACAGGAACACTGGATGTGTAAACGTGGAGATCTGCGGAGTGGCAGAGCAGGAGAGGGCGCTAAGGGGCATTTGATCCAACCTCCTTCTTTCACTTTATGGTGAAGATGTCTCATAAACTGATAACCTTCCTTCCAGGAATGCAGTGCAGAATAAACTAGTGCTTGTTGGAGATGGTATATTTTTGAGGGTGGAGTAATAATAATTACATCACTCACAACTCTATCAGCCCTAATCCCAGCCCTGTTACCCTTTGGGCAGCCCCCAGAAGGCACCTCTGGGTTAATTCCATTATAGATCACTTTTAACACTTACTGGTTTTTGTCTTATTTTTCTGATATTGGGGGTTTTATTTTAAACATTTTAACATATACCTACTGTACATTTAAGTCTATCTCCAGGATTTTTGACTCTATTAATGTTGAGGCAATACATATGTTCTTTCTTTGCTTGGCAATTGCTTTATTAACAGTGATTATTCTCAACTCCAGAGAGTTATAATAAGAGAACTGTAAATCCTAAGTGCTACTCTGAATGATAACATCTACCATATCCAAGTAAAATGTTATAAATCACAGTGCTTATCCACAGATTTAAAATGCCCAGAAATTTCTCAAATGTTTCCTGGACAGTATCACTCATACTATTTTTACACTCACATCGACTCAATGAAACAAAAGAAAAAATGCTGTTTCAAATTCCTACAGTCAAAGCTCAGAAATATACAATGCATATATCTATTCACAGGTACACATGTACATTTGTATGTATGCTTACATGTGTCCAAATGTACATTTGTTTAGTCAAACTCTTCTACTTTTTTCTATTAACGTGGAATAAATTGTTCTTGTCCTCAGCAGTTAGGCAACGGGCCTGTTCGAAAGCTAACACCACAACATGATGATTCACAAAGTTTTTCAGTCTTGAGAACTTAGAATCTCACAAAACCTGGACTTGCTGGCTTGAGTTACTCATTGGAGGTGTGCTTCCCTTCCCATGTGTGTGTTTTTTTTTTATTTTTAACTTTTGTGGGTATACAGTAGGTGTGTATATTTGTGGAGTACATGAGATGTTTTGATACAGGCATGCAATATGAAATGAGCACGTCATGGAGAATGGGGTATCCACCCCCTCAAGCATTTATCCTTTGAGTTACAAACAATCCAATTACACATTTTACTATAAAATGTAAGTTATTATTGACTATAGTCACTCTACTGTACTATCAAATAGTGGGCCATATTCATTCTTTCTATTTTTTTTTTTTTGTACCTATTAACTATCCCACCTCCATGCCCTGCCCCCAACCCCCACTACCCTTCCTGGCCTATGGTAGCTATCCCTCCTACTCTCTATGTCCAGGAGTTCAAGTGTTTTGACTTTTAGATCCCATGAGTAAGTGAGAACATGTGATGTTTGCCTTTCTGTCCCACATGTGTTTTGTAAATCAAATCACATTTAAGTGTGTGAGGGGAGGGATAATGCTATGATGACTCACTCTGAAAGGGAACAATGTATTTCCCAACTCAGGGGAAAAAAGATTTTCTCTTTTGAGTGTGTCTAAAAGCATGATGAGCACACCTGCAAAAGGACTGTAGCTGTTGTTTTAGCCTAATAACAGCACTATTAGTCACACTTGTTGAAAACCAGGGGCAAAGAATGGCTGGTACTAGCAGCTCTGGGGTAAAGCTGGCACAGAATAATGGCATCAACTGGGCTGGACTTCCAAATGTGAAGGTGCTAAGTGAACCTTAAAACTCTTTTCTGAGACATAAGTCAGTGTATTAAGCAAAGCATTAAATTTCTTAATTTAATGCTATTTATTACTCAAGTATATACAGTTTTCTACCTTTTTCATTATTTCAAGCACATGAGTTAAAGCAGTGATTCTCAAATTGGGGTCCCTGGACCAGCTGCATCAGCCTCACTTGGAAACTTCTTAGAAAAGCAAATTCCTAGCCTGTACCAAATCTACTGAATCAGAAATCTGAGCTTGAGGCCCAGCAAGCTGTACTTCAACAAGCCCTCCAGGTGATTCTGATTCAAGCTGAAATTTAAGAGCCACTGAGTTAAGGAACCACCAATATACAGATTCCAACCTTTGCTCAATGATAACTCTCCAGCTCCTTTGTTAAAAAAAAAAAGTAATTCATGTGTGCTTGGGCTATTTGTTACTATCACCTAAGAAAATATTTATCATTGTTTAATTAAGGAAAATAAACCCTGGTCAAAACTTACATGTAATTTTTCCAGGTCCTGTGCTGCCTTCGAGTCTTAGGATGCAGGGAACTGGGCGAAGGGAGAGATGAGAAGGCTCTGGCAATCCATTCAGACATGGACCCCAAAGTTTTGTGGGGCAACCTTGTGACAGGTCAGTGAGTGTCCACCTAATTGGGAAGGAAAAGTTGTCCATTAGCAGATGAAAGTATGCATGTGAATGTTTCCCCCTCTCTCCTGCTATCTCGCCATACTCCGTTCTGCTTGTTATGATCTCACACAACTGTCTGTGTCTCTGGCTGTCGGCCTCTTGACCAATCCTCATGAACAGAATAAGACACCATAGCCCGTGGTAGAAACGCCTGGGCTCTGCCTACTAGAAGCCCTATTCCTTGAGGTATCTCCTTTAGGTGAGCAGCCCTCACGAGGGGCTCTCCTGAATCCAAATGCAGCCTAGGAGATAGGTCCATGTCCAGTAAGTTATCACCTTCTATATTTCATCTCACGTTTTCTGTCAGCAAATCAGAACACCTTGGTTTAAAAGACACATGTGGCCATTGTAAATAGAAGAGATTTGGGAAGCAAATGATTTAAGAATTCTGACCGAAATGAGATGATTCCCTGATGCCTCAAATGTGTTTCGTTTTAAAATTAATATTTATTTTTTCAGATAACTTAATACATGCTTATTGTAGAACATTTGAAACATACAGAAAAATAAAGAAAAAAATAAAGATCAATGGTAACCTTGACACCGATAAATCACTAATGATGTTTTGTTGTATGGGTCTGAAACTCCTTCACCGAAACTCTTGGGGCCAGATATATTTCAGAATTCAGAATTTTTGGATTTTAGAGATGCAGCTACCATTTATTACATTAGTATCTTGTGAGAGTATGGAGCAGCACCCTATAATATTAAATATTAAACATTAAATATTTGTGCACAAAAATAGATGCATATTCTTATTAAGTGGGGGTAAAATAGAGCCTCACATTTGTTCAGGCCAGGTTTTCCTACCAAAGAAGTTACTAAAAATAGAACAAAACAAAACCCCTTTTGATTTCTGAAAACTTTTAGATTTAGAATTAGAGATAAGGGATTGTGGGCCAGTATTCTTTTCAGATACATGCACATACTCAAAGTATTGCTTCTACTTTTTCATTCAATTCTGAAATAAAATGTGAGTTATATGAATATGAGTATTTCCCCAAGTTATTAAAAATTATTCAAAACATGCTTTTGAATGTTCATGTGTATTATACCCCATAGAAATACATCTTATGTATTTATTTCCCTCATTTTTGGAGTTGCAGATTGTTTTTTTCTTTGTTATTGTAAATAACACTTTAGGGGATATTTCTGAATATCAGATTGTCTTGAATTTCTGAACATTTTCTTACGCAGGTTCCCAGAAAAGGAATTATTGCATGAAAGGGCATAAACTTTGAGAGTCTTGATTTTCTAGAAAGATTGCACCAATTTATATTTTTTTTCAGCAGCATGAATGCCTGGTTAATTATGAACCTTATCACAGACAGAGAAAAATACACTTGCTCCTCACGCAACTTAACAAAATTCTAATCAATGATGATCAAATGTAAGATATTTTATTTTTGTTTTCCTTACACAGAAGATAGTGAACAGCTTGCTGTTTTTGACATAGCAAGAGAGAAATGGAGTTAATTTTAGTTTACCATCAAATGACCCTCATTAGGCCAGACTGAGTTAGATGTGGACAGTGGGGGAGCTGTGACTTGTCCATGGGGTCTCCACATGGAAAAGCATGTGAGAGAATTCAGAAATAATTCCCATAATATCGTGAGAAGAAAAACCACTGATTATTTGTGGGTTGATAATTCATCTTCTAGAGTAGTGAGGCCTTGTATTTTCCTTCCTTCTGGGGTTTTCCTATTTCTTGGACATTTTGCTCTTCCTCAGGATGGCATCAAAAAGCAGAAAAAGATGCAAAGACAAAATCAAATCAGAATAGCTAATAATAATGGCTAACCCTTATGCATGATTACAGTGTGTCCACTCCAATGCCAGGTCCTTGTATGTATTATCTCATTTAACGCCAAGTGCATTGGTAACAAAACTGGTGGCTGGCAAGTTTGAAAGTATGTGCCCACTCATTGGTCCTCCTTATTCCCCAATAAGTTTGTAGGAATTTGGGCTTCAGAATTCCAAAGATGTATTCAAGCCTAGTGTCTCATTACTATGTTGACTCATTGCCTAGCTATATATCACAAGCTTGATCTTTCCACTCTTTGGTCAGTACCATCTATAGCATCTAAACGAAGCAGAGAAAGTCTAAGAAAATTCTAGACAATAGTAAACCCTTTGAAAGTCCTATATTGACACGGGGAAGGCTATAGCTCTTTGAGCACAATAGAGAAGTGTGAGGTAAGAGTGTTATATAACACAAAACAGGTTATACATGGAGAAAGACATGAAGACACAGATAAAATACACACTTGAAAAAAGAAACATACAAACACATTCTTCCCAAATGTGGCTACGAATTAGGAATGCTAAAGCAGGTCTTACAGCCCCAGGTTCTTTTAGATTTATAGCTTTTTCTAATAATCTCTCTTTCTCTTTCCCCTTTATGTATATTTAACCTTACAGGATAACTGGTATAGAGAATGCCACAATTTTCATATGCTAATAAAAGCAAACTGAAGTGACGTTTGTTTGTTATATTAAATGAAATAACCTCACTCTTTCACTTATGTATAAACTCAAATTTCTGCACCCACTAATACTATAAGATGGTTATGGTTTGAGGAGTGGGGGGTGCAAAAAATTTCAATCCTATTTTGGGAGTGATTTAAATTGATCTTTCCCAACAATCTTATCTAAAAATAAGGATTGTTTCTATCAAAATGATCAAAAGACCAAAGAGAAGTGGACCATTTCCTTCACTGTGGCTTTACTTCATAATTTAAGCATCATTTTCCTGATAATTAGGTGTCAACGCAGATAGAATAGCTTATAAATGATTTTTCTTTGCCACATTCAGGTATATGCCTAAGTTTCTAAGCAGACCAGAGCTACAGGGAGTGAAAAATAAAATGGTAATAGAAGAAATAAACCCTCAAAGAGTATACTTTGTTTTTTCCAAAGGGCCTAACTGCTTCAGGGGAAATACAAAAAACAAACCACCATTAATAACGCAAACGATTACCAGACACTCCTTGGATACTCAAACTGTACAACTATCATTGCAAAGCTAATTACAAATTTGGATTCTCTCATTTTAAAAATATACTTCGAAGCAACCCACTTCTGTTTCAATGCTGAACCAAAGTCTGTGCAATTGGCACACTGTCAAAGTAAAAAAAAAAAATATATATATATATATATATATATACACACACACACATTGCATCACTTGCACTTGAACAAAGTTATTACTTTCAATGTCACTAAATCCTGAACTGCAAAACACCGCAAGCTAAAAGCAAGTAATGCCACATGGTATATTATCTTACATTTACAAAAGAGTTTATAGTTTTCCAAGCCACAGAGATACAGACTTTCCCACTCACAGTAGCTTTGTTATGCTGGGCACCCCACTCACTGCCTCGGAGCCTACTACCTCTCACAGGTTCTTGTGGGGATCACATGAGAATGTATACAGAATTTTTTTTGCAGATTATAAGACATACATAAAATATTAGGTATCTTTTTTTTAAACTAAACAACTTTGTGAGGCATAAAGATATTAATCGCCATTTCATAGTTTGGAAAAGAACACAAGAAGATGTAACAAAAAAAGTACTAAGTTAGAAGATCTGAGTTTTATTTCTAAATTGGCTACGAACTAGCTGCCTGACTCTCTGGGACTTGATTTCTTCAGTAAAACAAGGGGGTTGGATGAAATGACTGTAAGGTCTTTTGGAAGCCAATGGATCTGTGATGTAGGACGTGGCCATGGTAGTGATGGGAGTGCCTTAGGAAGTAATCCCTCCTGGAGGCCAAGGAACCATGAGGCCAAAGGTAGCATCCATCAATCTGAGGCCTGCAGTGCTGGCGCAGAGTCCTTGAGCAGCCCCCAACTCCCAGAGATGAGACAGACATTAACTAACTCATTTTGCTGGACTGAGGGGAGGTTGGTGGAATCCTAAAGGAATGGCCAGGGTGTCTTGGGCATTGGAAAGAAATACCGAAGAAACTTAGGACAGCAGGTCTTTATTAACTGGTACAGGTATTTTATAACTTTAACAACTGGTATAGCCAAGTAAGTATATACCAGCTGTCAGTCTTGCTAACAGTTTTACTGTTGTTTGTCTATCAGTCTCAAAGAGACGGCCACCACTGAGGGCCAACCACCTTGCTTGGCTAAGTTCCTACAGCATGGGGGGAGATGTGTAAGAGGGCTCTTTTTGGTATTATGAGTGCACATCAGGGTCACATGGGAATTTGACTTTAAAAAGACACTAACTTAGGCCTCTACTAATGCTATTCTACTAACACTGTTTAACACAACTTTCTGTAATGATGGAAATATTCAATATCTCTGCTGTCCAATATGGCAGCCACATGAGGATACTGAGCACTTGAAAAGTACCTAGTGAGAGTGAGGAACTGAATTTTTAACTTTAGTCAATTTAAATCAACTGAAATTTAAATAGCCACATATTGTTAGTGGTTAGCTGATTGGACAGTGCAGCCCTAGGTGGCTTCACATATTAGTTTTCTTGGACCTATTTCAGACTCCAGAAGCCCACAGGACAATACCCAATATAGTCCTTCAATAGGTATTCACTGCCCTTCTCCTAGGTGCTGGGCCATGTTTAGGTGTCTCAGAACAATGGTGAATAAGAGTACCATGGACACTTCCTGCCTTGTGGCATTTTGCGGCTAGATTGATTTCCGAAGACCTCACAAAATCTTGAAGTAGCTCACCAGACTGCTCTTAGGAAAAGGTGGGTGAGGAGATATGGTAATGCTACACTAAGCATGAAAGCACTGCTTTTTCATTTCTTCGTATTTACTGTTAGAGAAGTTGGGGGAAAGTTTAAAAAGAGGTATCTGAATGGTTACTATTCATTCTCTTACAAGTAAAGTAACATATCCCAGATATGGGAAATTATCTGTAGGTAACTACCTCTTGCATAATCTTAACCTTACTTAAAAAGAAAAGTCCGAGGAACCGCATTCTGAAGCTAAGAAAAGTAAATGGTATTCAATTACAGCAACAGCCGTAGAAAAAGTACAAGTGGGTCTCCAGCTGCAAATGGTGGGCAAGGGAGTGTTCTTACCAATTAGTTGTGAAATGATCAGGTTTTCTAGAAGGTACTTTTTGTATAAGTAAGGCTGATTGAATTCTTTATCCCAACTCAACTCTTAGCTAGGATTTTCTTAGTGGCTTTAATGGGATTTGATGAGGAAAGCCCCATTTGCCTGTCCCCAGGAAACTACAGGTGAAAATATTTCTATTTACATTACAAATCTAATACCAAGAACATAATTTCTAAGAAACACAAAAGTGGTTTAATGATCTGATTTCCAGTGTTGCTCTCAATGTCCTCCTGTTGTCAATTCTCTCCTATCCTAATCACCTCTTCCTACCTTATTGGGATCTGGAGTGACAGAAAAAACACAAAACATGATATTCAGGTTTGAACTGAATCCAGGTTTGCCTAAACTTCAAGGACGGGACACTGCATGTTGGGATACAGAATTTTTAAGCTAATTCTCTCCATTGTATTAATATTATCACTGGAGGTAAAAAATTTACCAAATAAAACAATCTGATTTTGCTCAGCATCCCAAGGGGATCATGTTCAGCATCTCAATGGGAATGACACCAGTCAGCCAATCTTTCGAGCTTCACCATGCCACTTCTGGTTCCCCTGCCCTAAGTCAGACTTTTGATTTTTAGGGCTAATAAGTGACTCTTCCACAACTATACACACACACACACACACTTTTTTCCCCTCTGGATTGAGTAGAAAGACAATTTAATACAATGGTTAGAAAACAAAATAAGACTTCAAAACTTAGTTCTAAAAATACAAATTGCATTTAGATACCATTATCTTCTTTTTAAAAAGGTCAAATCTCAAACGTTCAGCTGGTTCCAGGCTATATAAAAATATTACTGAAAATCTGATGACAGCTTTGGTAACAAACATCTTGAGAGTGGCCCTGAAATCCTTATTTATATTCAGAAACACTAAGTGGAGTAGTCGCACGCCATTTTATGGCTGAAGGGGTTCAAAAGGAAAGAGGTCAATTGATGTTAATTGTTAATTTTTTGGAAATTCAGAGATGAAGTTTTTTTTTTTTTTAAACTCTTATCTTTCAAACAGAATTTAAACAGACACTTGTATAAGGCAGAACCCCTTTGAACCACAGATCTTGTGGCTTTTGTGTTTTATTCTACTGGCATGGAAAGGTGATGAAAGAAAGTGGGCTTTTTTGCTGCAACAGAGAAAGAAGTGGGGAGGGAGATGCAGTTATTTCAGACAGGATGGCGAACATTAATTGAGATTAAACAGCTCTGAAAGTTTCCACTTCAACATTTCAGGTTCTGGGACTCTAGCTGAAGAACCAAAGCTAGAAAATTCACTTATTTGACATTCAAGGTGTTTAAGTTCCCAAATACAACAAAGAGGTTATCAGATTTTCACTTCTATCATAAAAGGATGGTGCAGGCAGAACTACTTGCCACTAACAAGCCAGAAAAATAAAAAGTGTGATAGAAATGTGTTGAAAGTACATAATTTGAAATAATTCTTGGATTTCTGCAGACTTTATACATAAAAATTGGAATACTAGCCTGTATTGATACATCATCACCATCACCATCATCATCATCATCATCTCCACCACCACCACCACTGCCGCCTTCATCATCTCCATTTACTGAAAATATCTATTTGCTAGGAACTGTGCTAGAAATTTTACAGGAATTATTAGCCTCTCTGGTACATGAGAGAACCCTGACTCAGAGAGGCAACGTGTTTTGCTTAAGGTCATACTGCTGGAGACAGGACAACATGCAATCTGAATCCAAGCTGGCCTGTCAAGGCTACCTCCTTTCCTGTACAACACTGCCTTCCTCTACAATGTGGGGAGACTACATCCTTCTTCTGCGAAGGAAACATGACCACTTTCCCATGTGCCACCAGTAAAACATGAAAGTAAACTGACAAGGCTGCAGGTCCCACAGCAATTTAACTATTTGTATGAAGAGTTTTAGTGCTAAAATGGTTATAGTTCATGAAGCATAATTTCTTACTTGTTATATATTTCAGTGTCGTTTCTGTCCCTTGACTATGCAAAGCCCTTGCCTGGCCTTGCCACCTGCTTCTCTCTCTGCCTAGAATTCCCTCCCACAACCCTTAGCCATGCTGGTTACTTCTCCTTCACTAGGTCTAGTTCAAATATGTCACTTGCAGAGACACTGTCCTTAATGTGCTCTGTCCTCTCCCAAACAGCTAGGCATTGCCCTGCTTGTTTCCATCAAGGGATAACCAAAATCCACATGTTTATTTACTGTATAATTACCTATCTTCTCTCTTGGTCCATGTAAGACCCACAGCAGCAGGGACCTAGCTTCTCTTGCTAACCATTGATACCTGACACTTGGAATAGTGCCTGGCACAAACTTGAATGAATGGCTACACCAATACATGAATGAAGATCAGTGTTTGCAGAGTACAGTGACAGGTACACATAGAGGAACCAGAGGAGAGACATTGCCCTGGGGATCTGCCTTTGCCAGCCCTCGAGTCCTAGGCCAGAGTTCATCTGCTCTCAGCTTGAACCCTGCCTGGAGACTGAGCATACACCTGCACTTGGCCCTTGGCCCTCTTCTCCTGCTGCACCTCCTGACATAGCCTCTTCTTCCCCAACAGAGGCTCTTCCTCACACGATGAGCTCAGCTTCTCTCCCTGGATCTAATCTCTACATTCCCACCACCATCCACCTCGTATAAAAATCAATCGTGCTTACTTCTCCTGTGGTCACATACCCTTCAGATAATCTGGGGCCACGGCCTTGGGTTCCATCACACCCATAACCATGTGGCACTGTCAGGGCTGACTCCTGGCTTGTTGCATGCATCCCTAGTCCAGCCTGACATCCAGCACCAGGCTCTTTCCCAGCCTTCTGTCCTGAGCCACCTCACTTCTTTCTCCTGTCTGCCCTCTCTTCCCAGGTCCAAGCTCATGGATGACTCTTGGCAGGCTGGGGAAGAGAAAGAATGTGGAACAGAGGAGAGAGAAAGTCAGAAGCAGCAAAAGCTGCTGTGTGTCCACATGGGAAGCCCGTGGACTACATCTGTCCACGAGAATTTTCATAGTGTTCTATAGATTTTTTTTAAAAATAGTGAGTTTAAACTATGGATCAGCAGAGCTGAAAGGGACCTTGGAGATCACTGAGTCCCACTGTCTCACTGTACTGTTGAAAAACCAACATGTGAGTAATGGACCGAGGAGGAAGAAGGCAGCATTTGTGGAGGGCTTAACATCTGCTTTGGGATATAGGGTCCCAGGTCCCATAGCCAGTGAGTGGCAGAGTGGGGACCATGCAATGCTTAAATGAGCACTTCTACCCCATACACACTTTGCCCTACGACTTACATATTCATACCACGTGTGGGAAAGGGTGTGGCATTTACCACATAAAGATACTTGGAATTCTTGCCTCAAAGGGTAAGTGGGTTTTCCTTCTGTATTAGCCGATATACTTTTTAAAAATTATGGTAAAATATCCAAAACGTACAATTTACCACTTTAATCATTTTTAAGTATACGGTTCAGTGGCACCAAGTACATTTGTTTCGTTGTACAGCCTTCACCACTATCCATCCAATACATTTTTAAAGTGAGTATTTTCTAAAACTATACATCCAAAACAAGAGTGAAGGAAACAAAAAAGAAGTAGAAAGAAAAGACAGGTAGAAAATAAACTTTTGGGCATGCATTTCAGCTGACAAAAACCTTTCATACGAATTAGCTTCTCTGTGACATATTCATTATTTTCCTAGTAATGAAACGGGAACTGTGAGACACCATGTGAAAAGGCGGCTTTTATTGTTTCTCTAGGTTCTATACTAGCTGTATCCGCTTACAAAAATGTTATACAACCCAGTACATCACAGCCTTCCACGCCTCCTCCATAAAAGGACAAGTAAAATAGTATTTCTTGGAAAGACAGGCATTTACCAATGCACTGCATCTAGATGGAGCTGTCTCCATCATTCTAGTCTGTTTCTAAACAGGGTTTTAAAGTCTTGGCACAGAACACAAAGAATGTCCCTTAGCTATTCAGCATTTAGTTCAGCTCCACAATATATTTAGCAAGATTTCTTTGCCCCCCCCGCAACCCCCACCCTTCCCTTCTTGGTTTAATGACCTCAAATGTACCAACATCCTGTCTTACCTAATCCCCTAACAAGTTCTATCAAATGCCAGGACAGAATCAGACAGCACTGCAGGCTGTGAGATCATTCACTAAGAATTCATTTTTATTCCAAAAATTAGGAGTGCCAGACCATTTAACACAATCTATCACACAGCCAGAAAATTAGCCTAGCGCTTTAAGAGAAACATTTAAATAACTTTTAAATATCTTCTTCCTGACATAGATTCTTTAAAAACCTGAAGACTCTCTCCCCAGAACCAGACGCATAGACACAAAACATTTCCACATGATAGCAAGAGCTCAAGGACCCTTTGAAGACGATGTAGGCCCCCTAAGAATCCATAAACCTCAGGTTAAAATCTCTTGTAAAAGAACTCCAGTACTTCTCTTTGTCTACAAGCCCCTGTACTGGATCCTGATCCATGGAGCATCCAGGGTAACTTCTTCTGGGGCCACTTTTGTCTCTGGATGAGAAACGACTTGTTTCAGCTTCCGGAACACCCCTACGTGGCTTCTGGTCCAACTGACTGTCAACACGGCTAGGCCTCTCCCCAATTCAGCTGGCTACTCTGGGAACGTTCATTTCTCTTACTGGTCCATGACATGCTGGCTCTACCCCAGTGTTAGGTTTTGCTTTTCAATTGGCAATCTTGGATCCTGTGGTCCCTTCTGTCTTCCTGTCACTTTCCTTGTGGTCCTTGTGGAACTTTTGTTTTAAAAATTAAACCTGTTTTTTTTTTCTTTATCATAAAAGCAACGGCCTCCCGTTTGCACTTAATTCCTTTGTTTTTTCTCCAAAAGCATACTTCAGCCTTCATACCTTTGTTCTTGGGAAGACTTTGCCCACCTCTCTAAGTGGCAGGTCGTGCCACTCTCTGTTCAGTTCGGGACAGGGTTTCTCCTCCAGGAGAAGTGTGGGGCAGTGAATTAGGAATAAGCCTAAAGTCAGAGAGACCCAGGTCTAGTCCCAACATAGCTGACTTTGGCCAAGCAATTTGAACAAAGGCTCAGTTTCCTGATGTGAACAAACAAGGAAGATTAAAGCCAACATATGCTTTTGTTTTATTTTTTTTAGACAGGGTCTTGCTCTGTCACCCAGGCTGGAGTACAGTGGCGTGATCATAGCTCACTGCATCCTCGAACTCTTGGGCTCAAGCGATCCTCCGGCCTCAGCCTCCTGAGTAGCTGGGACTACAGGTGTGTGCCCTTAAAACTGGCTATGTTTTTTGTTTTTGTTTTTTAAGGAAGACTAAGAGAGCTGATATGTTCACAGCTTCTGAAACACAGAAGGTATCTAGTAAATGGTGATGATCATTTCATTCCCTTCTAACTCTTCACATATGGGATTCAGCATACATTCTATATTTTAGAAGCAACTCCTGCTGCTTTCTATTAGGTGGCCAGGACCACTTACGTTTGGAGGCTTAGGCATTTTTTAACAGGTTTATTGAGATATAATCAGCATATCATACAATTCACACCTTTAAAATATACAATTCAATGTTTTTTAGTATATTCACAGAGTTGTGCGACCATCACCACTATCTAATATCAGAACATTTCCATCATCCAAAAAAGAAAACCTACACCCATAGTAGTTACTCTTCATTTCCTTTCCCCTTCAACCCTTGGCAACCACCAATCTACTTTCTGTCTCTGTGGATTTTCCTATTCTACACATTTTGTATAAATGGAATCATCTATTATGAGGCCTTTTGTGTCTAGCTTCTTTCACTTTACCATATTTTCAGGGTTCACACTTGATGTAGCAAATGTCAATATTTCATCCCTTTTTATGGCTGCATAATAATCAATTATATTCATCTACCACATCCTGTTTATCCATTTATATCAGTTGATGGATATTTGGATTGTTTCCACATTTTAGCTATTATGAATAATGCTGCCAAGAACATTTTTGTATGGTTAGACATATTTGGACATGTTTTCAATTTACTTGGATATATACCTGGAAGTGAAATCGCTAGGTAGGATGGTTAATTTTATGTGTTAATTTGGCTAAGTCACCATACCAAGACTTGTGGTCAAACATGTTTGGGTGTCGTTACAAAGGTGTTTTTTAGATGAGATTAACATTTACATCAGTAGTCTTTGAATAAAGCAGATTACTCTTCATGAGGTGGGCCTCATCCAATCAGTTGAAGGCCTTAAGAAAAAAGGCTGACCTCTCCCAGGAAGAAGGAATACTGACAGCAGACTCCCTTTGGACTCTAACTGCAACATCGATGCTTCTCTGGGTCTACAGCCTGCTGGCCTACCCTGCAAATTTTGAACTTGCTAGTCTCCTCAATCATGTAAGCCAATTCTTTAAAATAAATCTGTCCCTTTCCTCTCTCTCTCTACACACACACACACAGACACACACACACACACACACACACAGACACACACACACACACACACACCCTCTATTGGTTCTATTCTCTGCAGAACCCTAACTAATATACTGGGACAAATGGTAACTCTGTATTTAACATTTTGAGGAACTGTTTTCCAAAATGGCTGTAGCAGGACAATCCCACCAGCAATGTATAAGGGTTCCAATTTCTCCACATCCTCACCAACACTTATTACTGTCTTTTAGACTTTAACCATCCTAGTGGGGGTAAAGTGGTAACTCACTATAATTTTGATTTGCATTTCCCTAATGACCAATGATGCTGAACATCTTTTCATTCACTTACTGGCCATTTGTATATCTTTTTCTGAGAAATGCATATTTTAGTTGTCCATTACTTGTCTGGGTTGTCTTTTGAGCATTGAGCTGTAAGAATTCTTTATATATTCTGGATACACATCCTTTGTCAGATACATGATTTGTAAGTATTTTCTCCCATCTGTGGACCATCTTTTCACTTTCTTAATGGTTTCCTTTAAGCATGAAGTTTTTAATTTTATGAAGTCCCATTTATCTAATTTTTCTTTTGTCTTTTGTACTTGTGGTGTTATATCTAAGAATCCACTGCCTAACGCAAGGTCACAAAAATGTATCCCTATATTTTCTTCTAAGAGTTTTAGAATTTTTGCTTGCATTTATTTTTGTGATCCATTTTGAGTTAATTTTTGTATATGGTGTAAGGTATAAGTCCAAGTTCATTCTTCTGTGTGTGAATATCCTGTTGTCCTGGCACTATATGTTGAAAAGACTGTTCTTTCCTCATCAAATTGTTCTGGAACCCTTGTTGAAAACTTTGAGCATACGTGTACTGTATTCAAGACTACACTATCTTATAGGATGTTTTGAAAAAAGGAAGTGTGAGTCCTCCAATTTTGTTCCTCTTTTGCAAGATTGTTTTAGCTATTCTGGGTCCCTTGCATTTCCATATGAATTTTAAAATCAGCCTGTCAATTTCTGCAAAAATGCTGCAATTTTGATAGGGATTGTGTTGACTATATAGGTTTGGATAGTTTTGCCATCTTAACAAGTCTTCTGATCTATGAACATTGGATGTCTTTCCATTTATTTATGTTTCCTTAATTTCTTTCTATAGTATTCTGTAATTTTCAGTGTTCAAGTCTTGCACTTCTTTTCTTAAATTTATTCCTGAATATTTAATTATTTTTGATGCTATGTAAATGGAATTGTTTTTGTAATTTCATTTTTCTTGCTAGGGTACAGAAATTGATTTTTGTAGACTGAACTTTCATCCTGCAAAACTGATGATCTTATTATTCATTCTAATAGGTTTTTTCGTGTGTGGTTTATTTTTTCTTCTAATGAATTGCAGTCAAGTATTTTTAAGTATTCTGAATCACAGGAATATCCTGGCACAAAAACCCATGACTTAAAACTTCACTATAAATATAAGGAGCTCATACTATTATTTGTCCCCTTCCTGTGGCATTGGGTAATGATCCTGCTTTTGGGTTATGGTCTTGGTGGCATTCCTACTGCTGCTGACAGCCCATATAATGATTTGAAAAGTTCCTGGGACTCCAGGATACATGGTGAGACACGAATCTATTTTCCATAGAAGTGGTATTATAAAAAGAGGTCAGGTTTCCAGCCTATCCCTAAAGTCTGTTTAAAGGGGTATCATTCATTGAGGATGCCACAGGGTCTGGCCTCGCCATTCTCAAAGGGAATCTAAAGGGTTTGTTTCAATGAAAAACCACATTCTAAAGGAGTTTTGAATGAACCTTTCAAAAAGTGCCCTCCTGGGCTGGGCGTGGTGACTCATGCCTGTAATCCCAGCACTTTGGGAGGCCAAGGCTGGTGGATCACTTGAGGTCAGGAGTTCAAGACCAGCCTGGCCAACATGGTGAAACCCTGTCTCTACTAAAAATACAAACAATTAGCTGGGCATGATGGCGGGTGCCTGTAATCCCAGCTACTCGGGAGGACGAGGCAGGAGAATCACTTGAACCGAGGAGGCAGAGGTTACAGTGAGCCGAGATTGCGCCATTGCACTCTGGCCTGGGCAACAAGAGCGAAACTCCATTTCAAATAATAATAATAATAATAATAATAATAATAATAATAATAATAATAATAAAAATAAAAGGACCTTCCATTCAGTTAGGACTTCTTATGGGCTTTTATGTAGACACCTCTGCTAACCTACTTCTTCTTTCCAACTCAGGGCTGACTCCTAATATACAATACTTTGAGGGGCAGTGGTAGTTACCTTGCACAAAAACTGCTAAATTTGACACAATACATATATATATATATATATATATATTTTTTTTTTTTTTTTTTTTTTACCAGACTATATTTTGCTTCAGGTTCAAAAACTGATTTCTAGCCAGCATTCAGAGACCTACTTTGCATCTTGATCCATGAGTCACTGATTTGAGCATGCATTTGCCCAGAATACCCAGGCATGTGAAAGGATCAAAATATCACACTTTGATTGATTTAGAAAGTTATTTTCTACCACCATGCAGTCTGAGAGTTTCTATGCTGCATCTGACTAATTGGGGAGGTGTGGGAGCAGAGAGAGCCAGGAGCTGCTGTGTGGAAGACCTTGTCCCTCCTCCCAGGCACCAAGATCCCAGGGAGTAGCAACCCTGCTCTCCATGGCGAAGTGTGTCCGTGTGATGCTCATCTCAGCATTATCTGGTTATCGGAGTCATCTTTTGAAGAGATCCTGGTATTTCGGTTTGACAAAAATCGAGAAACAATTTAGAAAGAAAATCGGATTTGTGTGTAAATGAAGAATATTCCTGAAAAGAAACTCTGTTACGAAACTGAAATCTGGAGACCGCGGTGGTGCTAAGTTGAGTCATCAGTTCCCTTTACGCCCTAATAATTGACGGCACTTTGATCACGATGACTGCTCTGGGTGATGCTTTTTTGTTTGCTTTTTAAAGTACTTCCTTGTGTAAACAGGTTGTCTCACTATCATCTTGAAAACATGTTTACGTTTGGGGGATCATGGGGAACATCTGTTAGAAACAGATTTCATGCTTTTCTGTCAACTTAGGGAAGTCTGAATCCTATTTCTTGGTAATATACAAAAGCTCTTGGAGAGTTAAATGAAGTTCTACTGGAAAAAGGACTGACTGGATATTTTGATTGTTCTTCATATATGTATTTACAAATTTGTCCTGAAAACATCCATTTGAAATAGAAACAGGCATGAATTATTGTTCACTTTTTGTAGATGCAGACAATGAAGTGTAGAGAAGTGAAGTGGCCTGGTCAGTGACCGACAAAGTGGCAAAGAGGGGGCCAAATGCATCACAGGGACATACTGACCCTTAATCAGCACCAAATAAAATCCGCAGGTATCAAGGGTCCCCTGATATTATTTCCAAAAAGATGTTACAATCCTTCACAATTTTATTGAGATCACTGATTCTGGAGAAGGCAAATATTAGGGCTGAGTGATGTATCCCCCAAAAGAGCAGTTTCTTTGTCCAGGTCTCAAGTTAGAGATCTAGGTGTGTGTGGAGAGGTGGGGTGTTCAGAGGGAACAGGAACAAAGCTTGAAGGAGAGGCTGAACCAACAAGAGGACTTCAGGCAAAATACTTTACTGAAACCTCAACAGTGAGGCTGCTCCTGCTGTGCCCAGAAGCGAGGTGCTCCTCTTGGAGGGTGTGCCAACTCGCTCTGGCCCTTGGAGTTGAGGCAGGAGCGGTTTCTGTGTGAAGAGAAAGAACTGCTGTCATGAAAAAATGGGAGATGCTGCAGATTTTATTTAAATGCCCACAGACAGCACAGCCCCTAGACCCAGGCAAGGAAGGACTCTGTTCTCCTTCAGTTAGGCCAGGGAGGCATTGTTCCCCATCTTGCCTTATGATCTCTCCCTTAAACTCTTCCAGAATTTCCCACCCAAATGGTTCCAAGTGAGCTCCCAGGGTCAGTGTATGCCCTTTCCCTCGGTCCTTCCTCCCTTTGGTGGGCTACACCACCTGAAGGGTGAGAGAATGGCCAAGGGCAGCTATTTACAGAGATATGCATGTATCTTGGACATGTGGGCTGGGGTGTCCATGTGCATGTTTCAAGACCCCTGTAGGATGGGGGACTGGGGGAGTGGGAGGAGAAGGAGCAGGAAAGAAGGAAGCAGGTAGGTGTATGCTGGTTTCCCCCATACTACCATGTTCCCATTTGGAACTCTAAGGAGACCGATAATTCTAAATTTAAATCTGGCCTTCCGAAAGGTCATTACATCAAGGCAGAAGGACAGAATGTATTTTATACAACCAGTTTGTTAGCCTGATTCATAAATTTTAATATTTAAGCATACAGCATATGAGCTTCAATTGTGCCTTTGTCTGGAGCCCTACAAATATTACAGCCAGACCTGTCCAGAGCCATGTGGATCAGGGCTGGGAAGGCTTCAGATTGCAGATGTGCAGTTATGCATTACACAAGCCCCATGTTGCATTCACTGACCCTCTGGATGATAAAGTGGAGGTGGCTGCAAGGCATTTCCAGAATATCAAGGTGCTCACACAACAAAGGTTTCCTTCACTTGTTTTGGGAACACTGTGCTGAAGACAGCTTAGCCAAATATTTCTCTGTTTGGCTGCAGCCAAATACATCAGGGTCTTGCTACAGGCCAACTAAGCAAACCATAATTTTTACAAAAAATAATTACCTAACACTTTCATCTCTTGTGGTTTCTTTATTCCATACATACTTTGTAATGTGTTTATCAGCAGCTAGTTGAACAACTTGGTGTACCAGTGGGAGACAAACCAGCAGTAGTTATACACGGCAAGTAAGGACCAAAACATAGGCAGGAAAATAAAAATACCAATGAACATTAGGCTGAACTGTAAGACATAATTAAGTAGCTGTATATCAAATGCATAAATATGATTCTTTTTTAAAGGCCCACACATATTACACCCACTTTCAGGAGTTTCCCAAAGTAATTTAAAACTATTTGATGTTGCTTCCTGTTTTTCAGTACTTTTATCTGTTTATGGGGGTGGCAATTCTACTGCTAACCAAATGAACAAGAAGAAAAGTGAAGGATGGGGCCATTTTCCTGGTTTTAGTCACCAAAATCTGCTTTAAAAGACTGAATTTTTAGACCTTAAATTTTAAAATTTGGGGTTCTAAGCTTCAAAGTAATTATTTAAGACTTATCCCACATTACAACTACAGATTGCACCAACAGTTTTCTTAGAGTTAGTGAGCCTCTTGCATCAACTTTGTTTCCTGTTCTCTCCAAAGCTCCTTTCTAAAGCAACTGAGCTTCAGAAGAGGGAAGAAGGAAACAGGGCAGAGGGGTTTGCTGACCTCAGTCTGCATTCAATACATTTTTCTTTTTCTCTTTGAGACAAGGACTGCTAAGAAAGGGCCTTTTCATATTTTAAAGCTGAAGTTTCAAAAAAGCTAGAACAATTCAAAGATATTTATTCCATAAAATTATCCTCAGGTACCAAAAGTAGCTCTGGAAAAGTGGCCACCTCTTTTTATTTGGCCTTCATAGCTCATTATTTTAATCAAGTAGATGGTTAATGAAAAGCAAACTTACACTTTCCATGAAGTAAATAAAGTAATGTGCTGAATAATGACATTTCAGTTGATAATAGACTGCATATATAATGGTGGTCCCATAGATTCTAACATCATATTTTTACTGTACCTTTTCTATGTTTAGATACACAAA
The DNA here is from genome assembly GCF_000001405.40 of Homo sapiens. Taxonomy (NCBI): domain Eukaryota; kingdom Metazoa; phylum Chordata; class Mammalia; order Primates; family Hominidae; genus Homo; species Homo sapiens. The sequence goes on from NC_000006.12 coordinate 90,106,419, forward strand.
TACCTCCCACTGTATTACAACTGCTTATAGTATTTTGTAGAGTAATATGCTGTACAGGTTTGTGGCCTAGGAGCAGTAGACTATACCATACAGCCTAGCTGTGCAGTAGGCTATACCATCTAGGTTTGCATTAGGTACACTCTATGATGTTTGCACAATGATGAGACTGCCTAATGACGTACTTCTCAGAATGCATCCTATCGTTAAGCAATGAATGACTGTGCTATTATGAGGTGACAGGCATTTTGGGGATCAGCTAGTTCAATGTGTCATCAAAGTCTTGACCACCAAGTGGGTGGCGCTGATTAAATACCTCTAATGAGAAGAAAGGTACTGCCAAGTCAATTTTGGAAAATTATTATGTACCACATCACTGCATACATCATTACACAGTTCTCTCTCAGGCCAATCTGCCTCCTTGTAGCCTAAAAACACTGGTTTGCCCTACAGGGCAACCAGAGGAAGGATAACACCTACATACATGGTAGGGAGTAAGTGGTGGCTCCGCCTCCTCTCTTTCCTCAAGTCTTCTCGCTGGATAGTTGTTTCTAGTTCCTTCAAATGTTATTTGACATGGTTTCAGGTTCTCTATCACTGTCTTGGGCCACTGTCCTTTAAAAATATTTAAGTTCTAAATTTAAAAATCATCATTTCAATTTAAAATCACATTATAGGCCGGGTGTGGTGGCTCACTCCCATAATCCCAGCACTTTGGGAGGCCGAGGCGGGTGGATCACGAGGTCAAGAGATCAAGACCATCCTGGCCAACATCATGAAACCCCGTCTCTACTAAAAATACAAAAATTAGCTGGGTGTGGTGGCGTGCGCCTGTAGTCCCAGCTACTTGGGGGACTGAGGCAGGAGAATTGCTTGAATCCAGGAAGCGGAGGTTGCAGTGAGCTGAGATCGTGCCACTACATTCCAGCCTGGAGACAGAGCAAGACTCTGTCTCAAAAAAAAACAAAAAAACAAAACAAAACAAAAAAAACACCCCATGTTATAGCCAACAATACATTTGCCAATATATCTATCAAATGTGATCTCAAATAAAGCACAATTTTATTACTGAAGAGTACATAGAACTATCTTTCACCTTCTTAGTCCTACAATGCAGACCATGATTTCATTAATGCTTTGGGCAGCTACATCACATCTCTGGCTAGGATTGAGCTTACAGAAATGAAACCCCCAAGGAGTCTTCACATATTGCTATTGTGTTTTATTTCCCACATTCTCTATTTGTGATTTTTTTTTTTTTTTTTTTAGTGGGGGTGTGGGATACAACTGCAGGTCTTGGCACTTATTCCTATTACTAAATGTCAACTCACTTGGGTCTCGTCCCTTGTTTTCTTCTTCTTTCTTCTGTCTATTCACTCGGTGGCAAAGGAGCACATGAAAGAGAACTGTGCTCAAGGGAATTTCTTTTTATCATGGAACTGTACAAGGCTTACAAAGCAGTGGGCAGTCAGGGTGAAAACTAACTCAGTAAACAATACCCTTTAGGAATTGGCTCAGTGTGTATGCTGTGTCAAATCCTGCTTGGTAAATTCCAAGAGGAAACTCTGAATAAATATTTACCATATCTATTTATTTCTCCTACTGAGAACTATATAAGACAAGAGGATGTTAAATGATGAAACAGATTTCAGGATTTTTGCTCTCCGCTGAGTCTTGCCCATGGGGCGTGAGGACTGATACAAGTCCCAGTCTCATAATGAAACCAGACACAGTTCACTTCCTTTTGTTTCTTAAACCACCCCCTCACCTGGGAGATGTCTTGAAATGACACAGACTTAGTTATGTATCACTAACCTGAGATCTCAAGGGAATGATTGGTATTAATTATCATTAGTAATAATAATATTTAATATACCCTCCTGGGAAGGTGGACAGCATGTGCTTGGGATGGAATACAGCCCTGACTAAGCTTACCTGCTCAAGCTGTCAATCCCTATTGTCTCAAAAGGCGAAAAGAGACATTTTAACTCCAGAGCCATCTCCTCTTCCAATTGACATAATAAGGAGAGGTCAAGAAGAATCTAGTTAGAGATTAGTGGACGCTGCATTACACTTCCATGGCTTCCTACTGAAAGTGAACTACCAAAGAAATCACAAAGCACTTTCTGTCTAATTCTTCCCTTCTTCCTTCCCAGCTTGGGAAACAGCCTGAGATCAGCCTGAGATCAGACAGAGGATGCTACCTCACAAGCTGGTTATCAGGTGGGCTCTTTGCTTACTGCAGCCCAGAGGAAGAGAACCAAATGGTTGGGGCAGTGGAGAATGTCTATCATTGCTCTAGACTTAAGATAGTGAAAACCAACCAACAACCCAAATACAGAATCTACGCCCTTCTTGTCTTACATCCTCTGGAACTTTCTTCAATTTTAGCTATTCCCCAGTTAACCTTTTTATTGAGGACAGAGGGATGACCTGCCCCATTCTTGGGCTTTCTGTTTGCTCTTTCCCCTCCTCAGGAATCAATCACTATTCTTGAGCTCTGGATCCCATCCCCTCTCTCTCACTTAGAGAATCTGTTTCTGAATTTACCTTCACTGTCCCTGGGACATCAATTTCTCTCTCCTGGACCATTTCCACTGGCATATCTTAAATCCCTTCTTGATGCCATCGCTTCCTCCAGAACCAATCCCTTTCTCTGCCCCTGTTCTGAAGGAAGACCCTCAAAATAGTTGTCTTTACTTGCTGCCATTATTTCCTCATTTCTCTTTCTTTCCTTAACCTGTTGTAGATTTTTTTTTGTCACTCCAGAGAAACTGCTTTTATGAAGGTTAGTGATGATCTCCGTCTTGCCAAGTCCATGCTCAACTCTCTATTCTCATCTTACAAGACTTCTCACCATCACTTGACTCAGTCGTCAACTTCCTCCATGAAACCACTTCTTCTTGTGGCTTCAGGGGCACCACACTGTCCTGGCTTCTCATCAGCTTCACCTGTGGCTCCCTCCTCTGCAGAGTCCTCCTCTGCTCCTCCTCCTCTGCTCCCCATCTAAATGCTGGCGTTATCTTGGAGCTCCATCCACGGACTTTCTCTTTCCTCTAACTATACTCACTCCCAGGCCTGTGGTTTTTGTCACCTATATGCTGAAGTCTCTCAAATTTATTATATGTTGCCCCTGACCTCTTCCTGAATTTCCATATCCAATTTCCTACTCAGCACCTGAACTTGTATATTCAACATGCATCTCAAGTATAACATGGCCAAAAAAACAATTATTGTTTCCATCCTCCCTCCAAACCTGCTTCTTTCCAGTCTTTTTCATCACAGCTGCTTGGGACAAATATCTGAAGATGAATCAAAGAGAATATATAGACTTCCATCTGCCCTGCCTCCATAATACATCTTGAAATGAACCACTTTCATTAGCTCAGTGTTTAGACATGTTGGTCTGAGGACTCCTTTACAACCTTAAAAATTAATAAAATCTCCAAAGAGTTCTTGATTATGTGGGTTATAGCTATTGATATGTGCCATATTAGAAATTAAAACAAAACTTTAAAAAAATAGAATTCATTGTATTTGAAATACAATAAAACATTGTATATTAACACAAATCACATATTTTATGAAAATTAATACATTTTACAAAACATAAGTGAGAGAATTAACACTTTTACATTTTTGCAAATCTCTCTAGTATCTGGCTTAACAGAGGACTGCTGGATTCTCATATCTGGTACTACCTTCAATATGTTGCTCTATGGTGTTTTGATGGAAGGACATGAAGAAAATCTAGCTCACACAGATACATAGTTGGAAATGGGTGAAGTATTTTCATCATCTTTTGATAACTGTGGATATTCTCTGATTCTACACCAGAAATCAACAAGTGGTAGCTTTTAAATGTGGAGTCTGAAATGTGGTACCTGAAAATCTGTCAATAAACTTTTTTTACTTTGTTAATATTAAAATCTATTGGTCTATCTTGCGCTTTGAATGGATTTTTCACCTGTGCATAATTTTATAACATTACCCATTTGGTCATTTGGAAATACTTGTTCACTAAGTTCGGAGATCTTTGAGATCTTTTGAATGTTTCACATTTCATGATCCAATACCAAATTCTCCACATTCATTAATATCACCATCAATCTCGTCAGAAAAAGTCCTTAATGTATTGGGAAGTTATCAAGCTCTACAGTAGCAGCTATGTGTTTTCCAAAATCCTAATTTTTGTCTCAAGCTCAAATTTTGTCATTGGCAACAAATACTGTCAGTTGTTTTTCTTGAAGTATCAGGGCACTTCATTCATTTTTGATAAAAGATCTGTCAAACAAATACCCAAATTGGAGTAACTAGAGTTTGTCTGTTAGTTGTTCTTTTAAGTCATATTGGCATTCCATGAAAAAAGCAGCCAGTTCAGCTTGCGACTCAAACAACTGCACACGGGTTTTTCCTGGAGATAACCAGTACACTCTGGTATACGGTAGAAGGGCTTATGTGTCCTTCCCATTTTGTCACACAGAATATTAAAAAGACATCACTCAAGAGTTGAGATTTAATAAAAACAGTAATTGTTACTGCTTCATACAGGATATTCTGAAGTGAAATTGGCATTCTGTTCTATTGTAAGCATGTGCTGGTGAAGAACTAGCAGTTTGGTACCACTATCTTGTTTCGTGCTGAGGTGCCAGCAGTTTTCCCCACCATTACATTTCACTAGCAGTGCACGTCAATACTGCGAAAAAGACAGACAGCATCTTGGTATTACTGTGAAAATAGTTTTAACCTTGCATTCCCTGATAAGATCTTGCGGGCCCCCAGGAACCCACAGACCACACTTTGAGAACTGTGGCACTAGCTTGCCATCTTCTGTCCAGGCCACCACCATCTCTCTCCCGGGCTTGCAAAAAAGCCTCCTTGATGGTCTCTATGCTTTTACTTTTGCCTCTGTAGAAGCCCTTCTCCACAGAGCAGCCAGATAATCTTTTAAAAATGTATGTCAGATCACATCGCTCTCCTGCTTAAAACTCCCACTTCAGATGTCCCATTGCTCATAGAATAGCATCTGAGGTGCAGGCCCAAGCCTGCAAGGCCCTGGCTGCCCCTATTTTCTCATTCATGCCTGTACTCCTTTTCTTTCCCCTTCTCCAGTCACTTGACCTGTGGATCTCTTTAAACCTATCCTGTGTGCTCCAGCCTGGAAGGCTCCTCCCCCAGGTTTTAGCAGGTAGGGTTCTCCTCATTTAGGTCTCATCTCCTGTGTTAGGCATTACTCAACCTGCCCATACACATCTTCCTATACACTGCCCTCCTCTGGATTACATAGCTCCATTTATTACCCTGATTGCTCTCATCGTTCTCTGAAATGATATTGTTCACTAATTTGACAGCTGGTTTGTTGTCTGTATTTCTAAAACAGAAAGTGAGTTTCCACAAGGGTAGGAATCTTGAATCTTGTGCTATGCCATATCCTTACCATCTAAGACAATACTTGGAACACATCAGGTGATTAATTAGTATTTGCTGAATGGATGCTTCTGTGAGTGACAATGGGTGGTAGGATACCATGCAGGAAAGCTCTCTGCATACTGCAAAATATACACATGTAAGGTAAGGGAAATGATGTGTTACAACTTGTAATTCTCCGTCACTAGTACATACTTTGCCATGTCAAATTTAAGTCATAGATAACATTATCAGGCTATTAGTGTTACCTTCTTGACTATTTTTCTGCAGATCAAACAAGATAAGAGTCCAAGATCTCTTTGTCTCTCCCCAAACTGGTCTCCCTGTTGTTAATCCTTTTCTTCTCCAGGCCATCTTCTGCAATGTATGTCATTTATTTATTTATTTTTTTGAGAGAATCATATAGTGGCTCCTGCAAGATTGTACACAAAAAGATCATCCCCAAGACACATAATTGTCAGATTTTCCAAGGTTGAAATGAAAGAAAGAATGTTAAAGGCAACTAGAGAGAAAGGGCAGGTCAACTACAAAGGGATCCCCATCAGGCTAACAGTGAACCTCTAAGGCTGAAACCCTATAAGCCAGAAGAGATTCACGGCCTATATTCAACATTCTTACAGAAAAAAGTCTTCAACCAAGAATTTCATAACTAGCCAAACTAAGCTTCCTAAGTGAAGGAGAAATTAGATCCTTTTCAGATAAACAAAGGTTGAGGAACTTCATTATCACCAGACCTGCCTTACAAGAGATCTTGAAAGGTGCACAAAATATAGAAAGGAAAGACTGCTATCAGCTAATACAAAAACACACTTAAACACACAGACCAGTGTTACTTGCAAAGCAACCACACAAACAAGACAACAAAATAATCAGCTAACAGCACAATGACATAACCAAATTCATACATACAATACTAACCTTGAATGTAAACGAGCTAAATGCCCCACTTAAAAGGCACAGAGTGGCAAGCTGGATAGAAAAGCAAGACCCAATGGTATGTGGTCTTCAAGAGACCCATCTCACACTTAATGACACTCATAGGCTCAAAATAAAAGGATGGAGAAAAATCTACCAAGCAAATGGAAAACAGAAAAAAAGCAGGGGTTACAATCCTAATTTCAGACAAAGCTGATTTCAAACCAACAAAGATCAAAAAAGACAAGGAAGGGCATTACATAATGGTAAAATGTTCAATTCAACAAGAACATCCTAATATCCTAAATATAAATGCACTCAACACAGGAGCACTCAGATTTATAAAGCAAGTTCTTAGAGACCTACAAAGAGATACAGATTCCCACACAATAGTTGTGGGAGACTTCAACACTCCACTGACAGTATTAGACAGATCATTGAGGTGAAAAATTAACAAAGATATTCAGGACCTAAACTTAGCACTGGACCAAACAGATCTGATAAACCTTTACAAACATCTCCACCCCGAAACAACAGAATATACATTCTTCTCATCTCCACAAGGCACATACTCTAAAATAGACCACATAATTGGACATAAAACAATCCTCAACAAATGTTAAATAACCACATACTCTCAGACCACAGCACAATAAAAATAGAAGTCAACACAATGAAAACTGCTCAAAACCATACAATCACATGGAAATGAAACAACATGTTCCTGAATGACTTTTGGGTAAATAATGAAATGAAGGCAGAAATCAAGAAGTTTATTGAAAATAATGAGAACAAAGATATACCAGAATCTCTGGGACACAGCTAAGGCAGTGTTAAGAGGGAAATTCATAGCACTAAATGTTCACATCAAAAAGTTAGAAAGAACAACCCCAAAGCTAGCAGGAGATGAGAAATAACAAAAATCAGAGCTGAACTGAAGAATATTGAGACATGAAAATTCAAAATATCAATGAATCCAGGATTTTTTTTTTAAATTAATCAAATGGATAGGCCATCAGCTAGACTAAGAATAAAAGAAAGAAGATCCAAATAAACGCAATTAGAAATGATGAAGAGAATGTTACTACTGACCACACAGAAATAAAACAACCATCAGAAACGATTACAAACACGTCTACACACACAAACTAGAAAACCTAGACAAGATGGATAAATTCCTGGACACATACACCCTCCTAAGACTGAGTCAGGAAGAAATTGATTCCCTGAACAGACCAACAGTGAGCTCTGAAATTGAATCAGCAATAAATAGCTTAGCAACCGAAAAAGCGCAAGACCTGATGGATTCACAGCTGAATCCCACCAGATGTACAAAGTAGAGCTGGTACCATTCCTACAGAAATTATTCCAAAAAATTAGGAGAGGAAATGTCTCCCCAACTCACTCTATGAGTCCAGCATCATCTTGATACCAAAACCTGGCAGAGATACACTAAAAAAGAAAACGTCAGGCCAATATCCTTGATGAATATCCATGCAAAAATCCTCAACAAAATACTTGCAAACCAAATCCAGCAGCACATCAAAAAATGAATCCACCATAACCAAGTAGGCTTCATCCCTCGGATGCAGGGTTGGTTCAACATACAAAAATCAATACATGTGATTCATCCCATAAACAAAACTAAAGACAAAAACCACATGATTATCTCAGTAGATGCAGAACAGGCTTTTGATAAAATTCAACATCTCTTCATGTTAAAAACTCTGAATAAACTAGGTAGTGAAGGAACATACCTCAAAAGAATAAGAGCCATCTATGATAAACCCACAGCCAACATATTACTGAATGGGCAAATGCTGGAAGCATTTCCCTTGAAAACTGGCACAAGACAAGGGTGCCCTCTCTCACCACTTTATTCAACATAGCACTGGAATTCCTAGCCAGCTCAATCAGGCAAGAGAAAGAAATAAAGCGTATCCAAATAGGAAGAGAGGAAGTCAAACGATCTCTGTTTGCAAACAACATGATTCTACACCTAGAAAACCCTATAGTCTCGGCCCAAAAGCTCCTTCAGCTCATAAACAACTTCAACGAAGTTGCAGGATACAAAATCAAGGTACAAAAATCACTAGCATTCCTATACACCAACAATAACCAAACTGAGGGCCAAATCAGAAAGGCAATCCCATTCATAATTGCTACACACACACACACCAAAAATACCCAGGAATACAGCTAATCAGTGAGGTGAAAGATCTCTACAATAAGAATTACAAAACACTACTCAAAGAAATTAGAGAAGACACAAACAAATGGAAAAACATCCCATGCGCGTGGATAGGAATAATCAATATCATTAAAATGGCTATACTGCCCGAAGCAATTTACAGATTCAGTGCTATTCCTATCAAGCTACCAATGATATTCTTCACAGAACTAGAAAAAATTATTTTAAAATTTATGTGGAACGAAAAAAGAGCCCAAATAGCCAATGCAATCCTAAACAAAAAGAACAAAGCCTGAGGAATCACGTTACCTGACTTCAAACTACAATATAAGGCTATAGTGACCAAAACAGCATGGTACTGGTACAAAAACAAACACATAAACCAATGGAACAGAATAGAGAGCTCAGAAATAAGGCCACACATCTATGACCATCTGATCTTTGACAAAGCTGACAAAAACAAGCAACGGGAAAAAGACTCTATTCAATAAATGGTGCTGGGATAACTGGCTAGCTATATGCAGAAGATTGAAGCTGGACCCCTTTTTTACACCACGTACAAAAATCAATTCAAGATGGATTAAACACTTAAATGTAAAACTCCAAACTATAAAAACCCTGGAAGACAACCTGGGCAATACCATCCTGGACATAGGAACGGGCAAAGATTTCATGAAAAAGACACCAAGAGCAATTGCAACAAAAGCAAATATTGACAAATTGGATCTAATTAAACTTAAGAGCTTCTGCACAGCAAAATAAATTATCAATAGAGTAAACAGATAACTTACAGAATGGAAGACAATATTTGCAAACTACCCATCCAACCAAGGTCTAATATCCAGTATCTGTAAGGAACTTAAACAAATTTACAAGAGAAAAATAAACAACCCTGTTCAAAAGGGGGCAAAGGACACGAACAAACACTTCTCAAAAGACATACATGCAGTCAACAAGCATGTGAAAAAAAGGTCAATATCACTGATTATAGAAATGCAAATCAAAACCACAAGAGACCATCTCACACCAGTCAGAATGGTTGTTATTAAAAAGTCAATAACATTCTGGCAAAGTTGCAGAGAAAAGGGAACCCTTACACACTGTTGGTGGTATTGTAAATGAGTTCAACCATTGTGGAAAGCTGTATGGCAATTCCTCAAAGAGCAAAAAGCAGAATTACCATTTGATCCAGCAATCCCATTAATAGGATTATAGAGCATTCTCCCATAAAGACACACGCATGCAAATGTTCACTGCAGCACTGTTCACAATAGCAAAGACATGGAATCAACCTAAATGCCCGTCAATGACAGACTGGATAAAGAAAATGTGGTACATATACATCATGGAATATTATGCAGCCATAAAAAAGAACAAGATCATGTCTTTGGCAGGAACATGGATGGAGCTGGAGGCTATCACCCTTAGCAAACTTATGCAGGAACAGAAAACCAAATATGGCATGTTCTCACTTATAAGTGGGAGCTACGTGATAAGAACTTATGAACACAAAGAAGGAAACAATGAACACTGGGGTCTACTTGAGGAAGGAGGGTGGGAGAGAAAGTAGCATAACTGGGTGATGCAATAATATGTACAACAAATCCCTGTGACACATGTTTATCTATATAACAAACCTTCACATTTACCCCCAAACCTAAAATAAAAATTAAAAAAAGAGAATCATACAGTGGTGTTATTCTTGCTACTTAAAAAAAGGTGATGTGATGGCAGTGATGGTCAATACCATATGGGGAAGACCAGGTCCACACTTTGTCTACAATCAACTGCTACCACATAAGTCTTCTTGGTTAAGTAATTTGCGCCTACAGTGACAGAATAGGTCCCTGGATACACTTCTATGTAGAGGTGTTCTCACTAGGCTGGGATGCCTCTGGAGCACGCTTTGATATTTGATAGATGCCTCCAGGACCAAGGGATGTCTTTTTTCTGTCTTTTCTCTGACCATTCCCTATGTCCAAGTACATGTGCAGCTTCAACTTCCCTCTGTGAAAATGATAGACATGGGTTGCTCCTTCTTTCTCTGGCACAGATGAATAATATTTCCCACACTAACTTGAAGTACTGTCTATGAATTCAGCCATTGTTCAGAAGAAAGCACTAAGGGTTGGGTGTTTCTCGTCTCTCTGGCCAACTTCTCAAGGTGCATGCGCCCAGCACTCTCAATAATCTTTCAACATGGAAATCTGATCATGTCACTTCCCTTCATCCCACTGATCTTGGGATGAAGCTCAAATATGGCTTCCAAGGCTGTTTATGAGTAGGACGCTGCTCCCTCTACAGCTTCATCTTTCACCACTCCTCCTACCCTGCTCTCTGCTCCAGCCATCTTGAATTTCAATTCTTTTCTCATCTGGGATTGACAGGCTCATTCCTTCTTCCCTCTTCCCTCTCTCTGGCTAACGCAACCTTTAGGTGTAAGATTAGAGAGCACTTCTCCTCAGAACCTTTCTGACTCTTCCTGTCTCATTTACTTCTTTACTGTTAGCTTGACTTTTTTTTTTTTTTGTAATTCTATAGCATCCTATACTTCTGCAATCACAGCATTTGTCATTCCTATGATGAATGCTCATTTATAGCCTCCTCCACTCAACTGTAAGCTCCTTAAGGGCAAGAACTCTGCTCCCCTGTGCATCACTGAGCCCTAGCACCTAGACTGCTACCTAAGACACAACAGGTGCTCAAAAATAATTATGGAATTATGAACAAAGGAACTAATCCATGAATCCCATCAAAGACAAAACAGGTAATTCTAGAGAGTGTATATGTGGTTAGCTTTTCCTTTTTCTTTAATGTCTTTGCTTCTTCCTAGTTCCTGTGCTTGATTTTCAGCATTCTTGTTTAGCTTTTACTTATGTTTTGGATCAATATACATTTCTCCATTATTTTGTGTTTTTCGTACCAAGCGAGAATAAACTTTACCTTACCTAAGTTTAGGCCCTTTTCCTCTAAAGTCTTTTTCACCTTCTCTGCTTTCACTATTTTCTACTTCATCCCATATTAACAAGCATCTAACTTATAAAGTATTCTGCAGTGTTTATTGACTATAATATTTTTCATTTATGACTCATTATAGTTTCATTTATGTGGCTATGTTAAAGACACTTAAGTCTAATAGAGAATGTAAGGGTCCTTAAAGTTGAAGTTCCAAAAGCAATTAAAATTTAAGATAATAAGCTTTAAAGCAAAGCCGTCTCCTATGGACATCCTTCAGGAATGTCATACTAACCAAGAAATCTGAAGGGGAACCATCTATTATTCATACTAAGGGAACAGGGACAATGGCTTCACACAGCTGACTTCTCTTTGCTACTGACTAGCTTTTTCTGCTCTGTGGATAATACAAACAGGATGAAAGGATCTTGATACTCCACAAGTAAATATCCTTTTTAAGCAGATGGCTTGCAAGTTAGGAAAAAAAGTTGCTCTCCAGTGATTAAAACAGCTCTCTGGAAGCCCACTTTATTGCATCTAAGTACATTGCTAGTCTCACTGGGAGAGTTTATTCCTTTCAAAGATCCAGCCTCTCAGCTGGTAAGAGTTTTGATAAATAATTTTGTTCTATCTATATGTACCTCTTGTTAATACAGGCATATCAATGATCAGTACTCATGAGCTAGAATTGACTTGTTCATGTTCATATTGTCTCAGTAATTCAAGAGACATGCATTTGATGAATGAAAATGCCTTAGTCATGGAAAGACCAAGATGCGCTCTTAAGAAAAGTTGACCATATTAAGCCAACAGGGTCATTGTAAGTATCTGATGTCAAAGTGGAATAAACAAAGGAACATCTGTTATTTGCAGTTATCCAAGAAGGTGGCAGCACAGTACAGTACAGTACAGTCATTAAGGCGTGGGAGCTGGGGTCTAACCAGACCTGGGTTTGGTTCTAAGCTCTGCCATTCACTACCTATATCTAGAAAATGTTCCTGACCTCCTTTAAACCCAATACCATAAAATGGAGATAATAGTACTTACCAAGTAAGATTTTTATGATGATTAAAGGAGACAATACATATAAAGTAAAATTTGAGCCCAGTCTCAACTATCTATCAAATGTTCAGAATATTTTACCTAAATTAAATATATGTTATCATCCACCTTCCTTTGCACAAACATGTGACATGATATCATATAAAATGAAGACTTTATTTATATGCAAGTCTTTAGGTGGCACTTGCAAGCTTCCATGTGCCTATGACATTTGGGAACTTCTATCTGCATGTTGTAGGAACTGTTCATATTTATACCTCTCATGCCCATGTGGCTACATTTTAAAATGATTCAGTCATGATTCTTCCAGGGTCTCCTGTGGGCCCAGCTCTGTCTTTACCTAATTATGTTAGTTTCAATCGACAACTATAATACGAAGACTTAATGAGGAACACAAATGAGAGTAATTCACATATACCAAAAATCAACTTAAACACACACTAATATAATGTTGAGAAATGCATTATTTAAAATACCCTGTACATTATAGAGAAATGCTTATCTTCAATCTTCCACTTGCTTTGTGGTGTCAGTTTACTGAGCTATTAATTTAAACTTAAAAGCCTGAAATTTGAATATACAGAATAGCTGAACAGCTGCAGAAACAAACTTATAAAAATATATACTGTTACCCAGCACATAAAAAAGCAATTATTTATTGAAAAAAATCAGAATTTAATATTACCCAGTAACTGCAAAAGTTGTTGAAAGGATATAATTAACATTTACTGAAGATTCTTAGGGGGTAAAAATATTTTAAATAAAACAAATATTTAGAAGTTCTTAGTTACTAGTAAAAACAATCTCTTTAAACATAACGTTCATCCACCTTGAAAAAAAATCTGCTGACTGGGACATTTCTAGATAATTTTGAAGCTCAAAAACGCCAAATCTATCAAAATCAGAGAGTTGCTCTTGGTTTGTGTTGTCACAATCTGTGACGAGACAATGGGTCTTGCTCAGGTCAGGGGACCATTAAGGACCCAGGAAAGCCAGCAAAGGACTAGGAGATTTTGATGTACTAGAAAGACACAGGATCAAGAGTCAGAAGACCTGGCTCTCACCCCAACTTTAGCTCTTGCTAGCAGTGTGACTGGTCTCATTCATTCATTCATCTATTCATGCCAGCTGCTGGGGACATCAATGAACAAGACAGACATATCACATATCACATATCACAAAGCTTATTCATTAAGGCCTCACCAGCACCCTAAAAATGGGGAGAGGACCGTAGAGTTGAGAAGAAGTTTAAATCAAACATCATAGGAAGAGGTCCATGATGGTCACCACTCTCATGGGATGAAATGTCTTTGGCTTCGTTTCTTTATTCATAGAACATGAGTACAACACCTGCTTTCTCTATTTCAGCAGGTACCAAACTCTGTGGGCATTTAACAATGTGTTAAACAAATTTGAAATAAAAAACCCTACTTTATTAAAATAAACCATTAGGAAAATCAAATAAGTACAAGGTTATCAGAGCAAAGCTTGCCTAGTTCACAAACATCTTCATGGATATGTTTAATGGCCCTTCAGAGGAAGCCAAATATTTGCATAACCATAAGCCTCCTTCAAATATCTTGAGACTTGTCATGATCTTAATTTGCCAAAGTGGGTCCCTATCTATGTTTGGCAGAACCGTTCAAATCATCTGAAAGCTACCTGCTTTTTGAACGGGTTTTTACTGATGAATTTTTGGGAGGAGTTCAGAACCTATCCAATAGAAAGTCTTTTAACCAATGGGCCCTAATCAACTGGATGGATCAATCAGCATTCTCCATCCCCTGTATAAAATATACTGACCAATACTGTGGTCAAACGAATACTGAATGTTCTCTCTCGAACTCTGGAGCACATCAGCTCTCTCTGCATAAACTGTTAATGTCAGCTATACTTGCTTTGTAATTACAGAAATTAAATATTATGTTGGCCCATAAAATATGAGTGTGAAAATAGTTATTTGTATGAAAATTTAGTAAAATTAAAGAAATGAAAGTAAGTCACTAGAGGAAATCTGCCATTGAATTAGATATGATTGAGACAACTGTGAAAGATTGGGGAAATAATAAAAATTTAAAATGACTTTGCAGTCAGACTGTGTTGCAAGTGTCTTAAAAAATTCCTCACTTAAAGAGACTGAAAATGGAAATCATGCAATAATGTGCATGAAAGATTACATGAAGTTCCAATCAGCAGACCCAAACTCGAAGAAAAGGCCTCGAGCCCACATCAAAAGATTGGCAAATAACTGTTCATTTGCAACTTTAGGTTAAATACATGATTTAGGCTATGTAGTATCTTTTTAAAAAATGATTCACTGTTTAATTGATTTTTCAACTAATGAGAAAACACCCAGTCAGGTTAGCTAAGAGGGCTCTGACTCTGTAACCAGCCTGGAACCCTGGGAAGCTCTAGGTAGATAGGGTTCCTTCTTGTTGTTTTTTCTGATTTTTAAAATTTTCTAACTTTTCTTAACGGTTATTATTTGCTTATTTAAATAAAAACTATTTTAATAAAAAGATATATATCTAAATTTCAGCTATCTTGGAGCAAAAAGCCTTTGCATTTTATTAATTAATTAATTAATTTATTTTGAGACGAGTCTTACTCTGTTGTGCCCAGGCTGGAGTGCAGTGGCACAATCTTGGCTCACTGCAACCTCCACCTTCCGGGCTCAAGCAATTCTCCTGCCTCAGCCTCCCGAGTAGCTGGGATCTTACAGGCGTCCACCACCATACCCAGCTAATTTTTTGTATTTTTAGTAGAGATGGGGTTTCACCATGTTGGTCAGGCTGGTCTCGAACTCCTGACCTCAGGTAATTCGCCCACCTCGGCCTCCCAAAGTGCTGGGATTACATGTGTGAGCCACCGTGCCCGGCCACCTTTGCATATTTTAAACAAAGAAAAAAAGAGGCCAAATATTTTTACTCATGTGTTGCTTAAATGTTTAGTGATTCTGCCTTTTGCCCCCCATTTCTGGTGTGAGGCTACCTATCTATTGGTAAGACTGTTTTAACTGCAGTTCAATGAATATGACCCTTCCAAGTAAGAAAGGCTGAACCTTTCCAGCTGTAAAGGTTGATTCTGGGGCAGCAGAACCCTACCATGTGTGACAAGGTTTCCTTTTACTAATCTGGTTCTCCTCCTGTATATTTTGGGAAATGACACACGTCCAGGCAAAGCACACCATGGGCCAAATGCACATCCTCTCTGCCCTTAAGGGGCCATGACTCAAAGCACTTCACTGGGGATGCCCAGGGGTTGTGCATGACCAGACATCGGCAAAGTATTTTTGAGAAACCTCCTCCTCAACTAAAAATACCCACTGTGAGAAATCTGTAGCGTGAAGCAAGGATCGAGTCAGTACAACACAAAAAAAGAGACAGGCTTGTGGCAGTCTCAGAATCAAACCCAGTTCGCCCTCCCTTACCAGAACAACAAGAACAATCAAAAAAAAGGTTTACAGGAAAGGACTTCTTGAAGGCAGTAAGATGGGATACATGGCCACACTCATTTTAGTCTTGTCTTTTCTCTTTCTCCTTGAGGGCTGGGATGGGGAAAGTGGCCCCAAATCTGCTCAAAGTCCAACTGAACACAATCAATAATAGACTTACTATGACATTTTAAAAAAATTTCTACTGAGACATTAGTTTTATTCCTCAGTAAACACCTCCCTGATTTCTGCATCCCAGGAGAGCCTGGGCAAAGAAGAGCACAGGCAAGAAGTGTGAATGTGTTCAGAGAAAGTGTTGGCGAGGCCTGGCTCTCCCAGCCCCTCTGATGGCTGAGAAAACTGCTTGACAAGAGGGAGACCCACCAGGACAGAAGCCTGAGCTTCACAGGGCAGACACATTGCTAGTGTAGCTACTGACTGCCCATGGCAATGGTTCTATTTTTTTCATGGGAGACCTTCCTATAGTTACACATAAAAAAGAGACATAAAACCGGAGAACTTAACGGCAGAGAAAAGTAAAATGGTAAATCTAGAATGTTTTGCTTAACTTCAAAACTGTTGTTGAATAGTTTAGAAGGAGTAGGGGGTTGAATTGAGGTCCCCAACAATACAGGTGTCCTAACTTCTAGAACCTGGAAATGAAACTTTATGTTGGAAAAGGACCTTCGCAGATGTAATTAAGTTGAGAATCTCGAGATGAAATCATCCTGGATTACCTGAGTAGGCCCTAAATCCAAGGGGAGGTGTCCTTAGAAGACACAGAAGAGAAGACAGAGGAGAAGGCCAAGAGAAGAGAAGAAGACAGAAGTGGAGGCAGAGATTGGAGTCATTTAGCCATGAGCTGAGGAACACCTGGAGCCTCCCCAGAAGCTGGGACAGGCAAGGGATGATTCTGCCCTGAAGCCTTTGGAGGAAGTGTGGCCCTGAAACACCTTGATTTTGGACTTCAGGCCACCAGAACTGTGAGAGAATAAACATTGTTTTAAATTGTCCAGTTTGTGATAATTTGTTAAGCAGACCTAGGACACTAACACTGAAGGCTAGGACAGCTTATAAGAAGACCGGTGGGGGCCGGGCGCGGTGGCTCACGCCTGTAATCCCAGCACTTTGGGAGGCCGAGGCGGGCGGATCACGAGGTCAGGAGATCGAGACCATCCCAGCTAAAACGGTGAAACCCCGTCTCTACTAAAAATACATAAAATTAGCCGGGCGTAGTGGCGGGCGCCTGTAGTCCCAGCTACTTGGGAGGCTGAGGCAGGAGAATGGCGTGAACCCGGGAGGCGGAGCTTGCAGTGAGCCGAGATCCCGCCACTGCACTCCAGCCTGGGCGACAGAGCGAGACTCCGTCTCAAAAAAAAAAAAAAAAAAAAAAAAGAAGACCGGTGGGAAAACATAAAGAAATTTCTATTAGAAATAGAAATCTTATGTGAGAACACCAAAATCGCCTCCTGATGCCCCAAAGCACAATGATTCTGAGGGGAGCAGGAGGGAGGGTGCGACTCTCCTCCGAATGCAGGCCTGGGCCCCAAAGCTGATGAAGAAACCCGATGGCTGCATGGGGCCAGACCTAGTGTGAGTCAGAGTCGCCAGGGGAACTTTTGTCAAAAACTGATATCTCCACTTAAGGGTGGCTGAGTCAGAATTTCTAGAGGTCAGGTTGGAGAATCCATGTTTTTCAAAGTCTCCCATGTGATTCTAATGATCTTCCATCCTTAAAAATGATGGGCCCAGGTGGTCTGCTCCCTCCCGCTTTCAGTGTTTGAGAAGCAGATCTGCAGCTGCAGCCAACTTTTAAAAAAACGTGTCCAACAGGCTATTTATTATTTAAAACCCAGCTTTATTGTTTATGTAAAGCTTGATACAGATGCATTATGAAGTATTAAACAATACAGAAAAGCACAAAGACAAAAGTAAATATCCAGATTCACCATCTCAGGAAACTTTCCACGTGTATTTCCAAGTGTTTATTCACACAGAGATGTCTGTGTACACTTTAACCTGCTACTCAGAGTGTGGTCCACAGACCAGCAGCATTGACAACACTAAGGAAATTGTTAACAATTCAGAATTTCGGGCCCTGACACAGCAGGATGTACTAAAACTGCAAATATGTTATATCCCTTGTTTTGTAACTTGCTTTTTCCACACTGTAATGTATTGTAACCTCTGTCCTTGGTAATAAATACAAACCTTATGATCTTTCTTAATATATGTACGGTATTCTTTTATGTACCAGAATTTACTTAATGAGCTCTCATTTGATGATCATTTCTAGTTTCCCATTTTTCCCACCATTGTAAACAATGCTCACCTAAAAATCCTTGAGAAAGTATCTTTCTGTTTTGTCATTATTATTTTTGGGTAAATCCCTAGAAGTCAACCAGTGTGCAATTTTACGCACACTGATCATTCTGATACCTAATGCCAGAACACCAGCAAGAATGCCCAGTGACCTTGCACACGAATGCTTGTTCCCTCACACTCTTGCCAACACTGGAATTTTTCTAATAATTTTAACCTTTGTCTATCTGATACTTAAAAATGACACTTCATTGATTTTTTTCCTTGCATTTTTCCAAAAGCAATAAAAAAGCTTCTCATACATTTATCGGCCATCTGTATTTCTCATTTTGTGAACTGTCCAAAGTTATTTTGGTTGTTTAAAATAACAGTTATAAAAGAATCTGTGGAATTACAGAGTTTAGAAATATGGTTTAGTCACAATGAAAAGACACGGAGAAGAAAAAAAAGGAAGAGAGAAGAAAATGTGCCATAAAAAAAGATAATCAAAAGATTAGTTTGTGTGTTTATTTATAGACACCAGTTACAGCAATCCAGTGATTAGGCAAATTAATGCAGCTGTGTATGATCACAGCTCTGGGATCAGCCCCTACATCCTTTTCAAATGATGCCACCTGTCATTTAAGTATTTTGCATTTGCCTTTCATGTTACATATATTTCATGATGATTTCCATTTTAAAAACCTTCTTGGTTAACCCTTTGAAGGTTCTCATGATATGGATTATCCTCTGCCGTCAGGAATGGGGTGAGCTAACCACCCTCCCAGGTAGGCAAGAGAAACAGCACGTTTGCCTCTGAAAAAGACCAATCCTCTCCAAACGTTCACATCTTAGGAAAGAGAACAGTTGCATCCTTTTCACTGGGTGTAAAACTGCTTCTCTGCTCAGAACCAATGGAAAAAAATGGGGGACGGGTCAGATGCTGTGTACTGGTTGACTTCAGTGGCATGTGCAGACCATGCCCATTCCACCGGGCACATGCATCCCTCACACCCCCAGGGTGACCTCAGGCCTGCTTTGTCACACAGGCACCCACCTTGGGCTCCATACCCAGCACACGCAACTTCTCTACTGAACAAGTGGCAGGGGTCTTCTCACAGGGCCCCTGGAACTCTTTCAACCCATAAGACAACGCCAAATGGGTGAAAACCCACCTCATCCACCCCTGCCACCCTCTAGTTGCTGCTTTATTTGTGAATTGAGACAAATCAGTCATCCTCATTTGCTGACCATTCTCTGCATACAGTACAGCAAGAGCACTATGCCAGGTGGCCAGGAGGGCCGGCTGCAGGGAAACAGAGGAAAGCGTGGAGAGAGAAAGTCTCTAGGCTCCACTTTGCGATCTGTGGGATATGAACAGGTGGAATAAGGTCTTTAATAAACATATTTTAGGATGTTAGAACAAGCAGGTCCCATTACAAAACCTGAAGGAAGGAATTTGAGGACAAAAGGAGAAGCATGACTTTATAGAACAGGTTCTATGTAAACACACAAAGCACATATACCTTAAGGATTGTGCATGCTAAAACGTATTTCAGTAGCTGCTAGAATGGGAACAATAGATTATTAACATGTTTGAAAGGGATAGGGACTCGGGAACACATCTCAAAAATGTGGGTCAGAGTCAAGGAAGCTTGCTGCTACAGTGTCAACAATGCTCTCAGTGCTACTGGCAGATACGGCACGGGCAGAAGAGAAAGCTTTGGGTCTGCCACAGTTACAAAGAGTTGTAGACTTCAATATTTAGTTACGGGATGAAGAGGGGAGAAGGAACAAAGACCTTTAAATAAAAAGAAACAAAAGAGTGAACATGAACATAGAGCTACATGAAGTGTCAACCCTAGTGAAGTGATTATGTTTTAACTGTGTAAATAAAGTTCAATTAAATATTCAACATAACAGCAATAAAATGTAAAACACTGAGAAGCATCTCTCTCTAGTCAGTGTTTGGCAGATGTGTTGTGTTTTTGCATCTTGCTCTTTATGGTGGTATCTCTAACAAATTTAAGGGCAAAAGTGATGTAGACCATACATTCTAGAACCAATTCTAAAACAGCAAGAAGTGGCCAGATGCCCAGTGGCTTAATCAGATTCTTAATTCTACACACTACATTTATCCTCCAGTCTCACTGAAAATCTAACAGCCGAGTGGTCAAAAGAAAAGATAAAACTGCAAAATGGGAGTGCCACAAATTTCTGCTCCTCCTACTCCAGCCAACTTAACTTGACAGGGAGGAGGCAGCCTCTGTTTCCTTCCTCCCTTTAAAGGGGGGATGGCAAGCTGTTGACAACTCCTACTGTACAAAAGAGTTGTTCACACTGCAAAAGTGTTTACTGCTCACAAGTGACGCTCAAAATTAATTCACAGCAGCAACACCAGCAGAAAGCTTTGACAGACTGTCTTATGTGTTGACACAGTTATACGTTGTTGCATAAAAAAAAGTAACACACTTACCCTCTTTTCCAGCCCATACACACTGAAGTTGCTCCAAAGAGAGACTGTGAAATGCGTCTGAGATTGTAAATGCCACCCTCCAGGTAAGGATTTCCCGCTCCGCTCCGGGGTTGATGGCTGCAGGCATGAGAAGACGTGGACCCCCTTTTTGAGGTGAAGCAAGGCTGCGAGCCTCTCCCCCGGCCTCTGTT
The DNA here is from genome assembly GCF_000001405.40 of Homo sapiens. Lineage (NCBI taxonomy): Eukaryota > Metazoa > Chordata > Mammalia > Primates > Hominidae > Homo > Homo sapiens. The sequence continues at coordinate 90,127,367 of NC_000006.12, forward strand.
ACAACTGGCCTTGCTGGTGGTTTTTCCTTCAAAGGCATTTCCCTCTAGGGCAAGCCTCAGGCACCAGGGTGGGAAGTGGGGTAGAGCTGTTTATTATACCGCCTTGGCAGAAAAGGAGACGCCAGGATAACAGCTTTCTGAGACACAAATAATTCATCTTCCTCTTCCTTTAAAAAACAATAACCCTGCACTTAAAATGGCTTTGGGAGGCTGGGAAGATGTGACTTTCTTGCTCAGAAATGATTTACATTAAAAAATCAGAAAGAATGTAGTGTGATTTAATTATCTCAAGTTACCTGAGATGTTTAGAGTTAAAAAAGAAGCCAGGTGGGACAGCTAGTATTTGGCCTCATGTGGAAGATGTTGTACAGACTCTTTGGCTCAGCTCGGCGATCTGCTGTGGTGTGAGGCTCTTGCGTTTGAACAGTTCCTGCTGAGCAGCGTCCTCTCTGAGAAGTCACGGGACTTGAAAAATGAAGACCGTTGACACTTTAAAGGTGCTTCTGGCAATTGGAAGTAGCCACATGTGTAAAAACTACGCAGTGCAAGGACTTTCTTTAGATGGTGATATGTAAGTATCTATTGAAAGTAAGGTTTGCATGGAGCTAACCCCAAGGAAAACTGTGGACCAGGATTCACAGCCTTCCCATGCACTTTTCCCTTATGCCCCCCCATCTCCATTTCCCCAGCCATGGTCCACAGGTGCCCAAAGAGCTCTTCTGGCTTTGCCCCTTACCCCATCCTGGCCTATGCTTCTCCTTCCCTCTTATTCCTCCTCAGCACCAAACTCTCCTTTCTTTTGGTCTTGGGAAGGAAGTGGAGGAAAGAATCCATATCAAGATGCAAATGACTGACAATTTAAGGTATTCATCCTACTAGGCTTTGGGGATTTTTTTTCCCTCAGTTTTAATTTGTTTGGTGGTAAGAGTCTATAGGCCAGGCGCCGTGGCTCATGCCTGTAATCCCAGCACTTTGGGAGGCCGAGGCGGGTGGATCACGAGGTAAAGAGATCCAGACCATTCTGGCCAACATGGTGAAACCCTGTTTCTACTAAAAATATAAAAATTAGCTGGGTGTGATGGCGGGCGCCTGTAGTCCCAGCTACTCAGGAGGCTGAGGCAGGAGAATTGCTTGAACCTGGGGGGCGGAGGTTGCAGTGAGCCAAGATCGTGCCACTGCACTCCAGCCTGGTGGCAGGGCGAGACTCTGTCTCAACAACAACAACAAAAAATTTTACACTGTTGGTGGGACTGTAAACTAGTTCAACCATTGTGGAAGTCAGTGTGGTGATTGCTCAGGGATCTAGAACTAGAAATACCATTTGACCCAGCAATCCCATTACTGGGTATATACCCAAAGTATTATAAACCATGCTGCTATAAAGACACATGCACACATATGTTTATTGCAGTACTACTCACAATAGCAAAGACTTTGAACCAACCCAAATGTCCAACAATGGTAGACTGGATTAAGAAAATGTGGCACATATACACCATGGAATACTATGCAGCCATAAAAAATGATGAGTTCATGTCCTTTGTGGGGACATGAATGAAGCTGGAAACCATCATTCTCAGCAAACTATCGCAAGGGCAAAAAACCAAACACCGCATGTTCTCACTCATAGGTGGGAATTGAACAATGAGAACACTTGGACACAGGAAGGGGAACATCACACACTGGGGCCTGTTGTGGGGTGGGGATGGGGGAAGGGTGAAGGGATAGCATTAGGAGATATACCTAATGCTAAATGACGAGTTAATGGGTGCAGCACACCAATATGGCACATGTATACATATGTAACAAACCTGCACGTTGCGCACATGTACCCTAAAACTTAAAGTATAATAACAAAAAATCTATAAAGGGTTCTGGATATCAAATAGTTTTAGAACCACTGTCCCAGACTACTGGAGCCCTAAAAACTTCATTAAGTGGTTTCCTACTTCTCTGTCACATATTTCTTTTTCTTCTAAAAAAACGGGGTACATGTGCAGAATGTGCAGGTTTGTTACACAGGTGTACACGTGCCATGGCGGTTTGCTGCACCTACTGACATGTCCTCTAAGTTCCCTCCCCTCACCTCCCAACAGGCCATGGTGTGTGTTGTTCCCCTCTCTGTGTCCATGTGGTTTCTTTCTTTTTTTTTATTATTATACTTTAAGTTCTAGGGTACATGTGCAGAATGTGTGGCCATTTTCACAATACTGATTCTTCCTATCCATGAGGATGGAATGTTTTTCCATTTGTTTGTGTCCTCTCTTACTTCCTGGAGCAGTGGTTTGTAGTTATCCTTGAAGAGGTCCTTCACATCCCTTGTTAGCTGTATTCCTAGGTATTTTATTCTCTTTGTAGCAATTGTGAATGGGAGTTCATTCATGATTTGGCTCTCTGCTTGCCTACTGTTGGTGTAAAGGAATGCTTGTGATTTTTGCACATTGATTTTGTATCCTGAGACTTTGCTGAAGTTGCTTATCAGTTCAAGAAGTTTTTTTTTTGTTGTTGTTGTTTGTTTTTTGAGACAGAGTCTCGTTCTGTCACCCAGTCTGGAATGCAGTGGCGCGATCTCAGCTCACTGCAACCTCCACCTCCAGGGTTCAAGCAATTCCCCTGCCTCAGCCTCCCGAGTAGCTGGGATTACAGGTGCTCACCACTGTGCCTGGCTAATTTTTATATTTTTTAGTAGAGACGGGGTTTCACCATGTTGGTCAGGCTGGTCTCAAACCCCTGACCTCATGTGATCTGCCTGCTTTGCCCTCTCCAAGTGTTGGGATTACAGGAGTAAGCCACGGTGCCTGGCCAGCTTTTGGGATTTGTTAGAGTACACCGTTGACTGGTGGAATTCCTGCTGGTGTGATGAGATGCAGTGAGAAGTCGTAAGACATCCTCCAAGATAGAGGAGGTCTCCTTGATCAGTATAGGCCCATGCCCAGGATACAGGTGACCTAGGATACAGGTGTTAATGCAGCCACCAGCTAGGATGCACTGGTCCTACCTGATTAGGGTGATGCTGACACAGGAGCTAACACCGAAGGAGCATTTTCTCTTTTGCCTGGCACTGTAACATATGTACCACATGCTTTTACAAATGTGGTTATCATTCAGTAGAGTATGACCCTGAGCGTGAGTACTTTTAGCATTCTCATTTACCAAGGTGGAAATTGAGGCTTGAAGAGGTTAGATAACTTGCTTATGGTTATCATGCTAACAGAATAGCAGAACTGGAATTGAAAGCCAGCTGTCTGGAGCTCATGGACTTCTATCTACCTCCAGTGGTTTCATCCCAATAGGAACCATCAATTGTGAACAGCTGGTACAGGCCAGCACCCCCTGCTTCACCATGGGACAATACTAAGACAGCTAGAGGCCATACTGCAGATGCAGAGGCTTTGCTTACGCGAAGGTGGTGAAGTTAGAAGAGCATGAAATCTGAAGGCAAACAATCTGGTTAAAATCCTGGCCCTGTTTGTTGCTTTGCTTTAAGACCTGCGGTTAATCTGTGAACTTTAGTTTTTTCCATCTATAAAATTCATCTGATACTACCTGCTTTACAGAGTTGTTTGTGAGAACTGAATAAGGTAATACACATGCAAAATGTTTTGGGAAGCATAAACTCTTAGATGTTATTAGTGTTAATATGGTCTTTTAGTGGGAAGAGTCACTCCTGAGAGCGGAAGATTGACTTTCACATCAGTATCACCTACCCCACCTGACAAATCCAGGAGTGGGCTCTCTGGAGGACCACTGGGGAAAAGGGAGTAGAAGCATGTACCAGTTATCAGAGGCATTTACTAGTAATAGTGAAGTTTGACCCTAAAAAACAACACAAGATGAATTCTGTGACATGTGGATGAGAAACATGAACTTTCAATGAATTCAGAAATTCCACACTCACAGCCTGCTTCAAGTCCTGTGTCAGCTGCTGAATCAGAGTAGGAGGCATCATTTTCTTGTTGGTGATTACACTTATGCCTTTGTACACTGCCGGCTGGCTTCAAAAGAAAGGGTCACCTTTGTGTAGTTGACTCCTCATTTTGTAATAATTCCAAAATGCAGTAGCTTCTCCCAAAGTAGTTCAAAGACACCAACCTGCTGAGAACCAGGGGAGGCCATCAGGATACCAAACTTCCTGCTTCTAATGGCCCAAATCTCAGCGAAAGCCTCTGAATAGATAGGCAAGCTCCAGAAGGACAGACTGTGGTCATTAACGTAACCCTTTATTATGGCGAATCTCAATTCTTTTTCTACACATGAGCTCACCCTTCAAATACCACATTTATGTCCATTTTTGGGCGGGCTGAACTAAAGTTTAAAGCATTATGTCATTGTAAACAAACAATCACATGTAGCGTGACTCTGTGGAAAATACAGCATTTCAATTTTGTGGTATTGGTTCCACCATAAGAAAGGGAACCCAAATGATGAGGTCAGTGGGCCAGCTGCCACGGCAAAGAGAATGCCAAGCTGAGCAAGCTGCTTTCACTCACAACTAAAAAATTAAGCTCACCATTGTTATGCCAGCCAATGAAAGTGATTGCATTCCTAAATTAAGTGGAAACAGAGCTTCAGAGACTGCTCCTCCTTAGTATTACATGTTCATGCCAGGAGGTCAAGAGGCTGTTACTTTTGCTGATGATGGACATAACCACATCCAGGCTTATCCCATTTAGAAGCCACTGCTGGCTAATAAAAAGTAAATGAAAACACACACTACTGTGAATCAGGTAGCAGTAAAAATGGATACAACAATGTGGTAGATGTTAAGAGAGGAAGCTATCTAAGTCCTAGAGACTCATCCAAAGAGTGTAAACCACGCTCTTCTGCCAAGTGGCTACGACTTCTACTTGCAAGCAATGTAGCATTACGTAAGTCAACCTGACTTGGTCTTCGTCTATTTTTTCCTAAGGCAGAACATTATCCTTCCAGCATGCAACAGGGCTGGTCATACCCCCTAAACAGCTTTGATCAAATCTGGGTTATATACCAAGCATCAGAACCAGCCTGGGTTACATACCAGCCACCCCTCCCACCTTCCTATGTCTACCAATCATACTTCCAGGCTCCTAGACTTGGAGCCTCAGGGTCTTCTCTGATTTTATCTTTCTGGTTCCTCTGTTGTCCTGGCCCCACCAATATTCATATTCAGTTTTCACCAACATCTCACAGATTACTCCTTTGATATGTGCCCAGAGTCCATCTCTGTCTCTTTACTCTTACAGTCATCATTTTTGTGCAGGTTCCTCCTCCCACCCCTACCGTGGCTACACCATTACAAGAACCTCTCACTGGTCTTCCATCTCTGGTTTGTGCCCCAGCAACCTGTCAGGGACACCACCATTAAGCCACTGTAATGGTTTTCCTGGGCTTACAAAAGGGCAGTCCACAACTCAGCTTGTATTCATGGCCCCCAACAACTTGGTGCCAGCCTGTCTTTCCAATCCTATTTCCCCTTTCTGCCTGGCTGAACCACTTCTTGAGCCCTGCACTGTACCCACTCCCTGTATTTGCATATCATCTTTTCCCACCCAAAGTGCCCACTTCTGTCCAGTTACGCTCCAAGACCCAGTTAAACCACATCTCCTCCAGGAAGACAGCTCTGGTCATTCCTGAGAACGTGCAGCCCAGATCTGGATCACTCACTTGGTGATAAGTAGAGTACTTCCTTTTGATCTCTTTTATAGCACTTACTGCTTTGATGGCTATTCAAATGCAAATTAGTTAATTTCTTGTCTCTTCAACTAGATTTATCATAGCTCCCAGAAGATTATATTTTCTACTTTTTTATATTTTCTCTGCCCACCTCATCCTTTGTCCTTCTCCTCCTCCTTCAAAACCCATGTAGCAATCATAATATTAAATAAGGACTTATTTTTATCTGTGTCCTAAGGAGAAACCAGGAAGGAAATTGAAGTGAAATGCAAGAGTAAACTCAGCAGAGATGTAACTGGCCCCTCTGGGTGGAAGACACAGCAGAATTGAATAAACCCAGAATTGAGTACATCTGCTGCCAGCACATCTTCAATGCTGCCAAATGCCCTCACCTACGTTAAATCAGGTAATCTTAAACTCAGGCTTTGAGATATAATTCAGTATGTAAGGAAGGGAGAAGAAGAAAGAAAATAATTCCTCTTTAGAAAAGCATTTTCTTTTTATTTTATTTTATTTATTTATTTATTTATTTTTTATTGTACTTTAAGTTTTAGGGTACATGTGCACAACGTGCAGGTTTGTTACATATGTATACATGTGCCATGTTGGTGTGCTGCACTGATTAAGTCGTCATTTAACATTAGGTATATCTCCTAATGCTATCCCTCCACCCTCCCCACACCCCACAACAGGCCCCAGTGTGTGATGTTCCCCTTCCTGTGTCCAAGTGTTCTCATTGTTCAATTCCCACCTATGAGTGAGAACATGCGGTGTTTGGTTTTTTGCCCTTGCGATAGTTTGCTGAGAATGATGGTTTCCAGCTTCATTCATGTCCCTACAAAGGACATGAACTCATCATTTTTTATGGCTGCATAGTATTCCATGGTGTATATGTGCCACGTTTTCTTAATTCAGTCTATCACTGTTGGACATTTGGGTTGGTTCAAAGTCTTTGCTATTGTGAATAGTGCTGCAATAAACATGTGTGCATGTGTCTTTATAGCAGCATGATTTATAATCCTTTGGGTATATACCCAGTAATGGGATGGCTGGATCAAATGGTATTTCTAGTTCTAGATCCCTGAGGAATCGCCACACTGACTTCCACAATGGTTGAACTAGTTTACAGTCCCACCAACAGTGTAAAAGTGTTCCTATTTCTCCACATCCTCTCCAGCACCTGTTGTTTCCTGACTTTTTAATGATCGCCATTCTAACTGGTGTGAGATGGTATCTCATTGTGGTTTTGATTTGCATTAGAAATGCATTTTTGCCCAAACACTTCAAACACATGACTTCGCTTTTAATCCATTTTAATTTAGAAATATTTCTGTAATACAGTATAGAAATATTTTGATGATGTACATCAGTGCCCTGTTTGTAGTATCAACCTAGGCATGAAGAGTGATGAAGGCTGACATTTTACAAGAGGATGGATGAGAAGAGTCCTTCCTGGTCGGATGGGGTTAGTGAGGCAGGAGTAGCCTGGAGCACCTGGTAGAGCTGGAATCATGGGATGTATAGTTCAGGTGGTCAGGGGCCTATGGGCAAGTTTCACTGGGATGGTAATAATTATGCAGCAGAAACAGGCAGTGCATAGAATAATCTGAATGGTGACCATCTCCAGAATGGCAGCCTCCAGAGTGAGGCTTTTCACAGTGCCCAGTCTTCTTGACCAAAAGTCAGGGTATTTGCTAGAGGAGCTGGTATTTATGTCTAAATGGAGAGCTGTATGGTCTGGTTGAATTGAAGCCTTGTGCAAATAACTGGCATGTGCTTTGGTCAGGGCAGGTAGCCTCTGTGGGAGAGGGTCTGACAGGGCTGGGGCAATTCCTTCCCATCAACTTAGGAGGGTCATGCCTCCCTGTCTCTGGGGCCTTGAGTCTTTAACAGTTATTGAGATCTACATGGCAGATACAGGCAGAGCAGATGGCAGGAAACATGGGATGAACAGATCCAGCCTTAGCAGTGGCCCTGAGATTTATACTCCTGGAATAATTTTCAGTTGCCTCCTTGAGTAATTTTTCTCCTGCCCCAATGGAGTGATGACCGTGCAACAGTATCACCTCCCTGGCAGCATGCTAAAGCCATTTTCTTCCGAATGGAGAATGAAACTGAGGCAGCCTTGTCCTCCTTCTTCAAAGTAGTTTTCACATCCTACAAACATTTTCTGTACTTGTTGCTACCATTGTCCTCCCTCCTGACACAGCCAACTAAAACCTTATCTCTAGCTTCATCATAACATGTTCCCTCCTTGTTACCTACACCTTGCCATCTATCGCTCACATTTTGAGAATCTGCACCAAGACTTTAGATTATGATGCTTCTGCACCAGTAACCCTCGGCTACACTTCTCGCCTAAGTTTTACTGAATGCTTGACATTGATCAGAATTCTGTTCACAAACAACCTTTAAAGTAAAGCATTAGGCTGGGCACAGTAGCTCGCACCTGTAATCCCGGCACTTTGGGAAGCTGAGGTGGATGGATCGCTTGAGACCAGCCTAGGCAACAGGGCAAAACCCTGTCTCTACCCCAAAACACAAAAAATTAGCCAGGCATGGTGGTACACGCCTGTGGTCTCAGATACTCGAGAGCTGAGTAGGAGGACTGCTGGAGCCCAGGAGGTTGAGGCTACAGTGAGCTGTGATCATGCCACTGCACTCCAGCCTGGGCAACAGAGCAAGACTCCGTCTAATAAGAGCAGACCCTACTATGATCAAGATTACTAGGAGCCTTGTATTCTCTTTGCATTAGCCCTCCTCCCACTTATTTCCTCACTCACCAGACATTCACTGGGCACACATCATATGCTGACTCAGGTCTCATGGCTGGCGGAATGTGGATGATACACTGAGCCTCTATCATCGTCTCTGACCCTTTCCACTGCCGCCAGGTCTGTGGCCACCTCCACTGCTGTTTCTCAACTCTGCCACGGCCAGCTCATCATCCCTACTTCTTATCTTGGCTGCTTCTTGTTTTCTACTGCTCTGCCTCTTTCCTTCTTTCTCTTTTGTCACTTCACCCAAGCTTCCTGAATTTCTCCAAGGCCAGTTACCCTTCCTCAGACATCACCTAGCCACCAGGGTTCTCCTTCCTGTGATCAGTCAGTCCCACGAGCACAATCCTGTGCTGTGACTCTGCGCTGTTTTGTTGTTGCTCACTGCTACGGCTGAGTTTCTTTATCTCCAGAGATACCTACATAATTGACTTTCTTCTTCTTTTTATAAACTTCAGGGTCAGTTCTATTATGGATAAATAGGACTATTAACACTGGTGGCTGCTTTGTGAATGTAACATTATGGAAAGAGCCTGGTTTTGGAGTCAGAGAGATCTGATTTCAAATCCTTGCCAACTGCAGCAGTAGCTGCGGAATCTCTGACAAATCATTTAAGTTCTTCTCAGCCTCAGCTGCCACACTGGCAAAATGGGACTGATAATTATTACCTCATATGTTTATTTTGATAAGGATTCAATATATAAAATGCCTTACACATAGAAGGCACCCTAGAAACACCCCTCCCCTGGCCCACTATTTACCTTCTCCTTATAAATGTGATGCAGAAAATGGCTATAGTGAACTGTTAGGAAGGAGAGGGGATATCACCGGCAAAATTAAGCAAAGCTAATAATAATGAACAGATTAACTACAAATGCTACTTAATATTACCAGGGCTGGTGTATCATAAAATTGCACAGATTAAGATGAAAAAAAGGCAAAAATTAATTCCACAGGAGCAGCAAAAAGCAGTGGTCACCAAATGTGAACATAACAGCCAGGCCCTACAATAATGAGCACTAAACCATGCTATTTTTCTTTTCTTTCTTTTTTTTTTTTTAAATCCTACAAAGAAATAGGATACAAGGAAATTAGCATGTGAGAAAGACTTGGACTTATGTGAAGAAGCTAACAGATGTGCAAAAATCTAGACCAGATTCCCATTTCAAAAAGGAACTTGTAGAGTCACTGGACCCATCCTGACAGTGAGGCAGTCCTGGTAGCATGTCATGTCATCCTGTGACACTAGCACTGTGCACATACATAAAAAAAAATGTCTGTTCCAGTGAAGCCAGGAAGAGAACAGACGGCAAAGCCTGACACAGACAGAAAGAGGGACAGGCTTGTCTTGACTCCATCTGCCATTTTTAAACCCAAGACACAATAACACCTAAGGAATACTCACACTAACATTTCATTCAACAATCCCTCCACTGCATGTCACATGAAATAAGTTAGACAAGAGCAGTTCTGCCTAAAGTATATGCTATCTGAGAGGCATACTAGTTCTTTGCAAATACCTAAACAGAACTTTCAGATGTTTCTGCTGGAGTGAGAAAAAACATGTGCATTTGAGTGTAATGTGATGGTTTTCAACTGCTTAAAGAGGCCATAAATCTATTAGCTTGAACTTCAAAGAAACAAATTCTGAGAACATCAAAAATTAGGGTGGGGCAAGGAGAATTGGATCTAACTAGTTTCTCCGTTCTTTCCCAGAAAAACAATGAGAACCAAACCAGGCTCCAGTCTCTTTCTTCTCCCAATTTTTACTACTTGCCACACTTTTGAAAACATCTTCTACATACTTCTAGCTCTGGACAAACACATTCTTATTCAAGTTTGTGGTTAACTCCATGAGCTCATTTTTCTATGATTTGTTGGACATTTTTATGTGGCTTTTACGGAGAACAGTTTAAAGTGAATTATCTTTGAGAAGCCTGTGGGATTCTATAATTCTCTGGTGCTCTCCCCAACCAGGATGATTTATTCCAAGACAATTCTAAACCAAGAAGGAGGACTCGATGCCCAGACTTCTAATAAGATTCGGCTGCTGTCTTGCAAAGCCAGGCAGTGTGGGACAGCTGGATGAAGTGAGTGGGACTAGGCTTAGATTGACTCTGTGTGATCAGAGCAAGTGATTTCACCTCTTTGGGACTCTGGGTTTGCAACAATAAAACATAAGAAGTGGTGACAGCGATGACTTCGCAGATTCTCCCAGCCCTAATACTCTATGAGATCATGACTATTCTAATCATAAAACACACACACACACACACACACACACACACACACACAGTCTCTCTCTCTCTCCCTCTCTGATATGTTTTCTCATAACCAAAGGCTCATTCTAGATTTAATCAAAGATACAAATGGGAGAAACATGGACACGAACTGGACAGTGAGAGTCCATTTAAACCAGCAGGGAGGCTGGGCACGGTGGCTCACGCCTGTAATCCCAGCACTTTGGGAGGTCGAGGCGGGTGGATCACCCAAGGTCAGGAGTTCGAGACCAGTCTGGCCAACATGGTGAAGCCCCGTCTCTACTAAAAATACAAAAATTAGCCATGCGTGGTGGCGTGTGCCTGTAGTCTCACCTACTTGGTAGGCTGAGGCAGAAGAATCGCCTGTGGGAGGCAGAGGCTGTAGTCAGCTGAGATGGTGCCATTGCACTCCAGCCTGGGTGACAGAGTGAGATCCATCTCAAAAAAATAAATAAAAAATAAAATAAACCAGCAGGGGGATACAGACAAATCTAATAGTGGGTAGAAAAAGGATCCATGTAAGTCTTCTCCTTAAAAAAAAAATCATTGAAAAAAATCACTATAATAGCTTGGAGATGACAAGCCAATATGAATTACTGAGGCGAATTCATTAAATCCACCGAAGGACACATCCTAGGAGATAGAACATATTAAACTGAGAAGACATCTTCCAGGCCCACCTCTCCAGCTCTACCGATTTCTTGCCACTAAATAATAACTCCCAACAGCTCTATCAGGAATGGAAACAAACACAATGAGCTGGGGCATAGTAAACTCAATACCAAGACCCCACTTTAATGTCTGTATGTATGTATTAATTCACGTACCACATGGTTTTGTAACAAGAAAGCGGAATGGGAAGGAGACTGGGGTGAAGTTAAACCTGCGGGCCTCAAGTAGGACACATCAGAATGGGAGCCAGGTTCATCTTTTTGAAGGATTGTCCTTTCCGCCTCATCATCTTCCCGTACACATGCACTTTAGCAAGAAGAATAAACAGGATATGCCTACTTGACTTCCTTGTTTGCTCTCAGGGTGACTTCACTAAAAAAAAAGGCATCAAAGGCCTTTATGAATCCATCACCAGATTTTTAAAAAGTCTGTTTACAGTGATTCTATATGCCCATGGCTAAAATCTGGAATTTTTCTCTTTTTATCCTTTCTCCACCCTTTTCTTCTTTCTCTACGTCTTCTAGTCATCCTCTGCCATGTTCCTCATGATTATGTTTTATAATATTTAATGTTCCATGTAAAAAGTGGTGTGCCTTGAGCTGTTTGCTGGAAGAGCCAGACAGACCTAACACGTGATCATAATTTAGTAAGAAAAGTGAGGGAGAAGGTGGGGAAAGGTCCCCTGCAGGCTGTGTGCATGCACAGTGACTGGCTCCCTGAAGACACTCAAGCTGACTACGTGGAGCTGTCTTCGCTTATAGACCAGCTGCTGCCTCATCACCTCTAGGTTGCCACGCCCCACTTACTTTCTGATAGAGCAGAGTTCATTTGTTAGTTCTTTATGCAATAATCTCCCTCCCTTTTTTTTCTGGGGAGGAGGGGTAGGGGTTGGGGATATTCAACAAACCAACAGTCCTTCAACAGTATTTGTGAATGAACACGGTAAGCGTGATTGTGTAACAGTGTTCGGATGTGTCCTTATCTTCCATTTGAACACTACCAGTTGTACTTCCACACAGGTGGGGGTGGAGGTCCTCTAATTCAACTAAGAAATCCCTTTTAGCTAATGAGACTAGAGAAGTAAAATGTAGGAAAGGGAACAGGAAGATAAGTGGCCATAAAATCTACAAGATCATTGTTTCAGACGGTTAAGCCAGACTCCAGCTAATAGACACCCTCCCCAAATCAGGGCTTAAATAACATGGAAGTTTATTTTTCTCATGTAAAATAAGTCAGGGGCAAGCAGTCCAGGATGATACGGAGCTTCCTCATTCATCAGGACCCAAGCTCCTGCCAGTTTTCCTTCCTACCAGTTCTAGGATACAGTCCTCCTCCTCTTCCAAGTCTAAAATGATGCTGGTGCTCCAGCCATCACACTCATGTTCCAAGGAACCCCATGGAAAAGGGCTGAAGAAGGGTGCAGTCCATCCCTTTAAGACTTCCTAGAACTCTGACGCACACTTCTTACATCTCATTGGCCATAACTTAGTCGCATGGCCAGTGAGGCTGGGAAACACAATTTTGGTTAGCAGCTCAACTATACAAGGGATTCTGCTAATTGGTAGACAAAGAGAAGAAAGCTACTTGGTGTCAAACTAGCAGTGTCTCCCATAATGAAGGCTTTGCAAGCTTCCTTATCTTCTGAGGCTGTATAATGGGAAGATTAGCAACATATGCAACAAATGGGAATAAAAAGAACACAATTACAGTAAACTATAGTAATAGTATTCCATTGAATTGAAGGAAAATGATAGATTTTTCCACCTCAAAAGACACAGGGATACTTTCTAATGATTTAATGTCATTCACAGGAAAAGGGTAATATACCACATGGTACTACAGAAACACTTTGGCTGAGCCCAGGTGGTAGCAAATATTTTCAATCAATAGGTTTGGACAGTGAAATAGACATGAAATCCTCTAACTTGTATTTAATACTAATTCAGACATATGAGGTGGAGGAAGAAGGGAGATAAAACAAACATATTCTACAGCAATAAAATGATCATGCTAAAGAGTTACTTTGAATTAATTAAGACACTGTCACAAGGGAATGATAATTGAATAATTCCCTAAGATACAATGAAAGTATTCCTGGTTGGTGCGACCTGGCAACTTATATTAAATACTTTAAAATTCTGCAAGTTCCTGACTCAGCAATTCTATTTCTAGAAATTTAACTTAAGAAAAATAGCCATAGATACACTTAGAGACTTATCTATGCAGATATTCATCAAGGTTACTTATCATAGTAAGGAAATGAAAAAACCTTCAATATCTAACAAGAAAGGACTGGCTAAATAGATGCTAGTCCACAAATTCTAGTGCAGCCATTACAAATGATAAGGATGATAAGGTTAAGAAACTTAAGGCATGGAAAATAGTCATAATTTTATAAAATGTACAAAGTAGGTTATAAAATAAAATGTATTGCGTGATACATTTTTTTTTCCAACTGCTCCCCCACCCAGGGATGGAGTCTTGCTCTGTCCTCCAGGCTGGAGTGCAGGGGCGTGATCTCGGCTCACTGCAACCTCCACCTCCTGGGTTCAGGCGATTCTCCTGCCTCAGCCTCCTGAGTAGCTGGGATTACAGGCGCATGCCACCATATCCAGCTAATTTTTGTATTTTCAGTAGAGACGGGGTTTCACCATGTTGACCGGGCTAGTCACGAACTCCTGACCTCAAGTGATCCGCCTGCCTCGGCATCCCAAAGTGCTGGGATTACAGGTGTAAGCCACCATACCCCGCCCCGATCCCGTTTTTTTTTTTTTTTTTAAACCAATGAATCTATATTACCATATATACCTGAATATAAGGTAGCCTCAATAAATGATCTCCCATTTTACCAATGAGAATACAAAATAACAAAACAAAACAACAATAACAAAGACAAACAGCTTTGCTAACTTGAGTATATAAACTCTGAGGAATGTGATAAAATAATCATCTTCTTATGATACCTAATTTATTTAGTTGTATATACATACTTCAAATTAGATTTTACACATGATAATAGGTTGATTTGTAAGTGTTTTCTGAAATCATATTTTATTAAAAATTCTATTCAGGCTGTGTGCAGTGGCTCACGCCTGTAATCCCAGCACTTTGGGAGGCCAAGGAGGGCAGACCACTTAAGGCCAGGAGTTCGAGACCAACCTGGCCAACATGGCAAAACCCTGTCTCTATTAAAAATACAAAAACTAGCTGGGTGTGGTGGCTTATGCCTATAATCCCAGCTATTTGGTGGCTGAGGTACGAGAATCACTTGAACCCATGAGGTCGAGGTTATAAGTGAGCTGAGATTGCACCACTGCACTTCATCCTGGGTGACAGAACTAGACTCTGTCTCAAAAAAAATTTTTTTTTAATTCAAATGTTTCACATTCATCTTCAATGTCTTCATCATTGTTAGAACGTCTTTCGAGTCATCTAACACCTCTCATTGTCTGAGATAGAATCTTTGACTTAGTATGTGATGCTGTCACTGGATATTTGATCCTGAGTGGGAAACATCCATTTCCATCATATTAAGAAAGCTGGTGTTATCATTTGGGCTGTATGTGATCTCTGCCATTGCATCACTTATTGTGTTGTTCTTAAAAGTGCTCTATATAAAAAAGACTTGCTCAGCATGGCATCCAATCCTAGGCTATGGGGTCACATCTTTAGCTATAATGGCCAAGTTTCTGTTGAATTTCAACACTTATTTTTACAGCAATTCTATCAAGTGACCTCTATAAGCACCCAAAACTCAAGCTGATTGAGGTGATTTCAGGATAATTTCAGGACTATTTGCCCAAACAGTACTTTGTTATTCAAAATAAAATAATAGAGGAGTGTCCATAATCTGAGACTTACAGGGAGTTGATTATAAGATGATGCCCACTTTAAGGATAATGTTTGGCCAAACAAAACCCCCTTCTTGCCTTATATTCAGACATATTTCATGTATACACAATGAAAAAAAGATTATAGACATAAAATCTCTATAAAGTCTACAGTGGTTACTGCTGGGTAGGAAGATCATTATAAAAGATTTAAATTTTCTTCTGTTTGCTTCTATTTTCTAAAGTTTCAATGAGTAAGAGTGACTGTGATAATTAGGGAAATAGTATTAAGAATAATAAAAAAAAGGAAGAGACATTATACAAATAATACATTGGACATGATTAGAGGCAGGCTAAGCTAGCCTTGGGTGTGATTTAAGGTATTCCAGCTAAAAAGAATTCCCTATTGGCATGAAATTTGTCACTCTTCTGGGTGACAGCCAGTTGCAAGTTAGTTAAAATGTAGATGTGTTTCTTAGAAGGCTAACTCATTTATCCACTATCCTCCATTCACTGCAGATTCCTTTATCAAATTCGTTTCCAGCCTCAGACAGGGTCTGGAGGGAACGAGACAGTGACAGGGATAGGTCTGCTTTATGTGAAGAGAGATGATCAGAAAGGTCAGGCACCAGACACCCCTTTCCTTCTACTCCCCATAAAGTCTTGGCAGCTAGAGAGCTGGGGAATAGGACTGAGATGGTACAATGAAGGAAAAATTAATAGTAACATCGATGACAATATGAAGGTAGTGTGGCTTGCAGTTAAGAATGCAGTCTCTAGAACCTGCCTGCCTGCTTGGTTCAAATTCACCTCTGCCCATTATCGGTTGTGCAACGCTGGGCAAGTTACTTCCCTTCTCTGTGCCTTGGTTTCCTCATCTGTGGAATAAGGAAAACAGTTTCCACTCCACAAGGTTACCTGAACCACACCTCCCCACCCTGGTAGGAGCAGTATGAAAAAGGCCAAAGCCTTCAAACCTTTCATACTCTGACCCCAGTTTGCCTTTCTGAAAGCATCTCTTCAACACTTCCTTCTGAGGTACCCTGAGGCCATTCCATGAACCCCTGTGCACCTCCACATCCTCCACTTTTGCTGGCATTCTATCTATCTAGAATGTGCTTCTCCTCTTTGGCAATGTTTTCCTCATCCTTCATGAAACAGCTGAAACGTCAGCTCCTTGAATAAGCCCTGACTGAGGGCTGCCCCCATTGGTTGGTCAACAAATACTAATATTAAGAGCCTACTATGTGTCAGGCACTGTCTCAGGCACTTTAAATACAGCAGTGAATGAAACTCCTGCCCCGACCCTGCTCAACACTCATAATCATGAACTCTTCAGCATCCCTGTGGAGATCTGCTATGACATTACTATATATGTTATAGAACTCTTTCCCCTGTTAGAAGGAAAGTCTTTGGAGAAAGGGGCCTGATCTTACCTGTCTTTATGTTTCTAGTGTCCAGCACAGAACTTGTCACACCAAGCACTTAATAAGTATTCGTTGGATGAATGTCATCCTGAAAAATTTTCATGCTAGAAAATGCTCACCTACAACTACTTTGATGGCAACTCTAAATAGGAATATAGAGATGATTCATCTAGAGATATTTTTTCCTTTATTTAAAAAACTGATTCCAATGGCTTGCCTTTTGGGAAAACCACATCTGTTAATTGTGTACAACACAAAGAAAAGTCTATTTATTTAGCTCTGGATCCCTAGAACTTTATACAGTGCTGTGTCATCAGTAGGCACTCAATAAATGTTTTTTGAAGGATTGGGAAGGACAGAGGGAAGGAGGGAGGGAAAAACAGAGGGAAGGAGGGAGGGAGGGAGGAAGGAGAGAAGGAGAAAAGTTTGGGAGCCAAGAGAAGAGCTGGAAGAGACAGAGCATTATCCCTGAGGCCAGTAAGGCACTGGCAGAGCTGCCATGGGTCTGGCCCCAGAGGAGGAAAGCAGGGGTTGAGCCAAAAAAGGGAGATCCTGGCTGGGCCTGCCCGCATCTGAGGCAGGTTTCACTCCTCAGGTTCGGGAAAGCACCTTCAGGAACACCACTGTTTCAGAATGACAGTCCTGAGATATTTAAACAATGACTGGGTGAGTAAGCCCCACTGAAGAGAGTAATAAAACCAATTTCTTACAAATATTCTAGAAGCAAACATAAATAAATTCGTAATCCTTCCTGACACACTCCATTTGGGGAGTTAGGCTTCCTATTCACCTACAATGCAGGTGAGTAAACACAAGTTTTTCAAAAGAAACAGAAACATGCTTATGTTGAAAGATCCCAGAGAGCGATCATCCGTGATTGTAAAACACTTCTCTTCCATTAACCAACTTCTCTTCCATTTATTTGTCTGGATTTTACCAAGGAGACAAATAAAGATGGGAGCAGCA
This sequence comes from Homo sapiens, assembly GCF_000001405.40. NCBI lineage: Eukaryota > Metazoa > Chordata > Mammalia > Primates > Hominidae > Homo > Homo sapiens. The sequence goes on from NC_000006.12 coordinate 90,144,952, forward strand.
ACATCCTTGTAGACGAAATCACTAATAAAAAAGGATATAGTTCCCAGAGATCGTGACCTTTCTGTACCACTCTCTCAAACACTCCCTCCCACCCCCCAAATAAACCACATATAAACTGAGATTATGGTGGTGATTGCAGATGCAGTTTCAGGGTAAGAAGAGACTAAATCAGACACTGTATGTGGGAGAGACAAGCGCATACTGCCTGACACATAGTGGGTCCTCTTTAAATGTTTAAAGTAGAAAAAAGCAACAAAGGAAAGAATAGCTCATCTAATCTGTACTTGGAATTTCTCAAATTACTCATAAGAGCACTTAAAAAAATCCAGAAAGACAGAAAGTATGCAACCCCTGTCAAAATAGTATTAAGTGCTGAAACACAGACAAAGATAGGTAATTAACTGCTACTAGCTTAGATGAAAATGTCTGCAATCTTGTTCAAGTGCTTGGGTAATATAAAGCATTTGGAGATAAACTTAGGAAGATGTGGGGGTTGCAAGTGAATAGAAAAAGTGTTTACAAAACTAGTACATAGTCAGCTTTTTAGAAACTAGTTCACACACATATAAACTTTTCAGTGAAGAGTTTAAAATAGGATCAAAGCTCTCCCAGAATGATGGAAAAATGCTTGACAAGGCTTCTTGAAGCTCCCTCGAGGGTCTCTTTCTGCAGATATATCCTTTAAAATTGTGTGAAGTGACATTCTCCCAAATATGACTGGTGTGCCAGGTCTTTAAATCAAATCATTCATATTATAATATGTGAACGCATTAAGTCTCCCTCTGACGAATTTGGACATCTTGACCCACTCCACTACAAAGAGTAGGATATCATCTTCCGAAAGTACATGATTGGATTTGCACAGAGAGGTAAAACACATGGGTTTAAGTAAGAGAAGACAGTGTAGAAGGCAGCTGGGGAGAAACCGGTAGAGGAAGACAATGTCCTTGTGTGTCTGGCAGTGTCATTTTGTGACTTTTTCTCTTTGACTTCCAACCACACTTTATATTTTCAACTGTGTAACCAATAACACATTAAACTTCAATAAGAGTTTGAAGCTAGAATTTTTGCTTTAAAATTTTTACATTAAATTCTATGTATAGACTTATGTGCATGTGCACAGAAAGAGAATTCTGAAGATGTGAAAGATGAATAATTTATTTTTAAGATTAAATTTAGGGGTAGTGAGGTTTGGGGTTAAATCTAAGCTAGAATCAATAGTCTTTCATCACCACGTGTGACCAAAGATGACCCGCAGAAGTGATGTTACCTGACTCTGTTGAACTCTATGACATAATGTACTGACCAAGGTCATGACTCTGATTCCTATGGCTTGCCTTTTGGACAAACCACATCTGTTAATTGAGCACAACACAAAGCAAAGTATATTTATTTAGCACTCTCTCTCTTGCGTGCGTGTGCTCTGTGTATTCATCCTTGTTTTCCAGTGGTGTCTGTCCTCAAGGACCAAAGTTGATTATTCTATACGATTCTGAGGCACAGATTCTGTCACTGGCATATATGAAAGTTTTCTAAAATGAAATATAAAATCAGAAGTGTCTGAAATGGCTGTAACTACTCCATGACCCATAACTGATGGTCAACTCTTCCAAGACCTTGTTCTAAACCAGATGATCACACATACTTAAATAGATGACTGGTCTCAACACACACACAAAATAGAAAATTGAAAAATTAGTAGGTGAATTGTTTCAATGTGAATAATCAAATACATTAATACTTCTAGGTAAACTCTTTTTGATCTCTTTGTTGTTTCTTAAGCACTCAGATATTAGGATTAAGATTTACTAAAAGATAGGATAATGTTAAATTAACAATTGTCCTGTAAGGAAACTCTGGGAGTAAACTATAAGAAATAACTTCTAAAACTAACTTTACAAGTGGTTTGTGAATGACGATTAAAACTATTCATTTCAGATATTAGAGCCAATGACAGTGAAGAAATAAAAAATCTTGCAGTAGCCTCCAGGAGACGTAGGATAAGTCAAAGTGAACATATCATAGCTCGATCCTACTCTTTCATTTCTACTGCTACTTAAATAAAAAAGAAAAAAATTTTTCCCGAAAGGGTAGAATATGGCAGAAACAGTAAGTACCAAACCCAGCAAAAAGAGGAAGTTGGTTTCTTACATAGAAATGGGTAACTTGCTATATGCAATATTTAAAAAAAAGCCACTGCAAGAAGGGGCAGTAATAAAAATAAATTATTTTCCTTATTGCAAAGTATCTGAGGGTAGGAAATTGACCCAAACTGCCAGAGAATGAGGAAGCACCCTTTTCACCCTGTCCTCAGAATGTTATTTCATAATTTATCCCTTCCTCAGATGGCCTTTTTCTGCCACGTCCCTGCTCTCTGCTCTTCAGCTGTCCTCTCTCCAAACTCCTCAATTAAATTATCTCACGTTTTTCTCTGATCTGCTGTTCGCAGCTTGTCACATCACTATACCATAAGCCTTCCCACATGCTGCCGTAACAGTACACTTGGAGAGCCGTTCCGCGGCAGCCACTCGCTGGTATCCTGGATCCCGGGTGCACGAGGGTACCCTACAACAGTAGTTTCATTGTCTAGAAGGAGCAAGGCCAACCCACCTAGTCTTCTTCTAAGGAGCATATGGGTTCACATCCCTAAAAATTAGGAAATGTGCTATGATCAACCTGTTTAAGCAACAACCCATGTGCCAGATAGTCAATTAGAAAAAAAAATTGTGCTTGTCTTCTTCCTGTTGTATAAAAGAACAGGCAGTTTTCTCCTGAGCACCGTAATTGAAAAAATAAAGTTATCTGGTTATCACAAGTGCACAGCTTTTCATCTTGTTTTTGTTTCTGCAAATAAATAATTTGGGTCTGTAAGACATCTTTCACAAAATGATGTTTCAAAAAATTTTTACAGAATACTCTATCTAGAATGGCATGAATTACCCAAAACAGTAATACAAAGAACCTACATGCCAAATTAAAACATTAAATCAAAAGGCCAATAACAGAGGAAATAGAAAATCTTGTTGCAAAATGAGATGAGATTACAGAAAGACACACAGATGAAATCCTCTAGTTTGATGAGACAGAGGTACAGAGAGGCTCTTCCCAAACAGTCCAACTTTAAAGGAACACCTCATTGACTTAAAGGTGGCAATTTACAGGAGGCAGAGGAGCTAATGGCTGACAAATAGTGAAGCATCGTGCACTAGCCAGGAAGATTTTCCATTCAAGGAGTTTAAAAACATAGGAGACTTGGAGCCACATCCACCCAAGTGAGGAAAAATGTTATTTTTTTCTCTCCCGTACCCAA